>NC_000023.11:108712542-109337542 GCF_000001405.40 Homo sapiens | reverse complement strand
TACTCAATCTACACTGCAGTTAAAGGAGCACCCACACAGAGAAATGAGAAAGAACCAATGCAATAACTCCAGCAACTCAAATGGCCAGAGAGACTTATGTCTTCCAAACGATCAAACTAGTTCTCCAACAAGTTTTCTTACCCAACTGAGTTGGCTGAAATGACACAGAATTCAGAATATGGATAGAAATGAAAATCATCAAGATTCAGGAGAATGGCAAAACCCAATCCAAGGAAACTAAGAATCACAATAAAATGATACAAGAGCTGAAGGACAAAATAGAGAGAGAAAAAAAAAGAACCTAATGGATCTGACAGAGCTGAAAAACACCCTAAGATAATTTCACAATGCAATTTCAAGTATTAACAGCAGAATAGACCAAGCTGAGGAAAGAATTTCAGAACTTGAAGACTAGCTCTCTCAAATAAGACAGTCAGACAAAAATAAAGTAAAAAGAATAAAAATGAATGAAGAAAATCTGAGAAATATGAAATTATGTAAAGAGGCCAAATCTACCAATCATTGGCATCACTGAAAGAGAAGGGGAGAAAAGAAACAACTTGGTAAACATATTTCAGTATATTGTCCATGAAAATATCTCCAACCTCACTAGAGAGGCCAACAGTCAAATTTAGGAAATACAGAGAACCCCTGAAAGATTCTACACAAGAGGATTATCCCGAAGATACATAACCATCAGATTCTCCAAGGTTGAAGTAAAAGAAAATATATTAAAGGCATCCAAAGTAAAAGGCCAGGCCAACTGTGAAGGGAAGCCTATCAGAGTAACAGTGGACCTTTCAGCAGAAACCCGACAAGCCAGAAGAGATTGGTGGCCTATATTCAACATTCTTAAAGAAAAGAAATTTCAAATAAGAATTTCATATCCAGCCAAACTAAGCTTCATAAGCAAAGGAGAAATAAGATCCTTGTCAGACCAGCAAATGCTGAGGGAATTCATTACCACCAGACCTACCTTACCAAAAGTTTTTGAAGGAAGCATTAAATATGGAAAGGGAGGACCATTATCAGCCAACTCAAAAACACCCTAAAGTACATAGACTAGTGACACTATAAAGCAACCACAGAAACAAGTTTGTGTAACAGCTAGCTAATGTCATGATGGCAGGATTAAATAGACTTATATCAATACTAATTTCAAACGTAAACAGGCTAAATGCCCCAATTAAAAGGCACAGAGTGGCAAGGTGGATAAAGAACCAAGACCCATTGGTATGCTGTCATCAAGAGACCCATCTCACATGCAATGACACCAATGGCTCAAAACAATGAGAGGAAGAAAAATCCACCAAGCAAATGGAAAACAGAAAAAAGCAGAGGTTGTAATCCTAATTTCAGATAAAACATACTTTAAACCAACAAAGGTACAAAAAGACAATGAAGGGCATTACACAAAGGGCTCAGCTCAACAAAAAGAACTAACAATGCTAAATATATAGGCACTCAAAACAGGAGAACCCAGATTTATTAAACAAGTTTTTAGAGACCACCAAAAAGACTTAGACAGAAAAAACAAGGCTTGCAATCCTAATTTCAGTCAAAACAGACTTTAGAGGGAGGTTCCAAGATGGCCGAATAGGAACAGCTCCAGTCTACAGCTCCCAGTATGAGTGATGGAGAAGATGGGTGATTTCTGCATTTCCAACTGAGGTACAAGGCTCATCTCACTGGGGCTTGTCAGACAGTGGGTGCAGGACAGTGGGTGCAGCCCACCGAGTGACAGCCGAAGCACAGCGAGGCATCGCCTCACCCAGGGAGCACAAGGGGTCAGGGAATTCCCTTTCCTAGGCAAGGAAAGCAGTGACAGATGGCACCTGGAAAACTGGGTCACTCCCGCCCTAATACTGGGCTTTTCCAATGGTCTTAGCAAATGGCACAGCAGGAGATTATATCCCGTACCTCACTCGGAGGGTCCCACATCCACGGAGCCTCACTCATTGCTAGCACAGCAGTCTAAGATCAAACTGCAAGGTGGCAGTGAGGCTGGGGGAGGAGTGCCTGCCATTGCTGAGGCTTGAGGAGGTAAACAAAGCAGCCAGGAAACTCAAACTGGGTGGAGCCCACTGCAGCTCAAGGAGGCCTGCCTGCCTCCGTAGGACTCCACCTCTGGGGGCAGGGCATAGCTGAACAAAAGGCAGCAGAAAACTCTGCAGACTTAAATGTCCCTGTCTGACAGCTTTGAAGAGAGTAGTAGTTCTCCCAGCATTGAGTTTGAGATCTGAGAACGGACAGACTGCCTCCTCAAGTGGGTCCCTGAACCCTGAGTAGCCTAACTGGGAGGCAGCCCCTGTAGGGGCCGACTGACACCTCACACTGCTGGGTGCCCCCCTGAGATGAAGCTTCCAGAGGAACAATCAGGCAGCAACATTTGCTGTTCTGCAATAGTCGCTGTTCTGCAGCCTCCGCTGGTGATACCCAGGGAAACAGGGTCTGGAGTGGACCTCCAGCAAACTCCAACAGACCTACAGCTGAGGTTCCTGACCGTTAGAAGGAAAACTAACAAACAGAAAGGACAACCACACCAAAACCCCATCTGTACATCACCATCATCAAAAAACCAAAGGTAGATAAAACCACAAAGATGGGGAGAAACCAGAGCAGAAAAGCTGAAAATTCTAAAAATCAGAGTGCCTCTTCTCCTCTGAAGGAATGCAGCTCCTTGCCAGCAATGGAATAAAGCTGGATGGAGAATGACTTTGACGAGTTGACAGAAGAAGGCTTCAGATGATCAAACTTCTCTGAGCTAAAGGAGGATGTTCAAACCCATCACAAAGAAGCTAAAAACCTTGAAAAAAGATGAGATGAATGGCTAACTAGAATAACAAGTGTAGAGAAGTCCTTAAATGACCTGATGGAGCTGAAAACCATGGCATGAGAACTACATGACACATGCACAAGCTTCAGTAGCTGATTTGATCAACTGGAAGAAAGGGTATCAGTGATTGAAGATCAAATGAATGAAATGAAGTGAGAAGAAAAGTTTAGAGAAAAAAGAGTAAAAAGAAATGAACAAAGCCTCCAAGAAACATGGGACCATGTGAAAAGACCAAATCTACATCTGATTGGTGCACCTGACAGTGAAGGGAAGAATGGAACCAAGTAGGAAAATACTCTTCAGGATATTATCCAAGAGAACTTCCCTAATCTAGCAAGGCAGGCCAACATTCAAATTCAGGAAATACAGAGAATGCCACAGAGATACTCCTTGAGAAGAGCAACTGCAAGACACATAATTGTCAGATTCACCAAAGTTGAAATGAAGGAAAAAATATTAAGGGCAGCAAGAGAGAAAGGTCGGGTTACCCACAAAGGGAAGCCCATCAGACTAACAGCGGATCTCTTGGCAGAAACTCTACAAGCCAGAAGGCAGTGGGGGCCAATATTCAACATTCTTAAAGAAAAGAATTTTCAACACAGAATTTCATATCCAGCCAAACTAAACTTCATAAATGAAGGAGAAATAAAATCCTTCACAGACAGGTGAATGCTGATAGATTTTGTCACCACCAGGCCTGCCTTAAAAGAGCTCCTGAAGGAAGCCTGAAACATGGAAAGGAGAAACCGGTACCAGCCACTGCAAAAGTATGCCAAATTGTAAAGACCATCAATGCTAGGAAGAAACTGCATCAACTAACGAGCAAAATAAACAGCTAACATCATAACGACAGGATCAAATTCACAAATAACAACATTAATCTAAAATGTAAATGGCTAAATGCTCCAATTAAAAGACACAGACTGGCAAATAGGATAAGCAGTCAAGACCCATCAGTATGCTGTATTCAGGAGACCCATCTCACATGCAGAGACACACATAGGCTCAAAATAAAGGGACAGATGAAGATCTACCAAGCAAATGGAAAACAAAAAAAGCAGGGGTTGCAATCCTAGTCTCTGATAAAACAGGCTTTAAACCAACAAAGATCAAAAGAGACAAAGAAGGCCATTACATAATGGTAAAGGGATCAATTCAACAAGAAGAGCTAACTATCCTAAATATATATGCACCCAACACAGGAGCACCCAGATTCATAAAGCAAGTCCTTAGAGACCTACAAAGAGACTTAGACTCCCACACAATAATAATGGGAGACTTTAACACCCCACTGTCAACATTAGACAGATCAACAAGACAGAAAGTTAAAAAGGATATCCAGGAATTGAACTCAGCTCTACACCATGCAGACCTAATAGACATCTACAAAACTCTCCAACCTATATCAACAGAATATACATTCTTCACAGCACCACATTGCACTTATTCCAAAATTGACCACATAGTTGGAAGTAAAGCACTCCTCAGCAAATGTAAAAGAACAGAAATTATAACAAACTGTCTTTCAGAATCACAGTGCAATCAAATTAGAACTCAGGATTAAGAAACTCACTCAAAACCACTCAACTACATGGAAACTGAACAACCTGTTCCTGAATGACTACTGGGTACATAATGAAATGAAGGCAGAAATAAAGATGTTCTATGAAACCAATGAGAACAAAGACACAACATACCAGAATCTCTGGGACACATTTAAAGCAGTGTGTAGAGGGAAATTTATAGCACTAAATGCCCACAAGAGAAAGCAGGAAAGATCTAAAATTGACACCCTAATATCACAATTAAAAGAACTAGAGAAGCAAGAGCAAATGAATTCAAAAGCTAGCAGAAGGCAAGAAATAACTAAGATCAGAGCAGAACTGAAGGACATAGAGACACAAAAAAACCCTTCAAAAAATCAATGAATCCAGGAGCTGGATTTTTGAAAAGATCAAAAAAATTGATAGACTGCTAGCAAAACTAATAAAGAAGAAAAGAGAGAAGAATAAAATAGACGCAACAAAAAATGGTAAAGGGGTTATCACCACCAATCACACAGAAATACAAACTACCATCAGACAGTAGTATAAACACCTCTACATGAATAAACTAGAAAATCTAGAAGAAATGGATAAATTCCTGGACACATACACCCTTCCAACACTAAACCAGGAAGAAGTTGAATCCCTGAATAGACCAATAACAGGCTCTGAAATTGAGGCAACAATTCATAGCCTACCAACCAAAAAAAGTCCAGAACCAGACGGATTCACAGCTGAATTCTACCAGAGGTACAATGAGGAGCTGGTACCATTCCTTCTGAAACTATTCCAATCAATAGAAAAAGAGGGAATCCTCCTTAACTCATTTTATGAGGCCCCCATCATCCTGATACCAAAGCCTGGCAGAGACAAAACAACGAAAAAGAGAATTTTAGACCAATATCGCTGATGAACATCAATGCAAAAATCTTCAATACAATACTGGCAAACTGAATCCAGCAGCACATCAAAAAGCTTATCCACCATGATCAAGTGGGCTTCATCCCTGGGATGCAAGGTTGGTTCAACATATGCAAATCAATAAATGTAATCCAGCATATAAACAGAACCAAAGACAAAAACCACATGATTTCCTCAATAGATGCAGAAAAGACCTTTGACAAAATTCAACAACCCTTCATGATAAAAACTCTCAATAAATTAGGTATTGATGGGACATATCTCAAAATAATAAGAGCTATTTATGAAAAACCCACAGCCAATATCATACTGAATGGGCAAAAACTGGAAGCATTGGCTTTGAAAACTGGAACAAGACAGGGATGCCCTCTCTCACCAGTCCTATTCAACGTAGTGTTGGAAGTTCTGTCCTGCGCAATCAGGCAGGAGAAAGAAGAAAGGATATTCAATTAGGAAAAGAGGAAGTCAAATTGTCCCTGTTTGCAGATGACATGATTGTGTATTTAGAAAACCCCATCGTCTCAGCCCAAAATCTCCTTAAGCTGATAAGCAACTTCAGCAAAGTCTCAGGATACAAAATGAATGTGCAAAAATCACAAGCGTTCCTATACACCAATAACAAACAAATGGAGAGCCAAATCATGAGTGAACTCCCATTCACAATTGCTTCAAAGAGAATAAAATACCTAGGAATCCAACTTACAAGTGATGTGAAGGACCTCTTCAAGGAGAACTACAAACCACTGCTCAACAAAATAAAAGAGGACACAAACAAATGGAAGAAC
Source organism: Homo sapiens (assembly GCF_000001405.40). Taxonomy (NCBI): domain Eukaryota; kingdom Metazoa; phylum Chordata; class Mammalia; order Primates; family Hominidae; genus Homo; species Homo sapiens. The sequence goes on along the minus strand of NC_000023.11, from coordinate 109,331,456 downwards.
ATTCCATGCTCATGGATAGGAAGACTCAATATCGTGAAAATGGCCATACTGCCGAAGGTAATTTATAGATTCAATGCCATCCCCATCAAGCTACCAATGACTTTCTTCACAGAATTGGAAAAAAACTACTTTGAAGTTCATATGGAACCAAAAAAGAGCCTGCATTGCCAAGATAATCCTAAGCCAAAAGAACAAAGCTGGAGGCATCATACTACCTGACTTCAAACTATACTACAAGTCTACAGTAACCAAAACAGCATGGTACTGGTACCAAAAGAGAGATATAGTTCAATGGAACACAACAGAGCCCTCAGAAATAATACCACACATCTACAACCATCTGATCTTTGACCAACCTGACCAAAATAAGAAATGGGAAAGTATTCTCTATTTAATAAGTGGTGCTGGGAAAACTGTCTAGCCATATGTAGAAAGCTGAAACTGGATCCCTTCCTTACATCTTATACAAAAATTAATTCAAAATGGATTAAAGACTTAAATGTTAGGCCTAAAACCATAAAAACCCTAGAAGAAAACCTAGGCCTTACCATTCAGGACATAGGCATGGGCAAGGACTTCATGTCTAAAACACCAAAAGCAATGGCAAAAAAAGCCAAAATTGACAAATGGGATCTAATTAAATTAAAGAGCTTCTGCACAGCAAAAGAAACTACCATCAGAGTGAACAGGCAGCCTACAGAATGGGAGAAAATTTTTGCAATCTACTCATCTGACAAAGGGCTAATATCCAGAATCTACAAAGACCTTAAACAAATTTCAAAGAAAAAAATCAAACGGCCCCATCAAAAAGTGGGCAAAGATTATGAACAGACACTTCTCAAAAGAAGACATTTATGCAGCCAACAGACCCATGAAAAAATGCTCACCATCACTGGCCAACAGAGAAATGCAAATCAAAACCACAATAAGATACCATCTCACACCAGTTAGAATGGTGATCATTAAAAAGTCAGGAAACAACAGGTGCTGGAGAGGATATGGAGAAATAGGAATACTTTTACACGTTGGTGGGACTGTAAACTAGTTCAACCATTGTGGAAGACAGTGTGGCAATTCCTCAAGGATTTAGAACTAGAAATACCATTTGACCCAGCCATCTCATTACTGGGTATATACCCAAAGGATTATAAATCATGCTGCTATAAAGACAGATGTACACATATGTTTATTGCAGCACTATACACAATAGCAAAGACTTGGACCCAACCCAAATGCCCATCAATGATAGAGTGGATTAAGAAAATGTGGCACATATACACCATGGAATACTATGCAGCCATAAAAAATGATGAGTTCATGTCCTTCGTAGGGACATGGATGAAGCTGGAAACCATCATTCTCAGCAAACTATCACAAGGACAGAAAACCAAACACCACATGTTCTCACCCATAGGTGGGAATTGAACAATGCGAACACTTGGACACAGGAAGGGAACATCACACAGGGGGGCCTGTCATGGGGTTGGGGAAGGGGAGAGGGATAGCATTAGGAGATATACCTAATGTAAATGACGAGGTAACAGGTGCAGCACACCAGTGTGGCACATGTATACATATGTAAGTAACTTGCACGTTGTGCACATACACCCTAGAACTTAAAGTATAATAATAAAAGAAGAAAGAAAAAGAACAAGAACAAGAAAAAAACAGACTTTAAACTAACAAATACTTAAAAAGACAAAGAAGGGCATTACATAATGTTAAATGGTCCAACTAAACAAGACCTACCTATTCTAAATAAATGAGCCCAACACAGGAGTGCCAAGATTTATAAAGTTCTTAGAGACTTCAAAGAGACTTAGATTCTCACACAATAATAGTGGGAGACTTCAACACCACACTGACAGTATCAGACAGATCATCAAGACAAAACATTAACAAAGATACTCAGGACCTCAACTCAGCACTGGATCAAATGGACCTGATATCTACAGAGCTCTTCACCCCAAAACAATAGAATAGACATTTTTTCTCATCACAATATGGCACATACTTCAAAATTGACCACATAATTGGACATAAAACAATCTTCAGCAAATACAAAAGAACCAAAATAATACCAACCACTGTCTTGGACCACAGCACAATAAATTGAGAAATCCAGACCAAGAATATGACTCAAAACTCTGCAATCTCATGAAAATTAAATAACCTACTCCTGAATGACTTTTGGGTAAATAATGAAATTAAGGTAGAAATGAAGAAGTTCTTTGAAACTAATGAGAACAAAGATAAAACATACCATAATTTCTGGGTCACAGCTAAGGTAGTGTTAAGAGGGAAATTTATAATACAAAATGCCTACATCAAAAAGTATGAAAGATCTCCATTTAAAAACCTAACATCACAACTAAAAAAACTAGGGAACCAAAAGCAATTATCTCAACTAAAAGAACTAGAGCATGAAGAGAAAACCAACCCCAAAGCTAGTAGAAGACCAGAAATAACCAAAATCAAAATCAGAGCTGAACTGAAGGAGATTTGAGCTCAAGCATTCAAAAGAAAAACCATTCAAAAAATTAATAACTGAAGTTGTATTTTTTGAAAAAAAATTAATAAAATATAGACCACTAGCTAGAAAAATAAAGAAAAGAGAGAAGATTCAAACAATCCAAATTAGCAGTGACAAAGGAGATGTTACTACCAACCCTATATAAATATAAATAACCATCAGAGAATATACATATACATTTTTTGAGACAGAGTCTTGCTCTGTTGCCCAGGCTGGAGTGCAGTGGTGCAATCTTGGCTCACTGCAAGCTCCATCTCCTGGGTTCACGCCATTCTCCTGCCTCATTCTCCTGAGTAGCTGGGACTACAGGCACCTGCCACCATGCCAGGCTAATTTTTTTGTATTTTTAGTAGAGACAGGGTTTCACTGTGTTAGCCAGGATGGTCTGGATCTCCCGACCTCATGATCCACCCGCCTCAACCTCCCAAAGTGCTGGGATTACAGGTGTGAGCCACCATCAGAGAATATTAAAACACTGCTTTGCACACAAACTAGGAAACCTAAAAAAAAATGGATAAATTCCTGTACACATATACTGAACCAGAGATAATTTCAATCCCTGAACAGACTAATAATAATCTCCAAAATTGAATGTGTAAAAATAGCCTACCAAACAAAACAAAACAAAACAAAAAAGCCCAGGATCGGATTCACGGTCTAATGCTATCAGATGTACAAAGAAGAGCTAGTCCCATTCCTACTGAAATTATTCCAAAAAAAATTGACTAGGAAGGCCTCCTCCCTAACTCATTATATGAGACCAGCATCATCCTGATTCCAAAACCTGGCAGAGGCACAACAGAAAAAGAAACTTCAGGCTGGTATCCTTGATGCACATTTATGCAAAAATCCCCAACAAAACACTGGCAAACCAAACCCAGCAGCAAATAAAAAAGCTTATCCACCACAAACAAGTAGGCTTCATCTCTGGAATGCAAAGTTGTTTCAACATATGCAAATCAATAAATGTGACTTATTACATAAAAAGAGCTAAAGACAAAACCACATGATTATCTCAATAAATGTAGAAAATTCCTTCAATAAAATTCAACAGCCTTTCATTTTAAATTTAAAATTCTCAATAATCTAGGTATTGAAGGAACATACCTCAAAATAATAAGAGCCGTCTATGAAAAATCCACAACCCACATCACACTGAATGGGAAAAAGCTGGAAGCATTCCCTTTGAAAACCAACACAAGAAAAGTATGTGCTCTCTACCACTCCTATTCAGCATAGTATTAGAAGTCCTGGCCAGAGTAATCGGGCAAAAGAAAGAAATAAAGGGCATTCAAATAGGAAGAGAGGAAGTCAGACTATTGCTGCCTACAGATAACATGATTATATAGCTGAAAAATCCCATGGTCTTAGCTCAAATGCTCCTTAAGCTGATAAACATCTTCAATGAAATCTCAGAATACAAAATCAATGTACCAAAATTGCTAGCATTCCTATACACCAACAGTCAAGCTGACAGCCAAATCAGGAATGCAATTCCGTCCACAATTGCCACAAAAAGGGTAAAATACATAGAAATATAGCTAACCAGGAAGCTGAAATATCTCTGCAATGAGAGCTACAATACATTGTTCAAAGAAATCAGAGATGACAAAAACAAATAGAAAAACATTCCATGCTCATGGATAGAAAGACTCAATCTGCTTACAATGGCCATACTTCCCAAAGCAATTTATAGGTTCAATGCTATTCCTATGAAATTACCAATGACATTCTTCACACAAGTAGAAAAAATATTTAAAAACTCATACATAACCCCCATCAGTATTTTGTTGCCATCTATCTCAATTCTTAGGTCTAGTAGCAATTGTTTTATAAATTTGGAAGCTCCAGTGTGAGGTGCATATGTATTTAGAATTGTGATATTTTCCTGTTGGACTACTCCTTTTATCATTGTGTAATATCCCTCTTTGTATTTCTAAACTGCTGTTGCTTTAAAGTTTTTTTTTTGTCTGATATAAGAATAGCTACTCCTGCTTGCTTTTGGTGTCCATTTGCATGGAATATCTTTTTCCATCCTTTAACCTTAAGTTTATGTGAGTCCTTATGTGTTAGGTGAGTCTCCTGAAGGCCAAAGAAACTTGATTGGTGAATTCTTCTCCTTTTTGCCATTCTGTATCTTTTTTTTTTTTTTTTTTGAGATGGAGTCTTGCACTTTTGCCCAGGCTGGAGTGCAGTGGTGTGATCTCAGCTCACTGCAAGCTCTGCCTTCTGGGTTCACACCATTCTCCTCCCGAGTAGCTGGGACTGCAGGCGTCCACCACCACACCTGGCTAAGTTTTTGTATTTTTAGTAGAGACAGGGTTTCACCATGTTAGCCAGGATGGTCTTGATCTCCTGACCTCATGATCTGCCTGCCTCCACCTCCTAAAGTGCTGGGATTACAGCCATTCTGTATCTTTTAAGTGGCGCATTTAGGCCATTTACATTCAATGTTAGTATTGAGATGTGAGTTGCTATACTATTTTTCATGCTATTTGTTGCCCGAATACTTTGGGTATTTTTCATTATGTTATTGTCATATAGGTTCTGTGAGATTTATGTTTTAAGAAGCTTCTATTTTGGTGCATGTTGAGAATTTGTTTCAACATTTAGAGTTCCATTTTAGCAGTTCTTGTAGTGCTGGCTTGGTAGTGGCAAATTCTCTTAACATTTGTTCATCTGGAAGAGACTTTATTTTTTTTGCTGGATACAAAATTCTTTGCTGATAATTGTTTTGTTTAAGGAGGCTAAAAATAGGACCCCAAATTCTTCTAGCTTGTAAGGATTCTGCTGAGAACTCTTCTGTTAATCTGATACATTTTCCTTTATAGGTTACCTGATACTTTGCCTCACAGCTCTTTAGATTCTTTCCTTCATCTTGACTTTAGATAACCCGATGACAGGGTGCCTAGGCAATGATCTTTTTGCAACGAATTTCCCTGGTGTTCTTTGAGCTTCTTGTATTTGGATGTCTTAATCTCTAGCAAGGCCAGGGAAGTTTTCCTCAATTATTCCCTCAAAAATGTTTTCCAAATGTTTTGATTTCTCTTCTTTCTTGGGAATACCAATTATTATTAGATTTGGATGTTTAACATAGTCCCAAACTTCTTAGGGGCTTTGTTTATTTTTTTTTTTTACTCTTTTTTCTTTGTCCTTGACAAGTTGGGCTAATTTGAAAGCCTTGTCTTTGGGCCCTGATGTTCTTTCTTCTGCTTGTTTGATTCTGTTGCTGAGACTTTCCAGTGCATTTTGCATTTCTCTAAGTGTGTCCTTGATTTTCAGAAGTTGTGATTTCTTTTTATTTATATTATCTATTTCACCGAACAATTTTCCTTTCATATCCTGTATCATATTTTTTATTTCCTTAAGTTGAACTTCACCTTTTTCTGGTGACTTATTGATTAGCTTAATAATTGACCCTCTGAATTCCTTTTCTGGCAATTCAGAGATTTTGTCTTTGTTTGGATCCATTGCTGATGAGCTGGTATGATATTTTGGGGATGTTAAAGTGGTGCTAAAAGGAAAGTTCATGGCATTAAATGCCTATATTAAAAAGCCTGAAAGAGCACAAATAGAAAATCTAAGGTCACACCCCATGGAACTGAAGAAACAATAACAAACCAAACCCAAACCCAGAAGAATAAAAGAAATAATGAAAATCAGAGCAAAACTAAGTGAAATTGAAACAACAATAACAACAACAAAAATACAAAAGATTAATGAAACAAAAAGGTGGTTCTTTGAAAAGATAAATAAAATTGATAGACCATTGGCAAGATTAACCAAGAAAAGAGAGAATATCCAAGTAAGCTCAATCAGAAATAAACAGGAGATATTACAACTCATACCACAGAAATACAAAGGATTATTCAAGGCTACTATGAGCAAGTTTATGCACATAAACTAGAAAACCTAGAGGAGATGGATAAATTCCTGGAAAGATACAACCCTCTTAGATTAAACCAGGAAGATATGGAATCTCTGAACAGACCAATAATAAGCAGTGAGATTGAAATGGTAATAAAAAATTGCCAACAAAAAAAAGTCCAGGACCAGGCAGATTCACAGCTGAATTCTGTCAGATGTTCAAAGAAGAAAGTACCAATCCTATTGACACTATTCCACAGGATTGAGAAAGAGGGAATTCTCCCTAAATTCATTCTATGAAGCCAGTATCACCCTAATACCAAAACCAGGAAAGGACATAAGAAAAAAAGAAAACTACAGGCCAATATCCCTGATGAACACAGATGCAAAAATCCTCAACAAAATACTAGGTAATTGAATTCAACAGCATATCAAAAAGATAATTAACCATGATCAAGTGGGTTTCATACCAGAGATGTGGGGATGGTTTAAAATACATAAGTCAATAAATGTGATACATCACATAAACAGAATTAAAAACAAAAATTTCATGATCATTTCAATAGACACAGAAAAAGCATTTCACAAAATTCAGCATCCTGTTATATTTAAAACCCTCAGCAAAATCAGCATAGAAGGGACATAACTTGAGGTAATAAAAACCATCTATGACTAACACACAGCTAACATTATACCAAATAGGGAAAGGTTAAAAGCATTCCCCCTGAGAACTGGAACAAGAGAAGGATGCCCACTTTCACCACTTCTATTCAAAATAGTACAGAAATTCCTAGCCAGAGTAATCAGACAAGAAAAAGAAATCAAGGGCATCCAAATTGGTAAAGAGGAAGTCAAACTGTCACCATTTGCTGATGATATAATCGTATACATAGCATAACCTAAAGACTCATCCAAAAAGCTCATAGAACTGGTAAATGAATTCGGCAAGTTTCAGGATAGAAAATTAACACACACAAATCAGTAGCTGTGCTATACACTGACAATGACCTAGCTGAGAATCAAATCAAGAACTCTACTCCTTTTACAATTGAACAATGAGAACACATGGACACAGGAAGGGGAACATCACACTCTGGGGACTGTTGTGGGGTGGGGGGAGGGGGGAGGGATAGCATTAGGAGATATACCTAATGCTAAATGACGAGTTAATGGGTGCAGCACATCAACATGGCACATGTATACATATGTAACAAACCTGCACATTGTGCACATGTACCCTAAAACTTAAAGTATAATAAACACACACACACACACACACACACAATAAAAACAAAAACAAAAACAAAACAAAAAAAGTTAGGAACCTACCTAATTAAAGAGGTGAAAAACTTCTACAAGGACAACTACAAAACACTGCTGAAGGAAATCTTAGACAACACAAACAGATGGAAACACATCCCATACTCATGGATGGGTAGAATCAATATTGTGAAAATGGCCATACTGCCAAAAGCAATCTACAAATTCAACACAATTCCCATCAAAATACCACCATCATTATTCACAGAATTAGAAAAAAAAATTCTAAAATTAATATGGAACCAAAAAAGTGTCCACATAGTCAAAGCAAGACTAGGCAAAAAGAAAAAATCTGGAGGCATCACATTACCCACTTCAAATTATACTATAAAGCCATAGTCACCAAAACAGCATGGTACTGGTATAAAAATAGACACATAGACCAATGGAACATAATAGAGACCCAGGAATAAAGCCAAATACTTACAGCCAACTGATCCTCAACAGAGTGACAAAAACATAAAGTGGGGAAAGAACACCTTGTTCAAGAAATGGTGCTGAGATAATTGGCAAGCCACACGTAGAATAGTAAAACTGGATCCTCATCTCTCACCTTATACAAAAAATCAACTCAAGATGAACCAAAGACTTAAATGTAAGACCTGAAACCATAAAGATTCTAGAAGATAACATAAAAAAAAACCCTTCTAGACATAGGCTGAGGAAAAAACTTCATGACCAAGAACCCAAAAGCAAATGCAACAAAAACAAAGATAAATAGATGGGACTTAATTAAACTGAAAAGCTTCTGCACAGCAAAAGAATTAATCAGTAGAGTTAACAGACAATCCACAGAGTGGGAGAAAATCTTCACAATCTACATCTCCAACAAAGGATATCCAGAATATACAAAGAACTGAAACAAATCAGTAAGAAAAAAACAACCCCATAAAAAGGACATGAATAGACAATTCTCAAAAAAAGGTATACAAATGGCCAACAGGCATATGGAAAAATGCTCAACATCACTAAGTATCTGAGAAATGCAAATCAAAACTGCAATGTGATACCACCTCACTTTTTCAAGAATGACCATAATCAAATAATCAAAAAATAATAGATGTTGGTGTGGATGTGGTGAAAGGGGAACACTTTTACACTGTTGGCAAGAATGTAAACTATGAAAAACAGTGTGTAGATTCCTTAAAGAACTAAAAGTAGGTCTACCATTTGATTCAGCAATCCCACTACTATGTATCTACCCAGAGGAAAATAAGTCATTGTATGAAAAAGATACTTGTACACACATGTTTATAGCAGCACAATTTGCAATTGCTAAAATATGAAACAAGCCCAAATGCCCATCAATCAATGAGTGGACAATATATATACCATGGAATACTACTCTGCCATAAAAAGGAACAACATAATGACATTCACAGCAACCTGGATGGAATTGGAGACTATTATTCTAAGTGAAGTAACTCAGGAGTAAAAAACAAACATTGTATGTTCTCACTCATATGTGGGAGATAAGCTATGAGGATGCAAAGGCATAAGAATGATGCACTGGACTTTGGAAACTTGGGAGAAATGATTGGGGGTGAAGGATAAAAGACTACACACTGGGTACAATGTACATTGCTCGGGTAATGGGTACATCAATAATTTCAGAGATCACCATTAAAGAACTTACTAATGTAACTAAACACCACCTGTTTCTCCAAAAGCCTATTAAAATAAAAAAATTAAAAATTAAAAAAAATTAATACGAAACAAAAACAGAGCCCCAAATAGCCAAGGCAATCCTAAGCAAAAAGACCAAAGCTGGAGGCATCACACTACCTGACTTCAAACTATACTACAGGGATCAGTAAAAAAAACAGCATGGTACTGGTACAAAAGCAGGCACATAGACCAATGGGACAAAATACATAGCCCAGAAATAAGGCCACACACCAACAACCATCTGATATTCAACAAAGGTGGCAAAAACAAACAATGTAGAAAGGACTCCCTATTCATTAAATGGTGCTGGGATAACTGGCTAGCCATATGCAGAAGATTGAAACCAGACCCCATATACACCATATACAAAGATCAGCTCAAGATGGATTAAAGACTTAATTGTAAAACCCAAACTATGAAAATCCTGGAAGACAACTAGATAATATCATTCTTGACATAGGAATGGGCAAAGATTTCATGATAAAGAAGATAAAAGCAATTGCAACAAAAGGAAAAATTGACAAATGGGTTCTAATTAAACTAAAGAGCTTCTGTGCAGCAAAATAAGTTATCAACAGAGTAAACAGATAACCTGCTGGATGGGAGAAAATTTTTGCAAACTCTTTGTCCAGCAAAGGTCTAATATCCAGCATCTATAAGGAACTTGAACAAATTTACAGGAAAAAAGCAACCCCATTGGAAAGTGGACAAAGACATGAACAGACACGTTTCAAAAGAAGACATACGTGCAGCCAACAATCATATGATAAAAAAAGCTCAACATCACTAATCATTAGAAAAATGCAAGTCTAAAACACAATGAGATACCATCTCACATCAATCAGAATGGCTACTACAAAAAAGTCAAAAATAACAGATGCTGGTGAGGTTGCAGAGAAAAGGAAATGCTTATACTCTGGTAGTGGTAGCATAAATTAGTTCAGTGATTGTGGAAAGCAGTGTGGTGTTTCCTCAAAAACCTAAAAATAGAACTACCATTTGACCAAGGAGCCCCATCACTAGGTATATACTTAAAGGAATATAAATCATTCTATCATAAAAACACATGCATGTGTATCTTCATTGCATCACTGTTCATAATAGCAAAGACATGAAATCAACCTAAATGGCATCGATGGCTAGACTGGATAAAGAAAATATGGTATATATACACCATGGGATACTATGCAGTTGTAGAAAAGAACGACATCATATCCTTTGTAGAAACATGGATGGAGCTGGAGATCACTATCCTTCACCAACTAATACAGGAACAGAAAAGCATATTCTGCATGTTGTCTCTTAGAAGTGGGAGCTATATAACGAAGACACATGAAAACAAAGAGGAGAACAATAGACACTGGGGCCTCCCTGAGGGTGGGGATAGGAGAGAGAGGATTAGAAAAATAACTACTGGGGACTAGGCTTAACACCTGGGTGACAAAATATTCTATACAACAAACCCCTGTGACATGAGTTTACCTATATGACAAACCTGCACATGTACCACTGAACTTAAAAATATTTTAAAACCCAATTTCTTGTTTTACAGATCCTTTGTATTGTTTTCTTCATTTCAATTTCATTTATTTTTACTCTGGTCTTTATAATTTCTTTTTTTCTACTGATTTTGGTTTTAGTTTTTTTTTTGATGGAGTCTGACTCTGTCACCTAGGCTGGAGTGCAGTGGCACGATCTCAGCTCACTGCAAGCTCCGCCTCCCGAGTTCACGCCATTCTCCTGCCTCAGCCTCCTGAGTAGCTGGGAATACAGGTGCCCGCCACCAAGCCTGACTAATTTTTTGTATTTTTAGTAGAGACAGGGTTTCACTGTAGTCTCCATCTCCTGACCTCGTGATCCGCTCGCCTTGGCCTCCCACGGTGCTGGGATTACAGGCATGAGCCACCACGCCTGGCCCACAATTTTTCTTAAAGGTCATGGAATTTCATATCTCCAAACCTTGAAAGACATTGTTCCCTCTGCCTAGAATATTGTGTCCCATGTTTCACACAACTTTTACTTAGTTTTCCCTGAGATCAAACCTCTACTTCCCCTGGGCAGAACTACTTATCATCTAGCACAATGATGCACACATAGTAGACACTCTGTAGATGTTACATGTTTGTTCAATATGTAAATAAAGTAATTGCCAGTTAGTAGCATCTACTAATTAATTCACGTATAAGCTGATTCCAAAGTGAGAATTAGCTGGACTCTGCCCTCATTTGGAATCACTGCATTAAGAGAAAGAGAGAAAGTAAACAGTTGAAACTAAAAGTTTTCACAAGAAAAGAGCCATAAGTGGGAGTGCATTTAGAAGTGCCGAATCAAGAACTTTGTGAAGCATACACAAGTATCAATAGCTGAATTGATCAAGTGGAAGAAAGGATATCACATATTGAAGATCAACTTAATGAAATAAAGCATGAAGACAAGATTAGAGAAAAAAGAATGAAAAGGAATGAATGAAGACTCCAAGAAATATGGAACTATGTGAATAGACCAAACGTACACTTGATTGGTGTACCTGAAAGTGACAGGGAGAATGGAAACAAGTTGGAAAACACTCTTCAGGATATTATCCAGGAGAACTTCCCCACCTAGCAAGACAGGCCAACATTCAAATTCAGGAAATACAGAGAACACCACAAAGATAATCCTCAAGAAGACCAACCCCAAGACACATAATCGTCAGATTCACTAGGGTTGAAATGAAGGAAAAAATGTTATGGGCAGCAAGAGAGAAAGGTCGGGTTACCCACAAAGGGAAACCCATCAGACTAACAGCAGATCTCTTGGCAGAAACCCTACAAGCCAGAAGAGAGTGAGGGCGGATATTCAACATTCTTAAAGAAAAGAATTTTCAACTCAGAATTTCATATCCAGCCAAAGTGAGCTTCACAAGTGAAGGAGAAATAAAATCCTTCACAGACAAGCAAATGCTGAGAGATTTTGTCACCACTAGGCCTGCCTTACAAGAGCTCCTGAAGGAAGCATGAAACATGGAAAGAAACAAATGGTACCAGCCACTGTAAAAACATACCAAATTGTAAAGACCATCAAAACTATGAAGAAACTGAATCAACTAATGGGCAAATTAACCAGCTAGCATCATAATGACAGGATAAAATTCACACATAACAATATTAACCTTAAATGTAAACGGGCTACATGAACCAATTAAAAGACACAGACTGGCAAATTGGATAAAGAGTCAAGACCCATCAGTATGCTGTATTCAGGAAAGCCACCTCACATGCACAGACACACATAGGCTCAAAGTAAAGGGATGGAGGAATATTTACCAAGCAAATGGAAAGCAAAAACAAAACAAACAAACAAACAAACAAAAAAGCAGGGGTTGCAAGCCTAGTCTCTGATAAAACAGACTTTAAACCAACAAAGATCAAATGAGACAAAGAAGTGCATTACATATTGGTAAAGGGATCAATGCAACAAGAAGAACTAACTATCCTAAATATATATATGCACCTAATAAAGGAGCACCCAGATTCATTAAGCAAGTTCTTAGAGACCTACAAAAGAGACTTAGACTCCCATACAATAATAGTGGGAGACTTTAACACCCCACTGTAAATATTAGACAGATCAATGAGACAGAAAATTAACAAGGATATTCAGGACTTGATCTCAGCTCTGGACCAAGCAGACCTAATAGACACCTACAGAACTCTCTACCACAAATCAACAGAATATACATTTTTCTCAGCACCACATCGCACTTATTCTAAAATTGACCATATAATTGGAAGTGAAACACTCCTCAGCAAATGCAAAAGAACAAAATCATAAGAAACAGTCTCTCAGACCATACTGTAATCAAATTAGAACTTAGGATTAAGAAACTCACTCAAAACTGCACAACTACTTGGAAACTGAACAACCTGCTCCCGAATGATGACTGGGTAAATAACGAAATTAAGGCAGAAATAAATAAGTTCTTTGAAATCTGTGAGAACAGACACAACATACCAGAATCTCTGGGACACAGCTAAAGTAGTGTTTAGGGGGAAATTTATAGCACTAAATGCCCACAAGAGAAAGCAGGAAAGATCTAAAATCGACACCCTAATATCACAATTAAAAGAACTAGAGAAGCTAGGAGAAGACAAGAAATAACTAAGATCAGAGCAGAACTGAAGGAGATAGAGACATGAAAATCCCTTAAAAAAAAAAAAAACCAATGAATCCAGGAGCTTATTTTTCAAAAATATCAACAAAATAGATAGATTACTAGCCAGACTAATAGAGAAGAAAATAGAGAAGAATCAAATAGATGCAATAAAAAATGATAAAGAAGATATCACCACTGATCCCACAGAAATACAAACTACCATCAGAGAATACTATAAACACCTCTATGCAAATAAACTAGAAAATCTAGAAGAAATAAACACATTCCTAGACACATACACCCTTCCAATTCTAAACCAGAAAGAAGTCGATTCCCTGAATAGACCAGTAACAAGTTCTGGAATTGAGGCAGTAATTAATAGCCTATGAACAAAAAAAAGTCCAGGACCAGACGGATTCACAGCCAAATTCTATCAGAGGTACAAAGAGGAGCTGGTACCATTCCTTCTGAAACTATTCCAAACAATAGAAAAAGAGGGAATCCTCCCTAACTTATTTTATGAGACCAGCATCATCTTGATATCAAAACCTGGCAGAGACACAACAACAACAAAAAAAGAAAATTTCAGGCCAATATCCCTGATGAGCATCGATGCAAAAATCCTCAATAAGATACTCAAAAATCCTCAATAAAATACTGGAAAACCAAATCCAGCAGTACATCAAAAAGTTTATCCACCACCATCAAGTTGGGTTCATCCCTGGGATGCAAAGCTGGTTCAACATATGCAAATCAATAAATGTAATCCATCACATAAACAGAACCAATGACAAAAACCACATGATTATCTCAATAGATGCAGAAATGGCCTTTGACAAAATTCAACACCCCTTCATGCTAAAAGTACTCAATAAACTAGGTATTGATGGAATGTATCTCAAAATAATAAGAATTATTTATTACAAACCCACAGCCAATATCATACTGAATGGGCAAAAGCTGGAAGCATTTCCTTTGAAAACCAGCACAAGACAAGGATGCCCTCTCTCACTACTCCTATTCAACATGGTATTGGAAGTTCTGGCCAGGGCAATCAGGCAAGAGAAAGAAGTAAATCATATTCAAATAGGAAGAGAGGAAGTCAAATTGTCTCTGTTTGCAGTTGACATGATTGTATCTTTAGAAAGCTCCATCATCTCAGCCACAAATCTCCTTAAGCTGATAAGCAACTTCAGCAAAGTCTCAGGATACAAAATGAATGTGCAAAGATCACAAGCATTCCTATACAGCAATAATAGACAAACAGAGAGCCAAATAATGAGTGAACTCCCATTCACAATTACTACAAACAGAATAAAATACCTAGGAATACAAGTTACAAGGGATGTGAAGGAACTCTTCAAGGAGAATTACAAACCACTGCTCAATAAAATAAAAGAGGACACAAACAAATGGAAGAACATTCCATGCTCATGGATAGGAAGAATTAATATCGTGAAAAAAGCCATACTGCCCAAGGTAATTTATAGACTCAATGCTATCCCCATCAAGCGACCATTAACTTTCTTCACAGAATTGGAAAAAACAACTTTAAATTTCATACGGAACCAAAAAAGAGCCCACATTGCCAAGACAATCCTAAGCAAAAAGAACAAAGCTGGAGGCATCATGCTACCTGACTTCAAACTATACTACAAGGCTACAGTAACCAAAACAGCATAGTAATGGTACCAAAACAGATATATAGATCAATGGAACAGAACAGAGGCCTCAGAAATAACCCCACACATCTACAACCATCTGGTCTTTGACAAACCTGACAAAAACAAGCAATGGGGGAAAGGATTCCCTATTTAAAAAATAGTGTTGGGAAAAATGGCTAGCCATATGCAGAAAACTGAAACTGAATCTGTTCCTTACACCTTATACAAAAATTAACTGAAGATGGATTAAAGACTTAAATGTAAGGCCTAAAACTATACAAAGTCTAGAAGAAAACTTAGGCAATATCATTCAGTACATAGGCTTTGGCAAAGACTTCATGACTGAAACATCAAAAGTAATGGCAACAAAAGCCAAAATTGACAAATGGGATCTCTTTAAACTAAAGAGCTTCTGCACAGTGAAAGAAACTGTCATTAGAGTGAACAGGCAACCTACAGAATGGGAAAAAATTTTTGCAATCTATCCTTCTGGCAAATGGCTAATATGGAGGGTCTACAAAGAACTTCAACAAATTTACAAGAAAAAAACAAACAACCCCATCAAAAAGTGGGTGAAGGATATGAACAGACACTTCTCAAAACAAGACATTTATGCGGCCAACAAACATATGAAAAAAAACTCATCATCACCAGTCATTAGAGAAATACAAATCCAACCACAATGAGATACCATCTCACGCCAGTTAGAATGGCAATCATTAAAATTCAGGAAACAACAGATGCTGGAGAGGAAGTGGAGAAATAGGAATGCTTTTACGCTGCTGGTGGGAGTGTAAATTAGTTCAACCATTGTGGAAGACAGTGTGGTGATTCCTCAAGGATCTAGAATCAGAAACACCATTTGACCCAGCAATCCCATTATTGGGTAATATACCCAAAGGATTATAAATCATTCTACTATAAAGACACATGCACATGTATGTTTATTGCAGCACTGTTCACAATAGCAAAGACTTGGAACCAACCCAAATGCCCATCAATAATAGGCTGGATAAAGAAAGTGTGGCACATATACACCATGGAATACTATGCAGGCATTAAAAAGGATGAGTTCTTGTCCTTTGCAGGGACATGGATGAAGCTGGAAACCATCATTCTCAGAAAACCAACACAAGAACAGAAAACCAAACATCGCATGTTCTCACTCATAAATGAGAGTTGAACAATGAGAATACATGGACACAGCGAGGTCAACATCACACACCCGGGCCTGTCAGGGGATGTGGGGCTAGGGGAGGGATAGCATTAGGAGAAATACCTAATGTAAATGACGAATTGATGGGTGCAGCAACCAACCATTGGCATGTGTATACCTATGTAACAAACCTGCACATTCTGTACATGTATCCCAGAACTTAAACTATAATAAAATAAACATTTAAAAAAAGAAGTGCTGAATCATAAGACATGAGGGGCAATGGGTACTCAACAGAAAGAAGAGATTAGAAATAGGAGATAAGAAAAGCTAAAGGGGAAAGTGTGCTATCCTTATAACCTGTCCATAGCTAGTAGTTTTGGATGGATTTTTCTCCTACATTCCTTTCCCTTACAACCATTCCAGTGGGCCTGAATTAGAGGGACTTCTACATTACCTTCTATTTTATTATTAACTAGATTTTAAAATTAAAAAAGCAATAAAATACAAGTTATGATTTTAAAAATCAACTAAAAATGAGACCGTAAAAAGAATAAAAGGTCAAAGAACTTCCCAATCCATACTCCAAATCTCAGGCCCTCTCTCCCAGAGGTGACTACTATTAATATTTCCTTCTGTCTATGTATGTATTTGCCTCTTGGTCTATAAAAATAAAATCATACCTTACATATTGTGATAGTTAATTTTCTGTGTCAACTTGAATGGCCACTAGATGCCCAGATATTTGGTCAAACATTATTCTGGGTTTATCCATAAGGGTGTTTTGGATGAGATTAACCTTTGAATTGGTAGGCTGAGTAAAGTGGATTGCTCTCCCTAATGTGATAGTCCTCATCCAGTCAGTTGAAGGCCCAGAAACAACAAGAAGATTGACCTTTTTCTGTGGTTTGAATGTTTGTGTCCCCTTCAAAATTTATGTTGAAACTTAATTAATTCCCAATTCAATAAAGGTGGAGCATTAAGAGGTGGAGACTTCAGGAGGTGATTAGTCCATGAGGTCTCTGCCCTTATAAATGGATTAACATCTTATAAAAGAACTTGAAGTGGCAAATTTACCCCTTCCACTTTTTCTGCCATGTGAGGACAGAGCATTCAAACCCTCCAGAAGATGCAGCAATAAGGTGCCCTCTTGAAAGCAGAGAGTGGCCCTCACCAGACCCCAAACCTGCTGGCACCTTGATCTTGGGCTTCAGAGCCTCCAGAACTGTGAGAAATAAATTTCTGCTTCATCCATGTCCCTACAAAGGACATGAACTCATCATGAAGCTGGAAACCATCATTCTCAGCAAACTATCACAAGGACAAAAAACCAAACACCGCATGTTCTCACTCATAGGTGGGAACTGAACAATAACACATGGACACAGGAAGGGGAACATCACACACCGGGGCCTGTTGTGGGGTGGGGGTAGAGGGGAGGGATAGCATTAGGAGATATACCTAATGTTAAATGACGAGTTAGTGGGTGCAGCACACCAACATGGCACATGTATACATATGTAACTAACCTGCACGTTGTGCACATGTACCCTAAAACTTAAAGTATAATAAAAAAAAGAAAAAAAAACAAATAAAGGATGGTAGGGAAGTCATTAAATGCACCTCTATCAGAGGCTAACACTGGAGAAGGTGGTAGTAACTTGAAAAGATATGCATGCTCTACTGGCCTTTTTGCTTTAGGTCTGACAAAGGTGGCAGTCCTTAAAGTAAAGGAAAAATTATTTTGCCAGGCCCAATATTAGAAACGTTAACAACTGCCTTACACCCACAGCCTATCAGTTACCTAATCTGTTCTTTCAAAGCATCTTTTGCATCTGTCCCTTCAACTCCATAGCCTCTTCTATCAGCTTTGTCTAAGCACAAGTTTTACATTATTCATAATTAATAGTTCTATTTGAGATTCCCAAGTAATCTCAGACATTCTTCCCTGAATGGGCAGGCATACACTGCATTCTGTTTTAAAAATAAGATGTTGGAATGCTCATTTTATTTTTCTCACAGACATGTGGCTCTACTTTCCCCAGAAAAAGAGAAAGTCAACTGTCTCTGAAGTGATCCATGCATGTAACAGATCACTTGGTTTCCTGTGGTGCAGATCGAGGCAGAGAGATTACGACATGGTGATTCAGTGTCTGACCAGGAAGCCACCCTTGTTGATAGGGTCAGTCATCCCCCTTATTCCTAGGATTCCAGCTATCAGAGAGCACATCCCTAACTGAATTAGTCAACAAAGGACTTGGAAACAGTTTCTGCAGCATCGTGTCTTCTGTGCAGGCTTAGCTATATTAGAGTGCCTAAATTTAGTTAAACAACATGCAAATATTTATAGAGTACCTAGGGACAAAGCAGTATGCTAGGTACAATAGAGAGGTACAAACACTGCATAAGACATAGTTTCCATCCTGAAACAGCTAATAGTCTATTGAAGAGGCAGAGCTTATATGAGGCTGGTTTAGCAGATTTCATAGAATTGTGAGGATTTGGCATAAAAAGGAGTTGGATAGGTGAAAGCAAAGGCATTTTGGTCAGTTCAAAATTTTATTGCTTTTCATCTGAGGCCTTCATAAGACTTAAAGAACAAAGTAGATATAATATGCTCTTAAAAATAAACTATGATGATCGAAATAGAAGTTAGAAGGCTTTTTTAAGTTTAGAAAAAATTTTCCAATTGTTTTCATAAAAGAAATTGTCAGACTAATAATATGGTTGGATTAATAATAGTGTCTAAATAGCTTTTGCTCTGATTTTTTACTGATTGGCAGAAATAGTCTAGAGGTTATGAACCTGTCTGAGTCAAAACTAAGCCATTTTACATCTTCTAGCATTGTTCTGCAGTCACCACTAGTTAAAAATGATCACCCAACTCCCATCAAAATTACTAGTGTGCTTGCAGGCAACTATAAGCTGTATGCTCAAAGAAGTGATGAAAAATTGTTTAGCTCAGAAGCAGGTGCACTAGACTAAAGGAGCAGAATGAAATTTTTCATCTTTCATGGCAATGGGTATAATTTGAGAGTAGGATGTTACAAAGGTGCGCTGATGCCCATGAAAGGCAAGATTGACCAGGATAATGAGTTTATACTCTCCCTCCTGATATCTACCTGGCCCTCTCCCTCACTCCACTAAGGTCTCAGTTTAGATGCCACCTCTTTAGAGAGGCTATCCTTAACTCTCTCTGTAGAAAGTCACACTCTCTATCACTATTCTCCCATCCTGCTTTATAATTATTTAAATATATGCTTAGTATTGATAGAGGCAGAAGGCAGGAAAATTCTAGGCAGACAGGGGTGGGTCCCCGGCAAAACTTCACCTTTGAGCCTAAAAACCTGAAACCCACAGCCGAAAGTGAGAACATCTATCCCTGTTTGCCTGATATCTCCCGATTGGTTCTTTCTGAATAAAGTCTTTTTACCAATTGAATATTGCCTTTTCCAAAACTACCTATGGACTACCCCATCCCCCATCCTGTTCCTATAAAGACCACAGACTCAGTCAAAAGAGGGTGAGAAAAAGCTTGACTGGAGAGAGGTAACTTGACTTCAGAGGGATGGCTGGACTTTGGAAGAGAGATGTCTTAACTTCGAAGAAGAGATGCCCGGAGATGGCTGAACTTCAGGGAAGATTATCTGCCTGTCCCAACACTTCTCTGGCTCCCCTCTCCACTGAGAGCCATTTCAATTGCTAAATAAAATTCTCCACCTCCACCATCCATCAAATGTCTGTGTGACCTCATTCTTCTTGGACACCAGACAAGAGCTTGGGACCCACCAAGGGTGGGTACCCTAAAAAGTCTGTCACATTGGCCCTTTGCCCTCACTGGTGGAGGGCAGCCATCCCATGTGACCAGGTAAGGGGCTCATTGAGCTGATAACACACCACTCTTCATGAATGTCAGAGCTAAGAGAACATTGTAACACATCATCTGAGGCTTCAGGGATCACTGGCACCTCTGCCTGGGCACTGCCATGCGGCCCACAAGGAGCCAGCTTCTGCTGGCACCCGAAGCAGCCAGCCATATCCCTCACTCATTTGAATATGCCTAGTCTGGCCACAGGGCCTGCATGGAGCCTACTCCTGCAGGTGCTAAAAGCGGCCAGTTGGCTTGATCCTACACACACTTATTCAAGTGCTCTCTCCCACAAGAGGTTGAGGATGGCAGGCTGAGTAA
The DNA here is from genome assembly GCF_000001405.40 of Homo sapiens. Classification (NCBI taxonomy): domain Eukaryota; kingdom Metazoa; phylum Chordata; class Mammalia; order Primates; family Hominidae; genus Homo; species Homo sapiens. The sequence continues at coordinate 109,310,924 of NC_000023.11, read as the reverse complement.
ACAGGGAACCCCCATTGCAAGTCCGATGAACGAGTCAAGAAAACTCCTGCATTATCTGGGGACTCATCTGGGATTCGTCAGAAGGGTCAGTAAATGTGGATCTGTCTCTTCACTTTTTTTCCCAAGACTTCTTGTCCTCAGACTTTCCTCCGAAGGCAGATGATGCACCAAACCTGAGTGTCCAGTTAAAGGCAAATAGCAGTGCTACAGAGGACAGAATGTGACTCTGCCACTTCTCTTTCTTTTGAGTGAAAGGAATGTTAGCTTTGTTTCCCTTCACGGAGGTCTAGCCATTGGGTGGGACTGGGATAATGTCCTGGGGCAACTGAAGGTATCTCACTGAGACCACTCCTCAGTGTTTCTGGAAGGCCCCTAAACTGGTTCCATCCATGACTGCCTGTAATTGTGTTGGCCAAGACCCCCAGACTTTTCTATGGTGTCTTTTCTTCCTTCTTTCATGGTTTGAAATGGCTCTTATCTCTAATTTTATCATGTTAAGGGTGTTGCTGCAAACTGCAGAAATGTTACTAGGTAAAATAAGCATTTGGCCCAGCCATCAGATATGCAATTCAGAACAATGCAATTTCTGTCTATTCTTAGTGGTCCCACCCCCACCCCAACAGCTCCAGGTGTGTGCAAGGGATGGACACGCATACGACGGCTCCCCCTACCCCCGGCTGGGGCACATGGCCATGTCCACTGCATGTGCAAGCTGCACCCAGCAATCACGCAGGGCACGGATGAGCTGTGGCTGCCACCCAGGTCGCAGGATGGTCTTGGGGGACAGGTCTTTCCCCTGTTAAAGGAACCCATTTGCATAGAACAAGAGTTTTCTCTCCAGGCACCTCTTTCTCTCCTGCACTTAAGCTGCTTTTTTCCTTTTCTCCACCGTGTCAGGAGGTCATAGCCCTGCAAATACAGTGACCTTTTCTATATGACTGGGTTTCTTTCTTCCTACCTTAACACTCTGCTTATGATAGGGAAGCAATGAGTGGCCTCACTGGTGGCTGGCTGCAAATTTGATGAAGGCCATCTGGGACTTAATCTCAATGAATCCATGCATCCCTCTGAGACAACTTTTGTCCCAAACTCAATTCCAAGCTTTGGGTTGAAGCCCTAGAAATAAAAACTAGATCTGAGGGATCCAAAAGCATGCAAAAATGGAAAGTAGGGGCACAGTGTAGGTGGGCCAATTAAGCCCCTATTTCATGGATAGAGGTCATGCTAGTATCCATGGCATAAATTAAGCCCAGGGAACTCAAAGATTACCGACAGTGGGGGTGATAGACTGTGTAGGTAAATGTGAATAACTCTTGCCTTTTAGGCCCCACTGCTTCATGGGTGTAGGTTGCACTGGCACACATGGATGGTGTCCGACCTAGGCCACTGGGACTCAGGGATGAAAAGATGGAAGAAAAAAGTAGTCACCCTTTTCTCCCTCACACACCGAGTTTCCACTGAAAGAGAGAAAAGAATTAAGGGACACCATTTCTCTCTCTTTTTCAAATGGCTAACCAATCATCTTCAGTCTACACTCCTCTGGAGTGTATCCTGAACTACTAGGACTGCTTTGACCCTCAGACTCTGGAGAAAAAATGCCTCATAGTCTTTTGCACAAAGGTTTGGCCAAATTATGATTTGCAGGAAGGACTGGATGGCCTCAAGAAGGAACCATTCATTTCTATACCATCCTGCAGCTGGATCTTTTCTGTAAACATGAGGGCAGATGGTCTGAGACCCCATATGTGCAGGATTTCTTTACCTTGCAGGTAATCCAGACCTTTGCTGACAGTGTAAGATTGATCCAGCCCTCTTTGCCATCTCAGGAGATGCTGCAAGGGGGAAATCTCAGGCAACTAGAGAAACAAACCCAAGAGGCACCTCCTGCAGGGGAGCCAGCTCCCTCTGGCCCTGTTTCTCCAGGTCCACCCCCTCCTCCCCATCCAATTTATCTCTCTCACTTGCCCCCTCCTAGAAATCCTCACTCCAAACAGACCCCAGTCCCACTACTGCCCCTGTAGCAGATGCCTAGTGAATATGGCCCCAGTAAGGTCCAGGTCCCCCTTCTCTCTACAGGACTTAAGGCAAATTAAGGGGGAGCTTAGCAAGTTTTCAGATGACCCTGACAGGTATATAGAGGCTTTCCAGAACTTATCCCAAGTATTTGAACTCTCTTGGAAAGATGTTATGTTACTTTTGAATCAAACCCTGACTAACATTGAGAAGCAGGCTGCTCTGCATGTGGCAGAGAGATTTGGGGATAAGCTTTGTATTTCATATAGTATCAGGGAAGAGGATGAGCCTTATTCAATTGGAAGAGAAGCAGTACCATTGGATGACCCTAAATGGGATCCCAGTGATGAACTGGGAGAATAGAAGAGAAAACACTTTCAGGTGTGCATGCTGGAGGGCTTACGTAGGACTAGAACTAAGCCTCTCAACTATTCCAAACTACCCTTGATAGAACAGGGATTTGAAGAGAATCCTGCTGCCTTCTTGGAAAGGCTTATAGGGACCTTGGTAAGCACACCTCTCTTTCTCCTGATTCAGTCGAGGGACAATTTATCCTAAAGGATAAATTTTTTACTCAGGCAGCTCCTGATACAAGGAGGAAGCTGCAGAAACAGGCCATGAGACCAGACAGTAGAGAGGACCTCATGAAAGTGGCCATCTCGGTCTTTTACAATAGGGATAGGGAGGAGGCCTGGGACAGAGGAAAGAGACACAAGAAAAAGACAGAGGCTTTAATGGACACCTCTTAGGCCCAAAAACTCCAGAATCCCTGGGATACATCTGCTAACTGCTACAAATGTGGCAAGTCAGGGCATTTTAATAAGGATTTTCCCGACAGCATGAGGAAGCCACCATGACCCTGTCCAATCTGCAATGGGGACCACTGGAGGGCAGATTGTCCCCAGAGATGCAGGTCACCAGGTCCAGAGCCAGTCTCCAAAATGGTCCATCAAGACTGATGATTCCTGGGGGCTCCTCTTTCCGGTTCCAGTGGTCCAAACCACCATTACCACACAGGAGCCCCAGGTATTTCTGGAAATTGAAGGGAGGAAAGTGGATCTCCTTCTGGACACTGGGGTGGGTCTCTTAGTTATCCTCTCCAATCTGGCCGCTCCCTCCTCTCTTACCACAATCATGAGGGGCATCTCAGGAAGGTCTTTAACCCAATATTTTTCCCAACCCTTTAGTTGTAGTTGGGGAGACCTCTTCTTCACCTATGCCTTTCTAATTATGCCTGAAAACACAATTCCTCTGTTGGGTAGGGATATTCTGACAGAGACCACCATCTTGATGGCACCAGGACAAACTCTTTGTCTACCCCTAGTGGAGACCAATATTAACCAAGAAATTTGGGCAATTCAAGGGAAAATTGGCTGAGCCATAATCGCTATACCAGTTTGGATCCACCTTAAGGATCTCACCTCCTTTCCTAACCAGAGACAATATCCCCAGAAGCCAGAATTTAGGAAAGGACTAGAAGCCATCACTGATCATTTGAAGATGCAGGGGCTCTTCAAACCCTGCAATAGCCCTTTTAATACTCCAATATTGGGGGTACAAAACCCAACAGGGAATGGAGACTAGTTCATGACCTCCACCTTGTTAATGAAACTGTGTTTCCAATACACCCAGTGGGTTCCAATCTCTATACCCTGCTAGCTCCAATACCTGAGGAAACTAAGTGGTTCACAGTCCTGGACCTAAAGTATGCCTTTTTCTGCATACCATTACATCCCAACTTCCAGTATTTGTTTGCATTTGAGGATCCCTCTAACCAAGCCACACAGCTAACTCGGATGGTGTTACCTCAGGGATTCTGGGACAGAATCCTGTTTGGGCAGGCATTGTCCAAAGACCTCTTTGAACTCCTTTATCCTAAGGTTTAAGTTTTACAATATGTAGATGACATTCTCCTCTGTGCCCCAACTGAGGAAATCTCTCGGAAGGGCAGTAAGGCTCTTAATTTTCTAGCTAACAGAGGACATAAGGTTTCAAAATCTAAAGCTCAGCTCTGTCAGACTTCAGTGAAGTACCTAGATTTGGTCTTGTCATAGGGGGCCAGGGCATTGGGCAAAGAAATGATTAAGCTCATCTCCTTCTTTCCCCTCACCAAAACTCTCAAGCAACTGAGGGAACACTTGGGCATTACAGGATCCTGCACTCTATTCAATACAGGGGACCTAGTGCTGGTAAAAGTACTTCCTTCCCTTTCTCCCTCTACAAGCATGGATTGGGAGGGACCTTGCACTGTACTTATTTCTACTCCTACAGCAGTAAAGGTCACTGGAATAGATTCTTGAATTCATTATAATTCATTATACTCGAGTATAGGCCTGGGAAGCTGAGGGAGTTACCTCTGTCCACCCAGTGGAGCACTCAAAGTACAAGTGTGAAGAAATCAGGGACCTCAAGCTAAAAATTACAAAAGATAATTGTTAATAATTGACTTTCCATGGATATCCTCTGTATAGTATTGCCTATGCTTGCTGTTCTTACCTTTGTTCTGTTCTATACCATAGGGCACATTTACCAAAGACCCCTTAATCCTGAATGCCCATGGAAATATCTACTCCCCTAAACAGTTATCCTCTCTTAAACTGTAACTACTCCCATACAAGGTTTAATTTCTTTCACCAGGGTGAAACAGCTCAAGGCACAATATTGTTTTCAGAATGATTAGTATATTTCACTTCTTATTTCTGTAATCTTTGGCACTAGATTCATTTCTTTTAACTTCTCTTTGTATAATACGCATATTTGACCCATGCATACTTAACCTGGTAAAACTTGTTTCTTCTCACCTAGAGGCTATCAAACTCCAAGTGATCATGCAACTGGAGCCTCAGATGATGGCTCCCTTTTACTGGGAACTCTTAGGTAGACCTCTGAGGGAAATCTGACTGCCATTTTCCCCAAAACAACGTCCCCTGTCAGTACAAAGTTACTAAGATCGGACATCATCTGTATTCTAACAGCAGTTAGATGTGCCTCTTCAGAGGGGGAAATGATAAAGGCAGGAGGCAGAGAAATTCTAGGCAGATAGCGGCAGGTCCCTGGCAACACCCCATATTCAAGCTGAAAAGCCTGAAACCATGGCCCAAAGTAAGAACAAGCATCCCTGTTTGCCTGCTCTCCCGATTGGTTCTTTCTGAATAATGTCTTTTTACCAATTGAATATTGCCTTATCCAAAACTACCTATGGCCCACCCCACCCCTCATCCTGTCCCTATAAATATCCCAGACTCAGTTGGTAGAAGGGGAGAAGTGGTTTGACTGGAGAGAGGTGACTTGACTTCAGAGAGATGGCTGGACTTCAGAGGCGAGAGAGTTTAACTTCGAAAAACAGATAGCTGAACTTCAGGGAAGATTATCTGCCTGTTCCTACACCTCTTCAGGTCCCTTCTCCCCTGAGAGCCATTTCCATTGCTAAGTGAAATTCTCCCCCTCCACCATCCTTCAAGTGTCTGTGTGACCTCATTCTTCCTAGATGCCAGACAAGAGCTTGGGACCCACTGAGTGCAGGTACCCCAAAAAGGCCATCACACTGGCCCTTTGCCCTCACTGGTGGAGGACAGCTGTCCACGTGATGAGGCAAGGGGCCCACTGAGCTAATAACACACTGCTGTCTACAGACAGCAGAGCTAAGAGAGTACTGTCACACACCCTCTGGGGCTTCAGGAGTCACAGGCACCCCCACCTGGGCATCACCATAGGGCCCACAGAGAGCTTGCATAAAAATCACCTATTGCTGTTGTTAAACTGTGTCTCCCTTACAAATCAGTAGGTGTGGGTTGGGGCTTGAGAATCTGCTCTTCGACGAAGTTCCAAGGTGATGCCCATGTTGAACTTTGAGTAGCAAGGGGCTAGATCAGTTATTCTTAACTGGAGTCAATTTTGCCTTGCAGCTAGGGTTCACACATAAAATATACCTGCTAAATCTGTCAATACTATCCCAGGGGACATTGGCAATGTCTGGAGAAAACTGGTGTAGGTGCAACTGGCATCTAGTGAGCAAAAAAGCCACAGATACTGCCAAACATCATACAATGCACAGAACAGCCCCCCAACAACAAGGAATAATCTGGCCCAAAATATCAATAGTGCCAAGTTTGAGAAGCTCTGTACCAGATGATCTAATTTAAAGTCTCTTCAACCTGTTACACTGCTTTATATTGTTCTGGAATATAATTATAATAAAATCATATATTTTGAGCAATGATCAATAGTCACTAAATTAGAATTTTCTTTCACAGCCAAAATTATTTGACAAAACAGGAACTTTTCTAACAAACCTTTCAAGATTTTATTAAATTCTATTTCTCCATAAATAACAATTGAGCACTGAGTATAAAAGAAATATTGAATGTCAGAGCCCAAAGGGCCTCCCGTAATCAATTTAATCCAACTGTTTCAACCCACAGATAGAGAAATTGAGGCCTACAAAGGGGCAGTTTCCAGCCCAAGCTGTGTTGTTTCAAGGAAATTTTCCACATATGTGAGGTTTTTAGGGTAATTCATTCTTTATAAAATGTCAATAGTACTATCTGCTTCTAATTGGCATTCATTCTCAAAATAAACTGGATATGGAGAATCATTCTTCCCTCATTTGAAGATCACCCCAGCTGGACTCTATTTCTATCCACATATTCAGGGTAATTTTCCAAAAATCTAAAGTTATCTCATTCACTGAATACATTCATTCTGATAGGACAGGCTTTAGAAGAATTTACCTTGGCTTATAGTAATGATAACTAGTATTTATTAAGGCTTTACAATGTGCCAGACATGGGCTAACTAATCCTCTCAACCCTATTTCAAAGATGAGGAGCAGAAAGGTTAAGTCATCTGTCTAAGGTCACACAACTAGTAAGTGGTGGAATCAGGACATTAGCCCAGAGGTTTGATTCTAGGACCCAGTCTATTAGCCACCAATCCAGACTGCCTCTAGGAGCTTGCTTGTAGTTATACTAAGAACTGGGAACTCTTCAAGGGTAGGGGAAGGGACTATGCCATTTGCCTTTGTAGCCCCAGAGCCTAGTATGCTAACTGGCGCATAGTTGGAATCACTATTTGTAGGCTGCATGAGTGAACTAATGAATGCTAGGATTTGGTACTCTTGGCAAAGACAATGACAGACAGACAGGTAAAATGTTTTCCTGCCTACTTCCCTTTCCACAAGCATTAAAATTAGTTTGCACAAGCCCTGACTGTCCACTCTGTAGTGTGAATAATTAGAATGTTTTTTCTTTCTGAGGCAAATGGTGTTCATGCTGGAGAGGTATACTGAGAACAGCCACGTCTCTGAGGAACTATTCATGTGACTTGTGTAAAGAGTCAGCATATGGGAATTCTCCAAAGCAAGGCCTTGAGTTCAGCCTTAATTCTGCACCTGGAAGGCTGCTGCCTCTGACTCCCACTGCCTTTGTTTCTCTTTCTAAGCTGGCAAACTTGCTTTTGGCAGCTGCCAAGCTCAGATTGAGCAGATGAGCTTATGAACATGGCTAAGGAGAGGCCCTTCTTCAAGGAGGGGATGTAAGAAGAGGCCAGTCAGAACTCAGCTCAGGTGTCCCTCCCTCCCTTTATGGAGGCAGGCTGGTCTTGTAGAAAGAGTATGAATTTTGAAATAGAATTACAAATCCAACAGACCCGATGTCTCATTCTAGTTGTGCTACTTCCTACCTGAATAACTTAATTTCTGTGAGGCTCAATTTCCCTGTAGTGCATGCAATTTTTGGGAAGACCCAAAGTTAACTTCCCTATCACATAAAAGACCTTTAAGAAATGTTACTTAAAGTATAATTAAAAAAAAAGAAATTTCCAAAACAAAAAATGTTATTTCTCTCTCATCCAGCAGATTTAGATCTCCCGTTTGCCCTGAGCCTTGTAGAAATACAATGATACCCCAGGTTGCAGGCCATCTATAGCTTGTCAGCTCATAGCAGTCTATTATCCTTTATTCCCTTTCCTCTTCCCTCCCAGCAGCAGGACTACAAAGTGATATCATAAGTTGACCCTGTGATGCTGAAACCAGGAAAGTCCTCAAGATTCAAGGAAGCCCAAGGAAGGCATGGTCAGTTACCTGCTGAATCATATCATATTGAGTTTGTATAAAAAATTGTGTGAGGGAAAGGGTTACAGTAAAAGGGTTACAGTGAGCCTAAATACCCCTAGAAGAACTTTCTGCAGACAGGCTGGTATTCTGTACAAAGGGATTTGCTGTCTCTAGGTGACTACATAGCACGGCAACTGGAAAATGGTTGAAGAATGAAGAGAAAGTCTTCAGTAATAGAGTTCTGCAACTCAGAGATAAAATCTATTCAATGTACTCAGTCATTTTCGAGCCCGTATTGTTTCAGAAGTCAGAATAAGACCCACCAGGAGGTAAAAGCTTGTTGATTATGGATACAGTAAAAGCACCCCAGCCATGATTTACTCCCTACACATCATAGAATTTTGCCTGGTTCGCAGATGCTCTTGGGTCAAGTATTTGTTATCAATAATTCTTAAAAGCCAAGATTTCTAGACTGTGAATTAAATTTGTAAATACTTCTGTGATCTGGATGAACAGTTGTAGATTTTGGGCTGCAGTGTGAAAGTTAGGACGAGTAACTAGAAGATCAGGGTCTTCTCGACTTCACAAGGACATACCCCATCTCTACATGGATATTTACAAGAGAAACTCTTAAGGAATATTTGACTTGTGCTTCACAGTAATGTATCAGTCCTGAGCGTTTGGGCCACATCTGCCATTAATCAGCTTTGAGACTTCAGAGAATTCACTTCTCTGGGTCTCAGTTTCCAAAGTTGTTAACGAAGGGGACTGAACTAGAAGATAATCTTCTAGTGCTCAGATTTGGCAATTCTATGATAGTACCACAGAGAGAACTGTATCCTGACCTTATTCTAGGAGGGCAAGCTGGGGCCTTGCCTTCTATTTTGGAATCTAACATAGGCAAAATACCAACAGATACCTTTCTCTTGTTACAGTACTATCAAGATGTGATCAACCACCTTTAGAGGAAGCACTGTGGAAGAGAGAGAGGCAAAGAGCAAAGCCTGTGCCCTGAGACCACACCATGTGTTTTGTATTTGTCTAGATTTACATGTGGCCTAAAGCCTGTTTGTTCTATGCCTGTATTGTTTCAACTTCCATCCCTTTCACTGGTTCTATAAGTTGGCTTTAACCCAATCCTCTCTGTTTAGTCATTAAAGCTCAAATTGGTTCCTGGCTTTGTGTACAATCCCCTTCTTTCTTTGATAATGGAAGAAATCTCACTCCCTGAAATGATGATCAAAAACTTGAAAGCAGGCTAGTTCTGCTCCTTTGATTGAATTCAGTTTCTTCCAATTTTAGCTTGTTTTGGATTTGCTCTTTAGAGCAACGTCTAGCATCTTGGGCCTCAAATTCTTCTTTGATGGGGTGAGACCTCTTAGGTGTGGAAAGGCTGGGTAATCTAGTGCCCTTTGCAGATATGTTGTTAGCACTGCCACAGCCAACAACCCTGAAGTGAAAAATGGAACCAAAACTGTCCAGTCCTAATTCAGTGAACTCTTCGGCTAGTTAAAAGCTCTCAATGTTTGCCAAGGGCCAAAAGGTTCTCACCTCACCTAACCATATGAAGGAGCTGTATCTGACACAATGGCAGTTTATTCTGCCCAGGGATGTGCTGGTAAATGTTCAATGACTAGCCCTGTGATGTGGGGAGGGAAGCCTTGATTTGAAACATTTGCCAATTTCCATAGTGAAAATATCTCCACCATAATTAACTTCAAGCTAGTAGCATGTCACTAAATATGGAGTTGGAAAGAGATGAACACAATCAGCCCTTAGGAGCTGATGCAAGTGAACACCAACACAGCACCCACTTCATCTATACAGCAGCTCACATAGCTCAAAGCTTTGAGACCCAAGGCCTCTTGGGCTGGAAAGGACTGGGGAGGAGAGAAAGAGTAATGCTTATATACTGTCCTGCCTCTCTAACCTGCTCCTTGGGAAGGAGGTATCAGACAGTAGTATAAAAGAGATAGCAGGGGCCACTGCAGAGAGTTTTAAGTGTCCTACCTCAATTGCATCCCTGTAGTCTTGTCAGATGTTCTTCTGGTGATTTGGAACAACAGCAGAGTTCATATCCTGCCTGAATGACAGAGAAAGCTGTTTTAGAGCCTGCATGGCTCTCTTCATATGGAAGGAAGAAAGGAACATTAAATCCGTGTTTGTTCTTCAGCCAACTGTTCTTTGCCTACAAAATGTACAAGGTACAATCCTCCTCCACTTTGGGCACAATTTCCTGGACAATTCACCTTGTAAACACTCTTTCTGGCTGCCCTTTCTTTTGCCTTGGACAATACAGAGAAAGGCATTTATGGCAGGTAGAGGCCATTGATTGGAGAATGCAGATATTTGGCATTACTGCTGGCATCTAAATGGCAAATTCAAGAAACTAATGTTAAGGGTGCAGGAACTTTTGATTGAAACAATAGATTGTGGTTGTAGCATTAGAGTTGAGTGTAAAATGCCACATACTTATTAATCCCCAGGAGGAAAACTAAACCATGTCATGTTCTTCTCAGCACGTTTTAATTTTTTTTCTGTACAATTTAGCTTAGGATAAGTTTCATTCTTGAGTCATCAAAAACCCTTTAAGGAGGCCCTCCTCCTGTTTAATTATTTAGAAAGAAACTTGCAACATACTCTGATAAATATTAATACTCATTTCTTGATATCTAAAGAGCTCAGAAAACTGTGCTTTAACAGAACTGCTGAAAATGTAATTTTATCACAGGGACTAACTACCAAATTTATGGTTACACAATTAACGTGACTCCCTTATTTGGTTACCCCAAACATGAGTTGATCATTAATGGATATTTTGAGATTTATTCAGCTGTGTGTCTATCCAACTGATTGCTTAGTGAAGGACCCACAATTGGTGTTAGAAATTGTTTTTTGTAACAGCTAACATTTATTGAATGTTTGCTATGTGCCAAGATTTGCTCTAAGAGTTCTATATGTAATATCACATATAATCTTTCCAGAAACAATCTGAAAGAAGTACTATTACTATTTATTACTATTCTGCTTTATTAATGAAGAAACTGAGGCACAGAGAAGTGAAGGTTGTTACCTAAAGTCATGCAGCTGGTAAGTGGTATAGCCAGGATTCAAACTTTAACAGTCAAGTTCGAGTCCTTGCATTTAGCCACTATGCTAAAGGAATCTTACCATAGGCACAAAGTTCAATTAAAAACAAAACAAAACAAAAACCCTCCTAGGCTTGAAATCAAGAAAGCTTAGTCTGATTCTGGCTCTGCCATTGTCTTGCAAAACTTACGGAAATTCCCTCTATTTCTTCATGACTATATTATAGAAATGTCAAGAGAATATAATTTTAAAATGTGAAAGAGCAATGGGCTTTTCAAAAGAAAGGTATTATAGGGATCTGAGGTGTTATCGTTTCTCATTGTCTTTCAAAGATCCCACAGAAAAGACTGGCTTTTGCTGGCTGTGTGTTTTGCAGTTTGACCCCCATTGTTCTTCTTTCAGTCTCTTCAGGAGAAAAATCCTTAGAAGTTAGACTTGAAAAATGTCCAGCAGAGCAGTCAACCTCTTGCTTGCTCAGGCAGGATTGCTCCCCATGACGCACCCCATGTGTTTTTGTTTAGTGTTTCCAATCTTCAGAGTATGTGCCTTCCTCTGAATGTTTTGTTGGAAATGTTCTGCAAACATTTTCTTTCTTCTGTAAGGTCTATATGTTACATTGAGTTGTAATCTTCTAATTCCTAGCCAGATAAAATTATGAAACACTAAGGAATTGTTTTTTGAATCCCATGTCTGTTCTGTAGCATCATCACCATTATTACAAGGTGCTAAAATTTGTATGTACCACAAAGAAGAAAAAAGTCTTAGTTCCCAGGAAACACTATAATTTTGGTTGTGCCAGAGGAAGGTGGAAAGCCCCTAGTAACTGGAACTGTATGTGGTTATGATTGTACAAACTAGGGGGCCATGGCAGGAAATCCATACTCTGGAAAAAATATCAATGCTAATAGGAGTCTTGGCCCAGGAAGAAAGTCACCATTATCCATTTCCTCATTTCTCTTCCCCACCTTATCTCCTTCCCTGCTGATAAGATTCAAGACTCCGCGAATGATCTGATGTAGGGTGACCAGGTAAGTTATCACCCAAATTAGGACACTCTTTAAGGTATTCTTAACAACTAAATCAAGACAATAGGAGTAAGCTGGACTGTCTCAGGCAAACTGAGGGAGCTGGACTGTCTCAGGCAAACCGAGGGGGCTGGGTTCCCTATTCTAGAGATAGCTACAGCTCTCCAATACTTGAGAGTGTAAATTCACATTAGAGGACTCTACTCTAGGCCTACATTTGACATCACAGGAGTGCCCCACAGTTGCCCAGGATAGCACAGTGAAATGACAGCTTTCTGAGCACTGCAATTCACCAGGGTATCAGCTGTGGTTTTTGTGTGAATATCTGTGCAGCATCTTTTTGAACGATTGCAAAAAAAGAAGAACAATTAGCACATTCATTAATTAGAGCCTTGTTTTAAATTCTGGTGTGAAGGGTAATCTTTTGTTAACTTGAATGAGATCCTAAGCCTACCCTAAGCTTTAATTATAGTGTTATTATTTAAAAATATTGGCTGGCCCTGCTCCAAGATACAAGAGTGTTTAAATTTAAATACTGTAGAGATAATTTAAACACATTTTAATTTACCAATGGGTACTAATCACTCAATGGAATTTTAGACTGTTTAGTTCAAACAAATGATTAAGATGACAACAGACCCTCAATTATGTTCATCACATTTTAAAATTCTCATGGTTAAGGAGCATGAGTACCTATAAATGGGTATGCATCTGTTTATGGATGTTTCTAAAGTGTCATGTCTTTGAACTGTCATGACAGTCTATAACATATGGCTACTGGAGAGTTGCAACTTTTCAGGGAGACTGGCCTGGTTTTGGACTTCTGCTCTGCTATAAGCCATACTAATTTCATGTCTCTTGGCAAGTTAGAATCTTCTCTAAGTTTTAGTTTCCCATTTTTAAAATGAGATTAATGATATCTCCCGCAGAGCAGAATTTTTGAGAATTAATGAGCCAGGATATGTGAAGTGCTGGACACACAGTAGACCCCTGATAAATAGTAGCTACTATCATTTACATAGCCATCTTGTTTATAACTGTGTTTTCTTGTGTGTACCACCATGTTTATATTTTCCAGGCATCCATATTTGACTTTGTATACATGTACCTATATGGGTATATACATATGTGTTTTGGTATTTGGCAATGTGTACCTGTGTGTGTGTCTGTGTGAGTGCAGAAGCCATGGTATGCAACTACATCCATGCATATATTGAGTGAGGGTGCATACGGGGAAGAGGTATGTTACATCTGCATGAATGCATTTCACTGCACTTTCTGCACTTCATGATCTCAAACTGTGCTGTGAAGACCACCTTAAGCATGACTCCTCCATTTCTAAAAATATCTTAAACTTTTTGGCCTTGATTTCATCCTTAGGAGGCCTAGGTAGTAGAGATGGTTTCTTTCTTTTATGAATTTGTGTGTATGTATGTTTTGGAACCAACAGGTCACAATTAGCTACTTCCTTTCTCCTCCTTCCTTTTTTCCCCTTGCCCTCAAGTAACTTCTCCTCCTTACCCTTCCCTTCATTGTCTACAACCTTACTGACTTTTCACCCTAGTAACAGTGAGGGGAAGAACATCTGAAAGAGTTGGACAGCAATCCTTGGCTCTGAAACAAATTGTAAGCCCATTCAATGTGAACTCAAATTTGTGTCCCTGTGTGTTAGACAAGCGGATTTGCATGTAAGAGGAAGAACATACAGGTTAGAAAATCACCATAGCCAAATGTAGAGGTAGATCCTCACCTTTGTGGTATGATTTTAGAATAACCAGAAAGGCTTCTTCAACTGAGGTTTGTTCTCATGCGGGCCTGCTGTAGCACCTGAATGTCCACCATTAGGTCCTTTGTATGGCAGAGACTATTCCCTGTGATGCAGACACAGCTGCGATGGCCAGCTTCAGGGTACCCTTGTTACATTAAAGAGTGCCAAGGCTCTGATCCATTAATTAAACCGACATTCTCAACTATTGAAGAGTCATGGGAACCTCTAGGAATATTCTGCTGAGGCTTGAGTTTTCACTTAAGAGAGGGAAGCACTAGGGACAAATAATTTGGTTGGGACAAACCCCACTGGTTCCTTAATTTCCCCTTTCTGCTTTTCCCTGATCTATGAAGCATGAACCACATGAAGGTCCTAGGTTGCTGATGGGGTTCAGGCACAAAAATGCCCTCCCTGTCCTCCTTACTCCTCTCCAGCTTGTTACACGAGGCCCTCCTCATTCCTGCTAGGAATAAACCAGATCAGATAGACCAATGTGAAACTATTTTGGATAACCTTTCCCAGGAATGTTGGCACTTTAAAAGAAGGGCTGGGGACAGCTTTGTGCAATCCTCCCCACGCTTAAGCAGTGTTTCCACACTCTCAAATTAACCTTATCTCTGTCCCTTACTCAAAACAGTCTCTAATTTCTTCCACAGTGAAACCCATCTATTTGTTAGAGAGGAAGAATTCTGATTAAACTAACTTGACTTAAGGTGTGGATGGCAACTGGCTTAATATATTTATTTTCCAAATTTTGAAGGGAAACTTGTTAAAAATAATACTAATTAAAAAAAAACCCTCGTGGGAGGAGGCACAGCATGATGGCAGAATAGAAGGCTCCACCAATCATTGCCACTTCAAGGATACCAATTTAACACTATCTAAACAGAAAAAGCACCTTCATAAGAGCAAAAAATCATGTGAGCACTCCTAGTACCTGGCTTTGACATATCACTGATAGAGGTACTGAAGAGATAGAAAATACAGTATTAAATTGCTGGTGCTACCCTCCCCTACCCCTGGCAGTGGCCTTGTGGTATGGAGAGCACCTCTCTGGGAGGGAGAGCAATACAATTGTGAAGCAGTTAACTCAGTGCTCTCCTGTTAGAGCAGAAAGGAAAACTGGACTAAACTCAGCTAATGCCCACCCACGGAGGGATCATTTAAACCAGACCAAGCGAGGGGGGAATCGCTGATCCCAGAGTCAGAAACTGAGTTCCTGCAAACCTCACCACTGTGGGCTAAAGTGCTCTGTGCTCTAAATAAACTTGGAAGGTATACTAGGCCATAAAGACTGCAACTCATAGGTGAGTACTAGTGCTGAACTGGGCCCAGAGGCAGTGGACTGCAGGACACGAGATACTGAGAAAAAAGCTGGAGCAGTCAAGGGAGTACTGGCATCACTCCTCCCCTAACCCCAGGCTGCACAGCTAATGGTGCCAGAAGAGACCCCTGTTTTCCACTTGAAGAGAGGAGAGGGAAGAGTAGGGAGGACTTTGTCTTGCATCTTGAATACCAGCTCAGCCACAGGAGAATAGGGCAATGGTCAAAGTCATGAAACTCCCTGTTCAAGCCCTAGCTCATGAACAACATTTCTAGACACACCCTGGGCTAGAAGGAAACCTGCTGCCTTGAAGGGAAGGACCAAGTCCTGGTAGCATTGATGACCTGTTAACTGAAGAGCCCTTGGGCCCTGAATAATTAGCAGCAATACCCAGGTACTACATCAGGAGACTTGGGTGAGCCTCTTAAACTTGCTGGCTTCAGGTGAAACTCAGCACATTACTAGCTGTGGTGACTATGGGGTGCACCTCCTTCTGCTTGAGAAAAGCAAAGGGAAAAGTAAAAGGAACTTTCTCTTGCACCTCAGGTAGCAAAACAGCCTCAGGAGGGTAGAACACCTAGCGGGCTCTTGGGGCACCTGATTCCAGGACTTGACTCTTGGATGGGAACTCTGGACCTGCTCTGGGCCAGAAGGAAGCCCACTGTCATGAAGAGTGAATCCCAGGCCAGGCAGCATTCACCGAAACTTAAATAAGAGCACTTGGGCCTTCAGGGAACATCAGTAGTAGTCTGGAAGTACTCCTTGTAGCCTTTGGTGGTGGTGGCTACAGGGTGAAGCTCTTCTGCCTTTGGAGAGGGGAAGGAAGAGTGGCAAGGATTGTGTCTTGTGGTTTGAGTGCCAGCTCAGCCACACTACAGTAGAACACCAGGTAGACTGCTAAGGTTTTTGACTCTAGTCCTTGACTCCTACATGGCACCTCTGGATGCATCCAGGGCATAAGAGACCTCACTGACCTGAAGGGAAGGACACAGGTCTGGCAGGCTTCAACATCTGGTGATTGTAAAGCCCCAGGGCTTTGAATGAGCATAGGCAGTAGTCAGGGAGTGGTTACAGCAGGCCTTGGGTGAGACCCAGTGCTATGTTGGCTTCAGATCTGCCCCTGCTTGGTCATAGCAGTGGGGGCAACAGGGGAGCTTGTGTCACCCCACTCCAGCTTTAGGGGGTTCAGAACAGAGAGAGATACCCCGTATGTTTGGGAGAAAATAAAGAAAGAGAACAAGAGTCTCTGCTTGGTAATCCGGAGGATTCTCCTGGATCTTATCCAAGATCATCAAAGTGGTTTATGAGTCTGCAAAAACCACAGCGTTACTGGGCTTAGGGTTCCTCCCAAAGCAGATACAGCTTAGATCCCAACACCCAAGACCTTTTAAATATCTGGAAAGCCCTCCCTAGAAGAACAGGTACAAACATGCCCAGACAGTGAAGAATATAATAAATATCTAACTCTTCAATGACCAGACACTGAAGAATCCCTAATAGCATCAACACCATCCAGGAGAGCATGACCTCGCCAAATGAACTAAATAAGGCACCAGGGGCTAATCCTGGAGAAACTGAGATATGTGACGTTTTAGACAGAGAATTCAGCAAAGCTGTGTTGAGGAAACTCAAATTCAAAATAACACAGAGAAGGAAATTAGATTTCTATCCAATAAATTTAACACAGAGATTGAAATAATTAAAAAGAACCTAGTAGAAATTCTGGGGCAGAAAAATTAACTGGCATACTGAAGAATGCATCAGAGTCCTTTAATAACATAATTGATCAAGCAAAAGAAATTATGTTTTTAATATTTTTTTTTATTATATTTTAAGTTCTAGGGTACATGTGCACAACGTGCAGGTTTGTTACACATGTATACATGTGCCATGCTGGTGTGCTGCACCCATTAACTCATCATTTACATTAGGTATATCTCCTAAAGCTATCTCCCCCCTCCCCCAACCCCACAACAGGCCCCGGTGTGTGATGTTCCCCTTCCTGTGTCCAAGTGTTCTCATTGTTCAATTCCCACCTATGAGTGAGAACATGCAGTGTTTGGTTTTTTGTCCTTGCGATAGTTTGCTGAAAATGATGGTTTCCAGCTTCATCCATGTCCCTACAAAGGACATGAACTCATCCTTTTTTATGGCTGCAGAGTATTCCATGGTGTATATGTGCCACATTTTCCTAATCCAGTCTATCATTGTTGGGCATTTGGGTTGGTTCCAAGTCTTTGCTATTGTGAGTAGTGCCGCAATAAACATACATGTGTATGTGTCTTTATAGCAGCATGATTTACAGTCCTTTGGGTATATACTCAGTAATGGGATGGCTTTAAGTGAGCTTGACCATGGGCTATTGTGGTCTTATGACCACAATACACAGTCATAAGAGACAACAGAAAAAATAATTTTAAAAATAGAAATAATTAAAAAAAGAATAAAAAACAATGAAGCATACCTACAGGATATAAAAATAGCCTCAAAAGAGAAATTATAAGAGTTATTGACCTTAAAGAGGAGACAGAAAAAGAAATATGGGTAGAAAGTTTATTCAAATGGATAACAGGGAACTTCCCAAACCTAGAGTAAGATATCAATATCCAAGTGCAAGAAGGTTATAGAAACAAGCAGATTTACACACAGAACATTGCCTCAAGACATTTAATAATGAAACTCACAAAGGTCAAGAATAAACAAAGGATCCTAAAAGCAGCAAGAAAATAGAAAAAAAAAACATACAATGGAGCTCCAATATGTCTGGCAGCAGAGTTTTCAGTGAAAACTTTACAGGCCAGGAGAGAGTAGCATGAAGTATTTAAAATGCTGAAGGAAATAAATTATTTTACCCTAGAATAGTAAATCGGCAAAATATCCTTCAAACATAAAGAAGACATAAAGATTTTCCCACAAAAACAAAAGCTGAAACATTCCATCAACACCAGACCTGTCCTACAAGAAATGCTAAAGGGTGTACTTCATTCAGAAAGAAAAGGAAATTCATGAGCAATAAGTAATCACCTGAAGATGCAAAACTCATTGGTAATAATAATTACACAGAAAAACACAGAATAAGATAACACTGTAACTGTGGTGTGTAAACTATTCTTATCCTAAGTAGAAAGAATAAATGATGAACCAATCAAAAATAACAACAACAACAACAACTTTTCAAGACATAGAGAGTACAATAAGATGTAAATAGAAACAACAAAAAGTTAACAAAAAGGGGGGATGAAGGTAAGGTGTAGAGTCCTTATTAGTTGTCTCTGTTTGTTTGCTTATGAAAACAGTGTTGCTATAAGTGTAAAATGAGTTATAAGGTATAACTGCAAGCCTCATGGTCACCTCAAAGAAAAAACACATAGAACGGATACACAAAATATAAAAATCAAGCATCTAAATTATGACACCACAGAAAATAACCTTCATTGAAGGAAGACAGGAAGGAAAGAAAGGAGGAGAAGACCACAAAACAACAAAAAACCAATAACAAAATGGCATGAGTAAGTCCTTACTTATCATCAAGAATAATATTGAATGTAAATGGACTAAACTCTCTAATCAAAAGCCGGAGAGTGGCTGAATGGATTGAAAAAACAAGACCCAATGAGTTGTTGTCTACAAGAAATACACTTAACATATAAACACAAACACAGACTGAATATTAAAGGATGGAAAAAGATATTCCATGCCAATGGAAACAAAAAAGAGCAGGAGTAGCTATACTTGTATCAGACAAAATAGATTTTGAGGCAAAAACTTTAAGAGGAGACAAAGAAGGTCACTATATATAAAGGGATTGATCCAGAAAGAGAATATAACAATTTAAAGTATACTTAAAGATATATAAAGCAAATATTATTAGAGCTAAAGAGAGAGATAGGCCCCAATACAATAATAGATGGAGACATCAACACTCCACCTTCAGCATTGGACAGATCGTCCAGACAGAAAATCAACAAAGAAACACTGGACTTAATCTGCACTATAGAACAAAGGAATCTAATAGATATTTACAGAACATTTCATCCAAAAGCTAGAAAACACACATTCTTTTCCTCAGCACATGCATCATTCTCAAGGATAGACCATATGTTAGCTAACAAAGCAAGTCTTAAAACATTCAAAAAATTGAAATAATATCAAGCATCTTCTCTGACCACAAGGGAATAAAACTAGAAATTAATAAGAAGAGGAATTTTGTAAACTATACAAACACATAGAAATTAAACAATATGTTCCTGAATGACCAGTGGGTCAGTGAAGAAATTAAGAAGGAAATTGAAAAATTGAAACTAATGATAATGGAAACACAACATACTAAAACCTAGTACAGCAAAAGCAATGCTAAGAGCGAAGTTTATAGCTGTAAGTACCTACATCAAAAAAAAAAAAAAAAAGAGAAAAAACTTCAAGTAAATCATCTAATGATGGACCTTGAAGAACTAGAAAAGCAAGAGCAAGTCAAGCCCAAAATTAGTAGAAGAAAAGAAACAATAAAAATCAGAGCAGCAATAAATGAAGTTGAAATGAAGAAAATAATACAAAAGATCAATGAAACAAGTTTTTTTTAAGTTAAACAAAATTGAAAAACCTTTAGCTAGACTAAGAAGAGAGAAGATACAAATACATAAAATCAGAAATGAAAAAGGAGACATTACAACTGACCACAGAATTTAAAGGGATTATTAGAGATCACTATGGGCAACTACATATCAATAAATTGGAAAACCTAGAAGAAATGGACAAATTCCTAGACACATACAAGTTACGAAGATTGAACCATGAAGAAATCCAAAACCTGAGCAGACCAATACCAAGTAATAAGAATGGAACTGTAATAAAAGTTGTCCTGCAAAGACTAGCCCAGGACCCTATGGCTTCACTGCTGAATTCTATCAAACATTTTAAAAAGAATTAATACCAATTATACTCAAACTCCTTCAAAAAATAGAGGTGGAGAGAATACCTCCAAAGCCATTCTATGAGGCCAGTATTAACCTGATAACAAAACCAGACAAAGACACATTAAAAAAAGAAAATTACAAGCCAATATCTCTGAACAACATTGATGCCAAAAATTTCAACAAAATCCTAACAAATCAAATTTAACAGCACATTATAAAGATCATTTGCCATGAGCAAATGGGATTTACCCTGGGATTCAAGGATGGTTCAACATATGCAAATCAATCAATGTGATATGTCTTCTCAACAGAATTAAAGATAAAAACCATATGATCATTTCAATTGATGCTGAAAAAGCATTTGATAAAATTTAACATCCCTTTATGATAAAAACATTCAAAATTCTGAATATACAAGGAACATTCCTAAATATAATAAAAACATATATGACGGACCCACAGTTGGTATCATACTGAATGCAGAAATACTGAAACCTTTCCTCTAAGATATGAAACATAACAAGGATGCCACTTTCACTGCTGTTATTAAACATAATACTGGAACTCCTAGGGAGAGCAATCAGACAAGAGAAAGAATAAAGGACATTCAAATTAAAATGGAAGAAGGCAAATTATCCCTGTTTGCACATGAAATGATCTTATATTTTGAAAAACCTAAAGACTCCACTAAAATAATATTAGAACTGATAAATTATGTATAGTTGCAGAATACAAAATCAGTATACAAAAATCAGGAGCTAACAGTGAACAATCTGAAAAAAAAATTTTTAAAGTAATCCAATTTATATTAGCAACACATAGAATTAAATATCTAGGAATTAATTTAACCAAAGAAAGGAAAGATCTCTATAATGAAAACTATAAAACATTGAAGAAAGAAATTGAAGAGGACACCAATAAATGAAAAGGGATTCCATGTTCATGGATTGGAAGAACCAATATTGTTAAAATGTTTGTACTACCCAAAGCAACCTACATGTTCAATGAAATCTCTAGCAAAACACCAATGATATTCTTCACAGAAATAGAAAAAAATTCTAAAATTTTTATAGAACAACAAAAGATCCAGAATAGCCAAAGCTACCCTAAGCAAAAATAACAGAACTGCAGAAATCATATTATCTGACTTCAAGTTACACTACAGAGCTATAGTAAACAAAACAGCATGGTGCTGGCATAAAAACAGACACATACTTTAATGGAACAGAATAGAGAACCTAGAAACAAATTCACACACTTACAGTGAACTCGTTTTTGACAAAGGTGCTGAGAACATACACTGGGTAGGGAAGAGTCTTTTCAGTGAATCATGGTGGGAAAACTGGATATCCATATGCAGAAGAATGAACCTATAGCCCTATCTCTCACCATATACAAAAATTAAATAAAAAATGGATTAAAGACTTAAATCTAAGGCCACAAACTAGAAAACTACTACAAGAAAACATTGGGGCAAATCTCTAGGACATTGGTCTGGGCAAAAATTTCTTGAGTAATGCCCCACAAGTGCAGGTGACCAAAGCAAAAATAGACAAATGGGATCATATCAAGTTAAAAAGCCCCTGCATAGTGAAAGAAACAATCAACAAAGTGAAGAGACAATCCATAGCATGGTAGAAAATATTTGCAAACTACCCATCTGGCAAAGGATTAGTAATCAGATTGTATAAGGAGGTCAAACATCTCCATAGGAAAAAAATTAATCAAATTTTAAACTGGGCAAAAGATGTGAATAGACATTTCTCAAAAGAAGATGTGAAAATGGCTAACAAGCATATGAAAATGTGTTCAACATCATTGATCATCAGAGAAATACAAATCAAAACTACAATGAGATATTATCTCACCCCAGTAAAATTGCTTATATCCAGAAGACAGGCAATAACAAAGGCTGGTGAGGATGTGGAGAAAAGGGAACTCTCATATACTGTGGGTGGGAATGTAAATTATTACAGCCACTATGGAGAACAGTTTTGACTTTCCTCAAAAAAACTGAAAACAGAGCTACCATATGATCCAGCAATCCCTCTGCTGGGTGTATACCAAAAAGAAGGGAAATCAGTTTATCAAAGAGATATCTACACTCTTAATTTTGTTGCAGTGGTGTTCCCAATAGTTAAGCTTTTGAAACAACCTAAGTGTCCATCAGCATAAATGGGTAAAGAAAATGTGATACATATATACAACGGAGTACTATGCAGCCATAAAAAGAATGAGATCCTGTCATTTGCAAGAACACGGAAGGAACTGGAGATTGTTTTGCTAAATGAAATATGCCAGGCAGAGAAAGAAAAACATCCCATATTCTCACTTATTTGTGGGTTCTAAAAATCAAAACAATTGAACCCATGGACATACAGAGTAGAATTATGGTTACCAGAGGCTGGGAAAGGTAGCCAAGTGATGTCCAGGATGTGGAGATGGTTAATGGGTAAAAAAACACTAGTCAGAAAGAATGAGTAAGACCTGCTATTTAATAGCACAAGAGGGTGACTATAGTCAATAATAACTTATTTGCACATTTTAAAATAACTAAAAGAGTGTAATTGGATTGTTTGTAACACAAAGGATAAATGCTTGAGGGGATGGATACCCCATTCTCCATGATGTGATAATTTCACATTTCATGCCTGATCAAAATATTTCATATACCCCATAAATATATATATAGTATATATATATGTATTATATATATGTACCTACTATGTACCCACAAAAATTAAAAATAACATTTTAAAAATAAATAACCCCCAAATGATAAAATTTTAGCAGAAACTTGAGGCCCATAGGGCTTTTTAGGCCTCTCAAGGTACAGCACACAGGTAAGTGACGTTTTCTTCTAAATGATCATAAATGCTAAAATACACCAAATTCTTCTGGTGCACGCTTTGTTTTTCAGCAAGCCTCACTGCCGTAGTTAATGGTGCAGGACGACATAGGCTGTCCCTGAACAGAAAGGTCTTCTAAGTTCCATAGAAGTGTATGGATCATGCTGGAGGCATGCTTGAATGGGATTGCAGGAAATCACCCCTATTCTATCCATAGCAACCAAGCTGAACTCTGAAACTGCCATAGCAGAATTCTAACTTAAGCCCCACAGACCCCCATGTGATCGTTGAAGCCATTTCCACAAATGATAAGAACTTCTGCCCCTTCTCTTTCTTCCTCTTTTCCTCCTACTTCTACTTCAGAAAGGTGCTAAGGAACTATTTCCACATGGTGATCTACATTGGAAGCCATATCACCACAGGATATGGCTTCTGAGAGATGACTCTAAGGTGGAAAACTCTGAGGAGCATGTATTCATATGAGTGAATTATGTACCTTGGTGAATACACTGAAACAAAATGTGAGAGGTTATTCTTAGTACATCATAGTATACAATACTAATAGTAGTTAGCATTTACTGAGCACTTGCTATGTTCTTGGAACTGTATTATGTGCTTTGCAGGCACTATACCTTCCACTCTTTGGAAGTATTGCTGGATTATGATTAAAAAATAGAGAGCCTAGATTCACATTCTAGTGCTACCACTTACAAGCTGTTTGACTTTGGGTAAGTTACTCAACATCTTTTTGCTTAAGGAGTCCTATAAGCTGAATATAATAATAGTACCTGTCTCATAGGTTGGTGGAGACAATTATACGAGCTAATCCATTTAAAGGGCTAAAACAATGCCTGATTCCAACTAATTAGTTAATAAATGTTATCTGTTGTTCACGATTCTGTCACTACTCTGTGAGGTAGATACTGTTACTACCTTCATTTTGAAGATTATGAAACTGAGTCTCAGAGGAGTTAATTGATTTGACCAAGATCAAACAGATAGTAAGTGGTAGAACTAATGCTCAAACTCAAGTCCATGTGACTCCAGTACTCTCACTGAACTAATTTGCTACTCTCTAATGTATATGACAGAGAAAAGAAACAGTAATCAATACGTGAACCCTAGCCACACTAATTACTGTTAGGTGTAACGCCACTTGTTATTGTCAGGTGTAATGTCTTAGTAATTTTTACCACACTATTCTACCTTCATTGAGGTCATTTGTAAATATCAGTAAATGTTACTACACTCTAATTTATACATATGCACTTAATTTAGCATTTGTATTTCATAATAGAGGTCTAGGGTTTGCCAACTTTTATACCCTAATACCTGTAACTGAAACCTAGGATTTTTCTTATGCTACTAAATTAATACATCATACAATAACATTATGTGTAGAATTCTGAGTCTTGGGTTTACAAACTATTCCTTTAGCAGCAGACATTATGCTCTGTTTAATTTGTGATGGAAACAAATTATATCTGCCAATGTAAAGAAAGGGTAAATGTACTTTAGTAGGGGTTAGGTAGTGAGGACTAAATACATGATCAGGAAGCGAAGAATAGCTGTGGGTGTTCCATGTCCAGACTGAGCCAAAAATAATGTGTCAGTTGGCCAATCAATCTTAGAATACTGGAGGATTGATAGAATTCCAGAAGCTGTTTAAATGATGGGAAAGACCATTTGG
Organism: Homo sapiens; assembly: GCF_000001405.40. Lineage (NCBI taxonomy): Eukaryota > Metazoa > Chordata > Mammalia > Primates > Hominidae > Homo > Homo sapiens. Next base: position 109,286,200 of record NC_000023.11, on the reverse strand, counting down.
CTGCCTGAAGAAAAAGCATTCCAGGCAGAATATACTGTTTTGGAAAAATTTCAGAAGTCGAAGTGTGATGTGCCTGCAGGGAATCTAAAGCAGGTGTGTCTTCACACATGAGGTGTAAACATAAAGTGATTAATATGACTTGTTTTCATATAAACATATCAGAACTTTATTTCCCAATAAGTGTTCTCTTAGAAGCAGACTTAGATTCCTAATATTCTCCTTTGAAACATAGCTTTGAACATTCTCTCTGGCCTGGCCTTCAGACACAAATGTGCAAACTATGTGCATTAATTTAAGACAGAAAGTGGAAAGAACTAGCGGGGATGTAGCAAAGGCCTGAAGCCTGGAATAAGACTCACAGCTTCTTTGCTGTCACCTCTGAGGATTGCCCGGGAAGCTACAGAGGTTCTCTCTATACCAATAAGGTAAATGAAGCCATCTTACTTGATTAAAGGTGGTGAGACTTACATGGCCCTGGGATCTCCCAGGTCTAACTCCCTCTTTTCCATGTTTAACTTGAGTTGTTGGTGAACCATCCTGCCAGAGTTAGTTTGCATATGGAGAAATAAATGGAGTTAGATAAAAAGCATTTACACTTTCTACCATTAATGAAATAGACTCCATATGACCAGATGAATTCAATCTAGGTCTTAATGGATACACAGAAAAAGCAAGAGACCTGTCAGAGGGAGTGTGATACAAAACTGAATAGATAGGTGTTCTTGGGTGGTCCAACATGTCTGAGGCAAACTGGGTCAGAACTGTTATCTTGGAAGCCCATTCAAATAGCTTGGTAAGGTATATGGGGTCTGTTCTATCAGAAGCTTCAGAGAGATTAACAGGTATAAAAATACACAACTGTAATTCAGATTTAACAATAAAAAAGTGTATGGGAAAATTACACATAGTCTGGGATGGAGCACTGGTAAGGGATCGGGGGTACTCAAATGATGTAGGACAGGATCCAGGATGCTGGGGCTTGTGAATTTATACTTTGTGAGTATAAACAATGTTGCTACAGGAACTTAAAGTTAAAAGCATAAAAAAAGATGAGTTAAGGGTGTCAATGAATCAGTTGTTAATGTTAGTTAAAAATTAAGGAGGAAGAATGACATATATTTATTAAGGACTCAATAAATATGCTAAGTTCTTCAAATATATTGCTTCAAAACAAGCCTATGAGTTAAAGGTTATTGTATCCATTTTAATGATGTAGAAACCAAAGATCAGAGAGGTAAAGTAAATTGCCCAAAGATACAGAGTGGTAATTGGCAAATCCAGGTTTGAAGATAGAGCTCACTGACTCCAAAGTTCACGCTCTTTTTTAGTATATTTAGTGACTCTTTAAGGATGAGTGCATTTGGGTGTGCACACAGAGAAGAAAGAGCTAGAAGAAAATGGTGTTGAAAAAGGCTAACAGTCTGAATAATTAAGACTTAAGAATGTGAGCAGCAATGAGATCCCAGGTTGGTGCTGCTAATAACAGGGAACATGGGGGGAATAATTAAGTAATATTTTGAACAGTGATTGCAAACTGGTGGCTGGTTGGTCAGATCCAGCTGGCACACATTTTGGTTGGCCTGTATAGTATTTTTTAAAATATCAAGTTAATTGCCAGTATTTTAAAAGATAATTTTTCACATAAAAAAGTCTGGTTTCAGCTTCTCCCCCTACCAAAATACAATATGGCAACATGGGACCTGCAATCTTGTATGGCAAAATCAGCTGAAGCCAAGTTGCTCCATACATTGGGTATTTGCTTTCCAGTTTCCCAGAGTCTCCAGTACATCCTACACTTGGGCAGCTTCACTCATCAGGCTACCTGACTAGCCCCTATAAACATTGTCGTTTGTGACTGATAGTTTAGATGATTACAGTGAATGGCTCTTTGTTTTCTTTGAAGAAGATGCCACCTTCTTGGGGAGATGGCAGAGAAAGTAGGGAAAGACATTTTTTATAAGGCAACTCAAAGTGCTGAAATGTCTATGTGGCTCATTTGATTGATATTTGAAAGGAGTTGCAACCATTGTGATGTCAGCCATGAGCCTAGCTGAAGGTTGGCATGTTCTTTGATTGTTGAGTCATTTGGGTACTGGAGTGGGGGGTACTGTATTTTTTTCTTGTTTGTTTGTAATTTAGGGTTAAATTGTAACCAGCTTTTAGTTACTAAGTAGAGAAGACAGTGAAGACATCCAGTGTCTTAGATAAGGTAAACCTCAAGGTACCAACAGTAGGGCCTGTCACCCATTGCAAAGAATCTGTTGTAGTTAGAGGTGTTACTGTGTCCTCAAAGGGAGTAAGTAGCCTAGCGGTAATAAAAGTATTAGGAGGAAGGTTGCCAAACTATGTTAGGTGTTGGGAGGTAATGTGGAAAATAAAGCAGTGATCCAGCAGGAAGCTTGTTAATTTTTTTTAAAAAAGTGAATTTACTGAGGAACTTGTATCTAGAACTATTACAACTCAATAATAAAAAGAAAAATAACCCAATTTAAAAATGGGTAAATAATTTGAATAGACATTTCTCCAAAAAAGATACACAAATGGCTAACAAACACATAGAAAGACACTCAACATTGTTAGTCATCAGGGAAATGGTAATCAAAATCAGAATGAGATACAACACACTCAAGGCTATAGGATGGCTATAAGAAAAAAGAGAATATCCAGTGTTGCTGAGGACATGGAGAAATTGGAATTTTCATTCATTGCTGATGGGAATGTATAATGATGTTGCAGCTTGGAGAACAGTCTGCCGGTTCCTCAAAAAATTCAACATACAACTACTCTATGACCCAGCAATTCCATTCCTAGGTATACTTAAGAAAAATGAAAACACATGTCTATATAAAAATGCATACATGAATATTTATAGTAGCATTATTCATACTAGCCAAACAGTGAAAACAATGCCAATGCCCATCAACAGAAAAAAGGATAAACAAAATGTGGTATATCCATACAATATAATATCATTCAGCCATAAGAAGGAATGAAATACTGATACATGCTACAACACGGATGATCCTTGAAAATTTTATTCTAGGTAAAAGAAGCCAGAGAAAAACGTGCCATATGATTTTTTGTATATGAAATGTCCAGAATAGGCAAATCTGTAGAGACAGAAAGTACATTAGTGGTTGCCCAAGGATTAAGGGAAGGGTTTGGAGGGAATTGAACCATTGCGATGTCAGCCATCAGCCTAGCTGAAAGTTGGCATGCTCTTTGATTGTTCAGTCATTTGGGTATTGGAGTGGGGGTTACGGTATTTTTCTCTTATTTGTTTGTAATTTAGGGTTAAATTGTAAACAGCTTTTAGTTACTGGGAATGGGGAGTGACTATTAATAGATATGGGATTTCATTTGGACGTGATTAGAATGTTCTAAATTTAAATAGGTTGATGATTGCACATCTCTGTGAATATATGAAAAGCCACTGAAATCTACATGTTAAATGAGTGAATTGCATAGTATGTAAATTATATCTCCAGAAAGCTATTAAAATAAATTTATAAAAGATATAACTGCCTGCATTGCATTGTTGGCCAAACTTGTAAAAAAGAGAGAAAAATTCAAGAGATTTCTGTTTTTTGTTGGATTTTCCACTCTTTCTTAACTCCCATAAAGGCCCTTAGGTCACTGTCCCATAGAAATTTACCTTAAGTCTTTAAGTTAATGAAGAAGGCTGAAGATAATTCCTCAGCATGAAGATTCTATTGAAATTGTGGGTGTTTGAAAATTTCTCTGGCTTTGGTGTTCCTTTGCATATTTATATATTTACCCCTACTATAGTTCACTCTCCTCAATGTGTCTGGTCTCTTTCTGAGTGTGGTTGAAGAATAATATCATTGAATATGAAAATAAATAAGCAAGCTAATTAACTGACTAACTGAAAAACCCAAAACACCACGTAGAATTCTAAAACTCTAGCATTGGAAAAAACCTTCTAATGGAGGGATATATTCTACACAGATTCAGACAGGTAGTATCTAGAATGAAAGCAATTTCATAATTTCTTTTGATATGTTGTCCAGGCAGTCTCTTTTCACCATCTGGCAGTTTCTTCTATTATGAAACCTAAATACAGTACTGGGAAAACTCAGAGAGTATCTGAAAGAAGAACTCTGGGCCTTTAGGACAAGACTTGATGAATTGAAAAAGGAAGTGGTGTAGAGAAAAGAATGGCTATCTTTTGGGAGTGGGAGGGATTAATCATTACTGTAGACCTTATAAACAGCTCTAAACAGGCAAACAGCATTTCGGCTCTAAGACCACAAATAAATTACCCTTGCTATGATAAAAAGTTGTTCTATTGATGTGGAAAAAGTTACTTTAAAGTGGAAACTCCCAGGCAATTCTTATTTTTATCTAAGACTTCCCTTTCTCAATTTAAGACTCAATGATTTCCTTCTGTGGTTTTATCAATGGGCTAGAGGTCTGATAAGATTGTTTCCTTCCTGCACTTGGAACTCTGCCATCTCACTTGGAAGAAGTAATAGACTTGCCTTTCTAGCCTGGCTCAGAGCTCAGTGGAACAAAAGGCACATGAGATGTGAGAACACAGAATGCAGAGGCAGGCCAATGTAACTAGCCCAGGGTGTGCTGCAGTCGACTTTGACTGGAGTCCTTTATCTCTATGTGAATGTTTATTATCTTGCAAATCACGTTGCTTTGCCCAGTTAGACTGCAAGTTGAAGAAGGAGCATAATTTGAGTCTTAGTATATTTGTGCTTCTATAGTAAAATACTGTAGACTGGGTAATTTATAAAGAACAGAAATTTATTTCTCACACTTTTGGAGGTGGGGAGTCCAAGCTCAATGTGGCAGATTTGGTGCCTATTGAGAGTCTGGGCTCCGCTTCCAAGATGAAACATTGTTGTTAGATTATCTGAAGAGTAGTAATGTGTTGTCATACAGTGGAAAGTATGGATGGGAATAATAGGGGCAAACTCCCCTTGTCAAGCTCTCTTTTAAGGGCATCCACACCCATTCATGAAGGTGGACCCCTCATGACTCAATCAGCTCCTAAAGACCACACCTCTTAATACTGCCACTATGGGGATTAAGTTTCAACATATGAACTTTGGAGGACATTCAAATTATAGCTTTCTGCACCTGGCCCCCAGGTGCAGAATTAGGAAAATTCTTCAGAGAGGACAGAAAATGGAGCAGGCCAATCACCCAGTAGGGCTTGTTATCAGTGTAGTTTACAAGGACACTTAAAAAAGATTGCCCAACGAGAAACAAGCCGCCCCCCATTCATGTCCGCTATGCCGAGGCAGTCACTGGAAGGCACACTGCCCCAGAGGACAAAGTTTCTCTGAGCCAGAAGCCCCCAACCAGATGATCCAACAACAGGACTGAGGGTGCCTGGGGCAAGTGCCGGCTCATGTCATCACCCTCACTGAGCCCCGGGTACGTATAACCATTAAGGGCCAGGAAAATTGACTTCCTTCTGGACACTGGTGTGGCTTTCTCAGTGTTAATCTCCTGTCCTGGACAGCTATCCTCAAGGTCTGTTACCATCCAAGGAATCCTGGGACAGCATGAGGAGGTGGTATTTCTCCTACCTCCTCAGTTGTAATTGGGAGACTTTGCTCTTTTCACATGCCTTTCTTGTTATGCCTGAAAATCCCACACCCTTATTAGGGAGGGATATATTAGCCAAAGCTGGAGCTATTATCTACATGAATATGGGGAACAAGTTACCCATTTGTTGTCCCCTACTTGAGGAGGGAATCAACCCTTAAGTTTGGGCATTGGAAGGAACAAACTCAAGCTCCAGCCTTAAGCCTTCCCACGGGACAAAATTTCTCTTTATACATCACAGAGAGAGCAGGGATAGCTCTTGGAGTCCTTGCTCAGACTCGTGGGACAACCCCACAACCAGTGACATACCTAAGTAAGGAAATTGATGTAGTAGCAAAAGGCTGGCCTCACCACTTACAGGTAGTTGTGGCGGTGGCTGTCTTAGTGTCAGAGGTTATCAAAATACAAGGAAAGGATCTCACTGTCTGGACTACTCATGATGTAAATGGCATACTAGGTGCCAAAGGAAGTTTATGGCTATCAGACAATGGCCTACTTAGATACCAGGCACTACTCCTTGAGGGAGTCAAATATGACATGCATAGCCCTCAACCCTGCCACTTTTCTCCCAGAGGATGGGGAACCAATCAAACATGACTGTCAGCAAATTATAGTCCAGATTTATGCCACCCGAGTTGGTCTCTTAGAAGTCCCCTTAGCTAATCCTGACCTTAACCTATATACTGATGGAAGTTCATTTGTGGAGAACGGGATACAAAGGGCAAGTTATGCCATAGTTAGTGATGTAACCATACTTGAAGGTAAGCCTCTTCCCCCAGGGACCAGTGCCCAGTTAGCAGAACTAGTGGCACTTACCCGAGCCTTAGAACTGGGAAAGGGAAAAAGAATAAATGTGTATACAGATAGCAAGTATGCTTATATAATCCTACATGCCCATGCTGCAATATGGAAGGAAAGGGAGTTCCTAACCTCTGGGGGAACCCCCATTAAATATCACAAGGAAACCATGGAATTATTGCATGTAGTGCAAAAACCCAAGGAGGTTGCAACGCAGCATAAGCGGCTGGCAGAGACAGAAATTTGGAGAGAGAGAGGAAGAGACAGAGACAAAGAAGGAGTCAAAGAGAGAGGAAGAGAGAAAAAGAGACATCAAGTCAAAGAGAAACAGAGAGAGAGAGGAAAAGACAGAGTGACAGAAAGAGAGAGGAAAGACAGAAAGAGACAAAGAAGAACAGAAAGAAAGAGAGATAGAAGTAATTAAAAAAAAAGTGTACCCTATTCCTTTAAAAGCCAGGGTAAATTTAAAACCTATAATTGATTGAAGGTCTTCTCTGTGACTCTATAACACTCCAATACCACCTTGTTGTCAGTGTAAACAAGGGTGTAGCCCAAAAGCACTGAGGCCACTGACAACCCTATCAAAATCCTATCAAAAATCCTTCCTATCAAAAATCCTTAACCTAGCAGGTTTCCTAACAGGGGATTTAATCCTAATTAATTACCATACAAAGGTCTGATGAGACCTAGGAGGAACTCCCTTCAGGACAGGATGATAGATGGTTCCTCCCAGGTGATTAAGGGAAAAAGACACAATGGGTATTCAGTAAGTGATAAGGAAACTCTTGTAGAAGCAGGGTTAGGAAAATTGCCTAATAATTGTTCTGCTCAAAAGTGCCAGTTGTTTGCACTCAGCCAAACATTGAAGTACTTATAGTATTAGGAAGGAGCCATCTATACCAATTCTAAGTTAATACAGACTGAACGAGGTCTTATTAATAGCAAAGAATAATTGAAATCCCAAACTTACAAGGTTTTCAACAAAAGTAAAGTTTGCTAAAAGTTAACATTGTAACATGTCACTCACTCTCAAGGGATTTCTCAGACAGTTTGTAAGAAATAACAAAATCTATCCTTACTCTACAATCCCAAATAGACTCTTTGGCAGCAGTGACTCTCCAGAACCGCCAAGGCCTAGACCTCCTCACTGCTGAGAAAGGAGGACTCTGCACCTTCTTAGGGGAAGAGTGTTGTTTTTACACTAACCAATCAGGGATAGTACAAGATGCTGCCCAGTGTTTACAGGAAAAGGCTTCTGAAATCAGACAACGCCTTTCAAGCTCTTATACCAACCTCTGGAGTAGGGCAACATGGCTTCTTCCTTTTCTAGGTCCTGTGGCAGCCATCTTGCTATTACTTGCCTTTGGGCCCTGTATTTTTAACCTCCTTGTCAAATTTGTTTCCTCTAGTATGGAGGCCATCAAGCTACAGATGGTCTTACAAATGGAACCCCAAATGAGCTCAACTAAAAGCTTCTACCAAGGACCCCCTGGACCAAACCACTGGCCCTTTCACTAGCCTAAAGAGTTCCCCTTTGGAAGACAGTACAACTGCAGGACCCCTTCTTCACCCCTATCCAGCAGGAAGTAGCTAGAGCAGTCATTGCCCAATTCCTAACAGCAGTTGGGATGTCCTGTTTAGAGGGGGGATTGAGAGGTGAAGCCAGCTGAGCTTCTGTGTCGGTTGGGGACTTGGAGAACTTTTGTGTCTAGCTAAATGATTGTAAATGCACCAATCAGCACTCCATAAAATGGACCAATCAGCACTCTGTAAAATGGACCAATCAGCACTCTGTAAAATAGATCAATCAGCAGTCTGTAAAATGGGCCAATCAGCAGGATGTGGGCAAAGCCAAATAAGGGAATAAAAGCTGGCCACTTGAGCCAGCAGCGGCAACCGGCTCGGGTCCCCTTCCATGCTGTGGAAGCTTTGTTCTTTTGCTCTTCACAATAAATCTTGCTGCTGCTTACTCTTTGGGTCCACACTACCTTTATGAGCTGTAACACTCACTGCAAGGGTCTGTGGCTTCATTCCTGAAGTCAGCGAGACCACGAACCCACCGGGAGGAACAAACAACTCCAGACGTGCCACCTATAAGAGCTGCAACTCTCACTGTGAAAGTCTGTGGCTTCACTCCTGAAGTTAGCAAGACCACGAACCCACCGGAAGGAAGAAACTCTGGACACATCTGAACATCTGAAGGAATAAAGTCCAGACACACCATCTTTAAGAGCTGTAACACTCACCATGTGGGTCTGTGGCTTTATTCTTGAAGTCAGAGAGACCAAGAACCCACAGGAAGGAATAAATTCCAGACACGCTATGCTTATCCCAAAGATTAGCCTTCACTGGAAGCAGAATAGGCTGGTCTACTGTCCCAAAATTTATTTTATTTACAGTCATGTTTGTTTTTCTATCATCTGAGGACTATTCCTTTGGGTTAACCTCTATGAAAATGCAACAATGGTAGAGTAAAAAAGTGGTACATTGTATTAGTCAGGGTTCTCTAGAGGAACAGAACTAATAGGTTATATGCATATATGAAAGGGAGTTTATTAAGGATAATTGACTCACAGGATCACAAGGTGAAGTCCCATAATAGGCCGTCTGCAAGTTGAGGAGCAAGGAAGCCAGTAGTGGCTCAATCCGAGTCCCAAAACCTCAAAAGTAGGGAAGCCAACAGTGCAGCCTTTGGTTTGTGGCCAAAGGCCTGAGAGTCCCTGGCAAACCACTGGTGTAAGTCAAAGCATCCAAGGGGCAAAGAACCTGGAGTCTGATGTTCAAGGGCAGGAAGCATCCAGCATGGCAGATAGATGAAGGCTGGAAGACTCAGCTAGTCAGCTTCTTCCACCTTCTTCTGCCTGCTTTTTCTAGCCATGCTGGCAGTTGATTGGATAGTGCCCACCCACACTGCAGGTGGGTCTTCCTCTCTCAGTCCACTGACTCAAATGTTAATCTCTTTTGGCAACACCCAGAAACACCAAGATACACCCAGAAACAATACTTTTGCAACCTTCAATCCAATCAAGATGACACTTAATTTGTTAACCACCACACACATTAAGCTACCAACTATATTTAATACCTTTGGGAGAGTTTATTTGCTGTATAGAAGAAGGAAAAGCAGATCCCTGAGGAACTAGGATAATGGAACATGGTAGAGAAATCTTGGGCAGGAGGCTTGCCAGAGGGAATTAAGATCGTGGAAGATGATGGTGCTAAAAGGACAGGTAGAAAGATGCCAAAGACAATCATCTCTGCTGTAGTAGTACTTGAGCTCAAAGGAGAATCTTTAAAAAGGAACAGTTCTTCCCTCTTAGTTCACCCAATAAAGTTGAGTGACATTTACTACAAAGAACAGCATGGCAGCAAGAGATAAACTTGCAACAAGGCATCTTTGTCATCCACTATACAATAGGTGACAGTTTTTAAGCACAGAGAGATTTGACATGTTTTGCTGTTTGTGGATGTGTGGGTTTGATTACTGTGACATTGGGTATGGGGAAAGACTAGGGTTGAGGGAACAAGAATAAAGATGCACTGAGTGTGAGTGGGGAGTCAGGGTTGGAGGGAATGGCAAGCTCCATGACATATAAGGCCTTTGTTTTGAGCCCTCTGAGAAATGCTTTCCTTGTTTCCTCTCCTCCTTTGGTCTTTCCTTCTTTCCTCTGCCCCATCTTTCCCTCTTTTCTTGTTCCCATTATCCTAGGACTTCCTGCCTTTTACTGACTTATTCTCTGCCTGGGTTTTGAGGATGCCAGTGGTACTCTTTAATCTGGCTTTGCCTCTAGCCCCATCCTAGTCCCAGCTGGTGTTCCTTAGGACCCAAGAGACTGTTGGCAGATATTGTTTTTACAAATCAAGTCACATATGAGGTCCAAAGTCTATGTACACAGTGTTATCAGCTCATCAATTAATGGTAAGCAGCTATATGCTTTGTGTGTGTTTCCAGAGCTGCACAGGGAGCCCTGGTAGCTGATCAGTGGCTTGGGCTCTGGTGCCAGTGGAGTTGGAAGGAACAATTTGTATGGCTCTGAATTATCTGTTAGAATTTCCATGCTTCTCCTTGGTGTCCAGACTATTTTCTGTAATCCCCTCTGGTAGTTTATAAAGACTTCTCCATCATAGGATGCAGCTTTGACAGGAACCCCACGAAAAAGAATGGAAGCACACAAAAAATCTCATTTTACCCAGCAGTCCCTTCCAACTCCTTAGTATTAACCTTTTCCTCCCATTCTCAATAATACTAGATCAAGAGAATGTAAGCACCCAAGACCTGTCTTAGGGAATTCAGACCTCAGGCCCTTATGTGGAATGAACTGAAATAAGAAGTCATACTAGGGCCTCAACATTCTCAATCTACTTTTTTATTGTATATGTATGAGAAGGGTAGGAGTGGCTGTGAGTTGAGGGAGAGAGGAGAGCGAACAGATTTTGTCCCAATTGCATGTGCTAGCTGGTGTGCAGTAATGATGGAGTGGTGTTTTTGCATCAGAAGTCACCTCTTTGTGAATTATAGGTGATTAGGGGAGCCATGTTGTCCTTTGTACCTGAAGGGCCCCTGGAAAAGTGATGTGGAGAGCAGGACTCTCTGTCTCTAGTCTCTTCTTTTCCCTCCTAGAGTTTGGAGTAACAGGCAGAAAACACTTTTCTGTAGATTTTTAAGTCAGACATTTCCCTGACACTCAAATATACTCTGGGTCTTCTAGTCTCTGTTGGCTTCTTTCACAAAAGAATTCTGCTGCTGCTGCTGAAACTCACATCTGGCATGACCAGCAGGAAAGGGCCAATGAGTCTGTCGGACCTTGTGAACAAAGCAGAGTCCTAATGGTTGGAGGAGAGAGAAAGGTGGTAAAAGTCAGCGCATGAAATTAAAGAGTAAGAGACCCTTGTGCAAGTTCTTCAGAAAGTTCCGTGGTTTCCAAATTCTACATGTGCTACTTTAGTTTCCTGTAAGACAGCACATAGAGAAAGTGCTCAAGATATGCTTAATGAATTAAAAGGGAGAAGGAAGTTACAGTCTCTGAGAACCATTGTCTAGTTTCCACTCACCCCATACAGATTTCTTAGAGAGGAGGCTAGAAAAATAGATCTGTATTGATTTTCAGAATTTCCAAACCAACATTGTATCTGGGCTACGGCCTTGATATACGTAGAGAGAAAATTCCATTTCAACAAAAGCAAGCACCATCTGTAATATCCATTAAACCCTAAATGACCAATGGTGTGTTTGAGATCCAGAGAGGTGGAGTGAGTTTTTGAGCTTCTATAGTAGGAAGAGGAAGGTGAGAACATAATTCAAGTATTCTGACTCCTGTTTCTCCATGAGAATAATTTTTATTCTTCTGACAAGAACGATGAGGATGGAAATTCCACTTGTTTGACAGCTTTGGATATTACTAATCTAAAGGTGGTCAGTTCACAGTAAGCAGGAATAAGGAAAAGTAGTATTAACCTTGCTCATCACATGCAAACTTCTCCCCTGTGCCCACCAATGAGGAATTTCATATAGAATTGTAACAATGTTAATTATAATAATACTCTGCATAGGTTTATGATTAAGATCCTGCAGCATCTCATCCCTCATATGTTTCCAAGGCACATTTCTTTTTTAATACAAGTATCTTTTTCACCTTATGAATGTTAAGTACTACAATGGTTTCTTTTGCACATTTCTTTTCTTGAAAATAATGTTTTAAAAGCTTGTATTCATTAATTTATAGAAGCATGCTTTACTTTTAATGACATTGTATCCAAGATGTTGCTAGCCAAGCCTTAACTGTGTTCCTTGTTTCTGTCCCTCCTTCCACTTTTTTTATGTCTTGTAATTATAAATAATGAAATGTTAAACTAGACTGGATTGCATTTAGAACTTTCCCCAAAGGCCCCAGCAAAGGACCTGGGGATGAGCCAGTGTTTCACAAATTTGGTTTGGACATGTACACTAGAGGTTTCCCAAGTCTCCATTCTGCCAAGTTGGCCTAGCAATCTCCCAAGAATCACTTGTCCTGCTGTGTTCTGCCCCATGGACTTCCAGGGGATCTATTCAATTGGGCCCTTGTGTTCTAAGAGGCCCGGGTATTCTGATATCTGAGGCGTAACTAAACAAACCCAGCAGGGGATGGGGAGCTGCCTGGGTTACCACCATAAGAAGAGCTGTTCCCCTCATCCATCTCTCATCACAGTTCCAAGAAAACATTAAGCACCTGGTTGCAGAGGAGAAGACACATTGCCTGGACTCTTATGCCTTCTGTTCTGTAAGAGCCAGGGGCACACTCAACTAACAGACACACTGACACCAACAAATGACTGGAAAATACAAAAATGGACAGCATTAAATGGTGGTGGTGATGGTGGTAGTGTGTGTGTGTTTATGTGTGTGTGTTTTAAAGCTATATAAATTGAGATTTTCTTTCTAGGCCTTCTAGCTTTTTCTAGAAGAATTAGGGCAGGGATGGACGTAACTTCAAATTGACTCTCAGCCAGTACCCTTCTAGGCCCATGTCTTTATGCTTCCTCCTCCCTTATCTCTTTTTTAAAAAGGAAAAGAAAGTCCTGTGGGAAGGCCACGTGCTGCTGTATTTTTACAATTTTATTTAGTAGAGGCAAAGATGTAAGCATTTTACATGTGCTGTCCCTTCTCTCCTGCCACTCTTCTATTTCTTCCTCCTTCTGGTGTCTTTTTCAGCCCCTTTATTCCTAATTTATCTCTGTTTCAACCTATTCTCTATATTTGTTTCCTAACCCCTAAAAACATCTCTTTCTGGAGATGATAGCTGGGTGGTGGGATGCGAGAGGAAGACAGAGGGAGAAAGAAAGAGAGAGAGAGAAATGGGACAAAGATGGGCGGAGACTATGGAAAGGCAGGCATTCCTCTCTGTCCTAGCATGCATCTTCTCTGACTTCCCTTCATCTTCAGAGAAACTAATACTAATAGGTACCATACAATGAATACTTAATATGTGCAAGTGGTTTCAATACATCATCTCATTTAATTTTTGTAATGACTCTGCAAGCTGGTAACATTGCTCCCATTTTACAGATGAGAAAACTACAAAGGTTCAGCAAGGTGAATCAAGTGGAGTTGGACCACTAAGATTTGAATCCTGGCTCTGCTATCTACTAGCTAAATGAGCTTGGGCATGTTGCATTTCTCTGTGTCCCAGTTATCACAATTACTCTACTCTAGAAAGGTACATAGCATGTGTCATCCTTGCTAGAAACTCACATTGTTCATCTGCTAAACTCCTATGCACCAACTTGCTGATAGAAGGGAACCATCCCAGATGCACTTCAGGATACTTCTTCTCTTCCCACGTGGTTTGTGCATATGGACAAAGATGTTTGGAAGACTTGGTTGGTGGGCATTTCAGGCCATTCATTCATTGCACAATTAAACCAAAAAACAACTACTTGTTGTGGATCATGCAAAGCACTGAGAAGACAGTAGTGAACGACAATACATGGCCCTTGTTCTTATGGAATCACACAAATAAATGCAAAATTTTCATTGCAGCAAGTGCTACAATGGATCCAATGGGCAGGAACATAGTAATATAACTGAGGGAAACTTGGAAAACTTCCTTTAAAAAGTGATGATGGAGGTAACTTCTGGAGAAAGAGAGGTAGTTGATTCTTAAGGAGTGAGAAAGAGCTTTCCAGAAAAGGAAATAGCTTGCACCTTGTAGTAGGAGGGAGTGTAGCAGATATAAACTGAAGACAGATGAGTATGTCCAGAGTGCAAGGAATGCGCAGTATGTGGTAGGGTACTGTCAATATGTCAGGCTAGCAGGTACCTCTTTGAGGACTCAGGTATGTGTGGCACTCTTCCATCATACTATATAAGCATGGAGATGGTACACCAAAGATTTTCTAGGGCAGTCATGAATTCAAATTCCATAGTGTTGTTGCCATAAGCACATTCATAGTGTCAGTTTATGTGTTCTAATTTAAAGCTGAGAAAAGAGGGTAGCTGTATGCCTTCTCAGCTCCCCGGGGATGTCTATTTTGTGGAACAAATGGGTGGGCCTCAAGAAGTTTCAAAATAGAGAAGGGGTACTAAGACTCAGTATACCAGGGAAGAGGCAGTTACACTAGGTGGTGGCATTGGCTAGGCATCTTTCTCATTGGTTCCTCATCACTTTCTGACTCCCTTCTTTATTCTCTATTACCCCAAAGCCCCACCCCCTTGAAGACTGGAGTGCTGGTCAGGTGGGCCAGCATCAGGGTAGGATTTCCATTTGTGGCAGCTTAAATTAGTCAAGGTAATGAGTTAGAATTTTAAAGAGCAAGAAGAGCCAGGGGATGATGACAAGTCTGTTCTTAGAAAGCACTAAGGGTCAAAAGCTGAGTGTGGCAAGCCTAAGGGGTGAAAGCAGGGTCACAAACAAACAGGAGACAGTTCCAAGAAGGACTGGAGTCAGGTGTGCAAAGGAACAGAGAAAGAAGTGAAGAGCAAGAGTAGGAGTGAAGTGAGACGGTTCAAGGCAATTACCTCAAATGAGGCCCTGAAAGCTGGGACTCATTTTCTTTGGCTGTCTGCCATGTAGTATGTGGGTGAGTTGGCCCAGTATAATGGCATGGGTCTGGGACTTCCCCGATTTGCTCAGGGAGAAGTTATGACTTGCCTGGGAGCATTCTTGAGGTAGAGGGCTGGTTCTCACCAGTACTTTGCTAATCCACAACCTTTCTCTTACACCAGCTCCTGAAACTGGCCAATGTGGAACTGAAAGTTTCAGCACCTGCTCTTCCCCCAGCCTCTGGTTGGCATGGGGCCATGGGGGAGGATATGAGTAGGCTGGGCTTAACCAAAATACTGGAAGCCACCTACCTCCTGTGTGGGCAGGATTAATAGGAAAGAGAAGACAAAGAGTTTCACAATTTCATGAACTGTAAAGAGGCTCAGCAAAGTCTTCATGTACTTAGTAGGGTGGATGTAAGTTGAGAGGCAAAAGTATTCAGTGATTAAAGGTGTTAATCTTAAAAGCATACAATCTGAATTCAGATCCCAGCTCTGCCACATGATGGCTGTGTGATCTTAGGTGAGTCACTCAACCTTTCTGTGTCTCATTTTTTCTACAGTAGGAAAATGAGGATAATGATATTTGTCACCTAAGATTGTTGGACAGTTTAAGTGAAGGAATGCATGTAAACTGCTTAGCACTGTGTCTGGCATATAGTAAATGTTTAATAAGTAGTAATGGTTATTTTTACTGGAAGAAAGCTGGATAGAATCTCCTATCTGAATGATCTCTCCAAGTGCTTGAAATCTACAGGGGTTGGGATGGTGTTTAGTAATGCAGAAAAATGGCAAGGATGGAAATCATTACTCCAATTGTTGGGTTAAAGGTGCATTCTAGATGTAGGAAACTCCTAAATGGGAACTCAGCATAGATAAACCAGGGAAAGAAGTCATATTGTTGCATAACATGTACTAGCAGAGGTTTAGTCTGATGGCCCTTGGCAGTAGCCCAGGGTTGACCCATTGATAGGTAGGTCTGGGACTTGGCTGGGCAGGGGATAGCTGGAACAGCCAAGAACAGGCAGAACCAGAGGAAGAATGCAAACCTTTGCATGAGAAGCACTGAAGAAACAAATGAGAAGACTTGAGATGATCATGTCTGGGATAGCAGTGTGAGGATGGACACAGGATGCATAGCCAAGTTCAGAAGGCATGTACCTACAGGGACCAGTCCAGAGGGAATGAGGAGCTAGAGCAGCAGCAATTTGAGTAGGTTCACTGTGACTGCCATGAAAGGGTCCCTGAGGGCAGGTATTTGGCTTTATTGGCTGCCAACTCAGTAGTGTGTGGGTGGGGTGGCTTGGGCTGGTTGGTATGGACTGTGGCAGAGAGTAATAACAATATTACTGCCAGGTGGATATAATTTCTGTTTTACAGTGGAGAAAACTTAGAATTAAAGGCATCAAACAATTTGTCTTACATAGCACAATTAATCGTTAGCAAAGATGGGAATATGGGAATAATCCCTAAGAGAACATCTGAGGTAAAATGAACAGTAAAGCAAAGTTTCCTCATGGTGGCAGGGGTGGCATGGGGGCAGAAACCGTAAGTACAAGAGAATGTAGGCAGTTGTTACTCTCCCTGAGACTGTGTATATTAGAATTGCTGCATTATAAAGAATGTAGTATGATTTAGTAGTTAAGGAGTGCTTTCTGGAGCCATATTGCTTAGACTCAAAATCTGGCTCCTCCACTTACCAGTTGTATGACCAACTGTATGAGCAAGTGACTTAATCTCTCAGAGCCACAGCTTTCTCATCTGTAATGTGAACAAATGGTAGTACCTACTTCTTATGATTTTTATGTGATTTAATTAGTAAAGCACTTAGAAAAGTACCTGGCTCATAATGGGCACTATCTAAATTTTACCAATTAATAAAATAATAATAATTAGAGCAATAACAAGGACTAGTTTAGATAATGCATATAAAATACTTACCACAATGCCTGCACATGGTAAATGCTCAACAGAAGAATTATTATTATTACTATAAATACTCTACAGCAATAACAATTAGGTAAGCATTGGTCTCAGGAGGAGTTAACTAGCCTCACAAACCCGTGGTAGACAACCTTTATTCTAGAAATCTGAGAAAGACCCATTCTTCTCCTACAAATACAGCTCCTTCTTTCTATATTTATAAAACTGCCAAATAAATGAACTGTCCTAGGAGGTATAGTGCTCCCATCATAGCAGGCACTAAAGCACAAGCTAGCTAATTGCTAGGCAGGGTTGCTGTATAGGATACTGACAGACAATAATAACAATGATAGCTAACAGTAACATAGGTACTCCTAGTATCCCCATTTTATGGATGAGGAAACTGAGGCAAAGAGCACTCAAGTCCTTTGCCTGAGATCACATAGCCAGTAAGTAGCAAAGGTCCCTTTCAACCCCCTGACATCCTCTTGTGAAACATAGTAGATTCAGTCCCCAAGACTGTAATATGAATAATATTATTGGCTTCCCTTTTCTTCTTGTCAGGATGAAAGGAAGTGATGGTGAGTACTGGATTAGAGCTATAAGATTTAAAAGAGGAAAAATATAAAAGAAGACAGTAGGGCCAGTGGCACTTCAACAGACAAACTTTATCAACTCACATCTTTAGGGAGGTAGCCTCAGTATATTGAACCTAATCTCATGAGATCTGAACTGCCTGAGCTCTCTCTCCCAGGAGTCCTCAGGGGATTTTGAGATTAGAGCTGGCCCAGAATTACCAATTGGAGACACAAGTGCCCACACAAAGTTGTTCTGCCTGTTCCAGGTCTGTAGGGAGCTGACTCACATTTTGCTTACTACAATGGGCTCTATTTCAGTATCAGCTTGATCTCTTGCCAGAGCTGTGTTCAAGGAGGAGAGGTAAGAGAAGAGAGGGGATTCCTGGCCTGTGGGATGGTTCAGAAATGGGAATAAGGAAGTCATATTTTCTCACTCAGGAAACAAAGTGGCTGGAACAAAAAGTTCAGGTCAGACAGTAGCAAAAGCTGAGGGAAGACACTAGCAGGAACTGAAGGAAGTTCAGTAAGGAGGGGTTAGCTAGAGAGGACTTTGACACATAAGTTTGGATCTTCTATTCCTGCACCTATTCTCTGACATCAACTGGGTGTCCTATGATTCAGTTCAATTTGAGCACTAACTACCTTGAGTATCTGAACAGTGGAATGACATCCAAATACTCCAGAAAGATTCTGGCTGACCTATGCACACTGCACTACAGTGATCTGAGACAGCAGTTCAAGGAGATTTGAAGATAGAAAGGTCTCTGAGAGGCTATGCGATAGCCCAATCTAAACGGAACTAGTTGGTAAGGGGATGGAAGCCACAGGAAAAGAACTGGAAAGAATGGATAAGAAAATAAGTGGTTGACACCATGGAAAACTGCTTATTCAGTTACATCTTTATTCAAGATAAGTCCTCTGTCTAGAACCCACTTCTTACATTCCTTCACTTGACTAACACTCATCCTTCTAAACTTACTCCATTTTCTGTGAAAGTTTCCCTGGTCTCCCAGATTGTATGAAAGTGACTTGTTCATGTATCTATTTTGTCTACAATATTTAGAGTTTCTTAAGGGTAATTTCTCTTTCTTTCTTTCTTTCTTCCTTTCTTTCTTCCTTTCTTTCTTCCTTTCTTTCTTTCTTTCTTTCTTTCTTTCTTTCTTTCTTTCTTTCTTTCTTTCTTTCTTTCTTTCTTTTCTTCTCTTCTTTCTTTCTTTCTTTTCACCAAATATTTCTTGAATACTTACTACAGTGCAGGGAAATAAAGAAAGAACTTGGGACAGACATTCCACCTGATTCTGGTGACACTGGGTTTGGAAATTGATTGGATGTCTTATGTGAAGCTATCTTAGTGACTTCCAGAGAAAATAAAATCTTTTGGTGTCACTAGCATAGAGGGTGTGGTAAAATAAAAAATATATTTGGGAATGGAATTTCCCAAGTGATAGGACTGTCTTTGTTACAATAATGAGGTGACTCATAGGGAGTAGAACTGGGTAGCTTCAGGATGATGGTTGGTTGCCAAAAAATCAGCTTTATTATTAGAAAATTGGGACTGAACGAAGGAGATATTCAAGGAGGTTACAGATTGAGTTCAATCATGTGGTCAATGATTTAATGAATCATGTCTACTAATGAAACCTCATATAAAAATCCTGGAACCATGAGGCTTAGAGAACTTCAAGGTTGGTGAATACATCAATGTGCTAAAGAGGAAGACATGCCTAGATTCCATAAGGAAAGGGCATGAAAGCTCTGCACCACTCCCCTCCCCAATGTCTTGCCCTATGTATTTCTTCATTTTGCTATACATCTGTATTATTTATAATAAAATGGTAGTCACAAGTGCAGCACTTTCTAGCAAATTATTTAGCCCAGAAAGAGATCATGGGAACCCATGTACTTGTAGCTGGCCAGGCAGTAGAATGAGTTGTTTGGGGAAAATGATATTTGTGGCTGGTATCTGAAGTGGGGACAGTCTTTTGGGACTGAGCCCTTAACTTGTGAGCATCTACACTAACTCCAGATTGTTGATGTCAGAATTGAAAGACTTTGCCCTTAATCTGTGGAATCTGTACTAGTCACAGGTGGTTATTGCCAGAATTGAATCGAATTTTGGGATACCCAGTAGATGTTAGAGAGTTGGTGCAGGAATACTGAGCAGTTGAAATCATGTGTTATTGAGTAACCTCACAAGAGTATAGCGGTAAAGGGTCCAGAATGGAGCCTTAATTGGCTAGTGATGGTACAGTGATAAAGAGAAATATCCACTATTCATGAAGGACCTTGATGTCACTCTTTAGTGTATTAGTCCTTATCCAAGAGCAGCTTCAGTTGGACTTTATGGTAGGCAAAATAATGGCCTCCTGAGATGCTTTTCATCCTAATCCTCAGAACCTGTGAATATGTTACTTTATATGGAAAAGGAGAATTATGATAATATATGGAATTAAGGTTAACCTTAAAGTGGGGATATTATCATGAAGTATCTAGATGGGTCCAGTGTAATTTCAAGGGTCCTTAAATGTGGAGGAGGGAGGCAGGCAAAATGAGTCAGAATGATGTGTTATAAGAATGACTCAACTGGCCACTGCTGCCATTAAAGATAAGACAAAGGAGTCCATGAGCCAAGAAATGTAGGTGACACTTAGAAGCTAGAAAAGGAACACAGCCCTGATGACACCTTGATGTTAGTTCAGTGAGCCCCATTTCAGAATTCTGATCTCCAGAATTCTAAGTAACAAATTTGTATTATTTTAAGCCACTATGTTCGTTGTATGATCATGCACAATATTAAAGACATTTCAGTCACTGAAGGACTACATAGATGACAGTGCTCTCATAAGATTGTGATGGAGCAAAAAAATTTCTATCACCTAGTGATATTGCAGCAATCATGCTGTTGTAAGCATTGTGAGATCATAGCCATCATAATATCATAGAACAACACATTATTCATATGTTTGTAGTGATGCTAGTGTGAACAAACCTACTGTGTTGCCAGTCATATAAAAGTATAGCACATACAGTTATGCATATTAAATAATACTTCATAATGATAATAAATGACTATGTTGCTAGTTGATGTATTTATTATACTATACCATGTTTTTATTGTTATTTTAGACTGTACTCCTTCTACTATAAAAATGACTGAAGAAATCTCAGGAAGGTCTTTCAGGAGGTATTCCAGAAGAAGGTATTGTTATTATGGGAAATGACAGCTCTATGCATGTTATTGCCCCTGAAGACCTTCTAGTAGAACAAGATATGGAGGTGGAAAACAGTGATATTGATGATGCTGGCCCTGTGTAGGCCTAGGCAAATATGTGTGTTTATGTCTTCCCTTTAAACACAAAAGTTTAAAAGTTAAAAAAATTAGAAAAACTTGGGTTGGAGCAAGATGAGCAAGATGGTGGAATAGAAGGCTCTACTGATCATCCCCCTACAAAGACACCAATTTAACAACTATCTACACATAAAAAAGCACCTTCACGAGAACCAAAAATCAGGCAAGCCCTCAACATACCTGGTTTTAACTTCATACCACTTAAAGAGGCAATGAAGAGATAGAGATAGGAAAAACAGTCTTGAATCACCAATACCACTCTGTTCCCAACCTCCAGCAGGGGTGGTGTGTAGAGAGTGTTTCTGTGTTCTAGGGAGTGTGAGGGCACAGCAGTTGTGAAGGACTGAACTCAGTGCTGACCTCTTATAATAGAAAACAAAACTGAAACAAACTCAGCTGACGCCCAACCATGGGGGGGAGTATTTAAACCAGCCCTAGCCAGAAGGGCAATTGCCCATCCCAGCAGTCAAAACTTGAGTTCTGACAAGACTCACCACCATGGACTAAAGTGTTCTGGGGCTCTGAATAAACTTGAAATGCAGTCTAGGCCACAAAGACTGCAACTCCTAGTCAAGTTCTGGTACTGACTGGGCCCAAAGACAGTGGACTGGTGGGGCACAAGACCTACTGAGAAATCAGTGGGAATTGTTAAAGGAATACTGACATCACCCCTCCCCTAACCCCAGGCTACACGGCTCATGGTTCCAAAAGAGACCCCTTCTTTCTGCATGAAAAGAGAACAGGGAAGAGTCGGGATAACTTTTCTTGCATCTTGGATACCAGCACAGCCACAGTAGGATAAGGCACCAGCCAGAGTCATGAGGCCCCCTTTCCAGGCCTTAGTTCTTGGTTGATATTTCTAGACACACCCAGTGCCAGAAGGGAACACACTGCCTCGAAGGGAAGAACCCAGTCCTGGCAGGATTCAGCACCAGCTAACTGAAGAGCTGGATATTACCAGCAGTAATATCCAGGAACTACATAGAGGGCCCTGTGTGAGCCTCTTGAGACTTGCTGACTTAAGGTGAGACTCAAAACATAATCAACTGTGGTGGCTATGGGGTAAAATTCCTTCTGCTTGAGAAAACTGGAGGGAAAAGTAAAGGACATTTTGTCTTGCCAGTCAGGTATCAGCTTGGCCACAGGGGAGTAGAATACAAAGCATGTTCTTGTGGTCCCCAATTCCAGGACTAGGCCCTTGAACAGTATTTTTGGACTTGCTCTGGGCCAAAATGGAGCCTACTACCGTGAAGTGTGAGTCCCAGGCTATGCAGCATTTACCAAAACCTGACTGAAGAGCCCTGGGACATTAACAGAACATCAGTGGTAGTCTGGCAGTACTCTCCATGGGCCTGAGGTGGTGGCAGCCATGGGGTAAGGCTGCTCTACCTTTGAAAAAAGGAGGGAAAAGTGAGAAGGACTGTGTTTTTTGGTTAGAGTGCCAGCTCAGCCACAGTGCAATAAAACACCAGGTAGACAGCTATGGTTTTTGACTCTGGTCCCTTACTCCTAGACGGCACCCTTGGACCAACCCAGGGCCTGGGGAACTCACTGTCCTGAAGGGAATGACACTGGTCTAACTGGATTTGCCATCTGCTGATATTAGAGAACCAGGGCCTTGAGATGACATGGGCAATAGTCAGGGAATGGTTACAGCACATCTTGGGGAAGACCCCATGCTGCACTGGCTTAAGGTCTGACTCAGCACAGCACTAGTGGTGGTGGCCACAGTGTTCCTGGTGTCACTCCAACTTCAGTTCCATGTGGCTCCAAACAGAGAGAAACTACATTTGTTTGAGTGAAAGTAAGGGAAGAGCACAAGTGTCTCTGCCTGGTTATACAGAGAATTATCCTGGGTCTTGTCCAAGACCATCAAGGTGGTACCTCTATGAGTCTGTAAGAACCACAGCATTATTGGGTTTGGGGTGTCCCCTAAAGTAGATACAGCTTAAATCATAATATCCAAGTCATTTTGAATACCTGGAAAGTGTTCCCAAGAAGAATGAGTACAAATAAACCCAGACTGAGTGGAAGACAATAAATATCTAACTCTCCAGTCCCTAGATACAGACAAACATTTACAAGTATCAGAATCATCCAGGAAAATATGGCCTCCCAAATGAACTAAATAAGCCACCAGGGACCAATTCTGGAGAAACAGAGATATGTGACCTTTCAGACAGAATTCACAATAGCTGTTTTGAAGAAACTCAAAGAAATTCAATATAACACAGAAGGAATTCAGAATTCTAACAGACAAATTTAATAAAGAGATCAAAATAACTAAAAATAATCAATCAGAAATTCTGGAGCTGAAAAATGCAACTGGCTTACTGAAGAATGCATCAGAGACTGTAAATAGCAGAATGGATCAGGAAGAAAAAAGAATTAATGAGCTTGAAGACAGGCTATTTGACAGTCAGAGGAGATAACAGAAAAAAAAGAACAAAAAACAATGAAGCATGCCTATAGGATCTAGAAAATAGCCTGAAAAGGGCCAATCTAAGAGTTATTGGCCTTAAAGAGGAGATAGAGAAAGAGATAGTGGAAGAAAGATTATTCAACAGGATATAACTGAGAACGTCCCAAATCTAGACAAAGATATCAATATTCAAGTACAACAAGGTTCTAAAATGCCAAGCCCATTTAACCTAAAGAAGATTACTTCAAGGCATTTAATAATCAAACTCCCAAATATCAAGGATAAAGAAAAAACCCTAAAAGCAGTAAGAGAAAAGAAACAAATTACATACAATGGAGCTCCAATACATCTAGCAGGAGAGTTTTCAATGATAACCCTACAGGCCAGGAGAAAGTGGCATGACATATTTAAAGTGCTGAAGAAAAAAATCTTTTACCCTAGAATAGCATATTCCAAAAAAATACCCTTCATGCATGCAGGAGAAATAAAGACTTTCCCCAACAAAGAAAAGCTGAAACATTTAATCAACAGTACACCTGTTGTACAAGAAATGCCAAAGAGAGTACTTCAATCAGGATGAAAAGGACATTGATGAACAATAAGAAATCATCTCAAGGTACAAAATTCACTGGTAATACTAAGTAAACAGAAAACACAGGATATTACTAAAATGTAGCTGTGGTGTGTAAGTTCACTTTATCTTAAATAGAAAGACTAAATGTGAATGAGTCAAAAATAATATAAGAACTACAAAAACTTTTCAAGACCTACACAGTACAATAAGACAAAAATAGAAACAACAAAATATTGAAAAGCGGGGAGATGAACACAAGGCTTAGAGGCTTTATAACTTTTGTTCCTGTTTGTTTGCTTATTTATGCAAACAGTGTTAAGTTGTTATTGGTGTAAAGTAATGGGTTATAAGATAATATTTGCATGCCTCATGGTCACCTAAAACCAAAAACACATACAATGGATACACAAAATATAAAAATCAAGAAACTAAATCATAACACCACAGAAAATCACCTTCATTGAAGGAAGACAGGAAGGAAAGAAAAACCACAAAACAACCAGAAAACCAATAACAAAATGGGAGAAGTCCTTACTTATCAACAATAATATTAAATGTAAATAGACTAAACTAATCAAAAGCCAGAGAGTGGCTGAATGGATTAAAAAAACAAGACCCAATGAGCTGTTGCCTACAAGAAATACACTTAACGTATAAAGACACACACACAGACTGAAAATTAAGGGATAGAAAAAGATATTCCATGCCAATGGAAACCAAAAAAGAGCAGTATACTTATATCAGACAAAATAGATTTTGAGAAAAAACTTTAAGAAGAGACAAAGAAGATCACTATATAATGATAAAGGGGTCTATTTAGAAAGAGAATATAACAACTTTAAGTATATTTGCACCAACTGTGAAGCACGCAGACATATAAAGCAAATATCATTAGAGCTAAAAAGACAGACTCCAATACAATAACAAATGGAGATTTCAACAGTCCACTTTCAGCACTGGACAGATCATCCACACAGAAAATCAACAAAGAAACGTTGGACTTAGTCTGTCTGCACTATAGAACAAAGGGATCTAATAGACATTAACAGAACATTTCATCCAAGAGCTAAAGAGACTAAACATTCTTTTCCTCAACACATAGCAAAGCAAGTAACAAAGCAAGTCTTAAAACATTCAAAAAATTGAAATAATATCAAGCATTTTTTCTGACCACAAGGGAATAAAACTAGAAATTGATATAAGAAGAATGTTGTAAACTATACAAATACATGGAAATTAAACAATATGCTTCTGAATGACCAGTGGGTCAGTGCAGATATTAAGAAGAAAATTGAAAAATTTCTTGAAAGAAATGATAATGGAAACACAACATACCAAAACCTAGTACAGCAAAAGCAGTACTAAGAGGGAATTTTATAGCTGTAAGTGTCTACATCAAAAAAAGAGAAAAAAAAAAAACTTCAAATAAACTTTCTAATGATGGATCTTGAAGAATTAGAAAAGCAAGAGCAAATCAAACCCAAAATTAGTAGAAGAAAAGAATTAATAAAGATCAGAACAGAAATAAATAAAATTGAAATGAAGAAGACAATACAAAAGATGAAACAAAAGTTACTTTTTTGAAAAGTTAAACGAAATTGACATACTTTTAGCCAGACTAAGAAAAAATGAGAGAATATACAAATAAATAAAATTCAAAATGAAAAAGGAGACATTCCAGCTACTACTGACAAAATTCAAAGGATCATTAGTGGCTACTATGAGCAACTATATACTAGTAAATTGGAAAATCTAGAAGAAATTAACAAATTCCTAGACACGTGGAACATACCAGCATTGAATTATGAAGAAATCAAATATCTGAACAGTGCAATAACAAGTAAGGAAATCGAAGCTGTACTAAAACCTGTCACAGTAAAGAAAAGCCTGGTACCTAATGGCTTCACTGCTGAATTCTACTAAACATTTAAGAAAGAACTAATGCCAATCCTTCAACTATTCTGAAAAGTAGGTAAGAATTGAAAACCTCCAAACTCATTTTACAAGACCAGTATTACCTTGACAGCTAAACCAGACAAATACACATCAAAAAAAAGAAAATTACAGGTCAATATCCCTGATGAATATTGATGCAAAGATCCTCAAAAATACTAGCAAACCAAATGCAATAATACATTAAAATGATCATTCATCATAACCATGTGGGATTTATCCCTGGGATGCAAGGATGCACCAACATAGGCAAATCAATGAATTTGATACATAATGTCAATTGAATGAAGGTCAAAAACCATATAATCATTTCAGTTGATGCTGAAAAAGCATTTGATAAAACTTAACATCCCTCATGATAAAAACTTTGACAACACTGAGAATAGAAAGAACATACCTCAACATAATAAAAATCATATATGACAGACCCACAGCTAGTATTATACTGAATGAGAGAAAACTGAAAACATTTTTTCTAACATCTGGAACATGACAAGGATACCCAGTTTCTCCACTGTTATTCCACATATTACTGAAAATCCTAGCTAGAGCAATCAGATAATATAGGGGAATAAAGGACATCCAAATCAGAATGTAAGAAATCAAATTATCCTTGTTTGCACATGATATCATCTTATATTTGCAGAAACATAAAGACTTACAATAGAACTATTAGAACTGATAAACAAATTCAGTAAAACTGCAGGATACAAAATCAACATACAAAAGTCGGTAGCACTTAAATATGTCAACAGTGAACAACCTGAAAAAGAAATAATAAAAGTAATCCCATTTACAATAGCCATAAGTAAAATTAAATAATTAGGATTTAACTTAACCCAGGAAGTGAAAGATCTCCTTAATGAAAACTATAAAACAATTTGAAAAGAATTTAAGAGGACACCAAAAATGGAAAAATATTCCATGTTCACAGATTGGAAGGATCAATATTTTTATAATGCCTGCACTACACAAAGCAATCTACAGATTCAATGCAACCCCTATCAAAATACAAATGATGTTCTTCACAGCAACAGAAAAAACAATCCTAAAATGTATGTGGAGCCACAAAAAATCCAGAGTAGTCAAAGCTATTCTAAGCAAAAAGAACAAAACTGGAAGAATCACATTACCTGACTTCAGATTATACTACAGAACTTTAGTAATCAATACTGCATGTTACTGGCATGAAAACAGACATGTACACCAATGAAACAGAATAGAGAACCCAGAAAAAAATCCACACACTGACAGTGAACTCGTTTCTAACAATGATGCCAAGAACATATACTGGGAAAAGACAATGTCTTAAATAAATGGTGTTAGGAAAAATAGGATATTCATATGTAGAAGAATGAACTGGACCCCTGTGTCTTGCCATATACAAAAATCAAATCAATATGGCTTAAAGACTTAAGACCTCAAGCTATGAAACTACTAAAAGAAAACATTGGGAAATCTCTCAAGGACATTTGTCTGGGCAAACCTTTTTCGAGTAATACCCCACAAGCACAGATAACCAAACCAAAAATGGACAGATGCGATCATATCATGTTAAAAAGCTTCTGCGTAGCAAAGGAAACAATAAACAAATTGAAGAGATAACTCAGAGAATGGGAGAAAATATTTGCAAGCTACCTATCTAACAAGAGATGAATAACCAGAATATATAAGGAGCTCAAACAACTCTATAGGAAAAATCTAGTAATCCAATCAAAAGATGAGCAAAATATTTGAAAAGGCGTTACTCAAAAGAAGACATATACAAATGTCAAACAGGCACATGAAAAGGTGGGCAACATTAGTGATCATCAGAGAAATACAAATCAAAACTACAATGAGCTATCATCTCACCTCAGTTAAAATGGCTTATATCCAAAAGACAGGCAACAACAAATGCTGGTGAGGATGTGGAGATAAGGGAACCCTTGTATGCTGTTTACGGAGAACAGTTTGGAGGTTCTTCAAAAAAACTAAAAGTAGAGCTACCATATGATCCGGCAATCCTACTACTGGTTATATACCTAAAAGAAAAGAAATCAGTGTAAGGAAGACATATCTTCATTCCCATGATTGTTAAAGCCAAAATTCACAACAGCCAAAATTTGGAAGTAACTTAAGTGTCTATCAATAGATGAATAGATAAAGAAAATGTACTTATTCACAAAGAAGTACTAGTCAGCTACAAGAAAGAATGGGACCCTGTCATTTGCAAAAACATGGATGGAACTGGAGATCATTATGTTAAGTGAAATAAGCCAGGAACAGTAAGATAAACTTCACATATTCTCATTTATTTGTGGGGCCTAAAAATCAAAATAATTTTATTTGTAGACATAAAGAGCAGAAGGATGGCTATCAGAGGATGGTAAAGGGAGTGGGAGGGCATGGGGGAAGTGGGGATAATTAATAGGTAAGAAAACATTAGAAAGAAAAAATAAGACTTACTATTTGACAGCACAAGAGGGTGACTATAATCAATACTAATTTAATTGTATATTTTAAAATAACTAAATATAATTTGATTATTTGTATCACAAAAGATAAATGGTTGAGGGGATGTATACACCATTCTTTATGATGGGATTATTACACATTGCATGCCTGTATGAATATATCTCGTGTATACCATGAATGTATACACTTATTTACCCACAAAAATTAAGAATTAAAAAAGTTTAAAAAAGAATAATCAGGGAAACATGACACCAGCAATATTACACTGCCAAAAGAATAAAATAAAGCACCAGAAACCATCCCCAAGAAATAAAGATTTATGAACTCCTTGACAAAGTATTCAAAATAATTGTTTTAAGGAAGCACAGTGAACTTCAATAAAAGGCAGATAAACATCTTAATTAAATCAGTAAATAATAAATTACTACAATGAGAGATTAACAGAGAGATTTATTTTTTTGTAATGGACTACAAATGTTGACAGGGCTGTGGAGGAACTGGAACTCATATATTCCTGGTGGGAATATAAAATACTCCATCCACTTTGGAAAACAATTTGGCAATTTCTTAAAAACTGAAGTCTACACATACCTTATGATGCAGTCATTCTCTTCCTCAGCATTTACCCATGAGAAATGAAAGCCTATGTCCATGCAAAGACTTATATATGAATATATTTACAGCAGCATCATTGGTAATAGCCAAAAACCCAGAAATATTTCAAATGTTATGAGCAGGTGAATGAAAAAAGAAAATCTGGTATATCTATACAATGGAATACCACATAACAATAAAAATGAATAAACTATTGACACCTGATATAACATGTTTGAGTCTCAAAATAATTATGGTGCATTAAAGAAGCCAGACCCAAAAGCATGCATACTATATGTACAAATCCATTTTATGTTGCCATAAAAGAATATGCTCTGTGTAAATTATAAGGAAAAAATTTATTTCTTAGAGTTCTGGAGGTTAGGAAGTTCAAGGTCAAGGGGCACACATCTGGTGATGGCCTTATTGCTATGTCATCTCATGGCAGAATGTAGAAGGGTAAGTGAGTGAGAATGAGCAAGATAAGGAAAGAGAGAAGGAGATAAGCTCATCCTTTAATCATGAATCTTCTTCTGAGATAACAAAACCACTCCTAAGATAACAACGTTAATACACTCATGAGGGCAGAGCCCTCATGTTCTAATCACCTTTTAACAGTCCCACTTCTTAACGCTGTCACAATGGCAATTAAATTTTCAACATGGGTTTTTGAAAAGGCCTTCAAACCATAGCACTGTGTGATTCAATTTATATAAAACTCTAGAAAACTACAACTAATATGTAGTGACTGAAAGAAGATCAATGGCTGTCTGTGGGGGAGGAGCAAGAATGAGTAATTACAAAGGGGCAAGAAGAACATCTGGGGATGAATGATAGATATGTTTACTATCCTCACTGTTGTAATTCTTTTATGAATATTATACATATATGTGTTTATATATTTCTACACTTTCAAT
Source organism: Homo sapiens (assembly GCF_000001405.40). Taxonomy (NCBI): domain Eukaryota; kingdom Metazoa; phylum Chordata; class Mammalia; order Primates; family Hominidae; genus Homo; species Homo sapiens. The sequence goes on along the minus strand of NC_000023.11, from coordinate 109,256,531 downwards.
ATGTGTACTTTATTTTATATCAGTTATATCTGAAAAAACTATTAAAAAGATAAAACAGAAATTTAAAGTAACATCAAAAGAAAGTAGTTAAATTGCTGATATATAGTTGGAATCTGCACAATGTCCATAGTCTGATTGAAGCACTTACCCATACAGTTTAAGCATTAGTTAGCAAGCAATCTTTTAAAAGTCTTAAACCACTGCTTCTCTTTCCCTCTGGGAATACATAACAAGTAAAGGTTATGACTCAGTCATTTTCCATGGCTGGACACAACCACAAACACTTCCCCCATCGCTACTCCTCTGCCCAGTTCTATACAACCTTAGCTTTTGTTTGTATGGAAATATTTACTAAGCATCTATAATATATCAGGCACTGTATTAGGCAGTGGTGAAGGCCAAGGTGTCAGATGCAAAAGTGAATAAGACATGGTGCCAGCCCTTAAAAAGCTACAGTGGTAAATAGGACAAAACATCATCCAAGTGCAAAGAGCAGTTTGTTTTCCATACTCCAGTGTCTTTCTGCTCTCTACCTTATTCCTCCTATTAGAAAAAGATTGATAAGATTCAGGTTTGCAATCCATTAATGTCAATAAATCTCTGGAAGGACTATAGCAGTGCCTGCCTACATGATCCCTGGAGCTGCTGGGAGCCAAAATGTCTGGGAAACTGGAGCCTTTCCTGTCCCTCTGGCTCTTGCCTGAATTCACAACCTTTATCAGAGCTCTGGCTCTCAATCTGCCTGAAAACATGAATGAAGTTCCTGAGAATCCAGAGTCCATTAAAAACTCCACCTGGGTTTTTACCTCCCCAGCTATCCAGCTCCTCTTATCTCCATTTATGTACCACACATCCCCAACCCTCAACCAATCTAACTGAACCATATGGCCTGCAATTTGTGCCTCTAGGAGTCCTTTGGATACCCGGGGTATCCAAATGAACTCCAGAGTGTCATCAGATTGGGAAGCCCAGGGTTATGATATAACATGAAAAATAGGTTGGAAGCACCAGATGATTCAGCCTAGAGTCTTTGGACAAAAATAAAAAATAAGCATTTCATCTAGCTATATGTCAAAGATTGAGAAATTAGTCATTTACATTGACTTCCCAATGTATGCCACCCATTAACCAAAAAGCACAGTTATTTCTATGCAAATTATCCAATGTGTATCAGAAAAATTTAGTTGTTAGCTGCATTTGATCACAACATCAAATTCTCATAAATACTCAAGCTCCAAAGTGGTTTCTTCTCTTCAACCACTTTAGAACATGTTTCTTCATGACACAAGAACGTGATGTCACACCCTGTTGATGCTGAAGCAAGAAACTCCTGTTGGTTTCCTATACTGTGATGTGCCAAGTTGTAACATTTTCTAGAATTATGCAAGACCAATGAGTTCCATCCCTGGTTAATTCATGCCTCGTATATTTAAAGTTATTCAGAGAATGAGCATCACATTCTACTTTAGGAGACTGATCCTTTTCTGTACCTAACTTCACTGCAATATAGTGTTAAGATGAACATTGACTTACAGTTAAACTCCCCAAGCCTCATTTTCCTAATCTGTAAATCAATAAAGCAGAACTACATCTCTAAAACCACAATCTCTAAAGTTCCTTTTATTTCTGGCATTCAGTGATTTTTTCAATTCATTTTCATACTCAATCAGTAGTCAAATATTCCCTAGCATGTGCTATGTGCCAGACACTGCACTACGTAGGGAAGTGGTGGGGGCATCAGATACAAGAATGAGTAAGACATGGTCCCAGCCCTTAAAAAATCTCATAGATGGGAATTGAACAATGAGAACACATGGACACAGGAAGGGGAACATCACACTCTGGGGACTGTTGTGGGGTGGGGGGAGGGGGGAGGGATAGCATTAGGAGATATACCTAATGCTAAATGACGAGTTAATGGGTGCAGCACACCAGCATGGCACATGTATACATATGTAACTAACTTGCACATTATGCACATGTACCCTAAAACTTAAAGTATAATAAAAAAAAAATCTCTAGTGGGCTTTATTTCCATGGCATCTTAAAGGTCTTAAACATTTTCATCAGGGGATGAGTGCCATTGTTGTGTGTATTTGTATTTTGAAGGAGGAATAAAATCTTACCTACATTTAGAAAGCCAGATCAATTCAGTGGAAATGACTGAAGAGGCTGTTGCAGTGGTGCCCGGCAGAAGTGAGGAGGGCTTGAGCTAAAGAGACTGGAGATGAAGGGACACATTAACAGTTATTCAACAATGTTAAATCAGTAAAATTTCAGGGCCTCTTAAGTGCTTTGCAGTACCACTTGGAGCATGCAAAATAGTATGAGGGCCTGCCTATGCCTTCATAGTTAAGAAGACAGTACATCCTCTCTTGAAAAAGTCAAGAAAAACAAACATTTTGCTGTGGAACAATGAGCCTGGAAAAACTAATTTGTAATATGGAAAGTTGTTTCAAGCTAGTTGTGATAATTAATTCTCATTCCATAGTAGATAATAAATACCATGGGGGTTAAAAGGAGGAAAGAAATGTGCACCAACTGGAGCACTAAAGTAAAACTTCATAGAGAAAGGGTTTGGGATATCTCTGGTAAAAGGAGAAATATGCAAAGACAACAAGGCATAGGTTGGGAATGCCATGTGGTTTGTTGGTGGAATAGAATGTAGTGGGTGAGAGTAGTGTGGGATAGATGATTAAGCTATATTGAAGATAAAGTTGAATTAGACAGGTTGAAGTAAAATCTAAGAATGTGCCTAAAGCTGTGCTAGATATTTATGACTCCCAGTAAGATGGCAGAATAGGAGTTTTCTACCATTGTCCCCCAATTGTGCATCAAATTTGATAACCAGCCATGGACTGGAGTACCTTTGTGTAAGTCCAGAGGTCCAGTGGAGAAGTTCCAGCATACCATTGGAGCAAAAAAAAAAAAAAAATAGAGGATAGACACTTTAAAAAGGTAAAAAGAACATTTTCACTTTACCCATGTAACCCTGCCTCCAAGGCAGTATAACTCAGTGCTAAGAGAAACCCCCATCAACCCATAATTCATACAGTGGGGAAAAGTGAGTATATTGTAAGTGAGCACCAAGAACTTCCAGTTGTGTAGAATGCTGCCTATGAGTCACATTTTTTCTTGCCCTACACATAATACTAAGGGGATCAGCACAGTTGAGTGACTGGGAGATGCCTAAAAGTAGGGGAGAGGGGAAAGGTGTAGTGTTTTCTAATGTGATTAAGATTAAATTGCTTTCAGCTTGAAATAGGCTGTTAAAACTATAAAATGTTTTGTTTAAGGATCATAGCAACTACAAAGCAAAATCTATAGCAGATACACAAAAGAGAGACAGGAATCAAATCATACCACTACAGAAAATTATCAAATCACAAAGGGAGACAGGATGAGATGAAGAAATGAACAAATGAACTACAAAACAGAAAATAATAAACTAACAGCCATAAATCTTTATCTATCAATAATTACTTCAAATGGAAGTGAACTAAAATTTTTAATCAAGAATGGCTGAATGCTTTTTTTTTTTTAACGACCCACCTGTATGCTGCTTACAAGAGACTCACTTTAGCATTAAGGACATATAGAATGAAAGTAAGAGGATGCAGAAACATGTTACACAAATGAAAATCAAAAGAGAGCTTGGGAGCTATATTTATATCAGACAAAATAGACTGAACATCAAATACTGTGGCGAGAGACCAAGAGGTTGACTGATTAAAATAATATAACAATTGTAAATATATATGCACCTGACATTGGGGCACTTAAATACATAAAACAAATATTAACAGATCTAAAGGCAGAAATTGACAGCAATACAATAATATTAGGGGACTTCAATACTTCACTTTCAACAATGGCTAGATCATTCAGATATGAAATCATCAAGGAAACAGCACATTTCAACTATACCTTAGACAAAATGAATCTAACAGACACAGACAGCATTCCATTCAACAGCAGGATAAATACATATTCCATTCAAGTACACATGGGATATTCTTGAGTATAAATCATATATTATGTCAGAATCAAGTCTTAACAAATTTAAGAATATTGAGATCATATTAAATATCTCTACCATTGACAACAGTATAAAACTAGAAATCAACAACAGGAGAAAAACTAGAAATTTACAAATATGTGGAAATTAAATAGCATACAACTGAGCAGACAATGGGTAAAAGAAGAAATCAAAGAGAAAATTTTAAAAATACCATGAGACAGGTGAAAATGAAAACAAGACATACCAAAACTTATGCAGCAAAAGCAGTTTCAAAAAAAGACTATTACAACAATAAAATACCCACATAAAGAAAAAAGAAAGGTGTCAAATAAACAACTTTAGTTTACACTTAAGGAAATATAAAAAGAAGAACAAACTAAGGACAAACAGCATAAATAAATAAAATATTAAGGAAAAATAGAAAAGATGAATGAAACTAAGAGTTGGATGTCTAAAAAGAAGAATAAAATTGCCAAGACTTTAGCTAGACTAAAATGAAAAAGACTCAAATACATTGAATCAAAAATGAAAGTAGAGACATTATAAATAATACCACATAAATAATAAGGATCAGAAAAAAATACTATGAACAATTATATGCCAACAAATTAGGTAACCTAAAAGAAATCAATAGACTTCTAGAAACTTAGAACCTACCAAAACTGAATCATGAGAATGGAAAATTTGAATTGTTGGATAAAATGTAAGGAAACTGACTCAGTAATCAAAAATATTCCAACACAGAAAAGCCCCTGATGGCTTCACTGTTAATTCTACCAAATATTTAATGAATAATTAATGCAATCATTCTCAAACTCTTCTGAAAAAATTTAAGAGGAAGGAACACTTCTATATTCATCTTATGAGGCTAGTGTTACCCTTACCCCAAAGTCAAATAGGGATACTACAAGGAATAAAAAATACAGGGAAATATCCTTGACAACCATAGATACAAAAATCCTCAACAAAATACTATCAAACCAAGTTCAACAGCACATTAAAAGTATATTTCATCACAATCAAGTGGGATTTGTCCTGGGGATGCCAAGATGGTCCAACATATGCAAATCAACAAATGCAATACATCATATTAACAGAACAAAAACCAATAACCATATGATCATCTCATTAGAAGCAGAAAAAGTATTTGATGAAATTTAACATCCTTTCATGATAAAATCTCTCAAGTTAGGTATAAAAGAAATGTACCTCAATGCAATAAAGGTCATAAACTAGCCCACATCAAACCTTATACTCAATGATAAAAAATTGAAAGCTTCTCCTTTAAGATCAGGAATAAGAAAAGAATGCCCATTTTGCCACCTCTAGTCAACATAGTAGTGGAAGTCCTAGCTAGAGCAATTAGATAAGAAAAAGAGATAAAAGACATCCAAATTAGAAAAGAAGCAAACCTGTCTCTGTTTGCAGATACATGATCATATATATGCATAACTCCACATATGCCAATAAAAATTGTTAGAATTAATAAACAAATATGCTGAAGTTTTGGGATACAAAATCAACACATAAATATTAATGGCCTTTCTATTTACTAATAATTAACTGCCCACAAAAGCAATTAAGAACAGAAATCCCATTTATAATACAACAAAAAGAATAAAATACTTAGTAATAAATTTATACCAGGAGGTAAAAAATCTGTAAATTGAAAGCTACAAAATATTAATGAGAGAAATTTATGAACACACAAATCAATGAAAATACATTCCATGATTGTTGATCAAAACAACCAATATTATCAAAATGTCCATGTTACCCAAAACAATCTATAGATTTAATGCGATCTGTATAAAAATTCCATGGCATCTTTCACAGAAATTTCTGAAAATCCTAAAATTTGCATAGAAACATAAAAGAGCCTGAATAGCTAAAGCAATCTTGAGCAAGAAGAAAGCTGAAGACATCATACTTCTTCATTTCAAATTTTATTACAAAGCTATAATATTTAAAACAGTATGGTACTGGCATAAAAATAGACACACTGACCAATAGAACAGAATAGAGAGACCAGAAATAAATCCATGCATTTATGGTCAATTGATTTCAAACAAATGTGCCAAGAACACATAATGGGAAAAGAAGAGTTTGTTCAATAATTAGTGTTGGAAAAACTGGATATCCACATGCAGAAGAATTAAAATGGACACTCATGTCACACAATATACAAGAATCAACTCAAAATGGATTAAAGGCTTGAACATAAGACGTGAAGTCCATAAAACTACAGAAGAAAACATGGAGGAAAAACTACATAACATTGGTCTGGGCAATGATTCTTTGGATTTGGCTCCAAATGTCCAGGCATCAAAAGTAAAAATAGGCAAATGGAAACACATCAAACTAAAAAGCTTCTGCACAGCAAAGAAAACAATTAACAGAGTGAAGAGAGAACCTATGAACTGGGAGAAAATATTTGCAAGTCATAGATCTGGTATCCAAAATTATAAGGATCTCATACAACTCAATACCAAGAAAACAAATAACCCAATTAAAAAATGGGCAATGGACCTCAATAGACATTTATCAAAAGACATAAATAGCCAATAGATATATGAAAAAATGCTCAACATCATTAAATATTGGGAAAATGCAGATTAAAATCATAGTATCACCTCACACCTCTCAGAGTGGTTATTATCACAAGAAGGATGACAGGTATTGGCAAAGCTATGGGCACACTTGCACACCATTGGTAGAAATGTAAGTACCACCATTATGAAAAACAGTACAGAGATTCTTCAAAAAACTAAGAATAAAACTACTATATGGTTTAGCAATCTCACTTCTAGGTGTGCATCTGAAGAGAATAATATCACTATTTTGAAAAGATATCAATGCTCCCATGTTCACTGCAGCATTATTTAAAATAGCCAAGATTTGGAATCAACTTGTGTCTGTCAACTGATGAATGAAAATGAATTTAACAGTAGTGTGGAAGCTTGATTGAAGTAAGGAGGAATTGGGAAGGCCAATTAGAAGGCTATTGGAGTATATTATATATACATTCTGCCCTGTTGATTTCCCTTTTTACACACACACACACACACACACACACACACGGACACACACCACTTACTTCTCTATTACCTGGGTAACTAGTGAAGAAAGGTCCTTATCCCTCTGGGCCCTAGGTCCTATTTCAACAGCCTAAGGTTTAAATCACCACCGAATAGGAATTTCAGATAACTTTTCCCTTGGTGCTAGTTTTAGGCACCCAGCCTTTCCCCAAGTTTCATTGAGTTGAGCTTCCCATTGTGATTGGCACAGAGCTCTGAGTCAATCACACATTTGCCTGGCATGAAATTCTTAACTACAAGAGGGGCTTTCCAAGGTGGCTGAATAGGAACAGCTCCAGTGTGCAGCTCCCAGCATGATCGATGCAGAAGATGGGTGATTTCTGCATTTCCAACTGAGATACTTGGTTCATGTCACTGGGACTGGTTGGACAGTGGGTGCAGCCCACAGAGTGGGAGCTGAAGTAGGGTGGGGCATTGCCTAACCCAGGAAGTGCAATACATCAGGGGATTTCCCTTTCCTAGCCAAGGGAAGCTGGAAGAGACCACCTGGAAAAACGGGACACTCCCACCCAAATACTGTGCTTTTCCCAAGGTCTCAGCAACTGACAGACAAGGTGATTCTCTCCCGTACCTGGCTCAGTGAGTCCCACACCCATGGAGCCTTGCACACTGCTAGCTCAGCAGTCTGAGATCAATCTGTGAGGTGGCAGCCTGGCTGGCAGAGGGGTGTCTGCCATTGCTGAGGCTTGAGTAGGTAAAGAAAGCTGCCTGGAAGCTCAAACTGGGCAGACCCCACCACAGCTCAACAAGGCCTACTGCCTCTGGACTCCACTTCTGTGGGCAGGGCATAGCTGAACAAAAGCCAGCAGACAATTTCTGAAGACTTAAACATCCCTGTCTGACAGCTCTGAAGAGAGCGGTGGTTCTCCCAGCATGGCATTTGAGCTCTGAGAATGGACAGACTGGCCCCTCAAGTGGGTCCCTGACCTCCATGTAGCCTAACTGGGAGACACCTCCCAATAGAGGCTGATAGATGCCCCATATAGGCAGCTGCCCCTCTAGGAAGAAGCTTCCAGAAGAAGGATCAGGCAGCAATATTTGCTGTTCTGCAATATTTACTGTTCTGCAGCCTCTGCTGGTGATACCAAGGCAAACAGGGTCTGGAGTGAAACTCCAGCAAACTCCAACAGACCTGCAGCTGAGGGACCTGATTGTTAGAAGGAAAACTAACAAACAGAAAGGAATAGTATCAATATCAACAAAAAGGTCACTTATAGCAAAACCCCATCTGTGAGTCACCAACATCAAAGACTAAAGGTAGATAAAAACACAAAGATGGGGGGAAACCAGAGCAGAAAAGCTGAAAATTCTAAAAATCCAAGCACCTCTTCTCCTCCACAGGATCACAGCTCCTCACCAGCAACAGAACAAAGTGGGATGGAGAATGACTTTGATGAGTTGACAGAAGTAGGCTTCAGAAGGTCAGTAATAATAACAAACTTCTCCAAGCTAAAGGAGGATGTTTGAACCCATCACAAGGAAGCTAAAAACCTTAAAAAAAAAAGATTAGGTGAATGGCTAACTAGAATAAACAGTGTACAGAAGACCTTACATGACCTGATGGAGCTGAAAACCATGGCACAAGAATGTTGTGATGCATGCACAAGCTTCAATAGCCAATTCGATCAAGTGGAAGAAAGGGTATCAGTGATTGAAGACCAAATTAATAAAATAAAGTGAGAAGACAAGGTTAGAGAAAAAAGAGTAAAAAGAAATGAACAAAGCCTCCAAGTAATATGGGACTATGTGAAAAGACCAAATGTGCATTTAATTGGTGTACCTGAAAGTGATGGGGAGAATGGAACCTAGTTGGAAAACACTCTTAAGGATATTTTCCAGGAGAACTTCCCTAACATAGCAATGCAGGCCAACATTCAAATTCAGGAAATATGGAGAACACCACAAAGATAATCCTCAGGAAGAGCAACCCCAAGACACATAACTGTCAGATTCACCAAGGTTGAAATGAAGGAAAAACTGTTAAGGGCAGCAAGAGAGAAAGGTCGAGTTACCCACAAAGGGAAGCCCATCAGACTAACAGCGAATCTCTCAGCAGAAACCCAACAAGACAGAAGAGAGTAGGGGGCCAATATTCAACATTCTTAAAGAAAACAATTTGCAACCCAAAATTTCATATCCGGCCAAACTAAGCTTCATAAGTGAAGGAGAAATAAAATCCTTTACAGGCAAGCAAATGCTGAGAGATTTTGTCACCACCAGGCCTGCTCTAAAAGAGCTCCTGAAGGAAGCACTAAACATGGAAAGAAACAACGGGTACCAGACACTGTAAAAACAGGCCAAATTGTAAAGACCATTGAGGCTATGAAGAAACTGCATCAATTTACAGGCAAAATAACCAGCTAACATCATAATGACAGGATCAAATTCACACATAACAATATTAACTTTAATGTAAATGGGCTAAATGCTCCAATTAAAAGATACAGACTTGCAAATTGGATAAAGAGTCAGGACCCATCAGTGTGCTGTATCAGGAGACTCATCTCACAGGGAAAGATGCACATAAGCTCAAAATAAAAGGATGGAGGAAGATCTACCAAGCAAATGGAAAGCAAAAGAAAAGCAGGGGTTGCAATCCTAGTCTCTGATAAAACAGACTTTAAACCAACAAAGATCAAAAAGACAAATAAGGTTATTACATAATGATAAAGAGATCAATTCAACAAGAAGAGCTAACTATCCTAAATATATATGCACCCAGTACAGGAGCACCAAGATTCAAAAAGCAAGTCCTTAGAAACCTACAAAGAGACTTAGACTCCCACACAATAATAATGGGAGACTTTAACACCCCACTGTCAATTTTAGACAGATCAATGAGACAGAAGGTTAACAAGGATATCCAGAAACTGAACTCAGCTCTGCAACAAACAGACCTAATAGACATCTACAGAACTCTCCAACCCAAATCAACAGAATATACATTCTTCTCAGCACCACATCACACTTATTCTAAAATTGACCACATAATTGGAAGTAAAGCACTCCTCAGCAAATGAAAAGAACAAAAATGACAACAAACTGTCTCTCAGACCACAGTGCAGTCAAATTAGAACTCAGGATTAAGAAACTCACTCAAAACCACACAACTACATGGAAACTGAACAATGTGCTCCTGAATGACTACTGGGTAAATAATGAAATGATAGCAGAGAGAAAGATGTTCTTTGAAATCAATGAGGATAAAGACGCAACATACCAGAATCTCTGAGACACATTTAAAGCAGTGTGTAGAGGGAAATTTATAGCACTAAATGTCCACAAGAGAAAGCAGGAAAGATTGAAAATTGACACCCTAACATCACAATGAAGAGATCTAGAGAAGCAGGAGCAAACAAATTCAAAAGCTAGCAGAAGGCAAGAAATAACTAAGATCAGAGCAGAACTGCAAGAGACGGAGACATAAAAAAACCCTTCAAAAAATCAATGAATCCAGGAGCTGTTTTTTTGAAAACATAAACAAGTTGATAGGCTGCTAGCAAGACTAATAAAAAAGAAAAGAGAGAAGAATCAAATAGATGCAATAAAAAATGATAATGGGGACATCACCACCAATCTCACAGAAATACAAACTACCACCAGAGAATACTATAAACACCACTATGCAAATAAACTAGAAAATCTAGAGGAAATGGATAAATTCCTAGACACATACACCCTCCCAAGACTAAACCAGGAAGAAGTTGAATCTCTGAATAGACCAATAAGAGGCTCTGAAATTGAGGAAATAATTACTAGCCTACCAACCAAAAAAAGTCCAGGACCAGATGGATTCACAGACTAATTCTACCAGAGGCACAAAAAGGAGGTGGCACCATTCCTTCTGAAATTATTCCAGTTGATAGAAAAAGAGGGAATCCTCCCTAACTCATTTAATGAAGTCAACATCATCCTGATACCAAAGCTGGGCAGAGACACAACAAAAAAAAGAGAATTTCAGACCAATATCCCTGATGAACATCGATGTGAAAATCCTCAAGAAAATACTGGCAAGCTGAAACCAGCAGCACATCAAAAAGCTTGTCCACCACAATCAAGTCAGCTTCATCCCAGGGATGCAAGGCTGGTTCAACATACACAATTCAAACGTAATCCATCACATAAACAGAACCAATGACAAAAACCACATGATTATCTCAATAGATGCAGAAAAGACCTTTGACAAAATTCAACAGCCCTTCATGCTAAAAACTCTCAATAAACTAGGTATTGATGGAACGTTTCTCAAAATAATAAGAGCTATTTATGACAAAGCCACAGCCAATATCATCCTGAATGGGCAAAACCCGGAAGCATTCCCTTTGAAAACTGGCACAAGACAGGGATGCCATTTCTCACCACTCCTATTCAACATAGTGTTGGAAGTTCTGGCCAGGGCTATCAGGCAAGAGAAAGAAATAAAGGGTATTCAGTTAGGAAATTAGGAAGTCAAATTGTCCCTATTTGCAGATGACATGATTGTATATTTAGACAACCCCATCATCTCAGCCCCAAATCTCAAGCTGATTAACAACTTCAGCAAAGTCTCAGGATACAAAATCAATGTGCAAAAATCACAAGCATTCCTACACACCATTAACAGACAAACAGAGAGCAAATCATGAGTGAACTCCCATTCACAATTGCTACAAAGAGAATAAAATACCTGGGAATCCAACTTACAAGGGATGTGAAGGATCTCTTCAAGTAGAACTACAAATCACAGGTCAAGGAAATAAAAGAGGACACAAACAAATGGAAGAATATTCCATGATCATGGATAAGAAGAATCAATATCACTATAATGGCCATACTGCCCAAAGAAATTTATAGATTCAATGCCATCCCCATCAAGCTACCAATGACTTTCTTCAGAGAACTGGAAAAAACTACTTTAAAGTTCATATGGAATCAAAAAAGAGCCCACATTGCCAAGACAATCCTAAGCCAAAAGAACAAAGCTAGAGGCATCATACTACCTGACTTCAAACTATACTACAAGGCTACAGTAAACAAAAACAAAACAAACCAAACAGCATGGTACTGGTACCAAAACAGAGATATAGACCAATGGATCACAACAGAGCCCTCAGAAATAATGCCACATATCTACAGCTATCTGATCTTTGATAAATCTGACAAAAACAAGAAATGGGGAAAGGATTCCCTACTTAATAAATGGTGCTGGGAAAACTGGCTAGCCATATGTAGAAAGCTGAAACTGGATCCCTTCCTTACACCTTATACAAAAATTAATTCAAGATGGATTAAAGACTTAAATGTTAGACATAAAACCATAAAAACCCTAGAAGAAAACCTAGGCAATACCATTCAGGGCATAGGCATGGGAAAGGACTTCATGTCTAAAACACCAAAAGCAATGGCAACAAAAGCCAAAATAGACAAATGGGATTTAATTAAACTAAAGAGCTTCTGCAGGGCAAAAGAAACTACCATCAGAGTGGACAGGTGACCTACAGAATGGGAGAAAATTTTTGCAATCTACCCATCTTACAAAGGGCTAATATCCAGAATCTACAAAGAACTCAAACAAATTTCCAAGAATAGATCAAACAACCCCATCAAAAAGTGGGCATAGGATATGAACAGACACTTCTCTGAAGAAGACATCTATGCAGCCAATAGACATGTGAAAAAATGCTCATCATCACTGGTCATCAGAGAAATGCAAATCAAAACCATAATGAGATACCATCTCCCTCCAGTTAGAATGGCGATCACTAAAAAGTCAGGAAACAACAGATGCTGGAGAGGATGTGGAGAAATAGGAATGCTTTTACACTGTTGGTGGGAGTGTAAATTAGTTCCACCATTGTGGAAGACAGTGTGGTCATTCCTCAAGGATCTAGAACTAGAATTACCATTTGACCCAGTAATCCCATTACTGAGTATTTACCAAAAGGATTATAAATCATGCTATTACAAAGACACTTGCACACATATGTTTATTGTGGCACTATTCACAATAGCAAAGACTTGGAACCAACCCAAATGTCCATCAATGATACACTGGATTAAGAAAATGTGGCACATATACACCATGGAATACCATGCAGCCATAAAAAAGGATGAGTTCATGTCCTTTGTAGGGACATGGATGAAGCTGGAAACCATCATTCTCAGCAAACTATCACAAGGACAGAAAACCAAACACTGCATGTTCTTACTCATAGGTGGGAATTGAACAACGAGGTCACTTGGACACAGGGCAGGGAACATCACACATCGGGTCTGTTGGGAGGTGAGGGGCTGGGGGAGGGCTAGCATTAGGAGAAATACCTAACATAAATGATGAGTTGATGGGTGCAGCAAACAAACATGGCACATGTATACCTATGTATCAAACCTGCACGTTGTGCACATGTATCCTGGAAGTTAAAGTATAAAAAAAAAAAAAGGAATTCTTAACTAACTCCACTGCATTTCCTGGGATGTCCAAGTTTTCTTTCCCCTAACATTTATACAAAATAAGAGATCTGCAACTTCAGTTTCACTGTTTCTAGCAAACAGAACAGGCCCTGAAACTACAGTGACTTCTGGAGAGGAACTAGTTATCACAGGCATATAAGAACTAGAATGGCATTTACACAGCCATTCCAATTAGCTCAGGGTAGGAAAAATTCTCTTCCCTAGGGCAGCTTGTCTTTGATTTCCTAGAATGTCAGAGCTAATGGGTTCCTTAGAGATTATCCTCTGTCAGATGAAGTGCCTGAGACCCAGAGAGAACAAGTAGATTTTCCTAGATTACTCTCCTAATTAGTGATAGAAATGGGACTAGATGCAGTTTACTAAGCCCTGGGTCTGCCCCTTCTTTTCATTATGTTTAGCTTTCAAGGGAATACTGTTCTGATCCCTGTTACTACACCCTACATAAAATTTTGCTCTTATCTGGCTATTTTTCAGGAAATTGAAGATGTATAGATAAAAAAGATTTAGAGACTTATAAGGGTGATTAATCAAATAAGAGGTGACACCTTGAATATCAGAGTGATCAATAACATAACAACAATGAGAATTTTAAAAATTAGGTGTGCTTGCCACTGTTACATCTGTAAGGGTGCACCCTTCTATATAGAAGTAACTTGCCTTGCTGAGAATTAAAAAGTAAATTTTATATTCAAGTGCTATTTCTTTTGCGGCACCAAATCTTTATATATAACAATTTGAGGTCTCACCCAGGATTACATTCCCCTCCAGGGATGGTCTCTGGTTCTCTCTCATGAGGAGGTGCACCCCACCCTATTGTGGTGGCCTCAGGGGTGAGAAATCAAGACCCACCCAGTGCGAGGAATAAACCGAGCTCTCAGCAAAGCAAAAAGAAAAAAAAAAAAAAAAACAGCCAACCAACCAAACAAACAAAAAACTGGCCCGCAACCTAGCTTAAAGGATTCTCACATACTGCGGCGACAATTCTGTGCACAGACCAAGCAAGGAGAAACCTCAGGAGCTGGTAAAGTATTTCCTTGGTGGTCAAATTCTGGAGGGCTAAATGTGTGTGTGCATGAATGACTACAAACGACCCTGCTTGCGGTGTTGTTCATGTGGATGGTGACAAGTCCTACTGCTGGACGGAGTGAGTGGGTCCTCTCTGCGGTTCCATAGCTATCTCATATGGCTTAGGGCGGATCCTGCCATAGGATTTATACTGGCATGCCAACACTAAGAAGGGCCTGATTCTACCTTGGGGGAGTGGCCAGAGAGGACAGCACCAGTAGGAAGTGTGCAGAGGACCTTCAGAGGGAGAAAGGGGAGAAATAGCTCAACCCTCCAGGACAGGCAAGACACCCCCTGGTTTGAGGGGTTGAGCCTTCCAGGGCAAGCAACGCAAGATGCCCCCTGGTTTGAGGGGGTTGAGCCTTTCAGGACAGTCAAGGTGAGACATCCCTAGTGTTGAGGGTTTGGGCCTTCTGCGACAGGCAAGGTGAGACATCCCTGGTGTTGAGAGGTTGGGCCTTCTGAGACAGGCAAGGCAAGACATCCCTGGTGTTGAGGGGTTAAGCCTTCTGCTAATTTCAAGGGTTGAACCTGACACAATCCCCCCCTTTCCTTTTTTCTTGGGGAAAGAGAGAGTAGCTCCACTCCCCCAGGTCCCTACCCTAGAGGAGAGAGAGAGGCAGGAGAGGAGAGAGAGAGAGGGAGAGCAGCAGAGAGAGAGTGGGAGAGAGGCAGAGAGAGAGGGAGAGAGGCAGAGAGAGAAAAGAAGAGACAGAGAAAGAGCGAGTCAAAGAGAGAGAGAGAGAAAGGCAGAGAGGGAGAGAGGCAGAGAGAGAGGGAGAGAGGCAGAGAGAGAGGGAGAGAGGCAGAGAGGGAAAAGAAGAGACAGAAAGAGGGAGTCAGAGAGAGAGAGAAAGGCAGAGAGAGAGAAAGGCAGAGGGAGAGAGAAGAGAGGCAGAGAGAGGAAGAGAAACAGAGAAAGGAAGAGAGACAGAGAGCGAGAGAAGAGAGGCAGAGAGAGGAAGAGAGGCAGAGAGAGAGATAGGAAGAGAGGCAGAGAGAGAGATAGGAAGAGACAGACAAAAAGGGAGTCAAAGAGAGAGAGAAAGTCAAAGAGAAAAAAAGATACACAAGCAGTTGAGGAAAAAAAAGTGTACCCTATTCCTTTAAAAGCCAAGGTAAATTTAGAACCTATAATTGATAATTAAAAGTCTTCTCCGTGACCCTATTAACACTCCAATACCACTTTGTTGTCAGTGTAAACAAGGGCCTAGCCCAAAAGCACTGAGGCCACGGACTACCCGTAGCCTTCCTATCAAAAATCCTTCACCCAGTAACCCGCGGATGGCCAGATGCATTCAATCTGTAGTGGCAACTGCTCTGCTAACAGAAGAAAGTAAAAAAATAACTTTTAGAGGAAGCCTCATTGTGAGCACACCTCACCAGTTGAGAACTATCCTAAGTTAAAAAGCAAAAAGGTAGCTTACTAACTCAAAAATCTTAAAGTATAGGGCTATTCTGTTAGAAAAAGATGATTGATCATTAACCACTGAAAATTCCCTTAACACAGCAGGTTTCCTAACAGGGGATTTAAATCTTAATTACCATACAAAGGTCCATCCAGACCTAGGAGGAACCCCCTTCAGGACAGGACCATAGATGATTCCTCCTGGGTGATTGAGGGCGGGGAGAAAAAGTGGCAATGGGTATTCAATAATTGATAGGGAAACTCTTGTAGAAGCAGAGTTAGGAAAATTACCTAATAACTGGTCTGCTCAAACGTGGGAGCTGTTTGCACTCAGCCACGCCTTAAAGTACTTACAGAACCAGGAAGGAACCATCTACACAAATTCTAAGTTAATTTGAACTAAACAAGGTCTATTAATAGCAAAAATAATTGAAATCCCAAACATAGAAGGTTTTCAATGAAAGTAAAATTTCCTAAAAGTTAACAGTGTAACACGTATTATCCTAACGTCTAATCCTACGGCCTTAGGCAGTCTAGTCCACAGACATGAAGGAAGTTCACTTTAGAAAAGAATGGTTAACATCTTTAGGAAAATAAAATTTAAAAAAAGGTGGGGGGAAAATTTATGTAAAAAGAATGTTATATGGCAAGTTCTTGTCCTAAAATAACTGGTTGTTTAAAAAAAAAAAAAGGATGTGTGCGAGAAGTCAGAAAGTTGAGGCATGTCGAAGAATTATCTGTGAAAGTCATGGAGAAAAAAGAAAAAAGGTTATAAAAGGAAATTTGTGCAAGAAATGTTGCATAATTTAAAAGTAATTAGACCTCCTAAATGTAAAACTATTGAAGAAACAGTTTATGTGCAAGGTGTGTAAGAAAAGTAAAATACACCTTTGGCAAAAGGATTGTAAGGAGCCATAAGAATGTGAATTTTTACCTACGTTAAAAGGTTAAAAATATGTATATTTTGTTTTAAAGGTTTAATCAAGTTTTAAAATGTTAATTGTAAAGTAAATTATGTGTGTAAACATATTGGCTAAAGTTAAAGGGGTATCTTCTAGTTTTTCTGTGAACTGGACATTAAAATAAAAGCACAACAGGTTTTTCTTAAAGCGCTAACCTGCTCTTTAACAAAAATTATAAAAGGTTAAAAAGAGTCTATAAAAATCTTACCTTATGGTCAGACATTAAAAATGGAATAAATATGTCTACAAAGTTTTATTAAAATTAAATTTAACATTAATAACACATGATATACAGGTGAAATTTAGCTTATCTGGCAAAAATCATACAGGAAGCATTGTTAAATATAAAATGGTGTTTTGCTTTCTTTGGTCTAAAAACTAATAAAAATAGGTGCTAAAGAAAATTTATCAGTAAGAAGACACCAAAGACTATGAAGACCACTGTTGATATCCCCACATTTAAAACAAAAGGTCAATTTCTTAGAAATTATATACTTGGTTTATCTTCTGCTTTCCTTTCCCTCAAAACTAAAAGTCTTTTAGCACAGGTACCACCGCTAGAATTTCCGGTAAACCAGCACCAGCCTGAAGATCACCTTCTCATCAAAGGGTGGAAAAAAGAAAAACTTGAGCCAGCCTGGGAAGGACCCTACCTTGTGCTGCTAACCACCCACCGAGACTGCCATTCCTATAGTGAAAAAGGGATGGAGTCAGCACACCCGAGCCAAGAAAGTGCCACTTCCTCCAGAGTCCTGGGCCATAGTCCCAGGGGAAAACCCTACCAAACTAAAGCTAAGAAAAATTTAACTCTCTTTCATCTATTCTATTACTCTTTCTTCTTTTCTCGCTCTATTGCTGACCATCTAGTTATTAACATAACCAAGTCAATTTTGCCTCAAATTATTACATTTTTTTGAGACGGAGTCTCACTCTGCCACCCAGGCTGGAGTGCGGTGGTGTGATCTCAGCTCACTAAAAGCTCCGCCTCCCAGGTTCATGCCATTCTCCTGCCTCAGCCTCCCAAGTAGCTGGGACTACAGGCGCCCACCACCACGCCCAGCTAATTTTTTGTATTTTTAGTAGAGACAGGGTTTCACTGTGTTAGCCGGGATATTCTCGATCTCCTGACCTTGTGATCCACCCATCTCGGCCTCCCAAAGTGCTGGGATCACAGGCATGAGCCACTGCACCTGGCTACATTTTATGCTTGCCTTGTTATACCCTATGGGGACTTGCCAAGTCAAAGACAGCTCTATACTACAGAAAAGTACCTCTGTCCCTCCTGACTCTCCTCAGACTGGGCATTAGTAAATTGAGACCATGTAATCTGGGGAGATTTCAATAAAGACCCCAGTGTCAACCAGGAGTTTTGGCTCCCGATGTAGAGCTTTTATGCAATAGTTGGTCCAACATTCTGTGGACCACTAAAGAGCAAGGATGGACTGCCCAAACCAGTTTTTGTAATTTCTTAAGACCATACATTCATTTTACTAAAGGGACAGCCCTGCAGCAACTGTCAGCTAAACCAGGGCAACCCTATACAGGCTATTATTTCAAGCCCCCAAAGTTCTTCTCCTTTTCTAAGGCCGTTCCCTTCTTTAAGCCAGTTTTTATAGTATTGGGGCTGAGGTTTCAGGGACAGACCCTATTGGATTCTTTGAAATGCATTTCTTTGATCCCCTGCTGCCTGCACCTGCCTCTAAACCTTTTTCCAAAACCTCTCATAATGGAACCATTGTTCCTCCTCCATCTAAGGACAAGGCCAAGATAGCAATGGTAGATAAAGACTTAAACTTTGGCAATTGAGACAGGATACCAAGATGTAAATGCCTGGTTAAAATGGATCAAATATTCCATCTGCACGTTAAACAAAAGCAATTGTTATGCTTGTGTCCACAGCAGGTCAGAGGCCCAGATTGTCCCCTTTCCACTAAGGTGGTCCTCCAGTCGACCAGGCTTGGGCTGCATGGCATCTCTTTTCCAGGATTCTACAGCCTGGAGTAATAAGTCGTGCCAAGCTCTCTCTCTGCTATATCCCCAAATCCAGCATCCTGCAAGTCAGCCCCCGAGGGCCAACCAACTTCTGTCTCCCAACACTAAGTTCACTTCATGTCTCTCAGGACAGGGAGGAAACTTAGCATTCCTTGGAGACCTGAAGGGATGCAGTGAGCTTAAGAACTTTCAAGAGCTTACCAGTCAGCCCTTGTTCATCCCCAAGCGGATGCGTGGTGGTATTGTGGTGGACCTTTACTGGACACTCTGCCAAATAACTGGAGTGGCATTTGTACTTTAGTCCAATTGGCTATCCCTTTCACCCTGGCATTTCATCAACCAGAGGAAGGAAAAATAAGGCATCGTAAAGCGAGAGAAGCCCCTGATAGGTCTTTTAACTCTCACGTCTATTTAAACGCAATTGGAGTCCCATGGGGAATATTAGATCAGTTTAAAGCCTAAGATCAAACAGCTGCAGAATTTAAGTCAATATTTTGGTGAGTAACAATTAATAAAAATGTAGATTGGATAAACTACATCTACTACAACCAACAGTAATTTATTAACTACACTAGAGATACTGTTAAAGGAATAGCTAAACAATTAGGGGCTACTAGCCAGATGGCTTAAGAAAATAGGATAGCCTTAGACATGATATTAGCAGAAAGAGGAGGAGTTTGCGTCATGATTAAAACTCAATGTTATACCTTCATCACAAACAACACCGCCCCTAATAGAAGTATAACAAAGACATTGCAAGGTCTGACTGCTCTATCCAATGGGTTAGCCAGCAACTCAGGGATAAAAGACCCCTTTACAGGATGGCTAAAGTAGTTTTGTAAATAGAAAGAAATAATAGCCTCAATTCTTATTTCTCTTGCAGCCTTAATAGGTGTACTTATTCTTGTCAAGTGCTATGTCATACCATTCACCCTAAGCAGATACAGAGGCCCATAAAAACGGCACTTACTAAAACCTCCCTTAACTATCCTCTACCTTATCCAGAGAAGCTGCTTCTTTAGAAAACCAAGCAAAACAACTAAGCCAAGACATGTTAAAAAAAGTTTGAAAAGAAAGCTGTAAGGAAATACAAGGGGAGGGATTGTTAGATGTGAGTTCTAAATTTCTTTTCAAAGAATTAATATGTCAGTATGTTCAATTCTTTGCCTTCTACTTTTAAACTTCTTCATAAAGCAACCTTTTTCAATTACCTACTCCACCTGAGTCATTCTGATCACCTGCTCCACCCTACATTCCAATCACCTGCTCCACCCTAACTCATTCCAATTACCTGCTACCTGCCCTGCCCTGACTCCTGCCAAAACACTCACCCAGTCATTCTCTTTAAATTAGCCAATTGGAATTAGTTTAGCCTGTGCGATCTAACCCTAGCCAATAGGGGAACGACACAGTAGCAGGGGCTACATGTGTCAGAGATAAGAACCCCTTCTCCTCCCTTGTCCAAGTGTGTGCTCACCATTGTTCCATCTGTAAGGGCACCCCCTTCTATATAGACGTAACTTGCCTTGCTGAGAATTAAAAAGAAAATTTTAAAAATAAAAAAATTAAAATATTTTATGTACTTATGGAATACATATTGATGTTTCTAATACTTGTTTTTTATTTGTTTGCTTTTAATGCTCATTTAACAATTAGAATATTTCTTTTTAGATTAAACTTTTTAGATAAATTTTTATTATACTAAATAAGTACAGATTGTCATGCAGCTATAAGACATAATACAGTAAGACCCAAGGTACACTTCACTGAGTATTCTCTAATGATAACATCTTGCAAAACTATTACACAATATCACAGGATATTGACATTGGTATAGAGAAGATTCAGAACATTTCTATCACTATAAGAATCCCTAATATTGCCCTTTTATTGCCACACCCACTTTTATTGCTACCTCTTACCCTACCCCTTTTATAACCCCTAGCAACCATTAATCTCCATTTGTATAATTTTGTCATTTTAAGAATATGTAAATGTAATCTTATAGTATGTAACCTTTTAGGATTGACTCTTTTCACTAAGCATAATTCTCTGGAGGTTCGTTCAAGTTGTTGCTTGTGTTCATAGTTTGCTTGTTCCTGATTATTGCTAAGTACTAGTTGATGGTATGGATGTACCACAGTTTGTTTAACCATTCACATTGTTGAAAGACCTTTGGGTTGTTTCCAGTTTTTGGTAATTATGAATAAAGCTGCTGTGAACATTTATATGTTATTTATATAGAAGGCATTTATATGTGTTCCTTTCAGAAATGTCTACTGAGGTCTCTTGCCCATTTTTAATTGGATTATTTATGTACAGGATTTGTGTGAACACAAGTTTTCATTTCCCTGGGCTAAAAGCTGAGGATTGTTATTGCTGCGTGGCATAGTAGTTGCATTTTTTTTTTTTAAGAAGCTGTAAAACTGTTTTCCAGAATGGCTATTGATATAGGTTGGATATTTGTCCCCACTCAAATCTCATGTTGAATTGTAATCCCCAGTGCTGAAAGTGGGGTCTGGTGGGAGGTGTTTGGGTCATGGCCTGGTGCTGTCTTTGCAATGGTGAGTGAGTTCTCATAAGACCTGGTGGTTTAAAAGTGTGTAATGCCTCTCCCCCCATTATCTCTCTCTTGCTCCTCCTTTTGCCATGTGAAGTGCCTCCTCCCGCTTTGCCTTTCACCATGAGTAAAAGCTCCCTGGGGCTACCTGAGAAGCAGATGATGCTATGCTTCCTGTACAACCTTCAGAATATGATCCAATTAAACCTCTTCTTACAAATTACCTGGTCTCAGGTATTTCTTTATAGCAATGCAAGAATGGCCTAACACAGTGGTACCACTTTATATTCACATGAGCAATGTGTAAGTGATCCAGCTTGTTGTCTTGTAACCTTGCTAAATTTACTTATTAGTTACAGGAATTTTTTTTTTGTAGATTTGTCAGGCATTTCTATGTAGCCAATCATGCCATCTTCAAAAAGAGAAAGTTTTATTTCTTCCCATCCATATGCTTTCTGCATAATTTCCTTGCTTTACTTCACTGGATAGAACTCCCAGAAATACGTTAAAAAGAATGGTGAGAATCAAGAACCTCCTGGCCTTGATCTTAGGGTGAGAGCAGCCATTCTCTATCATTCAGTGTTATTTGCTCCAGTATTTTGTAGATGCTCTTCATGTTGAGGAAGTTCTTTTATATTCCTATTTTCCTGAGAGACATCATAAATGGATGTTGAATTTAGTCAAATTCTTTTACTGCATACATTAATATGATCTAGTGAATTCTCTTATTTAGGCTGTTAATATGGTAGATTACACTGATTGATTTTCAAATGTGAATCAGACTTGCATCCCTGGAATAAACTCCATTGGGTTATGGTGTATAATTTTCATTATGTATTGCTGAATTCTGTTCTTAATATTCGGTTAATAATTTGTGTGTCTGTTTTCCTTTTTCTTTTTTTTAATACTTTAAGTCCTAGGGTACATGTGCACAATGTGCAGGTTTGATACATAGGTATACATGTGCCATGTTTGTTTGCTGCACCCATCAACCCATCATTTACATTAGGTATTTCTCCTAATGCTATCCCTCCCCCAGCTCCCCACCCCCCGACAGGCCCCAGTGTGTGATGTTCCCTGCCCTTTGTCCAAGTGACCTCATTGTTCAATTCCCACCTATGAGTGAGAACATGTGGTGTTTGGTTTTCTGTCCTTGTGATAGTTTGCTGAGAATGATGGTTTCCAGCTTCATTCATGTCCTTACAAAGGACATGAACTCATCTTTTTTTATGGTTGCATAGTATTCCATGGTGTATGTGTGCCACATTTTCTTAATCCAGTGTATCATTGATGGACATTTGGGTTGGTTCCAAGTCTTTGTTATTGTGAATAGTGCCGCAACAAACATACCTGTGCATGTGTCTTTATAGTAGTATGATTTATAATCCTTTGGGTATATACCCAGTAATGGGATTACTGGGTCAAATGGTAATTCCAGTTCTAGATCCTTGAGGAGTTGCCACACTGTCTTCCACAATGGTGGAACTAATTTACACTCCCACCAACAGTGTAAAAGCATTCCTATTTCTCCACATCCTCTCCAGCATCTGTTGTTTCCTGACTTTTTAGTGATTGCCATTCTAACTGGAGTGAGACGGTATCTCATTATGGTTTTGATTTGCATTTCTCTGATGACCAGTGATGATGAGCATTTTTTCACATGTCTGTTGGCTGCATAGATGTCTTCTTTTGAGAAGTGTCTGTTCATATCCTATGCCCACTTTTTGATGGGGTTGTTTGATTTATTCTTCTAAATTTGGATTCCCAGGTATTTTATTCTCTTTGTAGCAATTGTGAATGGGAGTTCACTCATGATTTGGCTCTCTGTTTGTTAATGGTATATAGGAATGCTTGTGATTTTTGCACATTGATTTTGTATCCTGAGACTTTGCTGAAGTTGCTAATCAGCTTAAGGAGATTTTTGGCTGAGACGATGGGGTTTTCTAGGTATAAAATCATGTCATCTGCAAATAGGGACAATTTGACTTCCTAATTTCCTAACTGAATACCCTTTATTTCTTTCTCTTGCCTGATTGCCCTGGCCAGAATTTCCAACACTATGTTGAATAGGAGTGGTGAGAGAGGGCATCCTTGCCTTGTGCCAGTTTTCAAAGGGAATGCTTCCGGGTTTTGCCCATTCAGTATGATATTGGCTGTGGCTTTTTCATAAATAGCTCTTATTATTTTGAGAAACGTTCCATCAGTACCTAGTTTATTGAGAGTTTTTAGCATGAAGAGCTGTTGAATTTCATCTAAGGCCTTTTCTGCACATTTTGAGATAATCATGTGGTTTTTGTCATTGGTTCTGTTTATGTGATGGAATATGTTTATTGATTTGCATTTGCTGAACCAGCCTTGCATCCCATGGATGAAGCTGACTTGATTGTGGTGGATAAGCTTTTTGATGTGCTGCTGGATTCAGTTTGCCAGTATTTTATTGAGGATTTTTGCATCGATGTTCATCAGGGATATTGGTCAGGAATTCCCTTTTTTGTGTGTGTCTCTGCCAGGCTTTGGTATCAGGATGATATTGACCTCATAAAATGAGTTCGGAAGAATTCTCTCTTTTTCTATTGATTGGAATAGTTTCAGAATGAATGGTACCAGCTCCTGTTTGTACCTCTGGTAGAATTCATCTGTGAATCTGTCTGGTCCTGGACTTTTTTTGGGTGGTAGGCTATTAATTACTGCCTCAATTTCAGAGCCTGTTATTGGTCTATTCAGAGGTTCAGCTTCTTCCTGGTTTATTCTTGGGAGGGTGTATGTTTCCAGCAATTTATGCAATTCTTCTAGATTTCTAGTTTATTTGTGTAGAAGTGTTTATAATATTCTCTGATGGTAGTTTGTATTTCTGTGGGATTGGTGGTGATATCCCCTTTATCATTTTTTATTGCATTTATTTGATTTTTCTCCCTTTTCTTCTTTATTAATCTTGCTAGTGGTCTATCAATTTTGTTCATCTTTTCAAGAAACGAGCTCCTAGAGTCATTGATTTTTGAATGGTGATTTATGTCTCTATCCCTTGCAGTTCTGCTCTGATCTTAGTTATTTCTTGCCTTCTGCTAGCTTTTGAATTTGTTTGCTCTTGCTTCTCTAGTTCCTTTAACTGTGATGTTAGGGTGTCGATTTTTGATCTTCCCTGCATTCTCTTGTGGGCTTTTAGTGCTATAAATTTCTCTCAACACACTGCTTTAAATGTGTCCCAGAGATCCTGGTAGGTTGTGTCTTTGTTCTCATTGGTTTCAAAGAACATCTTTATTTCTGCCTTCATTTTGTTATTTACCCAGTAGTCATTCAGGAGCAAGTTGTTCAGTTTCCATGTAGTTGAATGATTTTGAGTGAGTTTCTTAATCCTGAGGTCTAATTTGATTGCACTGTTGTCTGCGAGACAGTTTGTTGTCATTTCTATTCTTTTACATTTGCTGAGGAGTGCTTTACTTCCAATTATGTGGTCAATTTTAGAATAAGTGTGATGTGGTGCTGGGAATAATGTATATTCTGTTGATTTGGGTTGGAGAGTTCTGTAGATGTCTATTAGGTCTGCTTGTTGCAGAGCTGAGTTCAGTTTCTGGATATCCTTGTTAACCTTCTGTCTCATTGATCTGTCTAATATTGACAGTGGGGTGTTAATGTCTCCTATTATTATTGTATGGGAGTCTAAGTTTCTATGTAGGTCTGTAAGGACTTGCTTTTTGAATCTGGGTGCTCCTGTATTGGATGCATATATATTTAGGATAGTTAGCTCTTCTTGTTGAATTGATCCCTTTACCATTATTTAATGGCCTTCTTTGTCTCTTTCAATCTTTGTTGGCTTAAAGCCTGTTTTATCAGAGACTAGGATTGCAACCCCTGCATTTTTTTTTTGCTTTCCATTTGCTTGGTAGATCTTCCTCCATCCCTTTATTTTGAGCCTATGTTTGCCTTTGCACATGAGATGGGTCTCCTGAATACAGCACAGTGATGGGTCTTGATTCTTTATCCAATTTGCCAGTCTGTGTCTTTTAATTGGGGCATTTAGCCCATTTACATTTAAGGTTAATATTGTTATGTGTGAATTTGATCCTGTCATTATGATGTTAGCTGGTTATTTTGCCTGTAAATTGATGCAGTTTCTTCATAGCATCAATGGTCTTTACAATTTGGCCTGTTTTTGCAATGGCTGGTACCTGTTGTTTCTTTCCATGTTTAGTGCTTCCTTCAGGAGCTCTTGTAAGTCAGGCCTGGTGGTGACAAAATCTCTCAGCATTTGCTTGCCTGTAAAGGATTTTATTTCTCCTTCACTTATGAAGCTTTTTTTGGCTGGATATGAAATTCTGGGTTGAAAATTCTTTTCTTTAAGAATGTTGAATATTGGCCCCCACTCTCTTCTGGCTTGTAGGGTTTCTGACGAGAGATTCGCTGTTAGTGTGATGGGCTTCCCTTTGTGGGTAACTCGACCTTTCTCTCTGGCTGCCCTTAACACTTTTTCCTTCATTTCAACCTTGGTGAATCTGACAATTTTGTGTCTTGGGGTTGCTCTTTTTGAGGAGTATCTTTGTGGTGTTCTCTGTATTTCCTGAATTTGAATGTTGGCCTGCATTGCTATGTTGGGGAAGTTCTCCTGGATAATATCCTGAAGAGTGTTTTCCAACTTGTTTCCATTCTCCCTGTCACTTTCAGGTACAACAATCAAATGTAGATTTGGTCTTTTCACATAGTCCCATATTTCTTGGAGTCTTTGTTCATTTCTTTTTACTCTTTTTTCTCTAATCTTGTTTTCTTGCTTTATTTCATTAGTTTGATGTTCAATCACTGATACCCTTTCTTCCACTTGATCGAATTGGCTATTGAAGCTTGTGCATGCATCATGAAGTTCTCCTGCCATGGTTTTCAGCTCCATCAGGTCATTTAAGGTCTTCTCTACACTGTTTATTCTAGTTAGCCATTTGTCTAATCTTTTTTCAAGGTTTTTAGCTTCCCTGCAATGGGTTAGAACATGCTCATTTAGCTCAGAGAAGTTTATTATTACTGACCTTCTGAAGCCTACTTCTGTCAAGTCATCAAAGTCATTCTCTGTCAAGCTTTGTTCCATTGCTGGTGAGGAGCTGCCATCCTTTGAAGGAGAAGAGGTGCTTTGATTTCTAGAATTTTCAGGTTTTGTGCTATGGTTTCTCCTCATCTTTGTAGTTTTATCTACCTTTGGTCTTTGATGTTGGTGACTCACAGATGGGGTTTTGCTATAAGTGACCTTTTTGTTGATGTTGATGCTATCCCTTTCTGTTTGTTAGTTTTCCTTCTAACAGTCAGGTCCCTCAGCTGCAGGTCTGTTGGAGTTTGCTGGAGTTTCACTCCAGACCCTGTTTGCCTTGGTATCACCAGTGGAGGCTGCAGAACAGCAAATATTGCAGAACAGCAAATATTGCTGCCCAATCCTTCTTCTGGAAGCTTCTTCCCAGAGGGGCAGCTACCTATATGAGGTGTCTGTCAGCCCCTACTGGGAGGTGACTCCCAGTTAGGCTACACGGGGTCAGGGACCTACTTGAGGAGGCAGTCTGTCCATTCTCAGAGCTCAAACACCATGCTGGGAGAACCACTGCTCTCTTCAGTGCTGTCAGACAGGGACATTTAAGTCTTCAGAAGTTGTCTGCTGGCTTTTGTTCAGCTATGCCCTGCCCACAGAGGTGGAGTCTAGAGTCTGTAGGCCTTGTTGAGCAGAGGTGGGCTCTGCCCAGTTCGAGCTTCCTGGCTGCTTTGTTTACCTACTGAAGCCTTAGGAATTGTGGACACCCCTCCCCCAGACAGGCTGCTGTCTCACAGATGGATCTCAGACTGCTGTGCTAACAGTAGTAAGACTCTGTTGGCCTGGGAGCTGCCGAGTTAGGCAAGGGAGAGAATCACCTTGTGTGCCAGTTGCTAAGACCTTGGGAACAGCACCGTATTTGAGTGGGAGTGTCCCATTTTTCCAGGAAGTCTGTCATGGCTTCCCTTGGCTAGGAAAGGGAAATCCCCCAACACTTGCACTCCCTGGGTGAGGTGATACCTCGTGCTGCTTTGGCTTGCCCTCCATGGGCTGCACCCAGTGTCCAACCAGTCCCAATGAGATGAACCTGGTACCTCAGTTGGAAATGCAGAAATTACCCATCCTCTACATTGATCCCGTTGGGAGCTGCGGCCTGGAACTGTTCCTATTTGGCCATCTTGGAATACCCTCCACCTCTGTTTTCATAAGGGATATTTTCTGTAGTTTTTATTTTTTACTGCCTTTGTCTGGTTTGGGTATCAGGGTAATAGTAGCTTCAGAATACTAGCCTCTATTTTCTGCAAGATATTGTAAAAAACGTGTTAATTCTTCAAGTGCTTGGTAGAATTCTGCTGTAAAACCATTTAGGTCTGGATATTTCTTTATGGACACTTTAAAACTAAGAATTCAATTTATTTGACAGTTTATAGGGTTATTCAAATTCTCTATTCCATATTGAAGGAGTTGTGGTATTTTAATTTTTTGAGGAATTGGTCCATTTCATCTAAGTATGTAAGTCTGTTCATAGCATTCTCTTATTATACCTTTGATGCCTGCAGTCTACAGTGATATTCCCTATTTCATTCCTGATATTTGTAAGTTTTGTCTTCTCTCTCTTTATTTTTTCAGTCTTGCTAGAGATTTGTCAATTTTATTGATCTTTCAAAGAACCAGGCCTTCGTTTCACAGATTTTTTCTATTGTTTATCTGTTTTCAGTTTTATTTATTTATGCTTTTATGTTTATTTCCATCTGCTTACCTTGTGTTTATTTTGCTCTTCTTTTCCTAGGTTCTTGAGGTAGGACTTATATTATTGGTTAGAGGCTGCCTTTTTGCAAACGTAAGTACTTGTTGCTATACATTCATCTGTCAGTATTTCATTAGCCATATCTCACAGATATAAATATATTGTGTTTTCCTTTTCATTCAGTTCAATGTATTTTTAGATTTCCTTCAAGCATCCTCTTTAATAGATTATTTTGAAGTGTCTTGTTTTGATTCCAAGGGTTTGAAAAATTTCTTGTTCATTTTCTAGTTTGATTTGATTTGTCATTGGAGAGCACACTCTGTATGATTTCAGTTCTCTCAGATTTGTCGAGGTTTGCTTTATGGCCCTAGATATGGTTTAATTTAAGGAATGTTCCATGGGACCTTAAAAATAATACGTATTTGGAATATATATTCTGCTGTTGCTGGGTGGTGTGTTCTATATATATCCATTAGATACTGTTGATTGATTGTGCTGTAAAATTCTAAATTCTTGCTGACTTTCAGTCTAGTTGTTGTAACAATTGTTGAAGGATGAGTGTTGAAGTGTACAAGTATAATTGTGGATTGGTCTATTTCTCATTTTAGTTTTGAAAGATTTTGCTTTACATATTTTGCAGCTCTGTTGTTTAATGCATGTACATTTAAGATCCATGTCTTCTTGGTGGATGGACCCTTCTATTATTACATAGTGTCCCTGTATGTTTTTGGTAATTGTATTTACTCTGAAGTCTAATTTGTCTGATATTAATATAGCCATTCATACTTTCCTTAGATTAATTTTACTATGATGGATGTTTTTCCAATCTTCCATTTTAAGCTTGACTATAGTGTTTTAATTTACATGAGTTGTTTTTGTAGATAGCTTATGGTTAAGTAGTGTTTATTAATCCAGCCTTTCACTATCTGTCTTTTAATTGGTGTACTTAGATTATTTATAATTAATGTAATTATTATTATGTCAGGGCTATGTATGCTTATTTACTTTTCATTTTGTTTGTTCTCTGTTTTTTCTTCTATTTCTTTTCCCCACCTTACTATGAATTACTACAGTGTACGTTTAGAACCACATCAAACAATGCCATAGTTCTTGCTTCAAATATAAAACATAATCAGAAAAATAAAAATGAGAAGGAAAGCCTATTGTATTTATCCATATTTTTTCTCCATTTTTTTCTTCTTCCTGAAGTTCGATATTTCTTCTTTTATTGTTTCCTTGCTGTATAGAGAGCTTCCTTTAGTCATTCTTTTAGGGTAGGTCTGCTGGCAACAAATTCTCTTAGTTTTCCTTCATGTGAAAATCTCAATTTTCCCTTGATTTCTGAAGTGTATTTTCACTGAATACAGGAATCTTGATTGACAGTTCATTTCTTTTAGCACTTGAAAAATACTGTCACTTCCTTCTGGTCTCCATAATTTATTATGAAAAATATGTGTCATTCAAATTGTTTGTCCCTGCAAGTAAGATGTCATTTATCTCATTATTACCAATATGCTTTCATTGTCTTTATTTTTCAGAAGTGTGATTATGATGTGTCTTGCTGGGGATTATTTTTGTTTTTTTATTTGGAGTTCAGTTGGTTTCTTGAATCTGTAGTTTTATGTCTTTTGCCAAATCTGGCAAGTTTTCAGCCATTATTTATAGTTTTTTTTTTCTGTTCTGCCCTCTTTATTCTTTCCTCTGACACTCAGTAACATGTATGTTGGATCGGAGACTATTCACTTTTCTTTTTCTAGACTATGTTCTCTCTGTTGTTTAGATTTGGTATTTTCTACATCTTCTTTTTCTCATAGATAAATCTGATTTATTTTATGGCCCTCATTCATATCTGTGGACTTGATCAGAATGCTGTTAACTAGAGTGGATTTCTTTCTTTTAATTATACTTTAAGTTCCAGGATACAGGCGCAGAATGTGTGTGTTTGTTACATAGGTATACATGTGCCATGGTGGTTTGGTGCACCTATCAACCTGTCATCTAGGTTTTAAGCCCTGCATGCATTAGCTATTTCTCCTAATGCTCTCCCTCCGCTCATCCCCCAGCCCCCAACTGGTGCCAGTGTGTGTTGTTCCCCTCCCTGTGTCTATGTGTTCTCATTGTTCAACTCCCACTTATTAGTAAGAACATGCAGTGTTTGGTTTTCTGTTCCTGTGTTAGTTTGTTGAGGATGATGGCTTCCAGCTTCATTCATATCCCTGCAAAGGACACAATCTCATTCATTTTTATGGCTGCCTAGTATTCCAGGGTGTATATGTGCCACATTTTCTTTATTAAGTCTATCATTGATGGGCATTTGGATTGATTCCAGGTTTTGCTATTGTAAATAGTGCTGCAATAAACATACGTGTGCATGTGTCTTTAGAGTAGAATGATTTGTATTCTTTTGGGTATACACCCAGTAATGGGATTACTAGGTCAAATGGTATTTCTGGTTCTAGATCCTTAAGGAATTGCCACACGTCTTCCATAATGATTCAACTAACTCACATTCCCACCAACAGTGTAAAAACATTCCTGTTTCTCCACAGCCTTGTCAGGATCTATTGTTTCTTGACTTTTTAATAATTGCCATGCTTACTGGTGTGAGATGGTATCTCATTGTGGTTTTGATTTACATTTCTCTAATAATCAGTGATGATGAGCTTTTTTTCATATGTTTGTGTAAATGTCCTCTTTGGAGAAGTGTCTGTTTATATCCCTTGCCCACTTATTGATGGGGTTGTGTTGTTTTTGCCCTGTAAATTTGTTAAAGTTACTTGTAGATTCTGGATATTAGACCTTTGTCAGATGGGTAGATTGCAAAAATGTTCTCCCATTCTGTAGGTTGCCTATTCACTCTGATGATGGTTTCTTTTGCTGTGCAGAAGTGCTTTAGTTTAATTAGATCCCTTTTGTCAATTTTGGCTTTTGTTGCCATTGCCTTTGGCGTTTTTGTCATGAACTATGCCTATGTCCTGAATGGTATTGCCTAGGTTTTCTTCTAGGGTTTTTATGGCTTTGGGTTTTACATTTAAGTCTTTAACCCATCTTGAATTAATTTTTGTATAAGGTGTAAGGAAGGGGTCCAGTTTCAGTTTTCTGCATATGGCTAGCCAGTTTTTCCAGCAACATTTATTAAATAGGGAATCCTTTACCCATTGCTTGTTTTTGTTCATTTTCTCAAAGATCAGATGGTTGTTGATAAGTGGTGTTGTTTCTGAGGTCTCTGTTCTTTCCCATGGGTCTGTATGTCTGTTTTGATACCAGTACCATGCTGTTTTTGTTACTGTAGCCTTGTAGTATAGTTTGAAGTCAGGTAGCGTGATGCCTCCAGCTTTGTTCTTTTTGATTAGGATTGTCTTGGCTATATGGTCTCTTTTTTGGTTTCATATAAAATTTAAGGTAGTTT
The DNA here is from genome assembly GCF_000001405.40 of Homo sapiens. Classification (NCBI taxonomy): domain Eukaryota; kingdom Metazoa; phylum Chordata; class Mammalia; order Primates; family Hominidae; genus Homo; species Homo sapiens. Next base: position 109,224,820 of record NC_000023.11, on the reverse strand, counting down.
TTTTCCAATTCTGTGAAGAATGTCTATGGTAGTTTGATGGGAATAGCATTGAATCTATAAATTACTTTGGGCAATGTGACCATTTTCACAATATTGATTCTTCCTACTCATGAGGATAGAATGTTTTTCCATTGGTTTGTGTCCTCTCTTATTTCCTTGAGCAGTGGTTTGTAGTTCTCCTTAAAGCTTTCCTTTACTTCCCTCGTTAGCTGTATTCCTAGATATTTTATTCTCTTTGTAGCAATTGTGAATGGGAGTTCATTCATGATTTGGCCCTCCACTTGTCTATTGTTGGTGTATAGGAATGCTTGTGATTTTTGCACATTGATTTTGTATCCTGAGACTTTGCTAAAGTTGCTTATCAGCTTAAGGAGTTTTACAGCTGAGATGATGGAGTTTTCTAAATATAGAATTATGTCATCTGCAAACAGAGAATTTGACTTCCTCTCTTCCTATTTTAATACCCTTTATTTCTTTATCTTGCCTCATTGTCCTGGCTAGAACTTCCAATACTATGTTGAATAGGAGTGGTGGAAGAGGGCATCCTTGTCATGTGCTGGTTTTCAAAGGGAATGTTTTCAGCTTTTTCCCATTTAGTATGATATTGGCTGTGGTGTTGTCATAAATAGCTCTTACTATTTTTGAGATATGTTTCTTCAATACCTAGTTTATTGAGAGTTTTTAACATGAAAGGATGTTGAATTTTATCAAAGGCAATTTTTCTCTCTTCAGGTTCACTAATTGTTTCCCCTGCCCCTTTCATTCTGCTCTTGAGGTCACCTGTAGTTTCTTTTACATTATCACATTTTCCAGTTTTCAAATTTCCATTTGGTTCTACTTTATGTCTTCTATGTCTTGCTGAGGCTTTCTATTTCTTTGGTAACACTCTCTAAGCTTTCATTTGTTTTGAACATATAAATAATTTTGTGTGATGCACATCTTTATGGCACTGCTTTAAAATATTTGTCAGATAATTCTAGTATCTCTGTCATCTTGGTGTTGGCACCTTTCTCTTTTTTTCATTCAATCTAATAACTTCTTGTTTCTTAATATAATGAGTAGTTTTTTATTGGAACCCGGGCATATTGGGTATTACTATTTGAGACTCTGGATCTTATTTACACTTTCTGAATTAGCTTGTTTCTTCTGACACTTCTCTGGCAAAGTACCTTGTTACTGCCAGGTCGGGAGTAGAAGTTCAGTTTCCCCACTCAGCTTCCTTTGACACACAAGTGGCATGGACTTTTCCTTTGTGTTAGACAGAGTGGAATTTCCAGTTCCCTACTAAGCTTCCAGTGATACTTCCCTGGCTGAAAGAGGTAAGCAGGTCTCATTACTGTTCTCCATATTGCATCTAATGACACCATGGAGTGTAGGTGGCCTTATTACCGCTGGTCAATGGAGAAAACTCTTACTTCTCCACTAGGCTTCCTCTGACACCACTGCAGCAGAGAAGAGTAGAAACACCTCATTACTGCTTGGTGCCAGTGGAAGTCCACGTTTCCCCTGTAGTCTTCACTGATGACGTGGGTGTTGGGAAGATAACCTTGTTACCAGTTGGCAGTGACAAAAGTCTCAGTTCATTACTTTGCCTTCTTTGACACCAACCTGTTGAGGGTGTTATACTGCCTAGTTACATCCCTGAGAGGGTGATAGACCCTCCACTTGTCCCTTACTTGCATGGGTGGGGATGGGTCCACAGATAGTTCTGCGATGATTGACTGGAGTAGAGCCATTATTATCTAAAAGTTTTCTGGCCTGCTAGCCTGTCTCTTTCCTGATACTTTGGCTAGAGAGAATAGGCTTTTGTTAGGAACATTTTTGTTTCCACCTGTTGGTGTTTGCTTTTTAGTCTTTTTCAGTTCCTTATATAGGACACTCAAGGCAAAAAGAAAACCCAGGGAATGCAACATCATATCATTCCTTGGGTCCCAAGGTCACTAGCCAGGCTGACTTCTTCTTACTACCTTTCATAACCTTTTCTTATTTGATTCATAGACAGATGGTTCCTAACTTATGATGGTTCCATTTGGGAATTTTCCACTTTAAGATGGAGTGAGAGTGACACACATTGTGTAGAAACTGTATTTCTCTCATGATGCTGGGCAGTGGTAGTGAGTCACAGTTGCCAGTCAGCCATGCATTTTTGACTTACAATATTTTCAACTTATGATGGGATTATCAGAACATAACCCCATTGTAAGTAGAGAAACATCTGTATAATGTTCAGGGTTTTTACTTGTACTTAAGCGGAAGGAATAATGGAAAGTAAGCCTACTCCATTTTGCCAGGATCAGAAGTAATCAAATATCACTTTTAAGAAAATTTAATTTGTGTGTGTGTGTGTGTGTGCACCATTTCTCCTTTTGGTGAATTTTCCTGGGCCTCTGGCCATCCATGGAGTATTCTGGGGTCCAGTGGTTTTATACTGAACAGTTTCTTTGTCTCTAAATTATTACCACAAACAATTATAAAGAAAAGCTTGATTTTTTTTTTTTGTTCCAAGGAGACACATTATATTGGCATAAGGCAGTATTGTGGATTGCTCTAGAGCACAAATTCTGAAGCCAGACACCTTGAAACTGAGTCCTAGTTCTGCTGCAGTATTATCTTGGGCAAGTTACCTAACCTCTTCATGCTCTAGTTTTCTTATTTATAGAATGGGAGTAATGATATCATCTATCTCATAGAGTAGGAATAAGAACTAAAACAGCTAATAGCTGAAAAAAAAAAAAAACTCAAAACAGTATCTAGTTTATTATTGCCCAAAATAATACATAACAATTGTTGTGCTTGCATTTTACACCATTAAGAAGAATGTCTTCTTTATGCCTTCCCCTTCAGGCTCTGAGTCTTGCCCACCTTTCCAGCCTCACTTAACACCACTCTCCTCCAGTTCTATATACTCCAGTTGCCCTGAATTTTGTTCAGTTTTTAAAACACATCATGTATTTTTTTTTCAGCTCTCAGCCTCCACACTATATCTTACTTACCTTTCACATCTCATGGAGGCCTTTTCCTGTATCACGCAATCATTTCAGAACTCCCTGCTTTGTGTTCCCACAACACTCTGCACTTTTCTCTACCATTTGTGTTTCTGGCCAAGCAGCTTCAGGCTCAGCAGAGAGTGGGCTCTGGTCCCCTTTGGCCCTATCTAAGGCTTCTTGGGCTGTAGTCAGCAGGTGGTAATAATAGTTCTGGACCTAGTAAGAGTGGGGCTGGGATACAAATAGTTTGAGATAGATATCTCCGTAGCTTTGAGTATACGAATATACACAGAAACTTGGGGTAACGGAAAAAGGTCAAAACAGAAAAAGATATAAGTGACACTCATTAAATCTGGTTTATAATTATATTGTAAATGCAGCTTCTTAATCTTGAAACTTTCAAAAAATAATTTTATATGCAATGAGATTTTAGATGTACAGAAAATTTCTAAGTGGAAATATATATTATTGGCATATAAATCCTGAAATTAAGAGTGAATAAATACTGACTTGGCAAGACAAATCTGAAAGGTTTCTAACCACTGGCTTAGATGCCAGAAGACCCCGTGTGTGGCCTTCAGCTGCTGCTAATCACCACTGCCTTTTGTCTCCCAACTTATAGGCCATGTGTGCCTGGAGTCCATTGGTCCTTTTCTGCAGACTCTTTCTTTATTTCTTTCCTTCACCTTTAATCTTTCTGGCCACCCTTGTTAGCTCTTCTAGGCATATCTCATCTATCTCCCTTTTGTCTCCCATCCCATTCCAAGGCCATTCTGGTACTTCTGTGAATTTGCTGGAGGCAATTAAAATATGCAGCAACTGTTTGTTATAAAAGCTTGCTGAATTTTCTCACTTAGTGTCTCCTGCATGTGACAGTGGATTCCTACTGTGACCACCATTAGCTCATACCTCTTAATTGTTTTCTCACCTCCAGTATCTACCCCATTCAATGCAATCTGAATGCCATTGACAAAATAATTTTCCTACAATGCACTTTTATAATGTCATTTTATTCTTTTGTTTCCAGGATAAAGGCCAACAGATTTAATCTGGTGTCAATTCTTACCACAATATAGTAGCAGTTCACATTTCCAGCCATATTCCACACTATTTCCCAACCCAGAATGGGGGATCTGGACACAGGATAGCATTTTCTTAAATTCCCCATAGAAATTTCTAGATTATATTTCTTTAACCCTTACTCAAAATTGTTTTATCTTTTAAAACCATTCTTGATATACCACCTCCCCATCCTTTTGGTTGCCTCTTCTTCCTTCCAAGATGGACCACACACATATTCATCCAGAACTTTGACACTTGACTCACAATGCTCCTCACTACCCCAAGTCCCGCTGGAATGTGGCAAAGACAGTTAACACTCACCAAATAGTTCACTGATTGCCTTATATTTCCTAGCTGTCCTTGCAATTAGAATGGGACCATTTAAATTGTACTTACCAGTGAACTGTGAACTGAAATATCACATGCTACTTCCAAGCTGAAGCAGTTAAAGGTCAGTATATTTATTCCGTGTCTCCTCTTCCCCTGCTGCAGTGACCTTAGAAACTATGTGTTGAATTACCAGAATTTCAGGACGAGAGAAGCCTGGATCCTACGTTACTGGATGGATGACAACTCCTACCAAGTTGAGCCTGATTCTGCATGAGCATAGAAACAAACCTTTGTGTATTAATCAGCTGAGTTTATTTGTTGCTATAGCTAGCCTTAATTACCTTGACTAATTCACCAGATAACTTCAGCAACATAGGCTTACAATTTCTTGAGCTCATTCACCTCCAATAAATATCACCTCTACTCTATGTTAGCAACCAAATAACGGCATCTTACATCTTCTCCTCTTATAGTATTTTACCTCCAGAAACTTTGATTCCAATATTCCACTCTCTGATCAAAACATCTTAATATTCCTCCTCTCAAATTTCCTTACTCCCACTAAATTGGTTCTTTAACATCACTGAAAATTCCTAATCCTTGACACTTCTCTATTTTCAAAGTCCCTCTTCTCTCAGTCCCTGCTGGCTTCATGTTGATCAATGTGAATCTGGGGCATAATTACCACTAGTTTATTGTGCCCTCACCTATTATTTCCTCATCTGCTTATCTTTCCACCACCCATGCTTTGCAATTTTCCTATACCAGATGAACATAAAGATCCATTTATTTACTTTTAATTCTGGGTTGCAGAGTGCTACTGCAGAAAATCGCATAAGCACACTGATAACCGTCATTTCCAAGGTTAAGATTTTCAACTTCACGTGTACTCTCAAAATTGCTAACCAAACTTTTGCTTTTTTCCAATTCGTTCCTTTTCTTCATCTGTCACTAATATTTGCCACAGCAATTACTTCCACTCTTCTCAAAGTTCCTAAATATACACTTCTCAGTAGATCATCATGCTTCCTTTACAGAGAAATTAAAAGCCATCTTGAAGTGCTTTGAACTAACCTTCCTGTACTTATTTCTTTTCTCTTGACTTAGAGAAGCAGATGTCCTTACCTTTTCCAAGACAAATCATTCCACTAGTGATTTTCTTTCATAGAGTCACTACTCCATCAATTATCCCTCCTCACCGAGTTATATGTCTTTAACACCTCTTTTTCCACTAGCTTTTCCTCATTTGCCTATAAACGTGATCAAATCCTCTGCATCTTAAAAAAATCACCTACCCTCAAGAGTTCCTCTCCCACAAGCTATAACCTATAACCATATTTCCTTAATTTTCTCCACAGCTAAACTTCTTGAAAGAGCACTTTGCCCTCAGTGGCTCTATTTCTTTGTCTCTGACTTGTTATTCATTCACTGCAATATAATGTCTGCTTTTACCTTTACTGAAACCATTCTCTCTAGAGGCACTAATGAATAATTAAACCTGATCAATTGACCTCTCTTCCTCAAGTGGGATAAATGACTTGACCTTTGGCAATATTTAACACTCTTTATCACTCTCATCTGGAAACTCTCATTCTTGGTTTCCACAATATTAATCTCTCTTAGTTCTTCGACCTCTCTGACTAGTTTTTTTTCTTCATCTGTCCATTACATGTTGGTGTTACCAATATTTTCTGCTTTGATTGTCTTCTCATATAAATCTAGATATTTTCCACCTCCTCATCATCTTCTTCAATGATTCAACCACTGTATCACCATATGTTCTTGGATGATGCCTAATTCCATCTTATCTCCAGGGCTTTCCTCTGCCTGGATGTTCCACAGAAACTGCAAACTTAGCATGTCCAAAACTGTATCCCCAAACTGGTGTTCATTCAGCATTCCATCTCAGAGAAGAGTATCAGTATTCCCCTGTTTGCTCAAAGCAGAAACCTGAAAACCCTTCTCCTCTGCTTCCACTTCCTCATTCTTTTTTCTGTACTCCTCAAAATTTTGGCACCAAATTGTATCAGTTCTATTTGAAAGCTTTATGAATTTGCCTTCGTTTTGTCCATTGCCCAAGTTTGGCTCTTGTCTTATTTCACCCTGACTTCTCCAAAAGCCTAACAGATTATCTCCCTGACTTTGATATCTCCTGTCTATAATCAATCCAAATTTAACTTTTTGAAATCACAACTGATTATGTCAAGCACTCGCTCCAAAAGGTTAGGTCGTTTTTCCATTGTCCATAGTATAAGTTTCAAAATCCTTAGCATAGCATACAAGGTTTTTCTGGTACACCCTAAGCTAATTTTACAACCTCATCATCCACCACTTTTTTTCACTCTATGTTCTAATCACATTGAACTTTTTCTCATAATCAAAGCCACTCTACCCTTTGTTTACACATCTCCTTCAAACTAATCGGCTATGAACTTCCCTTGATTCATTCTATTGCAGTCTTTTTTTGCTCCATGCTTCATTTAAAAAAGTTTTTATTGCTATGTCTTTGGGTTTGTTATTTTTCTTTTGTGGTACCTAATCTGCTATTACCCATCTATTTAACTTTTCAGATATTGCATATTTCAGCAATAGAGTTTCCATTTGTTTCCTATTTAATAATTCCATTTACTTTTTCATTATGTTGACATGTTTCTCTAAACCACAGAGCATATTTATAATAGCTGTTTTATATTTATTCTCTTCTAATTCCATCATATCTGTTATTTCTAGGTCTGTTTTTATGGACTGATTATTCTCATAGTTATGCCTATATTTTCCAGCTACTTTGCGTGTCTAATATTTTTGTTGGAGGCTGGAATTGTGATGTTACACTGTTGAACACTGCATTTGCTTGCCTTCATTTAAAGATTGCTGGATAGATTTCTGGAAGACAATCGGACTACTTGCATATCAGCTCAATCCATTCAGGACTCCAAATTTGTGAGATGAGTCTAGAATAGTTTTATTTTTTCCTGCACACAACTTTATTCAGATGTGATTGACAAATTAAAAGTGTATACGTTTAAACTGTGTAATGTGATGTTTATATATATATATATATATATATATATATATATACACATTGTGAAATGGTTGCCACAATCAAGCTAATTAACATATCCATCATCTCACATAACTACCTTTTTGTGGTGAGAATATTTCAGATCTACTCTGTTAGCAAATTTTGAGCATATTATACATTAACTATATATACCATGCTGTAAATTAGGTTTCTGGTACTTATTCATCTTAACACAGGAAAGTTTGTACACTTTAACCAACCTCTCCCTATACCTGCAGCCCCTGGAAATCACCATTCTACTCTCTGCCTCTATGAGTTTGAATTTTTTTGATTCCATATAAAAGTGTATTTTTCTTTCTCTGTCTGGCTTATTTCATTTAACATAATGTTCTCCAGTTTTATATATGTTATCACAAGTGGCAGGATTTCCTTTCTTAAAAACTTTTTTTGATTTTTGATTTTTAATTTTTGTGGATACACAGTAGGTGTATATATTTATGGGGTACATGAGATGTGTTGATACAGTCATGCCATGTGAAATAATCCTATCATGGAAAAAGGGGTGTAACATTCCCTCAAGTATTTATCCTTTCTGTTTATAAAAAATCAAATTACTCCTTCTAATTATTTTAAAATGTACAATTCAGTTATTATTGACTATAGTCACCCTGTTGTTCTATCAAATAGTAAGCCTTATTCATTATTTCTAACTACTTTTTATAGCCATTAACCTTCCCCACATCCACTCCAATGCTCCCTTCCCAGACTCTGGTAGCCATCCTTCTATTCTATGTCCATAAGTTCAATTGTTTCGATTTTCAGATCCCATAAGTAAGTAAGAACATGCGATGTTTGTCTTTCTGTGTCTTGCTTATTTCACTTAACATAACAATCTTCAGTTCCATCCCTGTTGTTGCAAATGACAGGATGTCCTTTTTATGGCTGAATACTACTCCGTTGTGTATATGTACCACGTTTTCTTTATCTATTCATCTGTGATGGACACTTAGGTTGCTTTCAAATCTTAGTTACTGTGAAAAGTGCTGCAACAAACATGGGAGTATATTTATCTCTTCAATATGCTGATTTCCTTTTTGGGAGGTATATACCCAATATTGGGCTTGTTGGATCATATGATAGCTCTATTTTTAGCTTTTTTGAGGAATTTCTAGACTGTTTTCCATAGGGGTTGTACTAATTTACGTTCCCACCAACAGTGGACGAGGGATCCCTTTTCTCCACGTCCTCACCGCATTACTATTGCCTGTCTTTTGGGTATAAGTCATTTTAACTGGGAAGAGATAATAACTCATTGTGGTTTTGAATTGCATTTCTCTAATGATTAGTGATGTTAAGCACCTTTTCATATGCTTGCTAGCCATCTGTATGTCTTTTTTTGAGAAATGTCTATCTATTCAAAATTCTTGCCTATTTTTGATAGAATTATTAGATTTTTTCCTGTAGAGTTGTTTGAGCTCCTTATATATTCTGGTTGTTAATTCCTTGTCAGAAGGGGAGTTTGCAAATATTTGCTCCTATTCTGTGGGTTGTCTCTTCCCTTTTTTGGTAGTTTTCTTTGCTGTGCAGAAGCTTTTTAACTTGATATGGTCTCATTTGTCCATTTTCCCTGTGGTTGACTCTACTTGGGGGGTATTGCTCAAGAAATTTTTGCCCGGACCAATGACCCGGAGATTTTTCCCAATGTTTTATGGTAGTAGTTTCATAGTCTGAGGTCTTAGATTTAAGTCTTTAATCCATTTTGATTGGATTTTTGTATATGGCAAGAGATAGGAATCTAGTTTCATTCTTCTACATATGAGTATCCAGTTTTCCCAGCACTATTTATGGAGGAGACTGTTTTCCCCAGTGTATGTTCTTGGTATCTTTGTCAAAATGAGTTCATTGTAGGCGTGCGGATTTTTTTCGGAGTTCTCTATTCTGTTTCATTGGTCTATGTATCTGTTTCTATGCCAGTACTATGCTGTTTTGGTTACTTTATCTGTGTTGTATGGTATAATTTGAAGTCAGGTACTGTGATTCCTTCAGTTTTGTTCTTTTTGCTTATGATAGCTTTGGCTATTCTGGGTCTTTGTGGTTCCATATAAATTTTAAGATTGTTTTTTCTATTTCTGTGTAGTATGTCATTGGTATTTTGATAGGGATTGCATTGAATCTGTAGATAGCTTTGGGCAGTATGGACATTTAAAAATTATTGATTATTCCAATCCATGAACATGGAACACTTTTTCATTTTTGGTGTCCTCTTTAATTTCTTTCATCAGTGTTTTATAGTTTTCCTTAAAGAGATCTTTTACTTCTTTGGTTAAATTAATTCCTAGATATTTAATTTTATTTGTGGCTATTGTATATGGGTTTACTTTTTTGATTTCTTTTTCAGACTGATCACTGTTGAAATACAGAAATGTTACTGATATTTTATATTGATTTTCTATCCTGCAGCTACACTGAATTTGTTTATCAGTTCTAATAAACAAATTGTTCTAACAAAAAGGTCTTTAGTTTTTCAAAATATAAGACTACATCATCTGCAAACAAGGATAATTTGACTTCTTCTATTCCAATTTGGATGTTCTTTATTTTTTCTCTTGTCTAATTGCTAGGACTTCCAGTTCTATGTTGAATAACCATTAGGAAAGTGGGCATCCTTGTCTTGTTCCAGATCTTAGAGAAAAGGCTTTCAGTTTTTCCCAATTCTGAGTGATACTGGCTGTGGGTGTGTCATAAATGATTTTATTATGTTGAGTTATGTTCCTTCCATACGTAGTTTATTGAGGGATTTTTTTTTACCATGAAATGATGTTGAATTTTTATCAAATACTTTTCCAGCATCAGTTTAAAAATTTATATGGTTTTTATTTTTCATTGTGTTGACATGATGTATCACATTGATTGATTTGGGTATGTTGAACCATCCTTGCATCCCAGGGATAAATCCCACTTGGTCATGATAAATGCTTTTTTTAATGTAGTGCTGAATTTAGTTTGCTAGTATCATGTCACAAATTTTTGCATCAATATTCAGGAGAGATATAGGCCTGTAGGTTTTGTTTTTTTTTTCTGATGTGTCTTTGTCTGGTTTTGGTATTAGGGTAATACTGGCCTTGTAAAGTGGGTTTTGAATTATTTCCTCCTAGACCATTTTTTAAATTGTTTTAGTAGGATTGATATTAGCTCTTCCTTAAATTTTTGGTAGAATTTGGCAGTGAAGTCATGAGGTACCAGACTTTTCTTTACTGGGAGGCTTTTTATTATGGTTTCAATCTTGTTACTTGTAATTGGTCTGCTCAGGTTTTAAATTTCTTCCTACTTCAATATTGGTAGATTGTACATATCTAGGAATTTGTCAATTTCTTCTAGATTTTCTAATTTATTGGCATATAGTTGCTCATGGTAGCCACTAATGATCCTTTGCATTTCTGCACTATCTGTTGTAATGTCTCCTTTTTCATTTCTGATTTTATTTATTTGGATTTTCTCTCTTTTTTGTTAGTTCATCTATGGTATGTTCTGGATCTGTGTCCCCACCCAAATCTCATGTGAATTTGTAGCCCCAGTGTTGGAGGTGGAGCCTGATTGAAGGTAATTGGATCATGGGTGTTGATTTCCTCCTTTGTTTCTGTTCTCATAATAGAGTTCTCCCAAGATCTGGTTTTTAAAAAGTGTGTGGCAACCCAACCCTCCCACTCAAGCCAGGTGAGATTGGCCTTTCCCCCTTCACCTTCTGCCATGATTGTAAGTTTCCTGAGACCTCCCAAGAAGCCAAGCAGATGCCAGCATTATGCTTCCTGTACAGCTTGTGGAACCATGAGCCAATTAAACATATTTTCCTTATAAATTTGCCAGTTGCAGGCATTTCTTATAGCAATGTGAGAATGGACAAATACAGTCTGGCTAAAAGTTCGTCAATTTTGACTAAATTCTCCAAAAACCAACTTTTTGTTTCATTTATCTTTGTATTCTTTCAATTTTATTTATTTCTTCTCTGATCTTTATTATTTTTTCTCTTCTGCTAAATTTGAGTTAGCTTTTTTCCTGCTTTTCTAGTTCTTTAAGATGCATCATTAGATTTTTTATTTGAAGTGTTTTCTCTTTTTTTGATTTAGGCACATATAGCTCTAAACATCTCTTAGTATTGCTTTTGCTGTATCCCATAGGTTTTGGTATGTTGTGTTTTCACTATTATTTATTTCAAGAAAGTTTCAATGTCTTTCTTAATTTCATTGACCCACTGGTCATTCGGGAGATATTGTTTAATTTCCATGTATTTGTATAGTCCATACATTCTCATCATTTAGCTCCCATGTATAAGCAAGAACATGTGGTATTTGACTTTCTGTTCCTGCATTAGTTTGCTAAGGATAATGGCCTTCAGTTCTATCCATGTTACTGCAAAGGACATAATTTCATTTTTAATGGATGCATAATATTTCATGGTGTATGTGTACCACATTTTCTTTATCCAGTCTATCATTGATGGGTATTTAGGTTGAATTCATATCTTTGCTATTGTGAATAGAGCTGCAATGCAAATACATATGCATGTGTCTTTACAAAAAAATAATTTATATTCCTTTGGGTATGTACCCAGTAATGAGGTTGCTGGGTTGAATGGCAGTTCTGTTTTTAGGTCTTCATCAAGTTTTTCCACTGTGATTAAACTAATTTACACTGCAACCAACAGTGTATAAGTAATCATTTTCCCCCATAACCTTGCCAGCACCTGTTATTTTTTGACTTTTTAATGATAGCCATTTTGATTGGTGTGAGATGGTACCATGATGTGGTTTTGATTTGGATTTTTTCTAATAATCAGGAACGTTGAGGGTTTTTTTTTATTATACTTTAAGATCTAGGATACATGTGCAAAACATGTGGGTTTGTTACATAAGTATACATGTACCATGGTGGTTTGCTGTACCCATCAAGCCATAATCCGGGTTTTAAGCCCCACATGCATTGGGTGTATGACTTAATCCCTCCCTTTGCCCCCCCACTGCCCGACAGGCCCTGGTGTGTGATGTTCCCCTTCCTGTGTCCATGTGTTCTCGCTGTTCAACTCCCACTTATGAATGAAAACATGCAGTATTTAGTTTTCTGTTCCTGTGTTAGTTTGCTGAGAATTTTTGGTTTCCAGCTTCATCCATGTCCCTGCAAAGGACATGAACTTATTCTTATTTATGGCTGCATAGTATTCCATGGTGTATATGTGCCATATTTTCTTTACACAGTCTAACATTGATGGGCATCTGGGTTGGTTCTTTCTTTCTGGGTGCAATTGTTTTGGGACCCATTAACTGGAAAGTTTGCTCAACCTTAATTCTTCAGTCAGAATTGTCTCATCTGAACTTATTGAGCTATCTATGGTGTTGGCTACTGCTTCTACTGTTAATTGTCAGTCTTCTTCAATTAGGGCATAAGCAAGACATTTTCCTCAAAAATTGATGTTGGAGGATCTGCAAATGTGAGCTTCATTTTCAGCATCATGTGCTCCTTTCTTAAAACAAATCATCCATTTGTAAGCTGCTCATTTCTTAGGGGGACTGTCTCCATAAGCTCTTTATAAAACATAAGTTATTTCATCATTCTGCCACCCAACCTTCACCATAAATTTAATATTTCTTTTTGCTTCAATTTTGACAGAATTCGAGTTGCTTTGGTGGAGGTTTTTTTCAAACTGATATTTTATTCTTCTTAATATCTCAAGCTAGATCCTGTTCAGACATTTTATAACAAGTTAGAGTTTACTTTGGTGCAAATGAGTTTTGAAATCCATGCATAATTATTTCATTATACGCATTTTCAATAAACTTTTGAAGACCCCTCATATATGGCCTTTATCATATTGAGATACATTCCTTCTACACCTAATTTTGAGAGTTATTCTAATGAAAGAAATGTTGACTTTTGTTGAATGCTTTCTTTGCATCTATTGAGATGGTCATATCATTTTTATCCTTCATTCCATTAATGTGGTATATCACATTCATTAATTTGCACTTATTAAACTATTCTTCCATCCCAGGGATGAATCACACTTGATCATGGTGAATTATCCTTTTAATGTCTTGTTGAATTAGGGTTTCTAGCATTTTATTGAGAATTTTTGCCTATGTTCAGCAGAAATATTATTCTGTAGTTTACTTTTCCTATGGTATCCTCATCTGGCTTTGGTATCAGGCTAATGCTAGCCTCATAAAATGAGTTGGAAAATGTTTCCTTTTCTTCAATTTTTTAAAAGAATTTGGAAAGAATTGCTATTTATTCATCCTTAAATATTTGGTAGAGTTCAACACTAATTCAATCAGGTCTTGGGCTTTCCTTTGATGACACAAACAAAGGGAAACATATCCCATGCTCATGGATGGATAGAATCAGTAGTGTGAAAAATGATCATACTGCCAAAGGCAACCTACAAATTCAATGCAGTTCCCATAAAAATACCACTATTATTATTGACAGAACTAGAAAACACAATCTTAAAATTCATATTTAACCAAAGAAGACCCTACATAGCCAAAGCAAGAATAAGGGAAAAGGAACAGACCTGGAGGTATCACATTACCCAACTTCAAACTATACTATAAGGCCATAGTCACCAAAACAAGTGAAGTAACTCAGGAATAGAAAACCAAACGTCATATGTTCTCACTCATAAGCTATGCACATGCAAAGGTATAAGAATGATACAATGAGGCCAGGCACAGTGGCTCACACCCGTAATCCCAGCACTTCAGGAGGCTGAGGCGGGTGGATCACGAGGTCAGGAGATTGAGATCATCCTGGCTAACACAGAGTGAAACCCCGTCTCTATTAAAAGTACAAAAAAATTATCCTGGCTTGGTGGCAGGCGCCTGTAGTCCCAGCTACTCGAGAGGCTGAGGCAGGAGAATGGCATGAACCCAGGAGGCAGAGCTTGCAGTGAGCCAAATAGGGCCACTGCACTCCAGCCTGGGAGACAGAGCTAGACTCCACTCCATCTCAAAAAAAAAAAAAAAAAAGAAAGAAAGAAAGAAAGAAAAGAAAAGAAAAGAAAAGAAAAAGAATGATACAATGGACTTTGGGACTTGGGGGAAAGGGTGGGAGGGGGGTGAGGGATAAAAGACTGCACATTGGGTACAGTGTACACTGCTTAGGTGATGGGTGCACCAAAATCTCAGAAATCACCACTAAAGAACTTATCCATGTAAGCAAACACTCCCAAAACTTATTGAAATTTCTAAATAATAAAAAAAATACAGAGTGGGGTGGTGGAAGGGTGGTATCAAAGGTTAATAGGTACAAAAAAATAAAAAGAATGAATAAGACTTAGCATTTGATAGCACAACAGAGTGACTATAGTCAAAATAATGTAATTGTGGGCTGGCTGGCAAGACAGCCAGATAGGAACAGTTCCAAGCTGCCTCTCCTAGGGAGACCAACACAAAAGATGGGTGATTTCTGCATTTCCAACTGAGGTACCCTGTTTGTCTCATTGGGACTGGTTAGGCAGTGGGTACAGCCCATGGAGGGTGAGCAGAAGCAGAGTGGGGTGTCGCCTCACACAGGAAGTGCAAGGAGTAGGGGAACCTGCCTTTCCAAGCCAAGGGAAGCCATGAGAGACTGTGCTATCCAGCCCAGATATTATGCTTTTCCCATGGTTTTTGCAATTTGCAGACCAGGAGATCCCCTTATGTGCATATATCACCAGGGCCCTGTGTTTTGAGCCCAAAACTGGGTGGTTGTTTGGGCAGACAATGAGCTAGCTGCAGGAGATTTTTTTTTTTTGATGGAGTCTGACTCTGTCACCTAGGTTGGAGTGCAGTGGCGTGATCTCGGCTCACTGCAAGCTCCACCTCCCAGGTTCATGCCATTCTCCTGCCTCAGCCTCCAAAGTAGCTGGGACTACAGGTGCTTGCCACCATGTCTGGCTAATTTTTTGTATTTTTAGTAGAGATGGGGTTTCACCGTGTTAACCAGGATGGTCTCAATCTCCTGACCTCGTAGTCCGCCTGCCTCAGCCTCCCAAAGTGCTAGGATTACAGGAATGAGCCACTGCACCTGGCCAGGAGATTTTTTTTTTCATACCCTAGTGGTGCCTGGAACCCCAGTGAGACAGAACCGTTCACTCCCCTAGAAAGGTGACTGAAGCCAGGGAGCCAAGTGGTCTTGCTCAGTGGGTCCCACTCCCACAGAACCCAGCAAGCTAAGAACCACCAGCTTCAAATTCTCACTGCCAGTACAGCAGTCTGAAGTCGACCTGGGATAATCAAGCTTGGTGTGGGGAGGGGTGTCTGCTATTACTAAGGCTTGAATAGGCGGTTTTCCCCTCACAGTACTAAGGACTGGGCAGAACCGAACATAGTGTGGCAAAGTAGCTGTGGCCAGACTGACTCTCTAGATTCCTCTTCACTGGGCACGGCATCTCTGAAAGAAAGGCAGCAGGCCCAGTCAAAGGCTTATAGATAAAACTCCCATCTCACTGGGACAGAGCACCTGGGGAAAGGGGCTGTTGTGGGTGTATCTTCAGTGGACTTAAATGTTCCTGCCTGCCAGCTCTGAAGAGATCAGCAGATCCTGAAAAGGAGGGTTCAACCAGCACAGCACTAGAGCTCTGCTAAGGAACAGACTGCCTTCTCAAGTGGGTCCCTGACTCCTGTGCCTCCTGACTGGGAGAGACCTCCCAAAAGGGGTTGACAGACACCTCATGCAGGAGAGCTCTGGCTGGCATCAGGTTGGTGCCCCTCTAGGACAAAGCTTCCAGAGGAAGGAGCAGGTGGGAATCTTTGCTATTCTGCAGCCTCCACTGGTGATATCCAGGCAAATAGGGTCTGGAGTGGACCTCCAGCAAACTACAGCAGACCTGCAGAAGAAGGGCCATCAACAAAAAAGAACCCCCACTCATAAACCCCATCAAAAGGTCATCAACCTCAAAGATCAAAGGTAGATAAATCCATGAAGATGAGGAAAAACCAGCACAAAAATGCTGAAAATTCCAAAAACCTGAAAGCCACCTCTCCAAATGATCACAGCTGTTCTCCAGCAAGGGCACAAAATTGGACAGAGAATGAGTTTGATGAACTGACAGAGGTAGGCTTCTCAAGATGGGTAATAACAAAGTCCTCTGAGCTAAAGGAGCATGTTCTAACCCGATGCAAGGAAACTAAGATCCTTGACAAAAGGCTACAGGAACTGCTAATTAGAATAACCAGTTTAGAGTAGAATATAAATGACCTGATGGAGCTGAAAAACACAGCATGAAAACTTCATGAAGGATACAAAAGTATCAACAGCCAAATCGATCAAGCAGAAGAAAGAATATCAGAGACTGAAGATCAAATTACTGAAATGAGGTGTAAAGACAAGATTAGAGAAAAAGAGACTGAAAAGGAACAAATAAAGTCTCCAAAAAATATGGGACTAGGTGAAAAGACCAAATCTATGATTGATTGGGTTCCTTGAAAGTGATGGGGAGAATGGAACCAAATTGGAAGACACACTTCAGGATATCATCCAGAAGAACTTCCCCGACATAGCAAGACAGGACAAATTCAAATTCAGGGACTACAGAGAACACCTTAAGATACTTTTTGAGAAGTGCTACCCCAAGACACATAATGGTCAGATTCTCCAAGGTTGAAACAAAGGAAAAAATGTTAAGGGCAGCCAGAGAGAAATGTCAGATTACTTACAAAGGGAAGCCCATCAGACTAACAGTGGATTTCTCTGCAGAAAACCTACAAGCCAGAAGAGAGTGGAGAGGGCAATATTCAACATTCTTAAAGAAAAGAATTTTCAACCCAGAATTTAATATCCAGCCAAACTAAGCTTCATAAGTGAAGGACAAATAAAATCCTTTACAGACAAGCAAATGCTGAGGGATTTCATCACCACCAGGCCTGTCTTGCAAGAGCTACTGAAGAAAGCACTAAATATGGAAAGGAAAAACCAGTACCAGCCACTGCAGAAACACACCAAAATATAAAGACCAATGACACTATGAAGAAACCACATCAACGAATGTGCAAAATAACCGTCTAGAATCATGAAGACAGGATCAAATTCACACATAACAATATTAACCTTAAACGTAAATGGACTAAATGCCCCCAATTAAAAGACACAGACTGGCAAATTGGATAAAAAGTCAAGATCAATTGGTGTGCTGTATTCAGGAGACCCATCTCACATGCCAAGACACACATAGGCTCAAAATAAAAGGATGGTAAAAAATATTTACCAAGTTAATGGAAAACAGAAAAAAAAAAAAAGCAAAAAAAAAAAGCAGGGGTTGCAATCCTAGTCTCTGATAAAACAGACTTTAAACCAACAAAGATCAAAAAAGACAAAGAAGGGCATTACATAATTGTAGAGGAATCAATGCACACAAAGAGCTAACTATCCTAAATATATATGCACCCAATACAGGAGTAACCAGTTTTATAAAACAAGTTCTTAGAGACCTACAAAGGGACTTAGACTCCCACACAATAATAAAGGGAGGCTTAAATACCCCACTGTCAATATTAGACAGATCAAGGAGACAGAAAATTAACAAGGATATTCAGGACTTGAACTCAGCTCTGGACCAAGAGCACCTAACAGATATCTACAGAACTCTCCATCCCAAATCAACAGAATATATATTCTTCTCAGCACCACATAGCACTTATTCTAAAATCAACCACATAATTGGAAGCAAAACACTCGTCAGCAAATGGAAAAGAACAGAAATCATAACAAACAGGCTCTCAGATCACAGTGCAATAAAATTAGAACTCAGAATTAAGAAACTCACTCAAACCACACAACTACATGGAAACTGAACAACCTTGTTCTGAATAACTACTGGGTAAATAACGAAATTAAGGGAGAAATAACAAAGTTTTTTGAAACCAATGAGAACAAAGACAATGTATCAGAATTTCTGGGATACAGCCAAAGCAGTGGTTAGACAGAAATGTATAGCACTAAATGCCCACATCAGAAAGCGGGAAAGATCTAAAATCAACAAGCTAACATCACAATTAAAAGAACTAGAGAAGCAAGAGCAAACAAATTCAAAAGCCAACAGAAGACAAGAAATTGCTAAGATCAGAGCAGAACTGAAAGAGATCGAGACATGAAAAACTCTTCAAAAAAGTCAATGAATTCAGGACCTGGTTTTTTGACAAGATTAACACAATAGATAGACCGCTAGCCAGACTAATAAAGAATAAAAGAGAGAAGAATCAAATAGACACAATAAAAATGATAAAGGGGATATCACCACTGATCCTACAGAAATACGAACTACCATCAGAGAATAATATAAATACCTCTATGCAAATACCTTTATGCAAATAAATCTAGAAGAAAAGGATACATTCCTGGACACATACACCCTCCCAAGACTAAACCAGAAAGAAATTAAATGCCTGAATAGACCAATAACATGTTCTGAAACTGAGGCAGTAATTAATAGCCTACCAACCCCAAAAAAGCCCAGGACCAGATGGATTCACAGTTGAATTCTACCAGATGTACAAAGAGGAGCTGGTACCATTCCTTCTGAAACTATTCCAAACAATAGAAAAAGAGGGACTCCTCCATAACTCATCATCCTGATACCAAAACCTGGCAGAGACAAACAAAAAAAGGAAATTTCAGACCCAAATTACTCATGAACATCGATGCAAAAATCCTCAATGAAATACTGGCAAGCCAAATCCAGCAGCACATCAAAAAGCTTATCCACCATGATCAAGTCAGCTTCATCCCTGGGATGCAAGGCTGGTTCAACATACACAAATCAATAAATGTAATCCGTCACAGAAATAAGTCCAATGGCAAAATTCACAGGATTATGTCAATAGATACAGAAAATGCCTTTGATAATATTCAATAACCCTTCATGCTAAAAATTCTCGATAAACTAGGTATTGATGGAACATATCTCAAAATAATAAGAGCTCTTTATGACAAACCCACAGCCAATATACTGAATGGGCAAAACATGGAAGTATTCCCTTTGCAAACTGGCACAAGACAAGGATGCCCTCTCTCACTACTCCCATTCAACATAGTATTGGAAGTTCTGGCCAGAGCAACAGAAAGAAATAAAGGGCATTCAAATAGGAAAACAGGAAGTCAAATTGTCTCTGTTTGCAGATGACAAGATTGTATATTTAGAAAACCCCATTGTCTCAGCCCAAAATCTCCTTAAGCTGATCAGCAACTTCAGCAAAGTCTCAGGTTAGAAAATCAATGTGGAAAAATCACAAGAAGTCCTATACACCAATAATGGACAAACAGAGAGCCAAATCATGAGTGAACTCCCATTAACAATTGCTACAAAGAGAATAAAATACCTAGAATACAACTTACAAGGGATGTGAAGGAAATCTTCAAGGAGAACTACAAACCACTACTCAAGAAAATAAGAGAGGACACAAATAAATGGAAAAACATTCCATTCCTAAAGATAGGAAGAATCAATATCATGAAAATGGCCATACACCCAAGGTAATTTGTAGATTCAATGCTATTCCCATCAAGCTAACATTGGCTTTCTTTACAGAACTAGAAAAACTACTTTTAATTTCTTACGGAACCAAAAAATAGCCCGTATAGTCAAGACAATCCTAAGCAAAAAGAACAAACCTGGAGGCATCATGCTACCTGACTTCAAACTGTACTACAAAGCTATGGTAACCAAAACAGCATGGTATTAATACAAAAACAGAAATATAGACCAATGGATCAGAACAGAAGCCCAAGAAATAATGCCACACATCTACAACCTTCTGATCTTTGGCAAACCTGACAAAAACAAGAAATGGGGAAAGGATTCCCCATTTAACAAATGATGCTGAGAAAACTGGCTAGCCATATGCAGAAAACAGAAATTGGAATACTTTTTAACACTTTATACAAAAATTAACTCAAGATGGATTAAAGACTTACATGTAAAACCTAAAATGATAAAAACCCTTGAAGAAAACCTAGGCAGTAACATTCAGAACATATGCATGGGCAAAGAGTTTATGACTAAAACACCAAATACAATTACAACAAAACCCAAAATTGACAAATGGGATCTAATTAATGTAAAGATCTTCTGCTCAGGAAAAGAAAATATCATCAGAGTGAGCAAGCAACCTACAGAATGGGAGAAAATTTTTGCCATCTATCCATCTGACAAATGTCTAATATCCAGAATCTACAAGGAATTTAAACAAATTTACAAGTAAAAATAAACAACCAGGTAACAACAGAAGCTGGAGAGAATGTGGAGAAATAGCATTGCTTTTACACTGTTGGTGGAAGTGTAAATAAGTTCAACCATTGTGGAAGACAGTGTGGCAATTCCTCAAGGATCTAGAACCAGAAATATCATTTGACCCAGCAATCCCATTACTGGGTATATACCCAAAGGATTATAAATCATTCTACTATAAAGAAACATGCACATGTATGTTTTTGCAGCAATGTTCACAATAGCAAAGACTTGGTACCAACCCAAATGTCCATCAATGATTGACTGGATAAAGAAAATGTGGCACATATACACCATGGAATACTATGCAGCCATAAAAAAGGATGAATTCCTGTCCTTTGCAGGGACATGGATGAAGCTGGAAACCATCAATATCAGCAAACTAACACATGAACAGAAAACCAAACACTGAATGTTCTCACTCGTAAGTGGGAGTTGAACAATGAGAACACCTGGAAACAGGGAGGGGAACATCACACACTGGGACCTGTCAGGGGATGGCAGGCCAGGGGAGGAATAGCATTAGGAGAAATGCCTAATGTAGATGATGGGTTGATGGGTGCAGCAAACCACCATGGCACGTGTATACCTATGTAACAAACCTGCACGTTCTGCACATGTATCCTAGAACTTAAAGTATAATAATTAAAAAAAAAATCAAAAAGTGGGCAAATGATATGAACAGACATTTCTCAAAAGAAGGCACTTATGCAGCCAACAAACATATGATAAAAGCTCATCATCACTGCTCATTAGAGAAATGCAAATCAAAACTACAATGAGATACCATCTCATGCCAGTTAGAATGGCAATTATTAAAAAATCTGGAAACAACAGATGCTGACAAGGATGTGGAGAAATAGGAATGCTTTTACACTGTTGGTGGGAGTGTAAATTAGTGCAATCATTGTGGAATATGGTGTGGTGATTCCTCAAGGATCTAGAACCAGAAATACCATTTGATCCAGCAATCCCATTTCTGTCTAAAGACACATGCACACATATGTTTATTGCAGCAGTATTTACAATAGCAAAGACTTGGAACCAACCCAAATGTCCATCAATGATAGACTGGATAAAGAAAATGTGGCACATATACACCATAGAATACTATGCAGCCATAAAAAGAATGAGTTCATCTCCTTTGCAGGGACATAGATGAAGCTGGAAACCATCATCCTCAGCAAACTAATACAGGAACAGAAGACCAAACACTGCATGTTGTCCCTCATAAGTGGGAGCTGAAAAATGAAAACACATGGACACAGGGAGGGGAACATCATACACCAGGGTCTGTCGGGGGAGGGTGGGGTTAAAGGGGAGGGAGAGCATTGGGACCAATACCTAATGCATGTGGGGCTTAAAACCTAGTTGACAGGTTGTTAGGTGCAGCAAACCACAATGGTACATGTATACATATGTAACAAACATGCACATTCAGCACATGTATCCCAGAACTTAAAGTAAAATTTAAAAAAGTAATTGTACATTTAAAAATAACTGTAAGAATATAATTGGACTGTTTATAACAGAAAGGATAAATGATTGAGAGGATGGATACCCTATTTTCCATGATATGATTACCACACATTGCATGCCTGTATCAAAATATCTCATGTACCCCATAAGTATAGACTCTCACCATGGACCCAGAAAAATTAAAAATAATTTTTTAAAAATGAACAAAGGTTCTGAATAGAGATTGTTTTCCAAAAATTTTATACAAATGGCCAAAAATCTCAAGAAATGTGTGTTTAGGAAAATGCAAATGAAAATCACAATGACATACCATTTCTCACAACAGCTAGGATGGCTAGTCAACAAGGGTTGGTAATGATGTGGAGAAAATATAACCCTCAGAACACTGCTGATGGATATGTAAAATGGTGAAGCCCTTTGGAAAATAGTCTGGCGGTTCCTCAATTAAATGTAGACTTACCAAATGACCCAACACTTCCACTCCATAGTATATACTCATAATAAATGAAAACATATGTTCACCTAGAAACTTGTAATTTACAGCAGCATTACTCATAGGAGCTGCAAGGTGGCAACAACTTAAATGTTCATTAATGGACAAATGGATATACAAAATGGACTACATCCATACAATAGAATATTATTCAGTCATAGAAAACAATGAAGTACCTTTCCTTCAGGAAATGAATAACCTTCATATCTTTCATCAGTGCAACATGGATGGACATTGAAAACATTATAATAAGTGAGAGAAGCCAGTCACGAAAAGACACATACTATATGATTACACTCACATTTCTATTAACTTCCTTGGCCTGCACTAAAACGACAACAAACCGGGTGGCTTAAAACAACAAAAATGTATTGTCCTACACTTCTGGAAGCTAGAAACCTGTAATCAAGGTGTCAGCAGGGTGATACTCCCTCTGAAATCTGTAGGGGAGAATCAATCTTTCATTGCCTCTTCTAGCTTTTGGTGTTTGCTAGAAATTTTTGACACCCTTTGGTTTACATCACTTCAATCTCTGCCTCAATGGACATATGGCCTTCTTGCATCTACACATCTTCCCTCTGGGTGTCTGTCTCTGTGCCTCTTCTCTTTTTGTAAGGACACCAGTCATATTGGATTAGGAACCCATCTTACTCCAGTATGACCTCATCTGAACTCATTACATTTGCAGCAACTCCATTTCCAAATAAGGTCACATTCTGAGGTACTGGGGGTTAGGACTTCATCATATCTTTTAGGGCAACACAATTCAACCTATAACAATATGAAAATTTGGAATAGGAAAATCTATAGAGACAGAAAGTAGATTAGTCTTTGCTTAAGGCTAGGAGCAGGAGCAGGAGGATAGGAGAATGATAGCTAAATATGGGGTTTCTTTCTGAGATGGTAAAAATATTCTAAAATTGGCTTTGGTAATGGTTGCACATGTCTGTGAATATACTAAAACCATTGAATTATAAATTGTATGGTATATGAATTAAATATCAATGAAGCTGTTTAAAAAAAAGGAAAACATGATTTAAAAGAGATTGTCCAACAGGTTTCACCAGATTCCCAAGTGGCCTATGGTGTAAAGAAAGATAAAGCCTAATTTGAAACTACTTTAGCAAGGAAAACTTAGTCCCTTAAGGCTGTGCCATCCAGCATGGTAGCCACTGGTCACATGTGGCTATAGATATTTGAATTTAGATTAATAAATTTTAGTTAAATTAAAAATTAAATTTCTCAGTCACACTAGCCACATTTCAAGTGCTCAATACTTACATGTGACTAATGACTACCAAATTGAACAGCACAGATACAGAACATTTCCATCATTGCAGAAAATACTATTAGACAACACTGCTACACATCTACTGTTATTCCACTCTCTACTCAGATTTAACTGCCACAAAATCAAATGTAGGGGCCAAATAATTTTCTTACAAAGTTGACATAAATATCAATCATACAATACTATTGTGCTCCTGGAACTTTATATACATTATCTAATTTAATCCTTCAATAATCACATGTAAAGAAGAATTTATTTTATTTGTCTGGCTGACATCAAGTTAAATTTCAAAAGGTGGGATCAGTAATCAGAGTTCATAAGAAAGAAATTGGAGATAGACGGAAGGAGTCCTGCAATCCTAATTTAAAAGCTCCCAGGTATTTCAACACAGGTGAAATTTGCTTGATTGGGATACCTGAGGCTGAATGCAAATTAGAAAATGAAAATAAAGTTTCATTAACAGGAGGAAAAGATTTTAATCATTCTCATTGTTTGGTTAACAACTGTAGGTGTAACAACAGCAGCAACTACAACAACAACACAACTATACAATTTAGTCAAGATTTAATGAAAAGGCTATCAGTGGCTTGTCTGAATGCAAGCCTGTAATTTTAAACTTGTATTCTGGCTTTCAGAAACAAATGCATTTCTCACCCTGAAGCCATTTGGAGATATATTTTCCAGCCCTCCTTTCCTTTTTCACCCTGAAATATACTCTTTGACATACATTGCATTTTATAAGTATTTGAAAAAGCCAAATGTAAAACTAAAGTTAGGAACAAATTTGACAATATAAAGAAATTGCATCATTACAAGCTTCCAAGAAGTGTTTATAATGCATTTATCACTGTCATTTGGCTTGTACTTTGGCTTGTACTGGCCTCTTCTTAGAGACAGATATTTTTCTGTGAAAAAGAGTAGCATGTGGAATTTTTTTGGCAGTTCTTTCGTTAATAACACAAATAACTGCTCAGAAGAGTCACGATGACCTTTAAGAGTGATTCAATATGTAATTCAGAGATGACCCACCAATGTGAGTCAGACATTCCTTTGGTGCCAAAAGAGTTTTTAATTTTAGAGTTTTGTTCTTTTTAGAAAAAGAATAGGAAATTGCATATTACTTATGGTTTTTTTTTCTACTTGCAGGATGTCATTCAGAATTTCATGGTATGAAAAAGCTTTTACTGATTGAATAATTTATATTACAGCTACTTCAAATATTGCTTCACTTATTATCCTGGTCATAAAGATGTTGTGTAAGTGAGTGATTCTCATTTATCTTAAAAAACGAGGAAAGAAAGGACTGAGTTAAGCATTACTTTTCTGAACCTAATATACATCAAGTATTTGAGCAAGTATTCTTGTTAATCTTCATTTCTTTATACCTTGAAAATATTTGCACTAAAGTGCATAAAGTGTACTAATAATGTACAGCTCAGTGAGTTACCCATGTAACAACTACCTAGATCAGGGGTCAAGAAATGTTTTGTGCAAAGTCCAGAGAGTAAATATTTTATGCTTTGAAGGCCATATGGTCTCTGTCACAACTATTCAACTTTGCCATTGTAGCACAATAGCAGTCATAGACAATATATAAACAAATAGGTGTGGCTATGTGCTAGTAAATATTTATTCAGGAACCCTGAAATTTGAATTTTATATAATTTTTAAATGTTTGAAATAGGATTCTATTTTTTTTCTTTTTCCAATCATTTAAAATGTAAAAACCATCTTAACTCCCTGACCATACAAAAGTAGGTAGTGGCCAAATTTGGCCCCCAGTTTGTAGTTTGCTCACCCCTGACCTAGATCAAAGTATGAAACATGACCAGCACCAGAGAAGGCTCCCTTAAGCCCCTTCTCCATTAATACCCTCCTTGTAGAGGTAACTGTCATTGACTTCTATCACCAATGATTAGATTTGACTGTGCTTGAACTTTATGTAAATGGAATAATACAGTCTCCATTCATTTGTGTCTGGCTTCTTTCACTCATTCATGTCTGTAAGATTCAGTCATGTTTTTGTGTGTATCACAAATACATTTATTATTTCTGTGCAGCATTCTGCTGTATGGCTATATAATTAATCATCAATTGTTTACTTGGTCTACTTGTAGATATTTGGGCTGTTTCTAGTTTGGGGATATTATAAATAAAGCTGCTGTGAGCATTCTTATACACATCTTTTGGTAGGCATAAGATTCATTTTTCCTGAATCAATCTTTGTGTGTGTGTGTGTGTCTGTGTCTGTGTGTGTGTGAGAGAGAGAGAGAGAAAGAAAGAGAGAGAGAGAGACAGAAAGAAAGAGAGAGAGAGAGAGAGGGAGATTGAGAGAGAGTGTGAGGGGGGAAAGTGTCTCCAGACAGGTTTGATTGGTGGTCAGAACCACTGACAATGCACAGACTTATGAGACTCTCTGAGTCTCCCTTTTTAGAATTCTTCATGGAAACTATTAAGTGTCCAGTGTTAGACAGCAATAGGAAGGTACCTGGAGAATAGGTAAGATGGGTAATTTCCTGCTGCAGTAGGCACCACTATTCCCTAAGAGCATAGAGATCCTAAGACTGCAATAAGTGCCAGGCATGCTGACACACGGAAAATGTGGTACACCTAGCCCTTGTGTCTGCCTTACAGGGAGCATAAACATAGAATGCACATAACACTGGAGGCTTGCTGAAGGATATCAATAGTTGACATTGGAGGTCTAGAAAATTGGTTCTTTCATTATGTGATCCCACACAATTAAATTTGGTAAATTAAATGGGAAAAACAATATTTTCTTCTTTTATTATACTTTAAGTTCTGGGGTAAATGTGTAGAATGTCTAGGTTTGTTACATAGGTATTCATGTGCCATGGTGGTTTGCTGCACCCATCAACCCATCATCTACATTAGGTATTTCTCCTAATGCTATCCTTCCCCTAGCCCCCAACCCCCTGACAGGACCCAGTGTGTGATGTTCCCCTCCCTGTGTCCATGTGTTCTCATTGTTCAACTCCCAATTATGAGTGAGAACATGCAATGTTTGGTTTTCTGTTCTTGTGTTAGTTTGCTGAGAATGATAGTTTCCAGCTTTATCCATGTCCCTGCAAAAGACATGAACTCATCCTTTATGGCTGCATAGTGTTCCATGGTGTATATGTGCCACATTTTCTTTATCCAGTCTAACATTGATGGGCATTTGGGTTGGTTCCAATTCTTTGCTATTGTGAATAATGCCACAATAAACATACTTGTGCATGTGTCTTTATAGTAGCATGATTTATAATCCTTTGGGTATATACCCAGTAATGGGATTGCTGGGTCAAATGGTATTTCTGGTTCTAGTTCCTTGAAAAATGGCCACACTGTCTTCTATAATGGTTGAACTAATTTACATTCCCACCCACAGTGTAAAAGCATTCCTATTTCTCCACATCCTCTCCAGCATCTGTTGTTTCCTGACTTTTTAATGATTGCCATTCTGACTGGCGTGAGATGGTATCTCATTGTGGTTTTGATTTGCACTTCTCTAATGACCAGTGATGATGAGGATTTTTTCATATGTTTGCTGGCCACTTCTTCTTTTGAGAAGTGTCTGTTCATATCCTTTGCCCACTTTTTGATGGGGTTGTTTTTTTCTTGTAAATTTGTTTAAGTTCTTTGTAGATAATGGATATTAGTCATTTGTCAGATGCATAGTTTGCAAAATTTTTCTCCTATTCTGTAGGTTGCCTGTTCACTCTGATGATAGTTTCTTTAGCTGTGCAGAAGCTCTTTAGTTTAATTAGGTCCCATTTGTGTATTTTGACTTTTGTCGCCATTGCTTTTGGTGTTTTATTCACGAAGTGTTTGCTCATGCCTATGTCCTGAATGGTATTGCCTAGATTTTCTTCTAGGGATTTTATGGTTTTAGGTCTTACATTAAGTCTTTAATCCATCTTGAGTTAATTTTTGTATAAGTTGTAAGGAAGGGGTCGAAGTTTCAGTTTTCTGCATATGGCTAGACAGTTTTCCCAACACCATTTATTAAATCCTTTCCCCATTTCTTGTTTTTTTCAGGTTTGTCAAAGATCAGATGGATGCAGACGTGTTGTGTGATTTCTGAGCTCTCTGTTCTGTTCCATTGATCTATATATCTGTTTTGGTATCAGTACCACACTGTTTTGATTACTGTAGACTTGTAGTATAGTTTGAAGTCAGGTAGTGTGATGCCTCCAGCTTTGTTCTTTTTCCTTAGGATTGTCTTTCCTATGCAGGCTCTTTTTTGGTTCCATATGAAATTTAAAGTAGTTTTTTCCAATTCTGTGAAGAAAGTCAATGGTAGCTTGATGGGATAGCATTGAATCTATAAATTAATTTGGGCAGTATGGCCATTTTCACAATATTGATTCTTCCTATCTATGAGCATGGAATGTTTTTCCATTTATTTGTGTCCTCTCTTATTTATTTGAGCAGTGGTTTGTATTTCTCCTTGAATAGGTCCTTCACATCCCTTGAAAGCTGTATTCCTAGGTATTTTATTCTCTTTGTCACAATTGTGAATGGGAGTTAACTCATGGTTTGGCTGTCTGTCTGTTATTGCTGTATAGGAATGCTTGTGATTTTTGACATTGATTTTCTATTCTGAGACTTTGTTGAAGTTGCTTATCAGCTTAAGGAGATTTTGGGCTGAGACAATGGAGTTTTCTAAATATACAATCATGTCATCTGCAAATAGAGACAATTTGACTTCCTGTTTTCCTATTTGAATACCCTTTGTTTCTTTCTCTTCCCTGACTGCCCATGCCAGAACTTCCAATACTATGTTGAATAGGAGTGTGAGAGAGGGCATCCTTGTCTTGTTCCGGTTTCCAAAGGGAATGCTTTCAGCTTTTACTCATTCAGTATGATATTGGCTGTGGGTTTGTCATAAATAGCTCTTATTATTTTGAGATACGTTCCATCAATACCTAGTTTATTGACAGTTTTTAACATGAAGGGGTGTTGAGTTTTGTCAAAGGCCTTTTCTGCATCTATTGAGATAATCGCATGGTTTTTGTCATTGGTTCTGTTTATGTGATGGGTTACATTTATTGATTTGCATATGTAGAACCAGCCTTGCATCCAAGGGATGCAGCCAACTTGATCAAGGTGGATAAGCTTTGTAATGTGCTGCTGGATTCGGTTTGCCAGGGATATTGGCCTAAAATTTTCTTTTTTTGTTGTGTCTCTGCCAAGGTTTGGTATCAGGATGATCCTGGCCTCATAAAATAAGTTAGGGAGGATTCCCTCTTTTTCTATTGTTTGGAATAGTTTCAGAAGGAATGGTACCAGCTCCTCTTTGTACTTCTGGTAGAATTTGGCTCTGAATCTGTCTTTTCCTGCACTTTTTAGGTTTGGTAGGCTATTAATTACTGTCTCAATTTCAGAACTTATTAGTGGTCTAATTCAGGATTCGACTTCTTCCTGGTTTAGACTTGGAAGGGTGTATGTGTCCAGGAACGTATCCATTTCTTCTAGATTTTCTAGTTTATTTGTGTAGAGGTGTTTACAATATCCTCTGATGGTAGTTGCATTTCTGTGGGATCAGTAGTGATAGCCCCTTTATCATTTTTAATTGTGTTTATTTGATTCTTCTCCATTTTTTTCTTTGTTAGTCTGCCTAGTTGTCTGTCTATTTTGTTAATCTTTTCAAACAACCAGCTCCTGGATTCATTGATTCTTTGAAGGATTTTTTTTGTGTCTCTATCTCCTTCAGTTCTGCTCTGATCTTAGTTATTTCTTGTCTTCTGTTGGCTTTTGAATTTGTTTGCTCTTGCTTCTCTAGTTCTTTAAATTGTGATGTTAGTGTCTCGATTTTTAGATCTTTTCTGCTTTCTCTTGTGGAGATTTGGTGCTATAAATTTCCCTCTAAACACTGGTTTAATTGTGTTCCGGAAATTCTGATACATTGTGTTTTTGTTGTCATTTGTTTCAAAGAACATTGTTATTTCTGCCTTAATTTCATTATTTGCCCAGTAGTCATTCAGGAGGTTGTTCAGTTTCCATGTGGTTGTGTGGTTTTGAGTGAGTTTCTTAATCCTGATTTCTGATTTGATTGCTCTGTGGTCTGAAAGACTGTTTGTTATGATTTCCATTCTTTTGCATTTGCTGAGGAGTGTTTTACTTCCAATTATGTGGCCAATTTTCGTATAAGTGTGATAAGGTGCTGAGAAGAATGTATATTCTGTTGATTTGGAGTGGAGAGTTCTGTAGATGTCTATTAAGTCTGCTTGGTCCAGAGCAGAGTTCAAGTCCTGAATGTCCCTGTTAACCTTCTGTCTCATTGATATGTCTAATATTGACAGTGCAGTGTTAAAGTCTCCCACTATTATTGTGTGGGAGTCTAAGTCTCTTTGTAGGTCTCTAAGAACTTGCTTTATGAATCTGGGTGCTCTTGTATTGGGTGCATATATATTTAGGAAAGTTAGCTCTTCTT
Source organism: Homo sapiens (assembly GCF_000001405.40). Lineage (NCBI taxonomy): Eukaryota > Metazoa > Chordata > Mammalia > Primates > Hominidae > Homo > Homo sapiens. Next base: position 109,194,462 of record NC_000023.11, on the reverse strand, counting down.
ATTGCATTGATCCCTTTACTGGTATGTAATGCCCTTCTTTGTCTCTTTTTATCTTTGTTGGTTTGAAGTCTGTTTTATCACTGACTAGGATTGCAACCCCTGCTTTTTTTGCTTTCCATTTGCTTGGTAAATATTCCTCCATCCCTTTAATTTGAGTCTATGTTTCTCTTTGCACTTGAGATGGGTCTCTTGAATACAGCAGACCAATGGGTCTTGACATTTTATCCAATTTGCCAGTCTGTGTCTTTTAATTGGGGGCATTTAGCCCATTTACATTTAAGGTTAATATTGTTTTGTGTGAATTTGATCCTGTCATTATGATGCTAGCTGGTTATTTTGCCCATTAGTTGATGCAGTTTCTTTATATTCTCAATGGTCTTTACAATTTGGTATGTTTTTGCAGTGGCTGGTACTGGTTGTTCCTTTCCATGTTTAGTGCTTCCTTCAGAAGCTCTTATGAGGCAGGCCTGGTGGTGACATTATCTCTCAGCATTTGCTTCTCTTTAGAAGATTTTATTTCTCCTTCACTTATGAAGCTTAGTTTGGATGGATATTAAATTCTGGGTTGAAAATTCTTTCCTTTAAGAATGTTGAATATTGGCCCTCACTCTCTTCTGGCTTGTAGGGTTTCTGCAGAGAGATCCACTGTTAGTCTAATGGTCTTCCCTTTGTGGATAACCCAACCTTTCTCTCTGGCTGCCCTTAACATGTTCCCTTTCATTTTACTCTTGGTGAATCTGATGATTATGTGTCTTGGGGTTGCTCTTATCTAGGAGTATTTTAGTGGTTTTCTCTTTATTTCCTGAATTTGAATGTTGGCCTGTCTTTCTAGGTTGGGGAAGTTCTCCTGGTTAGTATCCTGAAGAGTGTTTTCCAACTTGGTTCCATTCTCCCCGTCACCTTCAGGTACACCAATCAAACATAGATTTAGTCTTTTCACATAGTCTCATATTTCTTGGAAGCTTTGTTTGTTCCTTTTCATTCTTTTTTTCTCTGATCTTTCCTTCTGCTTTTATTTCATTAAGTTGATATTCAATCTCTGATATCCTTTCTTCCACTTGTTCAACTCGGCTATTGATACTTGTGTATGCTTCACTAAGTTCTCGTGCTGTGTTTTTCAGTTCCATCAGGTCATTTATGTTCTTCTCTAAACTGGTTATTCTAGTTAGCAATTTGTCTAACCTTTTTTCAAGGTTCTTAGTTAACTTCCTTGCATTGGGCTAGAACATGCTCCTTTAGCTCAGAGGAGTTTGTTATTACCCACCTTCCAAAGCCTAGTTCAGTCAATTCATCAAAATCATTCTCCACCCAGTTTTGTTCCCTTGCTGGCAAGAAGTTGTGATCCTTTGGAGAAGAAGAGGTATTCTGGTGTTTGGAATTTTCAGCCTTCTTGCCCTGGTTTCTCCTCATTTTCGTGGATTTATCTACTTTTGGTCTTTGAGGTTGGTGACTTTCAGATGGGGTCTCTGAGTGGACGTCCTTTTTGTTGATGTTGATGCATTTCTTTGTGTTTGTTAGTTTTCCTTCTAACAGTCAGGCCCCTCTGCTGCAGGTCTGCTGGAGTTTATTGGATGATCCCTCCAGACACTGTTTTCCTGGGTGTCACCAGTGGAGGCTGCAGAACAGCAAAGATTGCTGTCTGTTCCTTCCTCTGGAACTTTCTTCCCAGAGGGGCAGCTGCCCAATGTCAGCCAGAGCTCTCCTGTATGAAATGTCTGTCTGCCCCTAGTGCGAGGTTTCTCCCAGTCAGGATCAGGATACACAGGAATCAGGGACCCACTTGAGGAAGCAGTCTGATTCTTAGCAGAGCTCGAATGCTATGCTGGAAGATCTGCTGCTCTCTTCAGAGCCGTTAGGCAGGGAAGTTTAAGTCTGCTGAAGCTGCTCCCACAGCTGCCCCTTCCCCTGGGTGCTCTCTCCTAGAGTTATGGGATTTTTATCTATAAGCCCCTGACTGGGGCTGCTGCCTTTCCCTCAGAGATGCCCTCTCCAGAGAGGAGGAATCTAGAGAGACAGTCTGGCCAGAGTGGCCTTGCAGAGCTGCAGTGGGCTCCACCCAGTTCAAATTTCCTGGTGGCTTTTTTACACTGTGAGGCTAAAATCGCCTACTCAAGCCTCAGCAATTGCAGACGCCCCACCCCCACCAAGCTCGAGCATCCCAGGTCCATCTCAGACTGCTGTGCTGGTAGTGAGAATTTAAAGCCAGTGGATCTTAGTTTTCTGGTCTCCATTGGGGTGGGATCCACCGAGCCAGACCACTTGGCTCCCTGGCTTCAGCCCTCTTACCAGGGGCATTAATAGTTCTGTCTCGCTGGAGTTCCAGGCACCACTGGGGTATGGAAAATAAAACTTTTCCAGCTAGCTTGGTGTCTTCCCAAACAGCTGCCCAGTTTTCTGCTTGAAATCCAGGGCCCTGGTGGCATAGGCACTGGAGGGAATTTCCTGGTCTGTGGGTTGCGAAGACCATGGGAACAGTGTAGTATCTGGGCCGGAGTGCACCATTCCTCATGACACAGTCCCTCATGGCTTCCCTTGTGTAGGGGAGAGAATTCCCTGACCCCTTGTGCTTTCTGGGTGAGGTGACATCCCACCCTGCTTCGGCTCACCCTCTGTGGGCTGCACCCACTGTCCAACCAGTCCCAATGAGATGAACTGGGTAACTCAGTTGGAAATGCAGAAATCACCCACCTTCTGAGTTAATCTCACTAGGAACTGCAGACCAGAGCTGTTCCTATTCGGCCATCTTGCCAGCAATCTGGGAAAAACAATATAATATTTTCTACGGTCAGATTGCATGTGTGTGTGTGTGTGTGTTCCATATAAGCTGGAACACACACACACACACACAAACCTGACACCAAAAGTTTTCAGTGGGGAAGAAAATAGAACGGGAATGATTTTTCTCTTTCTCTATCACCATGATTGTTCCCCACTGTTTGTCTTAGCTTTTCCCCATCACTCTCAGTCTCTCTTTCACTCTAAGTTTTTCTCTCTATCTTTCTGTCTCTCTGTGTATATCTGCCTCCCACTCTATTTATTTGTATATATCTCTCTCAGTCTCTCAGTTTCAATCATACTTTCTCTCAATTTCCCCCTCTGGATGTGTATATATGTATATGTGTGTGTGTCACTGTTTCTTGATTTCTCTTTTTTTCACATTCCATCATTGTCACTCATTGTATCTCTTTCTCTCTTCTTTCTCTGTGTATGAATATGTTTATCTCCCTCTCTGTATGTTTATGTGCCTCTCACTGTGTGTCTCTATATATGAGTGTGCATCTATTTATGTCTGTGTTTGTGTCTTTGTGTGTTTATCTCTTTCCATGGGTGTCTCTGTCTCTTTCTCACACCACACTTACTCACTAGGCCTGTCTCCTAGGCCTATCTCCTAGCCATAGAGGAAACAAAGCAATATATTCTGGAACACTGCACCGATTCAGAAAGAAGTGCAGTAAAGTGGAAGCTTGCTAGATAAGCATAGGAACACCTTTCACCCTCATTCTGCTTGTTCAACTCTCAAGACAATGATGGTCTAAATGCAAATTGCTACTGAGGTTTTTTCCAAGGCCATTATTTTTAAATAAGTCAGCAGAGCTATCCTTAAATATTGGACAAAGATGAGGATGCTTACAAAGTATGATTTGAGAAAGCCCACACACAGCAAAATTTGCCGTAATTCTGTCATGCTATCTTTAGTGACTCATTTCATTAGCTTCAACATTGCCTCCTTCTGACTTTTCTCTTTGAAAATGCAAATGTTCTCAATGAGATATTAGTGGCTTATGAGAGGCAGAAGTTTCTTCTGACTACCTAGAATGGTGTGTGCATGCATGTGTTATATGTGTTTGTGTGTGTGTGTGTGTGTTATTGGAGGTGAAAGAGAATAGAAAATGGAAATAAAGAAAATTAAAGAAAAAATAGGAGATCCACTATCATTCACTGGGCAAACTTGGCCAAGTCACTTAGTTTCTGTAGACTTCAGTCAGAAAATGTAGGGAAGTAGTGATAAGGGAGTGGATTAGGTAGGCTTCAAGCCCCTCAACCCCGACTTTAATTAGAAACTCACCCCTATTACCAGGTCTCTGTATTGAGTTTTCAAACAAGATTTTGATTGAAGAAATTTAAAGAAAATAAGTTTGGAAAAAATTACTGGACTAGGTAAACTCTAAGTTCCCTTTCTACTCAGAATGTCTCTGATTCTAATCCTAAAGCCCAAGCATAGGACTACCTCCAGAAATTAGATATAGCTCATTTAAGAAAATGTATAGTAAAAGGGGATGCCAAATAATTTCATTGGTCAGTAATTCTTCAATTTGTATACTTAACTACCTTTGTTGTACTCTTTTATAAATTCCTTTGGTCATTTGACAGATTTATCCATGCTTTCTTGTAAGCATAAATTTGTAAACAAAATCCCATTTTCCTGTTGATTTACATTTTAGAGTCTAAAGTGAATATACCCACAGAAAAGATAAGAGCCTCAATATGAACAAAAACACACTTAGAATGCAGCTTAGCTTCATTTTAAAGCAGAAAACAAAAGAACAAATATTTTTCTGAAAAATATTAGTCTGTGTCTGCATCACATACAATTTGATTATGCCACCATTAAAATATCATGTTAATTTGGCATTTGGGGGAATAAAGGGGGGCACCTGGACATGGTCATCTTCCTAAAGTGTAAAATAGAAATCATATTCTCACCTCCAACAGTCCATAGGACATTTCCCTTTGAAATTTGAAGGCAACGGCTTTCATCTGACTTTGCCTTGAAAGTTGCCAGGTATGCATCACTATTATTGAATCCAGTAGCTTCACCCCATTCAGTAGACTCTGCTAATGAATCCTTGTGTTCTTTCCCATGCATGGTGTTTGTATGAGCTGAAAAGCATAAAAATTCAGAATAGTTGTTGGAAATAGCTTCATGACCCTGTTCAGCATTTCAAGTGACTTTCCAATAAAGTTCCCTTTAAATGTACTTCTAATGGTTTGTAAATAAAAGCTGTTCCCTTATCTCCCCAGCTTTGGCCTGCTGAACAATGTCAAGGAATCTTTCTATGAATCATTTGGGGTAAAGCTGAAGAATCTAATAATTGTAAGAAGTAGTCTCTAATTTGTGGCTTTTAGGAAATGTAGTTTCACATCAATTGACTCTTCCTGTAGCTGAAGAAAATCCCCAGAAATTCATATAGTTTCATAATAAGGCACATCTGTATTCTGAGTGCCTGAAAAGCCCTCTAAGATGCAAGCCAAAATATAATGCAGTGTTTCTTTTTACCAACTACTCACATGTCTCCACATTGTCAGGGATTGGGGGGCCAGGATGCATGATAATTCAGCAATCCTGCCCTCCTAATGATTCAGAGAGACCTTGGTAGAACACAGCAGCTATCTCTTTCCATTGCTGTTTAGTTGTCCAGGGAAAAATATTGCTGAGCTGTAAGAAAGATAAAATGAGGGAAGACTAGTTTGATTTGGTGGAAAATGTTAATGATAAGCTATTTGAAAATAAAATAAGTATTTTTTCAAAATTTTCATACATAATAAGGTGAAACAGGCTAACCAAGGGCTTCCTAATAGGACTTCCTCCAGGGATCTGCTTTCAAATACTGGTAGGAAGTTTAGCTAATTAGCTTAACAATTATAAATAAATGAAGGGAGTACTTTTAAAGTATTGAACAATGCATGGAAATTTTAAAGAATTTTATAAATCTTTGCAGGAAAAATTTGTTTACCATTGTAATTAGCTTGGCAAATTGGCTTCTTAGAGTATAAAAATAAAGTAGGCTGGTTCCTTGATTTTCACCAATTCCAAATTAATGGATTCCAAACTAAGGTCATTTGACTACATGCTGCCCAGCTTGTGTTCATTCAGTTCTTTCCCCTACACCTCTGCATCCCCACCCATAACTAATGTAACCCCAACAGGGTATTTTTTTCATTAATAGTAACTCTTGCATAGAAAGAAATTAGAGAAATGAGTATTTGTTGTTGGTGTTGTTCACCGTTACTCCTTCTGGAAATTGATTGAACAAAGCACTCTTCCTCTAGGCCACGTGACATAAGAAAGTGGGTTTGAAATACTGGACCCTTCTAATGAGATTGTACCTATATCTATGATGAAAAAGTTCTCTTCACAAGCTTATTGTGTACACAAGAGAAATATTAGCCTACTTCAGTGTGAAAACCTCAGCAGCAGCATTTGTATCCCCAAACTGAATGTCCTAATTATAAATGAGCCATGTCTATTTGTCAAACCACTTACAGATCTCTGAGATGTATAGCTTTGCCTTTTATCCTCTTGTCTCAGTCATTGGGATTACTTTATGTACTTGAAAGTAATGAGATTGCATTTTCCTCTCCAAATATCCTATCACTCATACTTTTCATTTAAGGCAGACTGACCTTTCCCCCCAATTAGAACAAATTAGTGACGTTTTACTTCATCTCAAAACCACTGAGCCATTGTAAGGGCAGAGTCGATGATGGGGCCCTAATGGGGCCTTGAAAGATGAGCAGGAGAAAAAGGAACAGAGAAAGCAGGACTAAAAGAAGTAGGGGTAGGGATTCAAGGGATGGTGAAGAGGGCAGGTGGTAGTAGTAGTGTGTAGGACTCAAAGGAAAGTAAAGTAAATGAGGGTGGGGTGACCTGGAGACAAAGGAGAAAAGCCTAGGGATTGCAGAGCAGGTAGGGTGTTAAGACTGCAAAAGAAGAAAAACAGACAGACAGGTTGTGAGGTACATTGAGCCTCAGAATGGGAGGACACAGGAAGAGTAGTGAAGGGGCTGCCCCATCTGCTTATAAGTGACTCATTTGCTCCTGCTCTAAGCAGGACAAAGCTCTAGCTTACTAACTGGCTGTCAGTATTTCTGTCTTACTGCCTTTTCTCTTTCATTAATAATAGTCATACATTAGGATAAATAGGTAGATAAGAGGTTGCCCAAGGAGCAATAGTTTTGTTAAAAAAACAAAGGATGGTATCAGAGTCAGACAGTTTTATATTAGATTTACTGTGAAGTCTGGCAAGCTATCTAATTTCTCAGAGTTTCACTATCCATATTCATAATTAAGGGCAAAAAATGCTACTCTCTAATGTTGTGGCTAGTATCAAATTAAATCTTGTATAGGCAAGGGCCAAGCACAGGGTCTGGCATGTAGTAAAGGCATAATAAGTTAGCCCTGGATACTCGCAACAACTTTTACAGATAATACAAAACCATGTGTAGCCCTTCATTGGTACTGTCAGATAAAAATTATAGGAGTCCATTGTTTTGGACTAAGCTTCTGCACTATGCCCCAACGGACCAGACTAAAAACAAAATGGAGTCACCCACGCTAAAGTTCCACATTACCAAACACGAACTAAGTTGTTATCTGACTTTCCCAGAAATCAGGAGAAAGAGGTAACTGCCAGTTTCACACACAAGCCAGTTTAAATCTTCAATTGGCATCATGATGAAGTTCCCTCTCCTTTTATCCTTACCAAAAACAGGGTAGCTTGAAGTAATCAATGTTAACTAATCAGTTATTTTTCTACTCTTCTGTCTCCCTGTCCTCATCTTATAAGAAATGCATCTTTGAAATAACTATTACTCTTGTTCTTTCCTTCTGTTTTCTTCAGCCCTTCTCCATCTATAAACTTCTTCTCTTCATCTTATTTGAACACTTACTCTATTTTATGAATTAATGTCACCCAATTCTAAGATCATAAATAAAGCCAATTGAGATCTTTAAATGAAATTTGTTGTAATTTTTTCTTTTGACCCATCCGGAGGCCCTGAAGGGATGTGAAAGAGACTGCTGAAGACCTGAGACCCCTTGAGGAACACAGGAAAAGGCACTGCTAAACCCATTTTCTGGAGGGCATACTCTGTCTTCCTCTTGGATCCCCAAGAGTTTTGAGTAAGTTTCTCTCAGATCTGAGCTCTGCTCTCTTTTGCATTTGAGCTCTTTGATATACTCAGCTTTGAGTGTACTAAGTCTAGTTTGTGCTGTGAGAGAGTATTTGATTTTGTGATACCTAGGATTAGTTTGTGCTGTGGCAGGGCACATGACTTTTGGATTTGTGGTGGCTGACAAGTCACTGGCAATGGCTGCATATTTTGCTGTCTCTTTGGAGATGTCTTCTGTATGGTTCCATAAAAGGTTTGAGTTAAGCTCGTAAGAATATGGCTGGACAGAAATGTAGGTTGCACCCAAATTTCGGCTGGCATATGGCCAAACAGAAATTTGGATTGCACTCCATTTGCAGATAGAGTAAAGGACTGCAGTTTTAAAGGTAACTGACAGCAGTTGCAGTAAGTGGTTATTACTGTATGGGGCATAAAGTCTGGCTTTTGGAATTTGCAGATATGTGGGATCTTTTTTCTTGCAGGCTTACTTAAGGGAGGCCTCAGATATCTGACTGCTCAGACAGAAACTGGAAAATCATTGGTGAAGTTGGTAAAGAAGATCTTAGATCTAAAGTCATTTGGGGTCTGAGAGACCCGAGATCAAAATAAAAATGAGATTTTTAATTTTGAAAGATCTGAGTACTCCATCTTCCATTAGACTTGCCCCTGTTTTTGTGTATAAGATTTCTGGCCTTGGAAGCTACAAATATTTATGAAACTGGCAAAATCTTCCAAAAGATAATTAAGAATTACCATGGCCATTATGTGGAACATTCCAGATGAACAAGTCTGTAAGAAGAGCACTTGAATCCCAAGCCTCCCAAATTACACAGAAAGAACAGGATTCTTGTTGGCATTCAGAAGCTTCAAAGAGACAATAGAATTTTAACATAGTTTTTTAAAAAAGATTCATTGCAAAAACCTAATAAAAAGCTAAAAATGCAAGGTATTTACCATACGAAGGATGATAGAACTGACATGACTCCTACCACTCCCCTTTATCCTACTTTGCTTGAATATTCACAGTGTACTCCTGAATATTCACAGTCTACTCTCTGTCTGAATTTCCTTTCTTCTCTGAAAAAAACAAACATTTTTCTTATAAGACTAGAATTACCCCAAAATTGGAGACAATCCCCAAGTGACTTACAGTCCCCAGACAAAAATGGAGCTCAGGGCCATAATTTAAAAATACCCTAAAATTAAGGAAGACTTTCAAAAGTTATCTAAAGGATTCAGGGTCTTAATTATAACTTATGACCCATGATACTTGCTCTATACCAACTAATACACATGTTAGTGGGACCTGAGAAAGCCCAAAAGTGGATAAAAGAGGCAGAATATTATTCTCTTGAGAATGATAGCAAGGACCTGACAAGCCCTACTTGGTCTATTTATGGCCCAGGCAAAATCCAAAAGATCTTAAATAACCATTTGAAAGCCATTCCCAAAGTGTTTCAGTTCATGGCAACCAACAACCTAGAATAACTTTTAGGCCTGCCCCAGGGCACTTTTCCAATTAATGACCCCTAAAACACCAGTTTCCAAAAAATTGTTGCCATTCCTAGAAACAACTAGGACACTGAAAGAGGCATTGTCCCCAGAGATTTTGAGGAAAGCCCCTAAAAGAGGCTGCCCACCTTCTGATAATCTTTATGTTAACCACCAGGACCAAAGGTCCTCTGGGGGAAGCTCCAGTAAGTTTCTACCAGTTTTTCTTTGGCCTACTCATTAATGAGCTTCAAGTTGAAGTCTAGCTAAGAAACAAGAAAAGTTGAAAAGACTGCCTATCAAATTAAATGGTCTCCAAAAGACAACTTCCAGACAATTAGGTAGCTACTTTGAAACTCTTTGTAAAAGAAATTTACATCTGTATGGGAAATCTCCATTTGTAAGGGTATTTCCCTCTTTGCACCTAAACCACTAGAAACTTTTACAATAGTAAAGATATTGGACTTAAAGTTCACATAACAAACCTTACCTTTGTTTAAGGTACTTCTCTGATCATCTTGTCTTAATTTGACCTTTACATATGCCTTTCTTTTTCTTTTGGCAAATAACAGTGTTTAGATCTGAGTTCTACAAATTATTTAACTTGTTTCATCTGGGAAGGCATCCCTTTGAAAGTACAAATTCAGGGTTTCCTAGCTAGCAATTTCTTGGGGCAATGGAATAGGTGATTGAAAGAATGTCTAACATTCACATGCTGCAAAAATGGTTAACGGGGAAATAACATGAGATAAAAACTAGTTTTGTTTAATGTCTCATAGAACTTTCATGAATAGTTTAAACATAGTTATTAAAAACAAGTAAAATAGCTATAGATGTTTATAGATAAACTCTTCAAAGTTTCAAAAATATTTTTGGTAACTTGAAACCTTAAAGTGAAATTAAGTAATAGATACTCATTTTCATGGACGTCTGTGTGAAGAGACCACCAAACAGGCTTTGTGTGAGAAATAAAGCTTTTAATCACCTGGGTGCAGGCGGGCTGAGTCCGAAAAGAGAGTCAGCAAAGGGAGATAGGGGTGGGGCCGTTTTATAGGATTTGGGTAGGTAAAGGACAATTACAGTCAAAGGGGGGTTGTTCTCTGGCGGGCAGGAGTGGGGGTCACAAGGTGCTCAGTAGGGGAGATTTTTGAGCCAGGATGAGCCAGGAAAAGGACTTTTACAAGGTAATGTCATCACTTAAGGCAAGGACGGGCCATTTTCATTTCTTTTGTGGTGGAATGTCATCAGTTAAGGTGGGGCAGGGCATTTTCACTTCTTTTGTGATTCTTCAGTTACTTCAGGCCATCTGGGCGTATATGTGCTAGTCACCGGGGATGCGATGGCTTAGCTTGGGCTCAGAGGCCTGACATTCCTGCCTTCTTATATTAATAAGAAAAATAAAACAAAATAGTGTTGAAGTGTTGGGATGGTGAAAATTTTTGGGGGTGGTATGGAGAGAGCGAATGGGCAGTGTTTCTCAGGGCTGCTTCAAGCAGGATTAGGGGCGGCACGGGAATGTAGAGTGGGAGAGATTAAGCTGAAGGAAGATTTTGTGGTAAGGGGTGATATTGTGGGATTGTTAGAAGAAACATTTGTCATTTAGAATTATTGGTAATGGCCTGGATATGGTTTTGTATGAATTGAAAAACTAAATGGAATAAGAGAAGGAGAAAAACAGGTGTTAAAGGTCTAAGAATTGGGAGGACCTAGGACATCTAATTAGAGAGTGCCTAAGGAGGTTCAGCATAGTCCTGCCAGCAAAGATTATTTACTTTAAGAGTTAAGAGTGGCAGTTTGGGGATAGCACCAATATCAGCTGTGATGGCTTGGAGAAACAGTGTAAACCGGCAGTGTAAACAAAAGCAGGGCATGTATGAGTAGTTGAGAACGGTGAATAGGAGTATGACTAGACAGAAGATAGTAGGGATGACAAGTTTTTTGGAGCACAGTCCAAATTGGTCTGGTGTCTGGAATGAGACTGGGGCCTAATAAAAAGGAGTATCTATACAGGAGCTCAAATGGGCTGTACCCTGTAGCATTCTGAGGACAGGCCTGAATTCTGAGAAGGGAAAGTGGTAAAAGTATTGTCTAGTCCTTTTTAAGTTGGTGGCTGAGCTTGGTGAGGTGTGTTTTTAAAAGACTATTAGTCTGTTCTACTTTTCCTGAAGACTGAGGACTGTAAGGGATATAAAGGTTTCACTGAATACTTAGAGCCTGAAAAAATGCTTGGCTGATTTCACCAATAAAGGCCGGTCTGCTATGGGACTGTATAGAGGTGGGAAGGCCAAATCGAGGAATTATGTCTGACAGAAGGGAAGAAATGACCACGGTGGCCTTCTCAGACCCTGTAGGAAAGGCATCTACCTATCCAGTGAAAGTGTCTACCTAGACTAAGAGGTATTTTAGTTATCTGACTTGGGGCATGTTAAGTAAAGCTAATTTGCCAGTCCTGGGTGGGGGCAAATCCTCAAGCTTGATGTGTAGGGAAGGGAGGGGGCCTGAATAATCCCTGAGGATTAGTAGAATAGCAGATGGAACACTGAGAAGTTATTTCCTTGGGGATAGATTTCCACGATGGAAAGGAAATGAGAGGTTCTAAGAGGCGGGCTAGTGGCTTGTACTATAGCATAGTCTGCCTTTGCTGGTGTGTGGCAATTAGGCCTGGTGGAACTGCCATCAATAAATCAAGCGTGATCAGGGTGAGGAATGGGAAAGAAGGAAATATGGGGAAATGGGGTGAATGTCAGGTGGATCAGAGAGATACAGTCATGGGGGTCAGGTGTGGTATCAGGAATAATGTGGGAGGCCGGATTGAAGTCCGGGCCAGGAACAATGGTAATTGTGGGACTTAACAAAGAGTGAGTACAGCTGAAGGAGCCAGGGAGCAGAAAGTATATGCATCAGGTGTGAGGAAGAAAATAGATTTTGGAAGTTATGAGAAATGTAGAGAGTGAGTTGAACATAGTTTGTGATTTTTAGGGTCTCTAAAAGTATTAAAGCAGTGGCAGCCGCTGCACGCAGACATGAGGGCTAGGCTAAAACAGTAAGGTTAAGTTATTTGGACAGAAAGGCTACAGGGTGTGGTCCTGGCTCTTGTGTAAGAATTCTGACCGCACTAACCATGCCTAGGAAGGAAAGGAGTTGTTGTTTTGTAAAGAATTGAGGTTTGGGAGATTAATTGGACATGATCAGCAGGGAGAGCACGTGTGTTTTTATGAGAATTATGCTGAGATAGGTAACAGATGAGGATGAAACTTGGGCTTGACTGAAGTAATGGGGTCTGTCTGTGAAGCCTTGCGGCAGTACAGCCCAGGTAATTTGCTGAGCCTAATGGGTGTCAGGGTCAGTCTAAGTGAAAGCGAAGAGACGCTGGGATGAAGGGTGCAAAGGAATAGTAAAGAAAGCATGTTTGAGATCCAGAACAGAATAATGGGTTGTAGAGGGAGGTATTGAGGATAGGAGAGTATATGGATTTGGCACCATGGGGTGGATAGGCAAAACAATTTGGTTGATAAGGTGCAGATTCTGAACTAACCTGTAAGCCTTGTCTGGTTTTAGGACAGGTAAAATGGGGGAATGGTAAGGAGAGTTTATAGGCTTTAAAAGGCCATGCTGTAGCAGGCGAGTGATAACAGGCTTTAATCTTTTTAAAGCATGCTGTGGGATGGGATATTGGCATTGACGGGGGTAAGGGTGATTAGGTTTTAATGAGATTGTAAGGGGTGCATGATCGGTCACCAAGGAGGGAATAGAGGTATCTTATACTTGTGGGTTAAGGAGGGGGGATACGAGAGGAGGATGCGAAGGAGGCTTTGAACTGGGGAAAAGGTGGCAATGAGGTGTGGCTATAGCCTAGGAATAGTCAGGGAAGCAGCTAATTTGGTTAAAATATCTCGGCCTAATAAGGGAACTGGGAAGGTGGGGATAACTAAAAAAGAGTGCATAAAAGAGTGTTGTCCAAGTTGGCACCAGAGTGGGGGAGTTTTCAGGGGTTTTGAAGCTTGGCCGTCAATACCCACAACAGTTATGGAGGCAAGGGAAACAGGCCTTTGAAAATAAGGTAATGTGGAGAGGGTAGTCTCTGTATTGATTAAGAAGGGGACGGACTTACCTTCCACTGTGAGAGTTACCCGAAGCTCAGTGTCCGTGATGGTCTAGGGGGCTTCCGAGGCAATCAGGCAGCATCAGTCTTCAGCCGCTAAGCCAAGAAGATCTGGGAAGGAGTCAGAGAGCCTTGGGCCAGAGTTCCAGGGGCTCTGGGAGTGGCTGCCAGGTGAGTTGGACAGTCCGATTTCCAGTGGGGTCCCACACAGATGGGACATGGCTTAGGAGGAATCCTGGGCTGCGGTCATTCCTTGGCCCAGTGGCCAGATTTCTGGCACTTGTAGCAAGCTCCTGGGGGAGGAGGTTCTGGAGGAACCCCTGGCAGCTGCAGTTCAGGTGTTTGGAGATGTGTGCTGGAGACGTGGCTGGGGTTTCTCACAGTGGAGGCAAGGAATTGCAACTCAGAAATACATTGCTACTTGGCTGCCTCTACTCTATTACTGTACACCTTGAAGGTGAGGTTAATTAAGTCCTGTTGTGGGTTTGAGGGCCAGAATTTAATTTTTGGAGCTTTATTTAATGTCGGGAGCAAATTGGGTAATAAAATGCATATTGAGAATAAGATGGCCTTCTGACCTTTCAGGGTTTAGGGCTGTAAAGCATCTCAGGGTTGCTGCCAAATGAGCCATGAACTGGGCTGGGTTTTTATATTTGATGAAAAAGAGCCTAAACGCTAACTGATTTTGGGAGAGGTCAGATAAAGAAAAAGGAGCATTAACCTTGACTATACCTTTAGCTCCAGCCACCTTTTTAGGAGGAAATTTCTGGGCAGGTGGGGGAAGGCTAGTAGCGGAATGTAACTGTAAGCTGGACCGGGTGTGAGGAGGGGAGGTGATAAAAGGATTATAGGGTGGGGGAGCAGAGGCTGAGGAAGAATTGGGACTGGCTTGGCCTGGTGAGGAGGGGAGAAGTCAGATGGGTCTGTAGAAAAGGAAGATTAGAAAGACTCAGCGATGCTTGGGGTTGGGACTGAGGGGACAGGTGGGAGGGAAAGAAGGAGGATCTGGGATGAGTCACATTGGGAACAGAGACTAGGGAGGGAACAATGTATAAAAGAATGCCTGGATGTCAGGCACCTCAGACCATTTGCCCATTTTATGACAAGAATTATTTAGATCTTGTAGGATGGAAAAATTGAAAGTGCCATTTTCTGGCTATTTGGAACCACTGTCAAGTTTGTACTGGGGTCAAGCAGCATTGTAGAAGAAAATAAGGCATTTAGGATTTAGGTCAGGTAAGAGTTGAAGAGGTTTTATGTTCTTAAGAACACAGGCTAAGGGAGAAGAAGGAGGAATGGAGGGTGGAAAGTTGCCTATAGTTAAGGAGGCAAGTTTAAAGAAAAGGGAGAGTAGAGACATGGAGGGAAGCGGTTCGGGGGTTCTTACCCTCCAGAAAAGCAGGAAAGGGGTTGGGGCACAGAGATACAAGGTCAGGGCATGGAAATAAGGGATCAGGGTGCAGAGATATAAGAGGTTGGGGCATGGAAATAAGGGATCGGGGTGCAGAGATATAAGAGGTTGGGGTATGGAAATAAGGGATCGGGGCACAGAGATATAAGAGGTTGGGGTGCAGAGATACAAGGTTGGGGTACTTGCCCCTCCACCAGAAAAGTGGGACTTGCCCCTAAGGGTGAAGGAGAAGGGGCTGGGGGTTTCTTGCCCCCCAGAAAGGTGGAGAAGGGGTAGAGACATGGAGAGAAGGGGTTGAGGTACTTGCCCCTCTCCCAGAAAAGCAGGACTTGCCGCTAAGGGTGAAGGACCAAGGCAGACGTCCCTGTGTGGTCTGACACCTCTGAAACGTGGGTGAGTAATCAGAGAGGTGTCCCTGCAATGATTAAACACCAAGGGAAGGCTGCCTTCCCAGTCCGTGACCGGCGCCGGAGTTTTGGGTCCATGGATAAAATGTGTCTCCTTTGTCTCTACCAGAAAATGAAAGGAATTGAAATTAAGAGAAGGGAGAGGTTGAAGAGTGGAAAGGAGAAAGTGGTTGAGGGATAGTGAGAGAGGTTGGAGAAGAGAGTAAGAAGAGGCCGCTTACCCGATTTAAAATTGGTGAGATGTTCCTTGGGCTGGTGGGTCTGAAGACCTAAGGTCATAGATGGATCTTTTTCACGGAGCAAAGAACAGGACAGGGGATTGATCTCCCAAGGGAGGTCCCCCGATCTGAGTCACAGCACCAAATTTCATGCGCGTCCGTGTGAAGAGACCACCAAACAGGCTTTGTGTGAGCAATAAAGCTTTTAATCACCTGGGTGCAGGCGGGCTGAGTCCGAAAAGAGAGTCAGCAAAGGGAGATAGGGGTGGGGCTGTTTTATAGGATTTGGGTAGGTAAAGGACAATTACAGTCAAAGGGGGGTTGTTCTTTGGCGGGTAGGAGTGGGGGTCGCAGGGTGCTCAGTAGGGGAGATTTTTGAGCTAGGATGAGCCAGGAAAAGGACTCTTACAAGGTAATGTCATCACTTAAGGCAAGGACCGGCCATTTTCACTTCTTTTGTGGTGGAATGTCATCAGTTAAGGTGGGGCAGGGCATTTTCACTTCTTTGTGATTCTTCAGTTACTTCAGGCCATCTGAGCGTATATGTGCTAGTCACAGGGGATGTGATGGCTTAGCTTGGGCTCAGAGACCTGACACTCATTACATGTCTGAATCATTTCGAAATAAGTTAAACTAGCAAACATTAATTATTAAGCATAAATTTAAATGTAAATACTTTAGTACCTTTTTTATATGATATAGAGAAGCAAAATATATTTGAGTTTCTTAGTAAACATTAATTTTTTCTATGAATAAGTACATAGTTCTAGAAATTATAAGATATATATTCATAAAATGTTGCTATGTGAAAAGCAGTGTACATTGTTTACTTTCTAGATTTTACAAGAAATTATGGTTACTGAGAGTTTAAAATTCTAATTAATACATATTTTAAATACTTAGAAATAAGGAAAATAATTCTGTATGCAAAGTGTCCAGGGAAAGTAAGATGTGTTTTTGGTGAGAAAATTTGTAAAAAGACATGAGGACACATATTTTTAAAAAACAGCAATTTTCAGAGGTTATTTAAAGGTTGCTTCAAAATATGGATTTACAAAAGAAATAGAAATAATAGAAATAGAATTATAAGGGAAAAAGTAAGTAGGAGAGATGTAGAAAAAAATTATAACTATGAGGATATGTATTTGGGAAAGAAAGTTGAAAAGAATAATTTTCTCTTTTGCATGTGAGATAACTTTGTGTGGTAAAAATGATAAGGGGAAAGAGAAAGTAAATTTTGTCCTAAGGTAGAAGGCCAAAATAACAAAAGAAAGTATAGGACAAAAATAAAGTTTCAAGCAAGTTGTAGAAGACTTATGGAAGATTAATCTTATGAAAGAAATTTTATGTATGATCAACTTGGCTAAACTTAGAAGGGAATTATTAATAAATTTTACTGTAGCCTTGCAGTATAGTTTGAAGTCAGGTAGCGTGATGCCTCCAGCTTTGTTCTTTTGGCTTAGGATTGACTTGGTGATGCGGGCTCTTTTTTGGTTCCATATGAATTTTAAAGTAGTTTTTTCCAATTCTGTGAAGAAAGGCATTGGTAGCTTGATGGGGATGGCATTGAATCTGTAAATTACCTTGGGCAGTATGGCCATTTTCACGATATTCATTCTTCCTACCCATGAGCATGGAATGTTCTTCCATTTGTTTGTATCCTCTTTTATTTCCTTGAGCAGTGGTTTGTAGTTCTCCTTGAAGAGGTCCTTCACATCCCTTGTAAGTTGGATTCCTAGGTATTTTATTCTCTTTGAAGCAATTGTGAATGGGAGTTCACTCATGATTTGGCTCTCTGTTTGTCTGTTAATGGTGTATAAGAATGCTTGTGATTTTGGTACATTGATTTTGTATCCTGAGACTTTGCTGAAGTTGCTTATCAGCTTAAGGAGATTTTGGGCTGAGACAATGGGATTTTCTAGATATACAATCATGTCGTCTGCAAACAGGGACAATTTGACTTCCTTTTTTCCTAATTGAATACCCTTTATTTCCTTCTCCTGCCTCATTGCCCTGGCCAGAACTTCCAACACTATGTTGAATAGGAGTGGTGAGAGAGGGCATCCCTGTCTTGTGCTAGTTTTCAAAGGGAATGCTTCCAGTTTTTGCCCATTCAGTGTGATATTGGTTGTGGGTTTGTCATAGATAGCTCTTCTTACTTTGAAATACGTCCCATCAATACCTAATTTATTGAGAGTTTTTAGCATGAAGTGTTGTTGAATTTTGTCAAAGGCTTTTTCTGCATCTATTGAGATAATCATGTGGTTTTTGTCTTTGGCTCTGTTTATATGCTGGATTACATTTATTGATTTGCGTATGTTGAACCAGCCTTGCATCCCAGGGATGAAGCCCACTTGATCATGGTGGATAAGCTTTTTGATGTGCTGCTGGATTCGTTTTGCCAGTATTTTATTGAGGATTTTTGCATCAATGTTCATCAAGGATATTGGTCTAAAATTCTCTTTTTTGGTTGTGTCTCTGTCTGGGTTTGGTATCAGAATGATGCTGGCTTCATAAAATGAGTTAGGGAGGATTCCCTCTTTTTCTATTGATTGGAATAGTTTCAGAAGGAATGGTACCAGTTCCTCCTTGTACCTCTGGTAGAATTCGGCTGTGAATCCATCTGGTCCTGGACTCTTTTGGTTGGTAAAATATTGATTATTGCCATAATTTCAGATCCTGTTATTAATCTATTCAGAGATTCAACTTCTTCCTGGTTTAGTCTTGGGAGAGTGGATGTGTCAAGGAATTTATCCATTTCTGCTAGATTTTCTAGTAAACAGCATGGTACTGGTACCAAAACAGAGATATAGATCAATGGAACAGAAGAGAGCCCTCAGAAATAACGCCACATATCTACAACTATCTGATCTTTGACAAACCTGGGAAAAACAAGCAATGGGGAAAGGATTTCCTATTTAATAAATGGTGCTGGGAAAACTGGCTAGCCATATGTAGAAAGCTGAAACTGGATCCCTTCCTTACACCTTATACAAAAATCAACTCAAGATGGATTAAAGACTTAAACGTTAGACCTAAAACCATAAAAACCCTAGAAGAAAACCTAGGCATTACCATTCAGGACATAGGCATGGGCAAGGACTTCATGTCTAAAACACCAAAAGCAATGGCAACAAAAGCCAAAATTGACAAATGGGATCTAATTAAACTAAAGAGCTTCTGCACAGCAAAAGAAACTACCATCAGAGTGAACAGGCAACCTACAAAATGGGAGAAAATTTTCACAACCTACTCATCTGACAAAGGGCTAATATCCAGAATCTACAATGAACTCAAACAGATTTACAAGAAAAAAACAAACAACCCCATCAAAAAGTGGGTGAAGGACATGAACAGACACTTCTCAAAAGAAGACATTTATGCAGCCAAAAAACACATGAAAAAATGCTCACCATCACTGACCATCAGAGAAATGCAAATCAAAACCACAGTGAGATACCATCTCACACCAGTTAGAATGGTGATCATTAAAAAGTCAGGAAACAACAGGTGCTGGAGAGGATGTGGAGAAATAGGAGCACTTTTACACTGTTGGTGGGACTGTAAACTAGTTCAACCATTGTGGAAGTCAGTGTGGCAATTCCTCAGGGATCTAGAACAAGAAATACCATTTGACCCAGCCATCCCAATACTGGGTATATACCCAAAGAACTCTAAATCATGCTGCTATAAAGACACATGCACACGTATGTTTATTGCGGCATTATTCACAATAGCAAAGACTTGGAACCAACCCAAATGCCCAACAATGATAGACTGGATTAAGAAAATGTGGCACATATACACCATGGAATACTATGCAGCCATAAAAAAGGATGAGTTCATGTCCTTTGTAGGGACATGGATGAAATTGGAAAGCATCATTCTCAGTAAACTATCGCAAGAACAAAAAACCAAACACTGCATATTCTCACTGATAGGTGGAAATTGAACAATGAGATCACATGGACACAGGAAGGGGAATATCACACTCTGGGGACTGTGGTGGGGTTGGGGGAGAGGTGAGGGATAGTATTGGAAGATATACCTAATGCTAGATGACGAGTTAGTGGGTGCAGTGCACCAGCATGGCACATGTATACATATGTAACTAACCTGCACAATGTGCACATGTACCCTAAAACTTAAAGTATAATAAAAAAATAAATAAATAAATTTTACTAAAAGCTGAGCAGTAGTATCAAAAGTACACAGATTCAACACCAGAGTTCGCACCCCTGTGTTGGAACAATAGGGTTTTCTCAGAACATTCATCTGCTCTTAACAGAAAATTATGAGAGGTTTTACTTTACCTTTTAGGTAACTAGCCTAGGGAACAGAAATTCCATATTTATCACAATAATTTCTTTTGCTTTGTGCCTTTGAAATCTTTTGCCACTCTGGTTTTATTTCGTAGTGTCCTGTGATTTTTATTCTGATCAACTGTTTTACACATTTAATGTTTGACAAATTTCTCAAAATTCAAAATTCAGTATTTTTGAGTTAGAATTAACTTTGAGACATTCCTGAGGGCCCTGGAACTTCTCAGAGGATGTGTAAAAGAGATATGAAACCAAATGGTCTTATCTGATGTGTTAAATTGTATGAGAAACATTGCCAACATAAAGAATGATTGCTAACCTTCATTGAGTTATATTTCTATGGATATGTTATTAATGCATTCTAAAATTGTACACAGTTCATAGAAATCTTATGTGTCTTTGTATAAATGCTGTGAGTAATAAGTTTGGTTATTTTAAATTGTTGTATGTCACAGAAATAGCAAAATATCCTTGTCAATTGGCTAACTTTCATCAGGTTTTTAACCATGGCTATCTTATGTCTTGATGTCCACAGTTAATTGCTTTATTCTGATGCCTTTCTGAAAGCTTCTTGCAAGCAATTTTAATCCTAAAGCATTATGTCTTCAAAGAGGTTCATGGAAAGAATGAAAAGAACTCTGAAATGTACACGTTTCTAATAACTCTGAGTTCATATTATTGGACTGAATTTTGAAAACTCTAATGAAGAAACTGATAAGTTTGCGAAACTGCTAACCAAGATCAGAGCAAGAATTAATTACATGAGACTGAATGAATTGATTAAAAAGAATTATAGGTTTTTAAGTCTTCTTTATTTGAAACTGCTTGTTGTTTTAAAAAGCATTTTTAAATTGACACATTATAATTTTACATATTGATGGGGTACATAATGATGTGATACATATAATGTGTAGTAATCAGATCAGGGTAATTAGATATCCATCATCTCAAACATTTATCATTTCTTTATGCATGTTCTGTATTGGGAGCATTCAATATCCTCCTTCTTGTTATCTGAAACTATATAATAGTCGTACTACAGTGCTACAGAACACTAGAAGTTATTCCTGCTATCTAGTTGTAATTTTGTATCTTTTAACACATCTCTCTCTATACCCCATTTTGCAGGTTCTTTTAAAGTTTTGTATTTTAGATTTAAGAAAACTTTTTCTTTTCATGTTATCTATAGCTTACAACAATTTGGTAGAGCATACTTTTGTAAACAAAAATTGAAACACTTGTTTTTCTTAAGAAACTGTGAGTATTCTCATTTTTATGGCAAATAGTTATTTGCATAATAAGTTCAATAAGAATCTGCTCTCTTTTAACAGGATACAATTGGAAACATTCATTATTTTACTAAGGCATTGAGTAAAATGTCATATTTGAAAGCCTGCACAGAAAGCTTGGCTTTAAGGGTTCCCAGTCTTACAGTGAATGAGCAAAACGTTGTCACTTCCTGACAGGCCCCGGAACCTCAAGATATTAGATACATCAGGCAAAGTCTAGTGTCTGCCTTGGTTTGGCTTCAAATCTTCAAGAGGTTTTTAAAAGACTAATCTGAGGTTCCTTGTCAAAATTTCCAGCAAAGAAATTTAAATGGAGCCCATGTGATTATTCTTGCTGTACTTATGTAAATTATCAGGCAAATTGGTCTTACCATGATTATCTTCAATAGAAATTGGGGTGACTGTAGAGAGAAAAATTGTTTCCAAAGAAAACTGTGGTAGTCCTGTTATTAGAATATTGCACTGTTCATTGGTTTTGAGTTTTTATTATCTACCTATAGACTAGACTGGATTTTGAATTCCAGTTTTCTCTAATATCTGGCCACAACTCTCCAAACTAAAATAAAAACTCCAAGTTTCTGAAGGCTCTATCAGCTGAAGTTGGATAACTTGAAGTAAATTTCAAAGGATAAGTCTCATGCCTGCTGCATGGGCTACATAGAGAGTTCACCAGAATACACAATGCCACAACTAGAAGCATTCAGATTGCAAACCAGGACTACGCATTGTTATACTGTTGATTTCATGCTGTAGACAGCTTTTCCAAAGATTGTCAGGTCAAGACTCTCTATCATAATAAGAACCTTACCTCTCTTAATTTTTCCTTATGCCCACCTCTTTCAATTGGCAAGATAATGCTGTTGGCAGCACTGGGCCATCTGGAGCGGCCACAGGTTGCCACACCAGCTGCTGCAGGGAGGGCATGGGGAGAATGTGGACAGCCCCCACACAGCCCACCACCCTGGAGGCCACCATGAAGGGTCCAGGCTGGGTTGCCCACCAGTGGGGAAGCAGCACAAAGGGGGAGCAGCGCGACTGGGCAGAGAGGGGTCCCAGGGTGGTGCTGGCTTGCACATGGAGTGCAGGGCTGGGAGGCAGAGGTGGGGCTGCACTTTGGAGGCCCAGGGCTGGAAGTGGGAGCACTGCCCACTTCCAGGACCCAGCCAATGGCACAACCACTGCACCCACCCCTCTGAGGGTCAGTATCCCTTGGAGGCATAGGATCCAGGCCGGTAGCATGAGCTGAGCAAAGCCTGCCAGACTGAGTGGGCAGAATAGGCCCAGTGGGCCCAAGCAAAACTCAAGTAAAGGTGCCACCATCCACAGGTTTCCTGTCAGAAAAGTGACACCCCAAAGATCCTGTAACAATGCTGTAGTTAAAATTTCACTATCAGTAGCTTCTGCAGGTAACTTGTAGTACCTGCTTTAATTTAACCCAGTCATTGCCTGCTAGATTACCTACTAATTAAACAGAGAAGAATCCGTGCACTTGATGACATTTCTTGTTGCACATAGATAAATATATTGGGTGTTGTAGAGCAGACCTCTTGGTTAAAATGGGTAGATGCCTTGTCTGTCCATTCTACTTTAGTTGTTTCAGTTTATAGGTACCCTGACTAATGAATATACTACAAACTCTTGGTATTATCTTCCTGATAGTCATAATGGTAGTCTCCCTGGTGCACTGTATCTGCTCAAAAAGTTTTTAATGTTTCCATACAGCCATCTGTCAAAAGTCAAATGATATCTTTGGCTGGAACAAAAACTCAACGAAACACATTAGAATGAGGAGGACACAAAAACACTTAAATGGTATGCTGAGACTAAACCCCAAATTATGGTAACTGAGAGTAGTGCTGATGCTCTAAGTTTTGGTTATGTTCTCACATAGATGATTAGTTAACATCACCTAGGTGGCCTCTTATAATTTCTCACCTAGGTGAAAGCATGACCAAAAAGGGGACATTTTCAAATAACATTATAAGAGGTCATTGTTATGGACTAAGCTCCTGCACTAGGCCCCAGCAGACCAGACTAAAATCAAAATGATGTCACCCGTGCTAAACTTCCATGTCACCAAACCTAAACTAAGTTGTTATCTGACCTTCTGAGAAATCAAGAAAAAGGGATAATAGCCATTTTCCCAAACAGGTCAGTTTAAATCCCAAATCAGCATCATGATGAAGCTCCTCTGCCTTGATCCCTACACAAGAAAGTAGATTAAAGTAATCTGATGTTAACTAATCAGTTATTTTTCTACTATTCTTTCTTCCTGTCCTTGTCTTACAAAAGAAAGTATCTTTGGAACAATTAATACTCTTTGTTCTTTGATTTTGCTTTCTTCAGCCCTTCTCTGTCCATAAAGCCAATGTCTTCTGTTCAGTTCATTGGAACACTTTTTCTATTTTATGGAATAAAGTGTTGCCTGATTCTAGAATCACAAATAAAGCCAACTGCAATCATTAAACTAAATTTGTTGTAGTTTTGTCTTTTGACAGTACAGAATAGGCAAACCACTTCATGGTATGATTTGAGAGACCCAGGGAAGGTTTGCCTTTGCAAGGTTTCTTCTTGCCAAACCCATCAAAGTCCCCAAAATTACACACTTAGGAAGTCATTCTTATGATTTAAAGTACTATTTGCAGACAGTTCTCTTTCAAATCCGACCATCTTTCCTTGGGCAACAAGAAAACATTTATTTAGTTTCTGTTCTGTTTCATACACTGTATATTTTACTCTATACTTCTTAAACAGTGAACACATAACCTTTGGAGGAAGGGAAAGCAACAAAATGGTCTTTTTGGATCTTTAGTTTTGCTTCTAGATTTAGGAGAAAGCAATGAAGTAATTTAACTAATATGTAGTTTAAAACATTATTATTGTTTCCAAAAAATAAAAATACAGCACCAAAAAGAAAGTAATTTGAATGAATTTTAAAGATGAAGCATGAACATGAGCCTTCAAGGTTATTTTCCATTGAGACCAATTTGGTCTGGGTACTCAGCCCCCTGAGGAATACAAGATCAATCTTGTTATAGTCAGATAGTCTAATCTGTCATAACTAATAGACCCCAAATCAAAATACCTCAACTACAATAAAAGTTTACTTTTTGTTCACATCAGAGAGTAAAGTGGATGTTTTTGGTCAGTTGGTGGCTTTTCTCCATGTGGTGATTAAGGTATCCAGGTTGCCTCCAGCTCACGATTCCATTATGGCAGTGTTTCTCAAATGTTAGTGAGCATTTAAATTTCCTGTCGATCTTGTTAAAATGCAAGTGTGATTCAATAGCTGTGGGTGGGGGCTGAAATTCTATATTCCTAATGAGTTCCCCAGGGGATCAAATACTGCTAGTCTCAGAAATGCACTTGAGAAGCAAGGCTATGGAGCAATGTTTATCAAATCTGATTGCAGATTACAACGACCTGGTGAACTTTCAAAAAATCCATTTTAATGACATAATTTATAAACAATAAAATTCACCCATGCAAAATGTACATGGCCATGAGTCTTGAAAAATGTATTCGCCCATGTAATTTTTACCATAATGAAGATATGGATAATTTTCATCATCAGAAAAAGTGCTTTTGTGTTCCCATGTAGTCAATGCCCCTCACCTCCATTCCCAGGCAATAATTGGTGTACTTTCTATCATTATAGATTTCTTTGTATTTTCTATTACTTTACATTTATAGAATAACATATTCCTGGCTTCATTAACTCAGCATAACATTTTTGAGATTTATCCATGTCATTTTATGTATTAGTAATTTATTCTTTTTTAATTACTGAGTAGTGTTCCATTGTACCTACACATCCAATGATGGAAAATTTAGTTTCCAGTTTTTGTGATTGTGAATAAAGTCACTTTAACATTCATATACAATAGTTTGAGTTGAACAAGTTTTCTTTTTCTTGAGTAATTACCTAGAAGTGGTCTCGTTAGGTTATATGGTTGATATATGTTTAATCTAAACGTTAAACAATGTTTCCTAAAGTGTTTACACCATTTTACATTTCTACTAGCAATGTAGGAGATTGTAGGTGGCTCTAAATCCTCACTAACATTTAGATCTGTCAAGCTTTATAATTTTAGGCACTTTAATGGTGGTGTAGTAGCATTTCATTGTGGTTTTAATTTGCATTTCCCTAATAACTAATGATGCTAAACATATTCTTATGTTCTTTTTGATCATGTATACATGGGCCATTTGAATATATTCCTTACAAAATATCTGTTCAAATATTTTCCCTTTTTAAATGGGCTGCTTATCTATTAATTCATAAAGTTTCTTAATATTCTCTTGATAGAGGTTTTTTTGGTCAGATATATGTATTGCAAATATTTTTGTCAGACATATGTATTGTGAATACTATGGCTTGTGGAGTCATCAATTTTTTAATTCTTTTTGTTTTCATGAGCAGCAGTTTTAAAATTCAATGAAGCCTAATTCATAGATACTTTTGTTTATGGTTATTGGTTCTCTATGTCTGAAAAAACTTTGCCTCTGCCCAAGTAGTGAATATATTTGTTCTCCCATATGTTCTTCTAGAAACTGTATAGTTTTCACTTTTATATTTTGATGAATACCCATTTTCTCCAGCACAATTCGTTTAAAAGATTTTTCCAATTTATTTAGTTTGTCATTTTTGCATTTTAAGAGCTCACTCCACAACAGACTGCACACTGTTCTGGGACCTAGCAGTGCCAATGCAGAGAAAGAGGGTGAAGCATGAGCTGCCACTGCTGGAGGAGAGGTGTGAATTAGGCATAGACTGCAACCCTCATGGCTGAGGTGCAATCAGGGCATGGGCTGCTACCACTGAGGCTGAGGCACAAGTGAGGCATAGAACAGTGCCACCACAACTGAAGTGTGAGCAGGGTACAGCCTGCTACAACTGAGTCTAAGGTGTGAGCAGGATGTTGGATGCCACTGCCGTGACTGAGGTGAGAGTAAGGCACATATTCCCCATCTATCAGCCTAGGCTGCCACCAGTGAAGGTGGATGCACCCTCCACAGTGACAGGGACACAACATGACCATTGCTGCCCCCAACCTGAGCATTACTCTGGTGGCCTGGGGATCGCCCTGCCCTTGTCTACCACAGAAGTCACCTGCACACACCATTGGGGACCCTGAGGACAAGCCTGCATGGCCCAGCTTCAGACCCATTGCCATGACAGAGCACACAGTCTGGATGCTTGGTGATTGCTCAGTTCAGTGCACAACCATTGGCACCTGAGCACTCCTCCTGGTAGCCTGAGGTTGGGCCTACTCACCCTGCCACTACTACCACAACTGGCACCTAACTAAACATGTAACTTGCAGGCCTGCAGATAGGCCTGACCAGCTCATTACAGCCACTATAGCCACTGCTAGCACCAGCATGCACTGCTTAGGAACCAGAGGGTCATCTCTGCCATGGCTACTGCCATTGTTTACACCAGACTAGCTGGCCAGATGCCTAAGGATTCCCACTTGTCTGGTCCTCTGCAACCAATACTGGCATTTAGCAAGCCACCTGGAATCCCAAGAATAGGCTTATGTAGACCCCCTGACACTGATGCCAGTGTACCTTACCCTGGAGCTCAAGGACAAACATGCTGCATTCACACGTGCCATGACTAGGGCCCAAAGACTGTCCCACCTGGCATGGCAGTCCAGAGCAAAATTTCACTACAGCCTCCACTAATAACCACACTCTAAGCCACCAAAGAAATTACAGATACCACTGATACTGTTTACAGCTGAAGAAATCATACAGAGACAACACTATTGCACACATCTTGAATCAATGCCAAAGTGCTGTACCCAACCAACATCGTAGATACATCTTCAGAAAAAGTCCTCTTCTACAAAAGTAAATAGAAAAACTCGAAATAAGTGACTGTTACAACAGATGTACATATATCAATATAAGGACACAGGAAGAAAAAAAGGAAATTTGACACCTCCAAAGAAACACAATACATTTCCAGCAACAGATCCCAATCAAGAACAAATTTATGAAATCCTGGAGAAATAATTCACAATATTGATTTTAAAGAAATTCAGTGAGTTGTAAGAGAATATTGAGAAACAATGCAAATAAATAAGAAAAAAATTCAGAATATGAATGAGAATTTGACCAAAGAATAAGTACCATTAAACAGAACCAAATTCTGGAACTGAAGAATTAGTTAACTGAAATACAAAATGCATTTGAAAGCTTTGTCAATAGACTGGATTGAGCAGCAGAAGAAAAAGTCTCAGAACTTGAGGACAGGCCTTTTTAAATAACCCATCAGACAAAAGTAAAGAATAAATAAATAAATAAATAACTACAAGCAAAGCCTATGTGACATGTGGAACATTATAAAATGAAAAAACATTCAAGTTTTCAGAGTCCCAGAAGGCAAAGAGAAAACAAACAGTTTGGAAAATCAATTTGACAAAATAATAGATGAAAACTTCCCAGATATACCAGGAAATTTAGTCATCCAGATACAAAAGGTGCTGAGATTCCCAAACAGATAAAATGCAAAAAGGTCTCCATGGCATATTATAGTCAAACTGTCTAAAGTAAAAGATGAAGAGATAATTCTTAAAACAGCAAGTGTGACTAATCTAGTCACCCATAAAGGAACACCCATCAGACTAACAGCAGACTTCTCAGCAGAAACCTTTTAGGCCAGGACATAATTGAATGATACATTTAAAGTGCTGAAAGAAAAAAAACCCTGCTAGCCAGGGATACTATAGCGAGAAAAATTGTTGTTATAAATCAAGAAGAAATAAAGTCTTTCACAGAGAAGCTAAAGCTGAGGGAATTTATCACCACTAGATTGGTCCTACAAGAAATTCTTAAGGAAGTTATATACCTGAGTACAAAAGGTTATCTGCAATCATGAAAACAAAAATATGCAAACCACTGGTAGAGCAAACACACAAACAAGGAAAAGATTCAAATGTTACCACTAAAAACAACCACCAAACCACAATAATAAACAATAAGAGAGAAAGAAAGAAAAATGAATAGACAAATAATGAGAAATCATTTAATGAAATGACAGGAAGAAATCCTCACACAGCAACAATAGCTGAATGTAAACAGATTAAACTTTCCACTTAAAAGATATAGACTGTCTGAATGGAAAAAAACAATTACCCAATTATGTGCTGCCTATAGGAAACTCATCTCACCTGTACAGAAACATGTAGACTAAAAATGGGTTGGAAAAAGTTATTTCATGCAAACAGAAACCAAATACAAGCAAGAGTAGCTATACTTATGTCAGATGAAATAGACTTTAAGTCAAACACTGTAAAAAAAAAAAAGACAAAGAAAGTCATTATATAATGATAAAGGGATCAATTCAACAAGAGAAATAAAAATTCCAAACATACATTCACCCAACTCAGGAGAACACACATATATAAAGCAAATATTATTATATGTAAAAGGAGAGATGGAATTCTGCATAATAATAGTTGGGGATGTCAACATCCCACTCTCAGCATTAAAGAGATCATCAACAGAAAATTAATAAAGAAACATTGGATTTTAACTCTACCTTAGACCAAATGAACCTAACAGACATTTATAGAACATGTAACCAACATCTACAGAATACACATTCTTCTCCTCAGCACATAAAACAATCTCCAGTATAAACCATATTTTAGGACACAAAACAAGTCTCAACAAATTTTTAAAACTCAAAATCATATCGAGTATCTTCTGAGATCAAAATGGAATAAAACTAGAAATCATTAATAAGAGGAACTTTGGAAACTGTAAAATACATGAAAGTTAAACATGTTCCTGAATGACCATAGTTTCAAGGAAGAAATAAAAGAGAGAATTAAAAAAGTTTCCTGAAATGAATGAAAATGAAAACACAACATATCAAGCCTATGGGATACAGCAAAAGTGGTGCTAAAAGGCAAGCTTACAGTAATACATACCTAAATCAAAAAAATAGATTTCAAATAAGCAATCTAAAACTCAGGGAACTAGAAAGGATCTCAAGGAACTAGAAAAGCAAGAACAAAGCAAACCCCAAATTAATAAAAAGTAATAATAATAAAGATCAGAGTAGAAATAGAGACTATAAAAACAACATTAAAAATGAACAAACCAAAAAGTTGGCTTTTTGAAAAGATAAAATTGATAAGCCACTTGCTAGACTAATCAATAATAGAAAGAAGACTCAGATAAACAAAATCAGAAATGAAAAAGGAGACATTGTAACTATGACCACAGAAATATAGAAGATCATCAGAGATTATTATGAACAATTATATACTAATAACCTGAAAAGCCTAGGGAAAATGGATACATTCCTGGACACATACAATCTTCCAGGATTGAATCAGGAAGAAATAGACAACATGAGCAGAACAATAATGAGTAATGAGATTGAATCAGTAATAAAATGTCTCCCAACAAAGAAAAGTCCAGGACCAGTTGGCTTTACTGTCAAACTGAACAGATCTTTCAAAGAAGAACTAACACCAATTCTTCTCAAACTATTCCAAAACACTAAAGAGGAAGAATTTTTGCTGACTCATTTTATGTGGCTAGAATTACCTTGATACTAAAACCAGAGAAGGACACAACAGAAAAGAAAACCACAGGCCAATATCCCTGATATACACAGACACAAAAATTCTCAACAAAATATCAACGGAAAAAAGGACAAAAGACATATAATCATCTCACAATATGCAGAAAAAGCATTTGAAAAAATTCAACATTCCTTCATGATATAAACGCTCAATAAACTAAGCATAGAAGGAATATCTTTCAACATAACAAATGCCATGAAAAACCCACAGCTAACATCATATTGAATGAAGAAATGCTAAAAGCCTTTTCTCTAAGAAATGGAACAAGACAAGCATCCCTACTTTCACCCCTTGTATCCAATAGAGTACTGGAAGTCCTAGCGAGTGTATTCTGGCAAGAGAAAGAAATAAAAGGCATCCCAACAGAAAAGAATAATTCAAATCTTCTTTCTTTGCAGAAGATATAATGTT
Organism: Homo sapiens; assembly: GCF_000001405.40. NCBI lineage: Eukaryota > Metazoa > Chordata > Mammalia > Primates > Hominidae > Homo > Homo sapiens. The sequence goes on along the minus strand of NC_000023.11, from coordinate 109,164,309 downwards.
ATATCTAGGAAAACCTAAAGACTCCATCAAAATATTCTTAGATCTAATAAATAAATCTAGTAAGGTTCAAGATATAAAATCAGCATACAAAAATCAGTAATGTTTCTATATACCAATAAAAAACTAGCTGAGAAAGAAATCAAGAAGGCAATCTTACTTACAATAGCTACAGAAAAATAAAATACCTAGGAATAAATTTAACCATGGAGGTGAAAGACCACTACAAGGAAAACTGCAAGTCTCTGAGGAAGGAAATTGAAGAGGACACAAATAGAAAGATATCCCATGCTCATGTGATCAGAAGAATTAACTTCATTAAAATGACCATAATACTCAAAGCCATCTACAGATTCAATGCAATCCCTTTCAAAATATCAATGTCATTTTTTCATAGAAATGGAAAAAAATTCCTAATATTTGTGTGGAACCAAAAAAAGAGCCAGAATACCTAACGCAATTCTGAGAAAAAAGAAAAGAAAAGAAAAGCTGGAGGCATCTTATTACCTTCAAAATATATTACAAGGCTATAATAACCAAAACATCATTGTATTCATATAAAAATAGACACATAGACCAAAGGAACAGAATCCAGAATTAAATGCATGTATTTACATCCAACTGATTTTCAACAAAAGCATCAAAAACATAAAGTTTTCAAAAGAAGACATACAAATGGCTAAGAGGCATATGAAAAACAATGCTCAACATCACAAATCATCAGGGAACTGCAAATCAAAACCACAGTGAGATGTTATCTTACCACAAGTAGAATGGTTGTTATTAAAAAGACAAAAATAAAAGACATTGGAGAGGATGTGGAGAAAAGGGAACTTTTATACACTGTTGGTGGGAATGTAAATTAGTATAATACAACCACTATGGAAAATAGTATAGAGATTTTCAATAAACTAAAAATTTAACTGCTGCATGATCTAGTAATTCCACTATGGGGCACATATCCAAAGAAAAGGAAATCAGTGTATCAAGGGTATAACTGCACTCACATATTTATCACAGCACTATTCATAATACCAAAGATGTGGAATCAACCTAAATGTCCATCAGTGGACAAATGGGTACAAGATATGTGGTATATATACACAATAGAATACTAATAGGTCATAAAAAGAATGAAATCCTGTCATTTGCAGTAACATAGATGGAATTAGAGGTCATTATGTTAAGTGAAATGAGGCAGATGCAGAATGAAAAATACCACATATTGTCACTTATATGTAAGAGCTAAGAAAATTGAGGGTAGAAATATAGATACCAGAAGATGGGAAAGCTGTGAGGGTGGGAAGGGGGAATGAAGAGCGGTTGGTTAATGGGTACAAACATGCAGTTAGATAGAAGAAATCAATTCTAATATTCAATAGCAAGTAGGGTTATTATAGTTAGAAACAATATATTATATATTTTATGGTAGTTGTAAGAGAGGACTTAACATGTTTCCAAAACATAGAATTGGTAAATTCTCAATGTGATGGATATGCCAACTACCCTGTCTCGATCATTATACATTCTGTGCATGTAACAAAATATTACATGTATCCCATGCAAATGTAAAATATTAATGTTGTAATGTTAAAAATTACTTTGTCACCTATAATCAATTGACCATACATCAGGGCCTATTTCTGTACTTTCTATTCTATTCCATTGATCCATTTGTCAACCTTTATGGCAATACCATACTTTCATAGTTATAATAGCTTATGATAAGTTTTGAAATCATCAGCATAATCCTTCAATTTTGTTCTTCTATTCTACACTTGTTTTGACTATTCTATGTTGTTTTTAAGCTCACACAAATTTTAGAAACAGCTTGTCAATTTCCACAGAAAACACTGCTATGGTTATAATTTGGGTCATATTAACTGTAATTTGCGGAGAATTGACATCTTTATTTATATTGAGGAGTATTTGACAATTAAAAATTGTGTATATTTTAAGAGTACAAGACTGTCACCTCTTTGGTTAAATTTATTCCTCAACATTTTATTATATTTGTTGCTATTGTGAATGGGATAGTTTTTATTATTATTATTATTTTTTGAGATGGAGTCTCGCCCTATTGCCCAGGCTGGATGGCACGATCCCGGCTCACTGCAACCTCCACCTTCAAGGTTCAAGCGATTATCCTGCCTCAGCCTCCTGAGTAGCTGGGACTACAGGTGCCCGCCACCATGCCTGGCTCATTTTTGTATTTTTAGTGGAGACAGAGTTTCACCATGTTGGCCAGGCTGGTCTTGAACTCCTGACCTCAGGTAATCCACCCGCCTTGGCCTCCCAAAGTGGTGGGATTACAGGTGTGAGCCAACACACCTGACCTGGATAGTTTTCTTAATTTTTCTTTTGGATTGTTCACTGGTAGTGTTTATAAACTCCAGTGAATTTTGCATATTGAATTTATATCCTGCAACTTTACTAAATTTATTAGTTCTGACAGTTTTTTAGTGTGGTCTTTATGGTTTTATACATATAAGATCATGTTTTCTCCAAAAAGGGACAATTTGAGTGCCTCCTTTTTCATTTGGATGCCTTTTATTTCTTTCTCTTGCCTAATTGCTTTAGCTAGGACTTCCAATATTACTATGTTGAATAGAATGGGTGAAAATAAGCATTTTTGTATTCTTCCAGATGTTAGAGAAAAAAATGTTCCACTTTTTCCTTTAAGTTGTCAGTTTGTCAGATATAGCCTTTATTGTGTTCGGGTGTGTACCTGCTATTTATTTTTTTGATTGTTTATGTCATGAAGGGGTGTGAAATTTTGTCAAATGCTTTTTCTGTATCAATGAAAATAATCATACCGATTTTGTCCTTATTTTTCTTAATGTGATGTATCACATTTATTTATTTTTTATGTTAAATCATCCTTTTATCCCTGAGATGAATCACACTTGATCATAGTGAATAATATTTTTATTGTGCTGTTGAATTCTGTCTGTTAATATTTTGTAGAGATTTTTTTGCATCTATATTAATCAGGAATATTGGTCTTTAGTTTTTGTTTTTGTTTTTGTTGTATCCTTTTCTGGTTTTGGTATCATGGTAATGCTAGCTTCATAGAATGTTTAAAAGTGTCCCGTTTTACAATTTTCTGGAATAGTTTGAGAAGAGTTGGTGTTAGATTTTCTTTATGTGTTTGGTTGAATTTAGCAGTGAAGTCATCTGGTCCTGGGATTTTATTTGATAGGAGACTATCTCACTTACTCGTGTTTACACCTATTATTTGTCTGTTCCAACTTTCTGTTCCTTCATAAGTCAACTGTGATAGGTTGTACTAGTCCAGGAATTTATTTGTTTCTTTTAGGTTATCCAATGTTTTCGTGTATAATTGTTGATAATAATCTCTCATGGTCCATTTTTATTTTGTGTTTCAGTTGTAATGTCCCCTTTTCATCTCTGATTTTGAGTCATCTATCTTTTGTTTTTTGTCTAGCTAGAAATTTGCCAATTTTTTTAAAAAACAGTCTTCCTTTTCATGATCTTTTATATTGTTTATGTAGTCTCTATGCTTTGCATTTTAAAATTTTTCATTCTACTAATTTTGTGTGTAATTTTTTCTTGTTTTTGTGGTTCCTTGAAGTGCAGTGTTAGATTGTTTACTTGAGATCTTTCTATGTTTTTGATGTAGGTGTTTACTGCTATAAACTTCATATGTAGACTGCTTTTGCTGTATCTCATAGGCTTTGGTATGCTGTGTTTTCATATTCTGTTGTCTCAAACATTTTAAAAATTTCATCATTAACCATTGGTTATTCAGGACCATGTTGTTTACTTTCCATGTATTTGTAAAATTTTTGAAATTATTTTTATTAATTTCTATTTTTATACTGCTATGGTCAGAAAAAATACTTAACATGATCTCTATCTTCTTAAACTTGTTGAAACTTGTTTTGAACCTAACATATGGTCTGTCCTGGAGAATGTTCCATGTGCAGTTAAGAAGAATGTATATTCTTCAACTGTTAGATGGACAATTTGGTAAATGTTTATTATGTCTATTTGGTCTAGAGTGCAATGTAAATCCATTTTTTTGTGGTTGATTTTCTGTCTGGATGATGTAATCATTGCTGCAAGTCAGGAGTTGAAGTCTCCTACAATTATTATATTGCAGTCTATCTCTCCATTTGGATATAATAATATTTGCTTTATATATTTTGGTGCTCCAGTGTTGGGTGTGTATACATTTACCATTGTTATATCCTTTTGAAGAATATTTCTCTTTATCATTATATAATTACCTTCTTTGTCTTTTCTGAAAGTTTTTGACTTAAAGTCTATTTCATCTGATATAAGTATAGCTACTCCTGCTTCCTTTTAGTTTTTGTTTGCATGGTATATCTTTTTCCATTCTTTTATTTTAAGTCTGTCTGTTCTTACAGGTGAAGTGAGTATCTGGTAGGCAGCATATAATTAGGTCTTGTTTTTCATCCATTCCATCCCTCTATATCTTTTAATTGGGGAATTTAATTCATTTACATTCAGGATTATTACTGATAGGTAAGGAATTAGGCCTGCCATTTTGTTTGTTGTTCTCTGGTTGTTTTGTAAATCCTTTGTTTCTTTCTTCCTCTCTGCAGTCTTCCTCTGTGATTTGATAACTTTTTGTGATGTTATGCTTTCATTCCTTTCCCTTAATCTTTTATGTATTCACCACAAGTTTGTGTGTATGTGTGTGTGTGTGTGTGTGTGTGTGTGTGGTTACCATGAGAAAAATACAAAGATTCTATAGTTATAATGGACTATGTTAAGCTGATAACAATGTAACTTTGGTCACGTAAAAATGCACTAGATTTTACCCTTCTCCACAACACATAATTTATATTTTTGTTTCCTTAATTTGCATTCTTATATATTTTGTGTTCCTTATCAACTAATTGTAACACACAATTTATATTTTTGTTGCCTTAATTCACATCTTCATATGTTGTGTGTTCCTTAACAACTAATTGTGAGTGTTGTTGTTTTTTACCATTTTTGCTTTTAACCTTCATACTACATGTTTGGAATATTCACATGGCACCATCACAGTACTGGAGTATTTTGAGTTTGATTATGAAATTACTTCTGCTAGTGAGTTTTATATCTTCCCATGTTTTCACAATATTAATTCTTATCCTTTAGCTTCCAGTTGTAGTACTTCCTTAAGCATTTTTTTGTAGTGTTGGTGAATTGCCCATTTTGATTCTCTGTGAGAACTTTATTTCTCCTTCACATCTGAAGGATAGCTTTGCTGGGTATAGTATTCTCACTGGTAGTTTTTTGTTTTATTCTTCAGTGCTTTGGATATATCATCCCATTCTCTCCTGGCCTGCAAAGTTTCTGCTGAGAAATATGCTGATATTCTAATGAGTCTTTCCTTATATCTGACTTTGTGCTTTTTTCTTGCTGTTTTTAGGATTTTCTTTGTCTTTGACTTTTTACAGTTTTTACAGTTTAATAATAATGTCCTCAGAGAGGACTTTTGTAGGTTGAATCTATTTGGTGACTTTTGAGCTTCCTAGATCTGGATGTTTATATTTCTGCCAATACTTGGGAATTTTCTTACCTATTATTTTGTTAGATACATTTTCTGTTTTTTTTTCTTAATTTCTTCTCCCTCTGACATTTTCATAATGTGAATATTTGTTTACTTAATGGAGTTCCATAAGTTCTGTAGGCTTTCTTTACTCTTTTCTATTATTACACTTTTTTTCCCCTCTGCATAGGTTATTTAAAGAGACCAGTCTTCAAATTTAGAAATTCTTTATCCTGATTGATCTACTCTGTTTTGAAGCTCTTAGTTTTATTTTGTATTCTATTTATTGAATTCCTCAGTTACATGAATTATGTTTGGTTTATCTCTTTGTTAAATTTCTCTTTCAGATCATGAATTGCTTTCCTGATTTCTCAGCTGCGTATCTATATTCTCTTGTATCTTGCTGAGTTTCTTTAATATTATTATCTTCTATTTCTTTTCAGGCATCCTGTAAATTTCCTTTTTTGGGGTCACATTAATTGGAGAATTATTGTGTTCCTTTGGGGGGGTCATGTTTCCCTGCTTTTTCATATTTCTTGTGTTTCTACATTGATATTTGCACATCTGGTGGAAGAGTTGCCTCTTTCAATTTTGTAGAGTAGCTTTAGTTGGGAGAATTTTTCCTGTAGACAGATCCTAGGGTGTAGGTTTTATAGTGTGTATTGGCTTTGGTTTTGAGAGGATGCAGTAGTGTAGTACCCATGCAGTTTCCTCAGCTCTAATATAGGTCAGCAATATTTGCAAATGCTTCAGTGGCCTAGGCTGAAGGAGTTGGTGGCAGTGACAACACAGCTTTGCCAAGATTAGGGTACTGATATGGTTGGGCTGTGTCCTCACCCAAATATCACCTTGAATTGTTAAAATTCCCACATGTCAAGGGCAGGACCAGGTGGAGATAATTGAATCATGGGTGCAGTTCCCCCATGCTGTTGCCATTGCAGTGAGTAAGTTCTCATGAGATTTGATGGTTTTATAAGGGGCTTTCCCCTTTTCTTGGCATTCAGTCTCTCTCCTGCTGCCCTGTGAAGAGATGGCTTCCACCATGATTGCAAGTTTCCTGAGGCCTCCCCAGCCACACAGAACTGAGTCAATTAAATCTCTTTTCTTTATAAATTTCCCAGTGTATGGTATTTCTTCACGTCAGCGTGAGAACAGACTAATACAGGTATCAGGTTGTTTCTCAGGCTGGTGGCATGTACACATTTTGCCTGGACCAACACAAGCTTGGCTTTCTCACTGTGAAGAAATACCTGTTTCTTGGAAAACAGGGCACTGTATGAACTTGGGCATCAGAGTCATAGTCATTCTGCTGGGTCCTTACTTTGAATACCCAGGATCTTTGTGCTTTAGTCACCATTTGATCCCAATTATGGCCGTGGCTTAGTTATGGAGAGAAGCAGTGACTACTGATCCCCTGAGCAGAGCACACTCTAGCAGTGGCTGCAGTTTCAAGATGGCACTTTCCTATAGTACCTTGGGTCATGGGAAATGGGGGATGCACAATGTGACCTCCTATTTTGCAGTAAAGCAGCTGTGTGAGTAACAGGCAGCTCCCTAAACAAGGCTCAGGGCCTGTGAGGACTGCGTGATTCTCTGTAGCAAGGACTGCAGTTGTCTGTAGTTGTGATGGGGACTGTTGGAGGCCTCCTTATCTTTTCTTTGCAAGTAAAGTTCTTCCTGGCTCTGAATTAATCCTGGTGGATGAGAAGGGAGCAGAGGCAGGTACTTTACTCCTCTCTCTATGCTGTCATTCTGAGTATTCATGCTCCACAGGGATTTCACCAGTCCCTTTCCATAGGCCAGTACTCTTGTTCAGACATTATTGTCCAGTTTTAGTAATTTATTTAGTTTCATTTTCCTTTTTGTGGGGGTTGGGGGTGAGGAGCACTAGGCACCTCTAGTAGGTCAACTTGCTGATATCACTGCTAAAGTTACTTTTTGACCATTTTACTAGTTCCATTCTTTCAAGGGGTTAATTTGCTTGAAATTTGGATTAGTTTATTTTATCTTTCTGTATACTTTGTCGTTCAAGTGTTTGTTCTTTCTGTTTTTGTGTTTTGTTTATTTGTTAGTTTTTGAAGCATCATAATGTGCAACTTAGCAAGAAGCCAGTAGCAGTGAATTTGAAAGATAGTAATATTTCTATTGTTTTTGGCCCTCACTTTATCTGGCAAATTAAGGTAGATGGTGAGCATGGGCTTCACCTTTCCAATAGAAAGCATCCATGATTCTGTTTTCTGGGCCTCTCATCCATCAATTTGATGGAAGTTCGGTAATTCCAAAGCTAAACATTTTACAATTCTCTTCTGATTGCCTTTACATGAGCTAGGGGTAGAGTTAAGAGAGAAGAATTAAAAGGAGAGAAAAGGAAAAAAGGATGAGAAGAAGGGATGTATGGGGTAGGTAGTTGTCATCCAATTTTCCTAGACTACATCTGCATTGTAAACAGTGAACTTCTCTTTCAAAACAATTGTAAGTCTGCATCTAATGCCATTTTTAGTATCTTTTCATTTATGTCATATTAGCAGGAAGTGACTTGGTGTATCTGTGGACTCTCTGAAATCCCATAGGTATAAGATAATTTAGTACAAAGGCAACCCACCAAATACAGCTTGTTATAAAACTCCTTGGCATTGGGAAGTCTCATTATCAACCAAAGCACAATGTCAGTCTGGCAGAAGGCAAGTTAGACTATTTATTAGCCACTTTGTGCATGCCACATAGCTTTTCTTTGAGTTTTGTTGAAGCTCCTCTGAGCTGTGGCTGTTCAGATATTCTCTATCATGGTGCATGTACTCTATCCTTTTTACCTGCATGTGTGCCATCCATGGATCTTTTAATGCTTTTGAACAGTGGACCAAAATGAGCCCAGCCATGGGACTTTCGTAGCAGAAGCTATTCATTACTTTTGCCTCACTTTCTACCAATCACAGAAAACAGTTCCAGTGTGGGCTATAGTAGCCATATAATTGAATCTTGTAATTACTTATCTGTTAAACTTTCTAATTTAAAATGAGTGGAACATATAGTGGTTCTCTCTCTCTCTCTCTGTATCTCTCTCTCTCTTTTCCATTGGCTTTTCTAAATGAATACACTCACCATAGTCTGCTACAAACATATAGCAAAAGACAATAGTTCAAGAATAGGAAACATATGGATCCCCTTCATTTAAAATGTTTTACTTGGGAAAAAATGACTTTTTGAGGTACACAGAACTATTGTCTCAACATTACTTTTTGGATGCAAAGGTTTGGGAATTGATGAGCATGACCATCTGACCTTGTTGCTAAGACAATCAGGTGATTAAACTATTAAAGAGATTTTTTTTCCAAAGGCTTGAACAGTGGAAATGAGGAGGAGAAAGAAACATTTGTTTTTCAACATTGAACAACAGGATGTACAGTATTGTGGTTTTCAATAGAAGGGGAACAAGTGATGTGAGTCATGACTTTGTGCCTAGAGGCACTTTCTAGACCGTGGTGGAGTAAAGGGAAATACAAGTAAAGTGTAGTGGTCTCAGCAAGTTGTGGACACAGATATAAATATTCAGGCTTCTTAGGTAGATTGGGAAAAAGAACCTACAAAGGGAAAGACTGCTAGCACTCTGCCTAGAGGTCTAATGGAGTGTGTTGTTCTATATAATAAGCACTGCATGCATTAGGTGAAACTATGAGGCTGACAATGAATGACCAGGAAACCATGAGTTAAGCAGTTCTAACAGTTCATATAGGCCTGATGACACTAAAATTCCTACCAAGCATAGTAAAAAGTCCTAAACACCCAGGAATCACTGCGGAATTGTAGGAATCCAATAATTGTTATTGCTAATAGGACTAAACTAGTTAAGAGTAAAAACTATTCTAGGAGTGGCATCAGCAAGTGTGTAGAATAGGAGTTATCTACTATCATCTCCCTGCAGAAACATTAATTTTGACAACTACCATCTGATTAGAGTATCTTTATGCAAGTCTGGGAGCCCAAGAGAGAAGTTCCAACAGTGTTGGAGCAAAAAAAATCTAACAGTAGACACATCAAATAGGATAAGAAAAACAAATTCACATTACCCATGTAACACATCCTCCAAGACAGCCTAGCTCAATACCAATGGAGACCTGCTCAGCCTACAGCTTCCCTAACAGGGAAAACAAGAACATGGTGAGTGAGCATCCAGATCCCCTAGTCATACAGGATGTTGCCAAACAAGCTTAATTCTTTTTCACTCCACCCAGAATATCAAGGTGATTGGCAGGGCTGAGTGGTTGGGAGAGGCTGGGGGAAGGAAAAAAAGGCCAAAGACCCTATTAACTGTTCCTTGAACTCCATCAGCTAGCCCACCCACAAGTTAATTAGGATACCTATCCTGTGGATCACCTCCCATCTGGCATCTCAAGCACTCCATGAACCTCAATTTTCCCTACCATAGGTTAGATTCTCTAAGTGCATGCCCACAAACAGTAATTTCAAACATCTAATGAAGATAGCTGTCTTAACTGCACAGGACTGAGAAGGCATACACATCTGAGCATTTCAAGGTATCTCCCTAGAGAAAAAAACAAGATGCTCTAGGTCCTTGTCCTGATTTGTAAGACCAAGAGAAGTAATACAATCTTAAAAATTTTACCCCAAAAGGAAACAAGAGGTTTGGAGGGGGTGCATCCATAGAAAAGATCTGAGAGTGATGCAGAATACCTACCTAAACTCTTTGGTGAGAATGTTTCTTTCTCAAAGCCACTCAAAAGCCTGGAAGAGGTGATTATTTCTTCAAAGACAAAGTCAGCATTGAAAAACTTCAAAAAATGATAAAACCAAAGAAACATGACATCACAAAAGAAACACTGTAATTTTCCAGCAACTAACCCCAAAGAAATGGAGATCTAATCTACAAATTTTGTAATAAAGAATTTAAAAAATTGTTTAAAATATTTCGGTGAACTTCAGTGAAACACAGGCAACTCAAGGAAATCAGGAAAACACTGCATGAGTGGAACAACAGCTTCAGCAGAAACATAGAAATCATTTTTTTTTAAAAAAAATCAGAAATTCTGGGGTAAAAATGCAATTGTGAAATTAATGTGAAATTAAAAATGTAACAGAACTTGAACATCAGAGTTGGTTAGGCAGAAAAAAGAATCTATGAACTAAAAGATGAATCATTTGAAATTATACATTTAGAGGAGAAGAAAGAAAAGAGAATGAGAAGGAATATAAAAAAGCTTATGTGATTTATGAAAGAGCATCAAGTACAGTAATATGTGGATTATGAAAGCATGAGAAGGAAAAGTAAGAGAATGAGAAGGGCAGAAAGCACATTTTTAAAAAAGAATAGCTGAACAATTCCCAAATCTTGGAAGGGATATGAGGCTTGGAAAGTATATGATGTTTAGAAGTCCTCAGATAGGTTCAGTCTAATGAGCACTTCACCAAAACACATTATAATCAAATTGCCAAAAACAAAGACACAGAATTTTGAAAGCAGAAAGATAAATGAGACTCATCAAATATAAGAGAAGTCTTTCCCCCATTAGACTACAAGCAATTTCTCAGCAGAAGCCTTACAGACCAGGAGAAACTGAGATGATATATTCAGAGTGCCAAAAGAAACACCTGCCAACCAATAATACTTTACCTGGTAAAGCTTCAGAAATGAAGAAGAGATAAAGATTTTCCAAGAAAAAAAAAAGGAAAACTGAAAAAGTTCATCACCACTTGATATCCATCAGAAGATATGCTAAAGGAATTTCTTCAGAATGAAACTAAAAGATGCTAATTAGTAACATGAACATCAATGAAAACATAAAACTTACAGTAATATGCAGAATACTCTAGTACTGTAATAGTGTATACATTAATTCTAGTATAACATTTAAAAGACAAAGATGTTAAATATTGCTATAGCTATAATAATTTGCTAATGGAGACAAAATATAAAAACAAGTAAATTTTGACCTCAAAAATCCAGAATGTCTGAGAGGGGTGTAAAAGTGTAGATATATTGTATGTGATTGAAGTTAAGTTGCTATCATCTTAAAATAGACTGTTCAAGGTATGATTTTACCATGCCTCAGAGAGTCTTTCACTGACTACTTAACCAAAATTGCATCCAATCTCTCTCAATCCCCTATCATTCTTTCCTTTCATGTCACTCTAATGTTTCATTTCATACTTATTCATTTGGTTTATTGTCTTTCTTTCTCACTAGTATGTAAGCTTCTAGAGAGAAGGGACTCTGTGGCCTTAGGAGGAGCTAAATAAATATTATTTTAAATGCAAAAAATAAAACTATGATATTTTATGTAATCAGCATGGTAATCACAATGCAAAAAGCTGTAGATACTACACAAACCAGAAGGTGAAATAAATCAAATCATACCACCAAAGAAATAATCAAATGACAAGGAAAGGCAGTAAGAGGAAGAAAGGGAAAAAAAACTACAAAACAGCAAGAAAAAAATTAATGAAAAGCGATAGTAACTCCTTACCTGTAAATAATTACTTTAAATGTAAGTGGACTAAATTCTCCAATTAAAACATAGAGTGGCTGAATATATTTTAAAAAGCAAGACCCAACTGTGTTCTGCCTACAAGTGACTCACTTTAGCTTCAAGGATAAACATAGGCTACAAGGGAAAAACTGGAAAAAGATATCCCATGCAAATAGAAGCCAAAAGAGAACATGGGAAGCTGTACTTACATCAGAAAAAATAAATTTTATTTTTTTCACAAATGTATATACATTGATTTATTTTTAAAATTTATTTTTTATTTCAATAGGTTTTTAGGGAGCAGGTGGTGTTTGGTTACATGAATAAGTTCTTTAGGGGTGATTTCTGAGATTTTGGTGCACTCAGCACCCGAGCAGTGTACACAATACTCAATATATTTTATCACTCACTCCCCTCCTGCCCTTTCTCTCAAGTCCTCAAAGTCCATTGTGTCATTCTTATGTGTTTGTTACCTCTTAGCTTAGCTCCCACTTATGAGTGAGAACATATGATGTTTGGTTTTCCGTTCTTGAGTTACTTTACTTAGAATAATGGTCTCTGATTCCATCCAGGTTGCTGCAAATGCCATTATTTCATTCCCTTTTGTGGCTGAGTAGTATTCCATGCTCTCTCTCTCTCTCTCTCTTTATATATATATATATATTTATATATCATTTTTTTTTCTTTTTGAGACAGAGTCTCACTCTGTCACCCAGGCTGGAGTGCAGTGGCATGATCTTAGCTCACTGCAACCTCTGCCTTCCAAGTTCAAGCAATTCTCCTGCCTCAGCCTCCCAAGTAGCTGGGATTACAGATGCCTGCCACCACACCCAGATAATTTTTTGTATTTTTAGTAGTGACAGGGTTTTGCCATGTTGCCTAGGCTGATTTTGAACCCCTGAGCTCAGGCGATCCACTCACCTTGGCCTCCCAAATTTCTGGGATTACAGGCATGAGCCACTGTGCCCAGCAACCACAGTTTTTTTTTGTCCACTCATTGATTGATGGTTCTTTGGGCTGGTTCCATGTTTTTGCAATTGCAAATTGTGCTGCTATAAACACATGTGTGCAGGTATCTTTTTCATATAATTATTTATTTCCTCTGGGTAGATGCCATATTAGTCTGTTCTCATGCTGCTAATAAAGACATAACTGAGACTGGGTAATTTATAAAGAAAAGAGGTTTAATTGACTCACAGTTTCACATGACTGGGAAGGCCTCAGGACACTTACAATCATGGCAGCAGGGGTAGCAAACATGTACTTCTTCACATAGCAGCAGGAGAGAGAAGAATGAGAGCCAAGTGAAGGGGGAAGCCCCTTGTAAAACCATCAGATCTCTTGAGAACTTACTATCATAAGAATAACTTGGGGGAAACTGCCTCCATGATTCAATTACCTGCCACTGGGTCCTTCCTATGGCATTTGGGGATTATGGGAACTACAATTCAAGATAAGATTTGGATGTGGACACAGCCAAACCATATTATTCTGCCCCTGACTCCTCCCAAATCTCATGTCTTCACATTTGAAAACACAATCATGCCATTCCAATAGTTCCCCAAAGTCTTAACTCGTTTTATCATTAACTCAAAAGTCCAAGTACAAAGTCTCATCTGAGACAAGGCAAGTCCCTTCTGCCTGTAAGCCTGTAAAATGAAAGGAAGTTAGTTACCTCCTAGATATAATAAGTGTACAGGCATTGGTTAAATACACCCATTCCAAATGGGATAAATTGGCCAAAACAAAGGTGCTACAGGGCCCATGCAAGTCCAAAATCCAACAGGGCAGTCATTAAACCTCAAAGTTCCAAAATGATCTCCCTTGACTCCATGTCTCACATTCAGAGCACACTGCTGCAAAAGGTGGGCTCTTGGCCATAGTCTTGAGCAGCTCTGCCCCTGTGGCTTTGCAGGGTACAGACCCCCTCCTGGCTGCTTTCACAGGCTGGTATCAAGTGTCTGTGGCTTTTCCAGGTGCATGGTGCAAGCTGTTGGTGGATCTACAATTCTGGAGTCTGGAGGACAGTGGCCCTCTTCTCACAGCTCCACTAGACAGTGCTCCAGTGGGGACTCTGTATGGGGGCCCTGACCCCCACATTTCCCTTCTGCATTGCCCTAGCAGAGGTTCTCCATGAGGGCTCTGCCCCTGCAGCAAACTTTTGCCTGGACATCCAGGAGTTTTTACACATTCTCTGAAATATAGACAGAGATTTCCAAACCTCAGTTCTTGACTTCTGTGTACCTGTAGCCCAATACCACATGTAAGCCTCCTAAGGCTTGGGGCTTGCACCCTCTGAAACAATGGCCTGAGTTGTACCTTGGCCCTTTTTAGCCACAGCTTGAGCTGAAGCAGCTGGGATGCAGGGCACCATGTCCCAAGGCTACATAGAGCAGTTAGCCCTGGGCCTGGACCATGAAACCAGTTTTCCTTCCTAGGCCTCTGGGCCTGTAATGGGAGGGGCTGCCATGAAGGTTTCTGACATGCCATGGAGATTTTTCCCTATTATCATTGTGATTAACATTAGGCTCCTTGTCACTTACTCCAATTTCTGCAGCCAGCTTGAATTTCTTCCCAGAAAAATGGGTTTTTCTTTACTATCTCATCTTCAAGTTGCAAATTTTACAAACTTTTATGCTCTGTTTCCTCTTGAATGCTTTGCCACTTAGAAATTTCTTCCACAAGATACCTTAAATCATCTTTCTCAAGTTCAAAGTTCCACAGATCTCTAGGGCAGAGGCAAAATGCCACCAGTTTCTTTGCATAGCAAGAGTGACCTTTACTCCAGTTCCTAAGAAGTTCCTCATCTCCATCTGAGACCACCTCAGCCTGGACTTTATTGTCCATATCACTATCAGAATTTTGGTCAAAGCCATTCAACAAGTCTATAGGAAGTTTCAAATTTTCCTACATCTTCCTGTCCTCTGAGCCCTCCAAGTCTCTAGAAAGATCCAAACTTTGTCATATTTTTAGATATCATTACAGCAGTGCCCCACTTTCTGTGGTAACAATTTACTGTATTAGTCTGTTCTCACAATGCTAATAAAGACATACCTGAGACTGAATAATTTATAAAGAAAAGAGATTTAATTGACTCATAATTTTGCATGGCTGGGGAGGCCTCAGGAAACTTATAATCATGGCAGATGAAGAAGCAAACATGTTCTTCTTCATATGGCAGTAGGAGAGAGAAGAATGAGAGCCAAGCGAAGGGGAAACCCTCTTATAAAATTATCAGATCTCATAAGAACTTACTTGCACAAGAATAGCATGAGAATAGCATGAGAAAAGCATCCCCATGATTCAATTACCTCCCCGGGTCCCTCCCATGACACATTGGGATGAAGGGAACTACAATTCGAAATGAGATTTGGGTGGAGACACAGCCAAACCATCCCAGATACCTGGTAGTGAAATGGCTGGAACAAATGGTATTCCTTTTAGTTCTTTAAGGAATCACCACACTGTTTTCTATAGTGCTTGTACTAGTTTACATTCCCACCAACAAAGTAAAAATGTTCTCTTTTCACCACATTCATGCCAACATCTGTAATTTTTTTATTATTGCCATTCTTGCAGGAGTAAGGTGGTTTTGATTTGCATTTACCTGATACATAGTGATGTTAAGCATTTTTTCCATATGCTTGTTGGCCATTTGTATATCTTCTTTTGAGAATTGTCTGTTCATGTCCTTAGTCCACATTTCGATGGGATTGTTTGCTTTTTCTTGCTGATTTGAGTTCTTTGTAGATTCTGGATATTAGTCCCTTGTCAGATGTATCCATTTTGAAGATTTTCTACCACTCTGTGGGTTGTCTGTTAACTCTGCTGATTATTTGTTTTGCTGTGCAGAAGCTTTCTAGTTCAATCAGGTGCCATCTATTTATCTTTGTTTTTATTGCATTTGCTTTTGGGTTTTTGGTCATGAAGTCTTTGCCTAATCCAATGTCTAGAAGGGTTTTTCCAATGTTATCTTCTAGGATCTTTGCTGTTTCAGGTCTTAGATTTAAGTCCTTGATCCATCTTGGGTTGATTTTTGTATAAGATGAGAGATGAGGATCCAGTTTTATTCTCTACATGTGGCTTGCTAATTATCCCAGCACCATTTGTTGAATAGAATGTCATTTCCCCAATTTATGTTTCTGTTTGCCATGGGCATGGAATATGTTTCCATTTGTTTGCATTGTCTATACTTTCTTTCAGCAGTGTTTCATAGTTTTCCTTGTGGAGGTCTTTCACCTCCTTAGTTAGGTGTACTCCTAAGTTTGGTTTTATTTTTGCAGCTATTGTAAAAGGAGTTGAGTTCTTGATTTGATTCTCAGCTTGGTTGCTGTTGGTGTATAGCAGAGCTACTGATTTGTGTACATCCATTTTGTATCCTGAAACTTTCCTCAATTCATTTACCAGTTTATGAGCTTTATGGATAAGTCTTTAGGGTTTTCTAGGTATATGACTATCTCATAGCAAACAGCAACAGTCTGACTTCCTCCTTACCAACTTAGATGCATTTGATTTATTTCTCTTGTCTGATTGCTGCAGTCAAGACTTCCAGTACTATGCTGAATAGAAGTGGTGAAAGTGGGCATTTTTGTCTTATTCCAGTTTTCAAGGGGAATGTTTTCAACATTTCCTAGTTCAATATTATGTTGGCTGTGGGTTTGTCATAGATGGTTTTTATTACCTTAAGGTGTGTCACTTCTATGTTGATTTGGATGAGGGTTTTAATCATAAATGGATGCTGTATTGTGTCAAATGCTTTTTCTGCATCCACTGAGATGATCATGTGATTTTTGTTTTTATTCTGTTTATGTGCTATATCACATTTATTGACTTACATATGTTAAACCATTCCTGCATCCCTGGTATGAAACCCACTTGATCATGGAGGATTATCTTTTTAATATACTGTTGGATTTGGCTAGCTTGTATTTTGTTGAGAATTTTTGCATCTATGTTCATCAAGGGTATTGGTCTGTAGTTTTCTTTTTTTGTTATGTCCTTCCCTGGTTTTGGTATTAGGGTGATACTAGCTTCATAGAATGATTTAAGGACGATTTCCTCCTTCTCAATCCTGTGGAATAGTGTCAATAGAATTGGCTTCTATTCTTCTTTGAATGCCTGGCAGAATTCAACTGTGAATCCAACTGGTCCTGGACTTTTTATTATGGGCAATATTTGTATTACCATTTAAATCTTGCTGTTCATTGTCGGTCTGTTCAGAGTTTTTATATCTTCCTGATTTAATCTAGGACGGTTGTATATTTCCAGGAATTTATTCATCTCCTCTAGGCTTTCTAGTTTATGCTCATAAAGGTGTTCATATTAGCCTTGAATAATCTTTTCTATTTCTGGGGTATCAGTTATAATATCTCCTGTTTTGTTTCTAATTGGGCTTATTTGGACCTTCTCTCTTCTTTTCTTGGTTTGTCTTGCTAATGGTCTATCGATTTTATTTACCTTTTCAAGAAACCAGCTCTTTGTTTCATTTAATTATTGTTTTGTTTCAATTTCATTTAGTTCTGCTCTGCTCTTCCTTATTTCTTTTCTTCTGCTGGATTTGAGTTTTGATTGTTCTTGTTTTTCCAGTTCCATCAGTTGTGACCTTAGATTGTCTATTTGTGCTCTTTCAGGCTTTTTGATGTAGACATTTAATGCTATGAGGTTTCCTCTTAGCACCACTTTTGCTGTGTCCCAGAGGTTTCGATTGGTTATGTCGCTATTATCACTCAGGTCAAAGATCTGACCCAATGATCATTCAGGAACAGGTTATTTAATTTCCATGTATTTGCATAGTTTTGAGGGTTCCTTTTGGAGATGATTTCCAATTTTATTCCACTGTGGTTTGAGAGAGTACTTGATATGATTTTGATTTTTAAAATTTACTGAGACTTGTTTTCTGGTCTATAATAGTATCTGTCTTGGAGAATATTCCATGTGCTGATGAATAAAATAATTATTCTGCAGTTAGTGGGTAGAATGTCCTGTAAATATCTGTTAAAAACATTTGTTGTAGGGGATCGTTTAAGTGCATTGTTACTTTGTTGACTTCCTGTCTTGACAACCTGTCTAGTCCTGTCAGTGGAGTATTAAAGTCCCCCACTATTACTGTGTTGCCATCTATCTCATTTCTTAGGTCTGGTAGTACTTGTATCATAAATTTGGGACCTCCAGTGTTAGGTGCATATGTATTGAGGATTTTGGTATTTTCCTGTTGGGCTAGTCCTTTTGTCATTATATAATGTCCCTTTTTGTCTTTTTTAGCTGCTGCTGCTTTGAAGTTTGTTTTGTCTGATATAAGAATAGCTACTACTGCTCACTTTTGGTCTCCATGTGCATGGAATGTCTTTTTACACCTTTTTACCTTAAGTTTACATGAGTTCTTACGTATTAGGTGAGCCTCCTACAGACAGCAGAATCTTAATTGGTAAATTCTTCTCCATTCTGTATCTTTTAAGTGGAGCATTTAGGCCATTTACATTCAACTTTAGTATTCAGATGTGAGGTACTTTTCTTTTCATTATGGTATTTGTTGCCTGAATATCTTGGGTGTTTTTCATTGTGTTATTGTTATATAGGTCCTGTGAGATTTATGCTTTAAGGAGGTTCTATTTTGGTGTATTTCAAGGATTTGTTACAAGATTTAGAGATCCTTTCAGCACTTCTAGTAGTGCTGGCTTGGTAGTGCTGAATTCTCTCAGCATTTGTTCATCTGGAAAATACTGTATCTTTCCTTTATTTATGAAGATTAGTTTCACCAGATACAAAATTCATGGCTGATAATTGTTTTGTTTAAGGAGACTAAAATTGGGAACCCCCCCAATTCCTTCTAGCTTGTAGGGTTTCTGCTGAGAAATCTGCTGTTAATCTGATAAGTTTTCCTTTATAGCTTATCTGATACTTTTGCCTTACAGCACTTAAGATTCTTTCCTTTGTCTTCACTAAACGTAACCTGATAGCTATGTGCCTAAGTGATGATCTTTTTGCAATGAATTTCCCAAGTGTTCTTTGAGTTTCATGTTTTTGGATGTCTAGATCTCTAGCAAGATCAGGGATGTTTTCCTCATTTATTCCCTGAAATATATTTTCCAAACTTTTAGACGTCTGTTTTTCCTTAGGAACCCAAATTATTCTTAGGTTTGGATGTTTAACATAGTCTCAAACATCTTGGAGGCTTTGTTCATTAAAACTTTTTTTTCTTTGTCTTTGATGGATCGGGTTAATCAAAAGCCTTGTCTTTGAGTTCTGAAGTTCTTCTGCTTGTTCAAGTCTATGGCTTAGACTTTCCAGTACATTTTGCATTTCTCAATGTGTGGCCTTGATTTCCAGAAGTTTTGATTGTTTTTTACTTATGCTGTTTTGCTGAAGATTTTTTTTTCATATCATGTATCGTGCTTTTGATTTCCTTAAGTTGGACTTCACTTTTCTCTTCTGCCTCCTTGATTAGCTTAATAATCAACCTTCTGAATTATTTTTCTGGCAATTTATAGATATTTTTCTTGGTTTGGATCCATTGCTGGTGAGTGGGTATGATCTTTTGGGGGTGTTAAAGAACCTTGTTTTGTCATATTTGTCAAATTCAGCCCTGATATTTCAACTTGGGTCCTTTTCTATTTTCCCTAAGTGTCGGCCGGTCTGAGAAATAAAGAGAAAGAGTACAAAAGAGAGAAATTTTAAAGCTGGGTGTCCAGGGGAGACATCACATGTTGGCAGGTTCCATGATGTCCCCTGAGCCATAAAACCAGCAAGGTTTTGTTAGCAATTTTCAAAGGGGAGGGAGTGTATGAATAGGGTATGGGTCACAGAGATCACATGCTTTAAGGGCAACAAAAGATCGCAAGGCAGAAGGTCAGGGTGAGATCACAACATCAGGGCAAAACTAGAATCACTAATGGACTTCCAGGTCCAGCTGTGCATGCATTGTCATGATAAACATCTTAACAGGTTTCAAGAGCAGAGAACTGGTCTGACTAGAATTTGCCAGGCTGGAATTTCCTAATCCTACCAAGCCTGGGGGTGCTGCAGGAGACTAGGGTGTGTTTCATCCCTATCTACATCTGCATAAGGCAGACAGTCCCAGGGTGGCCATTTTAGAGGCCCCCCTGGGAATGCATTCTTTTCCCAGGGCTGTTAAATATTAATATTCCTTACTGGGGAAAGAATTCAGCCATATTTATCTAACCCGTTTTTGGAAATAAGAGAAATATGGCTCTGTCCTGCCCGGCCCACAGGCAGCCAGACTTTAAGGTTATCTCCCTTGTTCCCTGAAAATCACTGTTACCCTGTTCTTAAGGTGCCCAGTTTCATATTGTTCAAACACACATGATTTATGAACAATTTCTGCAGTTAACACAATCATTACAGGGTCCTGAGGTGACATATATCCTCAGCTTATGAAGATGATGGGATTAAGAGATTAAAGTAAAGACAGGCATAGGAAATTATAAGAGTATTGATTGGGGAAATGATAAACGCCCATGAAATCTTCACAATTCATTTCATTCTGCCATGGTTTCAGCCAGTCCCTCCGTTCGGGGTCCCTGACTTTCCACAACACCTTCTCATTTGAGTAGACTATGCCAGAGGGAAAATCTGGGACTCAAGGGCTGCAGATTTTTTCTTTGTCCCACAGGGTACCCCATTAATGTGGTGTTCTCCCCTTTCCCCTATGGACAGGGCTTCCTGAGAGCTGAACTGCAGTGGTTGTTTTTGCTCTTCTGGGTCTGTCCACCCAGTGGAGCTCCTGGAATCCAGGCTGGTACTGGGGAGTTTCTGCAAAGCATTCTTTAATGTGATCTGTCTTCAGGTCTTTCATCCATGGATACCAGCACCTGTTCCAGTGGAGGTAGCAGGGGAGTGAAGTGGACTCTGTGAGGGTCCTTGCTTGTATTTTTGTTTAGTGCACTGGTTTTATGTTGTTTGGCTTCTGGCCAGGAGGTGGGGCTTTCAAGGGAGCATCAGCTGCGGTAGTATGGGGAAGATACAAGCTTGCCCTAGGGTCAGCTGGACACATATTCTGGTTTCTCAGGCAGTGGGCAAGGCCATAGACCTTTCAAGAGATTATGTGCTCTGTCTTCAGCTACTGGGGTGGGTAGAGAAAGACTATCAGGTTGGTGTGGGGTTAGGTGTGTCTGAGCTCAGGTTCTCCTTGGGCGGGGCTTGCTCCAGGAGCTGTGGGGGATGACAGCGTGGTTCTTAGGCCATTGGTATTATGTCCCCAGAGAGATAATGACTGTCTCTGCTCTGTCAAACAGGTCAACAGGGAAGACCGTGCCACTACCCTTGACAACTTCTGATAACTATCCTACTGTCTATATCCATGTACTCAATTGTTTTGACGTTTACATCCCACAAATAAGTGAGAATATGTGATGTTTACTTTTCTATGGCTGGCTTATTTCACTTAACATGATGACCTCCAATTTCATCCATATTGTTGCTAATGACAGGAAATTATTCCTTTCTTATGACTGAATAGTACTTCATTGTGTATATTTACATTTCCTTTATCCATTTATCTGTTGATGGACACTTAAGTTGTCTCCAAATACTGGCTATTGTGAATAGTGCTGCAACAAACATGGGAGTGCAGATATCCCTTTGATATAATGATTGCCCTTCTTTTGGATATATACCCAGCAGTGGGTTTGCTGGATCATACAGTGGCTCTATTTTCAGTTTTTTTGAGGAAACTCCAAACTGTTCTCCATAGTGGTTGTAATACTTTACATTCCCATCAACGGTGTATGAGAGTTCCCTTTTCTCCACATCCTCACTAGCATTTGTTATTGCCTATCTTTTGGATATAAGCCATGTTAACTGGGGTGAGATGATATCTACCTGCAGTTTTGAATTGCGTTTCTCTTATGACCAATTATGTTAAGCACTTATTTATATGCCTGCCATTTTATGTCTTCTTTTGAGAATTGCCTATTCAAATCAGTTGCCCATTTTTATGGAGTTATTAGATGTTTTTCCTATAGAGTGTTTGAGGTCCTTATATATTCTGGTTATTAATCCCTTTTCAGATGGGTAGTTTGCAAATATTTGCTCCAATTCTGTGGGTTGTCTCTTCACTTTGTTGATTGTTTTTTTCACTGTGCAGAAGCTTTTTAACTTGATGTGATCCTGTTTGTCCATTTTTGCTTTGGTTGCCTATGCTTATGATGTATTACTTAAGAAATTTTTGCCCAGACCAATGTCCTGGAGAGTGTCTCCAATGTTTTCTTCTAGAAGTTTCATCATCTGAGGTCTTAGATTTAAGTGTTTAGTCCACTTTAATTTAATTTTATATATAGCAAGAGATAAAGGTCTAATCTCATTTTTCTGCACTTGGATATCCAGTTTTCCCAGCACCACTTATTGAAGAGATTGTCTTTTTCCGAGTGTATGTTCTTGGCATCTTTGTCAAAAATAAATTCACTATAGGTGTGTGGATTTGTTTCTGGGTTCTCTATTCTCTTTCATTGGTGTATGTGTCTGTTATTGCACCAGTACCATGCTGTTTTGGTTATTACAACTCCATAATACATTTTGAAATCAGGCAATGCGTTTTCCCCAGTTTTGTACTTTTTGTTCAGGATAGCTTTGGCCATTCTGGGTCTTTCATGGTTCTATATAAATTTTAACATTGTGTTTTCTATTTCTGACAAGAATGTTATTGGTATTTTGATAGGGGTTGCATTTGAATCTATAGATTACTTTGCATAGTATGGATATTTAACAATAGTGATTCTTCCAACCCATGAACATGAACTCTTTTTCCATTTTTTGCTGTTCTCTTCCATTTCTTTTATCAGTGTTTTACAATTTTCATTGTAGAAATCTTTCACTTATTTGGTTAAGTTAATTCCTAGCAATTTTATTTTATTTGTAGCTATTGTAAATGGGATTATTTTTATTTTATTTTCAAATTGTTCAATGTTGGTATATAGAAATGCTACTGATTTTTGTATGTTGATTTTCTATCCTGCAACTTAACTGACTTTGTTTATCAGTTTTCATAGTTATTTGGTGAATTTTTTAGGTTTTCCAAATGTAAGATCAAATAATCTGCAAACAAGGGTTATTTGACTTCTTCCATTTCTGTTTGGATGCCCTTTATTTCTTTCTCTTGTCTCATTGAATTAGCTAGCACTTCCAGTACTATGTTGAATTACAGTAGTCAGGCATGGTGGTACACACCTGTAATCCCAGATACTGGGAAGCTGAGGCAGGAGAATCGTTTGCACCTGGGAGGCAGAGGTTGCAGTGAGCCAAGATCATGCCACTGCACTCCAGCCTGGGTGACAGAGTAAAACTATGCAAAAAAAAAAAAAAAAAAGAAAGAAAGAAGAAAGCAAGCAAGCAAGTAAGCAGGCAGGTAGGCAGGCAGGCGTCCTTGTCTTGTTCCAGATCTTAGAGGCAATGCTTTCAGTTTTTTTCCTATTCAGCATGATACTAGCTGTGGGTTTGTCATATATGGCTTTTATTATGTTGAGGTATTTCCCTTTTTTTCCAAGTTTTTTGAGGGTTTTTATCATGAAGGGATGCTGAAATTTATTAAATGCTTCTTCAGCTTTATCTTCAGCATTAATTTAAATGATCAGATTTTTTTGTCTTTTTTGTTGATATGATGTGTCACATTGATTGATTTGTGTATGTTGAACCATCCTTGCATCCCTGTGATAAAGCCCACTTGGTCATAATGAATGATCTTTTTAATGTATTGTTGAATTCAATTTGCTAGTATTTTGTTGAATATTTCTGCATCAATATTCCTGAGAGATATTGACCTGTAGTTTTCTTTCATTTTATGTCTTTGGTTTTGGTATCAGGGTGATACTGGTCTTGGAGAATTAATTCAGAAATATTTCCTCTTTCTCTGTTTTTTGTAACATTTGTGTAGGATTGTTATTCGTTCTTTAAATGTTTAGTAGAATTCAGCAGTGAAGCCATTAGGTCCCAGGCTTTTCTTTATTGGGAGACTTTTTATTACAGCTTCAATCTTGTTATTTGTTAATGATTTGTCCAGGTGTTGGATTTCTTCATGGTTTAATCTTGGTAGGTTGTATGTGTCTAGAGTGTCTAGAAATTTGTCCTTTTTCTCTAGATTTTTCAATTTATTGATATATAGAATCATAGTAGCCACTAATGATTCTTTGAATGTCTGCCCTGTCAGTTGTAATGTCTTTTGTTCATCTCTGATTTTATTTATTTGCATCTTTTCCCTTTTTTTCAGTAGTCTGGAAAAAGATTTTTTAACTTTATATTTGTCCATTTTAATCATTATTTATCTTTTTATTACTTAGTTTTAAATATTCTTTATATTTTTGAGTTACAAGTCCTTTATTACATGCTATGCAAATGTTTTCACCCTTCTGTGAGTTGCCTTTTCACTTTCTTGTTGATGTCCTTTGAAACACAGAATAATTTAGTTCTGGTGAAATCCAATTTATTTTTTCTTTTTACACATCTTTTTTTCTCATATATCTAATAATCTTTTGTGAAACACAAGGTCATATTTAGCCCTATATTTTCTTCTAAGAGTTTTACAGTTTTCATTCTTTCATTTAGGTCTGTGATTCATTCCAAGTCAATAGGCATCCAAATTCATTATTTTTATGTTGTCCCTGTACCATTTGTTGAAAAGATCATTTTTTTCATTATACTATAAGTTCTGGGATACATGTGCAGAACATGCAGGTTTGTTACATAGGTATACACGTGCCATGGTGGTTTGCTGCACCCATCAGCCCATCATCTACATTAGGTATTTCTCCTAATGCTATCCCTCTCCTAAGCTTCCACCCCCTGACAGGCCCCAGTGTGTGATGTTTTCCTCCCCGTGTCTGTGTATTCTCATTGTTCAACTCCCACTTATGAGTGATAAAATTTGGTGTTTGGTTTTCTGTTCCTGTGTTAGTTTGCTGAGAATAATGGTTTCCAGCTTCATCCATGTCCCTGCAAAGGACATGAACTCTTCCTTTTGTATGGCTGCATAGTAGTCC
The DNA here is from genome assembly GCF_000001405.40 of Homo sapiens. Taxonomy (NCBI): domain Eukaryota; kingdom Metazoa; phylum Chordata; class Mammalia; order Primates; family Hominidae; genus Homo; species Homo sapiens. The sequence continues at coordinate 109,139,314 of NC_000023.11, read as the reverse complement.
ATGGTTTAGATGTGCCACATTTTCTTTATCCAGTCTATCATTGATGGACATTTGGTTGCTTCTAAGTCATTGAAAATGTGAATAGTGTTGCAATAAACATACGTGTGCATGTGTCTTTATAGTAGAATGATCTATAATCCTTTGGGTGTATACATAGTAATGGGATTGCTGGGTCAAATGGTATTTCTGGTTCTAGATCCTTGAGGAATCACTACACTGTCTTCCACAATGGTGGAAGTAATTTACACTCCCACCAACAATGTAAAACATTCTTATTTCTTCACATTCTCACCAGCATCTGTTGTTTCTTGACTTTTTAATGGTATCTCATTGTGGTTTTGATTTGCATTTCTCTAATGACCAGTGAAGATGAGCTTTTTTTTCATATGTTTGTTGGCCACATAAAGGTCTTCTGTTGAGAAGTGTTTGTTCATATCCTTTGCCCACTTTTAGATAGGGTTGTTTGTTTTTTCCTGTAAATTTGTTTAATTTCTTTGTAGATTCTGGATATTAGCCCTTTGTCAGATGGGTAGATTGAAAATATGTTCTCCCATTCTGTAGGTTGCCTGTTCACTCTGATGATAGTTTCTTTTGCTGTGCAGAAGCTCCTTTGTTTAATTAGATCCCATTTGTCAATTTTGGCTTTTGTTGCCATTGCTTTTGGTGTTTTAGTTATGAAGTCTTTGCCCATGCTTATATCCTGAATGGTAAAGCCTAGGTTTTATTCTAGGGTTTTTATGGTTTTAGGTCTTATGTTTAAGTCTTTAATCCATCTTGAGTTAGTTTTAAGAGTTGTATAGCCAGGACAATCCTAAGCAAAAAGAACAAAGCTGGAGGCATCACACTACCTAACTTCAAACTATATTACAAGGGTACAGTAACCAAAACAGCATGGTAGTCTTACCAAAACAGATATATAGACCAATGGAACAGAACAGAAGACTCAGAAATAATGTCACACATCTACAACCATGTGATCTTTGACAAACCTGGCAAAAAGAAGCAATGAGGAAAGGATTCCCTATTTAATAAATGGTGTTGGGAAAACTGGCTAGCCATATGCAGAGATCTGAAACTGGACCACTTTCCTACACCTTATATAAAAAATTAATTCATGATGCAAAAGATTTTTCTTTTTATAATAATTTTTTTTTTAGAGAGAGAGAGAGAGAATCTCGCTCTGTCACCTAGGCTCTAGTGCAGTGGTGTGATCTTGGTTCACTGCAACCCTCAATCTCCTGGGTTCTGGCAATTCTTCTGTCTCAGTCTGCTAAGTAGCTGGGATTACAGACATGGGACACCATGCTCAGCAAATTTTTGTATTTTTAGTAGAGATGGGGCTTCACCACGTTGGCCAAACTGGTCTTGAACTCCTGACCTCAAGTGATCTGCCCACCTCGGCCTCCCAAACTGCTGGGATTACAGGCATGAGCCACCATGCCTGGCAAGATTATTCTTTTTCTAATGAATAATCTTGGCATCTTTGCCAAAAATCAGTTGACCATATATACATGAGCTTATTTCCAGACACTAAAGTCTATTCCATTAATCTGTTTTTATTTTTGTGTTAGTGCCACATTGTCTTCATTACTAATGCTTTATAGTAAATTTTTAAATTAGGACATGTGAATCCTACTTTATTCTTCTTATTCAGGATAGTTTTTGCTGTTCTGGGTTGCTTGGCAGAGTTTAGAATCAGCTTGCCAGTTTCACAAAGAATTCAGCTGGGCTTTTAATGGGTATTAGATTGAATCTGTAGATCATTGGATTTTTTTTCCATTTATTTAGATCTTCTGTAAAAATCTTAAAGAAAAAACTCAACAATACTTAGTGGTTTTTAGAGTATGAGTTTTTCACCATGTTTGTTAATTACTAAGTATTTCATTCTTTTTGATAATATTGTGAAAAATTGCTTTTTAATTTTGTTTTTGGATTGTTTATTGCAAACATATAGACATACAGTTGATTTTGATGTATTAATCTGGTACCCTGCAAACTTGATGAACTCATTTTTAGTTTCTAATAGTTTTTTAGTGGATTCCTTAAAAATTTCTATATACAGGATTACATAACTTGTGAATAAACATAATTTTACCTCTTCCTTTTCAATCTGAATGCCCTTTATTTCTTTTTCTTGACTAATTGCCCTAGCTAGAACCTCCAGTATAATGTTGATATAACTGTCAAGAGTGGACATCCTTGTCTTACTCCTGTTCTTCAGGGGGAATCATCTAGTCTTTCACCATTTAAGATGACATTAGCTGTGGGTTTTTCATACAGCACATTTATCAGTTTGAGAAAGTTATGTTTATCAGATTGAGAAAGCTCCTTTTCTCAACTGAGATGAGATATCACCAAAGAATAGGAGATAGTAGTCTCTATTTCCTGACAAGAAAGCAAATATAAACAGCTGTCCACAAACCAAAATAGTACTAGAAAGGTCGTTTTAAGAACCTGCAGCAACACAGTGGAAGAAGAAAATATATCAGGTTTTCTCCTATTTTCAGTTTGTTGATTGGTTTTTATCATAAAAGGATGTTGGATTTTGTTAAGTGCTTTTTGTGTGTCATTTTTTGAGATCATTTTTTTCTTTCTTATTGTAGGCATTTTACAGCTATAAATTTCACCCTAAGAATTGCTTGTACTGCATCTCATAAATGTTGGTATTTTGAGCCTCGATTTTCATTCACGTCAGAATGTTTTCTTATTTCCCTTTTGATTTCTTCTTTGACCCATTGGTTGTTTAGGAGTGGGCTATTTATTTCTGCATATATTTAGTTTCCAAAATTTTCCTTTTATTACTCCTAATTCCATTCCACTAAGATCAGAGAACATATTTTATATTATTTTTACACTTATAAATTTGTTTAGGTTTATTTTATGGCCTAGGATATGGTCTATCCTGGAGAATGTTCCATGTGCACTTGAGAATAATGTATTTTATGTCATTTCGTGGAATATTCTGCAGATATCAGTTAGATCTAGTTGGTTTATTGTTTGTTCAAGTCTTGTATCTCCTCATTGATCTCTTTCTAGTTATTCTACCTGTTAGAAGAGTGAAGAGTTGAAGTCTCTAACTATTGTTAAATTGTCCATTTTTCCCTTTATTTCTGTCAGTTTTTGCTACATGTGTCTTGATGCTGTTATTTCTAATGTATATGTTCACAATTGTTATGTGTTCCTGATGAATTGACACATTTTTCATTATAAAATGTCACTGTTTATCTCTAATAGTATTTTTTGTTTAAAGTTTATTTTTTGTGATATTAGTATAGCCACTCTAGTTTTCCTTTGGTTACTATTTGCTTTATATATGTCTTCCATAGTTTTACTTTCAATCTGTTTTATCTTTGAATCTAAAGTGAGTTTCATGTAGACAGCTTACAGTTGGGTCATGTTTTATCATAAATCCAATTTGACAATGCTGCCTTATCATTAGATTTTTCAGTCTATTTACACTTAATGTTATTGTTGCTTTTGCTTGATTTAGATCTGTCAACTTACTTTTTGCCTTATGACTTTTTCCCTTCTATTCCCACTTTACTGCTTTTCATTGAGAAAATTTTTTGCATCTAGAGTTTTTATTTTATAGATTACAGTTTTACTATTTTTATATTGTTTTAGTGGTTGCTCTAGGGTTTGCCATATACATTTTAAGTTATCAGAATTAGTTTCATATTTATGCTGGTTTGATTCTAATTTTATATATATATATATATATATATGTTACACCTATATAGCTCTTATGGTATTATTGCTACCATATCTGTTATTGTTACCATATCTATCAATGGTACAAACCTAACTATACATTGTTATAATTATTGCTTTACCACCTATTGTCATTTCCTTAGCCTATTACAGCTTTTTCTCTCACTCTCCTCCATTGTGTTGTTATTGGTAAATATATTACACAAACATTACATTTCTATATGTTACAGGCCCAACAAATCATTGCATACATATTATTTTAAACAACTGCTTTTAAATCAGTTAAAAGAAGAAAAGAAATATATTAATAGCATTTTTAATAATTGCATAATTAACTTTACTGGCATTCTTTATTTGCTCATGTGAATTCTGATAACTATCTGCAATCACTTGCTTTTGAAATATTTCAGCCTTTAATATGTTTTCTTACTAAAGAAAAAAAGCTTTTTTTTCTTTAGTATTTCTTGTAAGGCAATTCTGTTGGCAGAAATTCTCTTGGTTTTGTTTATCTGGGAAAGTATTTAATATTTAGTTTTGAAATAACAGCTTTGTTGAATATAGGAATCTTGGTTGACAGTTTTTTTTTTTGAACACTTTGAATATGTTAACCCACTACCTGCAGGCCTCCAATGTTTCTGACAATAAGTCAGCTGTTGATCTTATTGGGGTTCTTTTTATAAGTGAAGTGTTGTTTTCCTTTTACTGATTTCAAGATTTTTTCCTTGTCTTTGACTTTCAGCACTTTTACTATGGTATATCTGTTTGTGGGTCTTTTGGCATTTATCCTACTTTGAGATCATCAAATGTGTAGGTTATTACATTTTAATAAATTTGAGAAGTTTTCAGCCATTATTTCTTCAAATATTTTCTGTTTCTTTCTCTCTCTACTCCTCTTCTGGCATTCCTTTTATGTGTATGTTGGTGTGCTTCATTGTATCTCATGTTTCTCTGAAGTTTTGTTTATTTTCCTCCACTCTTCTCTATTATTTGGCTTGCATTATCTCTGTTGATCTATTGTAAATTTTGAAGTTTTCAAATTCTTTATTTTGACAGCTCAAATCTATTGTTGAGCCCATTATTAAAATTTATTTTTATCTTTGTTATTCTACTTTCAACTCCAGAATTTCAACTTCATTCTTCTTGAAAATTTTTATTTCTTTATTGATATTCTTTATTTGGATGTAATATGTCATCACATCTTCCTTTACTTTTTAAATTAAGCTTTCCCTTAGTTCTGTAAATATATTTATAATGACTACTTTGAAACATTTTCCTGTTCATTCAACCTGTAGTTACTCTTATAGGCAGTTTGTCTTGCCTCCTTTTTTCTGGCACATGGGTCATATTTTGCTACTTCTTTGCATGCCTCATAATTTTTTATTGGAAACTAAACATTTTATGTAAGATATTGTAGCAACTCTTGTTACTACCCTCCCTTAAAGAGTTTAGTGGAGTCTGTTTTCTGCCTCCACTGTATTAAATCTTTGATATTTCTCCTTAGGGAGGCAGAGATTTGTGTATCCTCAAAGTCACACTGTGATCAGTGTTAGGTAAGGCTCTCCGGTTCTTTTCCTGACCATACCCAGTTGTTATGCTCCATTAATTGCCTGTTGATTGCTCTGTTATTTATAAAAATGTCCCAGGGGCAGAGATTTCTCTACAAATACTCTAATCAGAATGATTTCTGAGGTCAGTGTTTGATATTTGTTCTCACCCCATGATGGTTGCTCCCAGCTATCTTATTCCCCAGATGTTTCCTTAAAACTAGGTGACCTACAGTGTAGGCTGTATCAACATCAGATCCACAAATCTCCTCCCAATTCCCTTCTCTACAACCTCCTTGTTTTTAGGTTTAAACTTCTCTATGTCGTAAAGGAAGTTGCTTCGTTTGGAAAGAAATTAGGAGCTATATATTTTGTGATCTGCTTCTCCCCCCTCCCCAGAAAAATCTCTGAGCATGGGCTCCTGAGCTTAAGGTGGGAACAGTGGTAAGCTTCTTTTTGAGTGACACCCCACTCTAGAAGTTGAGTGCTCAGTGTTCAGTGGAGGAGGTAGTAGTAACTGACGTTCTCTTGGCTTGCCTCTTTTCTTGTGGAATCATCACCTCATGAATCAGTGCAAGGGCCATCAAGGGTCCAGTATTCTCAGAATGCCATGTTCAAAATAGAGCCTCTGTTCTACAAGTGTGAGCTGGATAGAAGAAGGCAGCCACCATCTCTTTGCACACTGCCCAGGACTCAGCATCAGCAACAGGCAGCTGAGGCAGGATGAGAAAAAGTGACATGCTACTCTTCTTGGAAAGTAAGCACTCAGGCTGGGAGCTACAGGGAAAGAGACCTCTGCATCCTTGGCTGCAGTAGTCTGGAGTGGAATCTCCCTTTGCTAAATTTAGAGGGCAGAGGGAGAGAGCAGTCTTGGTTCAAATAGCACGACTTTTTTTGAAATTTTCCACAGATTTTCTTGAATACATTTTTCTTCATTATCTGTTTGCCCTTATGACCATTTCCAGATGCTTTAAATAATTTTTGTTACTTTTATATATATTTTCACCATTTTAATTGGAGAGAGGTTCAGTGGAACTACTCATGCTGTTGTACCCCAATTACATTGAAATAAAGTTTAAAATTCTATAAAAACACACTTATGATTAATACATGTATTTGTTAATGCATTAAATAAGATACAAGGACAAGTCTAATAAATGCTATAATTTCAAAATTCTGATGAATATAAATTATATTCCAAAATATCTATAAAAACTATAATACACAAATATCTATGATTATTACTGGAAACAAATTACACATATGGTTAATTCCACTGCAGTTTATTGCCTACGTTCCTAATTAAAGGAAATGTTATATTTCAATTAGAGATTAGTGAAAATGAAATGTAAATATTTTCCTTACAAATTTATGGGTCACCTTATAAACACTTTTGGGAATTCCATGTGCCCCAGGTTCAGAATCTCTGCTTTAAATTCTCCTTGGGATGAGGAGAAAGGGTGAGAAGTCCTAAGGAATCTCATCCTGTTCTATCATCAATAAAGGGACAATTAAGGCATAACTAAGATTTAAGCCATTGCAAAATCTCAATATTTTCCTTTACAGTTTCCCTATCCTCCATTGCTTCTTTGTCTAAGCAACTAAAGCCATTATCTATATTTTAATTATTTCTTTGCTACTGTGTTTTTTCTCCTTCATGTCCAATACATGTTCTCTATCTGAAATGGCTCAAAATGTTTCTGTTAAAATTCTTCACTCTTATTACCATGGTCGCCTTACACTTTCTCTCTTCAGACCTCTGCACTGAGTCCCAAATTGCTTGCTGTCAAGAATGGAATCTTATTATCTTTATCTGAAAAGCTCACTGTCTCATCACTTTGCTTCCATCTCTTATTTCTTTTCATCCCACAAAGATTGGCCAAGAATGTGACACATGCAGTCCACGGCTGTGAGCCAAAGGCACTCATCAGCCTCCATTTTCTCAATGGAAAGTTCTAGCATTAGAGCTTAAGGGGAAGCTGATTCTGTCATAGGTTCAAAGAGATACCACTCTGGACCAACTCACACTGCCATTCTCCTTTGCTACTTTGGGATGACACTGTTATTTGGGAGATTTTTATCCTGATCTTTTGCTAAACCTTTGTTCATCTATCTAACCAGCTTCCTCTCTTCCCCTTTCCAAATCCTGCCTTTAAAATTCTCTATTTTTGAAAGTACATCCTCCACTATCTTTCACTTCTGAAGAAAATCAGTGATTAACTCATAAATCCAACTGTCGACACCTATCTCCAGAATATTTTTCTAGCCCATCCTTATGCAATATGAAATTTCAACCAGTAGGAGCCTACTCTGATTCCTTTAATAAAATTGCAAACCAGTGAAATCTGTATATATATGCTGCTTCCTCAGACTGTCTGATTACATGTCAGTCTCTTAACCTCACATTTTCACTCTTTAACCAGGCTCTGTAGAAATATTACAGGAAGCTGTCTTTAAACAGAAAATTTGCATAGGCAAGTGATGGAAGAAAAGAACAATGGACAATTGTGCTTAGCCTTCAACAGGTAATGTTATTATTTGTCACTTTAATTAAGGGTCTCTATTGGCAAAATGTCACTATTAGGAAACATTCAGCATAACAGAACCATTTCTACACCCAGGTAGATGGCACGTTGTAATATTGTTTTGTTTATCATTTTGTCTTATAAATTATCTACAGTGATGTTTCTGTATACAAAGACCCGATCCTGTGATGTTTGCACTATGTTCAGTAGAGGAAGAAAGTTAAACTGAACTGTAGGTAAGCTATTTAGTGCTCATTTGTCCTGGTGTCAAGTAAAAATTTCCATTCAGTTACTCTTAGATTGGAATTCTTAAAATATTTCCCCAAAACATCCCCCCTCAAAATCTCACACACACACACACACATACACACACACACACACACACCCTAAACTTACCCTTTCAAACCACTAAAAACAAATAAAACAAATCCTGAGGTGAGGTGAATGTTGTATACATAATACTTCTCACATTTCTCTTCTGGCTTCAAAAGATTTTTTTTCACTTGCTAACTCAATATATAGACAAGATTTTATCTCTGATATATGCAGTGTAGGGGGAGGAATAGGAGTCTCAGCACAAGCTCTAATAAAGCAAAATTCTGATCTAATAAACTAGTTGGAGATCCTCTGAACTCAATATAATAAGGTAAAATCAGTGGGTGGGAAGAGGAAGGGAGAGAGCAGCAGGTTGTCAGTTTCTTTCTGGACACATTGAGTTGTAGATTCTGACTGAAAATTGCAGTGATGTCCAGCAGGATGTTAGAAATTCACATATATCTATATATTACTAGTTTTATATTTTACACCAAAATACCAGGCTCACACTTTTAGATATTCATAGTGTTAATCAGAGTAGAAAGCTTTACCTAGACAATTGCCTTGGGTAATAGAAACAAAATGTGAAAAAATAAATTAATGAATTTACTATTATGTTCTTGTTTAGGGTGTTGCCCCTTGTTCAGTCTTTGGCCTTTAAAATAGACAAGTTTTGGGAGCATTTGGCTCTAAATAACATATTTTTGATCCTCACATTGTTTTACATAAAAAATTGACTTACAACTATACTATTACGACATCATGAGAAGCACTTCATTTTGCATTCTTTTCCAGAAGCAACAATTGTTATATCTGTTCTTCGCCCCATCTAAACATTTCCTCTGAGCTCTAAAATTGAGTTACCTTTCCAAGATGTTGAAATATGAAGGCTGGCCACATACAGATAAAAGAGAAAGATTTTCAATAATCTTTGAGTATTAAGCACACCATATTTCTAATGACACTAATAATGCCAATAGAATTGGATAATATAATTGTCTGTCTCCCAAAAGAAATGTCCCTAGCACCATCTTTACACATATGCCATTACCTGGGTAATTTAGTCAAAAAGCTTCTGCTCTTACATGAATTACCTTGGATTGTTATGTGGTTGTTTTCAGCCTGTATTGTCCAGATTGATATTGTATGGGTACATGAAAGAAAAGTAGGCCGTGGGAGTGAGCCTTTTCAAATAGATGTGGGAGTGAGATTTTATGCATTAGGTGCATGCCATTCATCACTGTTGCCTTTGATGTTTGCAAAGAATACCTTTTGTGGAGAGCACAGAAGACATGGTACACAGAGGCCCTTAGGGATCTTTACAACCAAATCTAAATGCTAATAATGGAATACAGGTTATTCTACAGGCTTTAATGAAGAAGTGCATACCCGAGAACAAATATTTTAGTGATTCTAGCCTCACTCCTGTGTTGGTTACTTTCTGGAAACAGATTGCACATCTTTGCAACAGATATTATGCAAAATATTAGCCATTAGTGGAAATCGACAATAAAACTTGTTTAATAAGTGAATTAAAAATAGGACGATCACATGACCCATCCTGGTCCAGCCTATACCATCTTGATATGGGGAACCTTTCAGTGAGTGGTCAAATCACCATAAGTCCCACATTGAGGTCCAGTCAAGAGTCAAGTTATGCTGTGTCAAGTTAGAGATAAGCCATGAAGGGCTTTGGAAGGCCTTACACATTATAATACTTAAATTAAACCAACAAAGATAATTTTGTGAACAACAACATATAAACAAGGAATTCATAAGTGTTCTTTATGGGTTTTGAGTCCCTGATCCTAGACTTGCAAGAAAAATTTGGAGACTTAGGCCAAGACTGATGTTCTCTTTTTGGGCTGGAGTTAAGGGAAAAGTATGAGCAGAATCCTCCTGGTTGTCTTGTCCTGGTTGCAGCAATGCTCCTGTAACTGCAACACTTGCCAAACTCAGCCTGGAAACCATACAAAATTTAAGAAATTGTCCTGTCCTGTCAATTTGGCTAATGGTGACTGGTCCACAACATGATAGCTTGAATTTAAGAACAGTTTTTATTCATTGTATGCTTCCATATTACTAAAAATTCCATACCTGATAAACCATACCTTCTGAAGTATAGGTTCAAATGTCCAATAATGCTATACTAGAGACAATTATGTGCAGCCAGTTAGTCAATTAAGAATGACCACAGCAAAATGCTCACAAAATAAGTGGTTATTCTATTTCTATTCTATTTCTAGTGTGGTTAACACTAGAAATCACAATCAATATTAATAGCAATAATCAAACCTGGTCCTGGAGTACAGAAAGACTCCAGTGAGTAGTTATTTGGAGAACACTTTTAATAATATGAATAATGACATTTTATAGCCAAGCCAAATGTTGAATCAGATTGGAAAATATGAAAACATTCCATCGACTCAGGTATTCCTAGAGAGTCTAAGGAGTAATTTTAGCAATAAATAGTGGTTCTATTACTAGAGTCACGTGGTCTTTTGGTTAATTTGTATTTAAAATGAGTGTTTGTCACTGTTCATATTCATCCATATCTCTGAGATAGGTCCTTAAGTCCTGTTGAATGAAAGCTTCACTATGAAGACCTTTTAAGAAAAATCTTATCATACATAAACATCAAGGGGGAAAAGTAATAATAATAGACATGGCCAACCTCATTTTATCTTATGAGTGGGAGTTCCCATGTTCAGGCATAGAAACTGAGATAAGGTGATAGAGGAGATGGTGTCAAATGAAAGTTTTTCAGAATTATAAAAAGGAAAGCCTCAGTTATACATAGCATAGTGTTAAAATTATTTGCCTAGTATCCCACTGTCTTTTGTGGCTTTTATGCCCTCAGTTCAATTTATAACTTTCTCAACAAATGTGGCCTTTCATTTTATCTTTCATAGGAAATTGAAGTTCTCTATTTTAACTTCCCTTATTTTTACTTCCTGTGATGGTTAATTTTAGGTGTCAGCTTGACTGGATCACAGGGTGCCCAGATATTTTTGTCAAACATTATTCTCAATATTTCTGTGAGGGGGTTTTCAGATGGTATTAACACTCAAATTGATAGACTGAGTAAAACAGATTGCTCTCCCTAATGAGGGTGGTCCTCATCAAATCAGCTGAAATTCTGAATAGAACAAAAAGTTGACCCTTTTGCAAGTAAGAGAAAATTGCTCCTGTCTGACTGTTTTTGAACTGAGACATTGTTTGTTTGTTTGTTTTTCCACCTTTGGACTCAAAGTGAAATATCAGCTCTTCCTTGGTCTTCAGACTGGATCCTCACTATTGGCTATCCTAGGTCTCCAGCTTGCTGACTTACCCTGCAGATCTTTGGACTTATCCTCCATAATTGCATGAGCCAATTTCTTTTTCTAGATAGATAGATAGGTACATAGGTGTGTAGGTAGATATGTAGACAGATGATACATAGATAAATACTCCTTGACATACCATGGGGTTATCTCCCAATAAACCCATTGTAGGTTGAGAATATCACAAGCAAAAAATGCATTTAATACATCTAACCTACCAAATACCATAACTTAGCCTAGCCTGCCTTAAATGTGCTCAGAACACTTTCATTAGCCTACAGTTGGGCAAAGTCATTTAACACAAAGTTTATTTTATAATAAAGTGTTGACTATCTCATGTAATTTATTGAATACTGCACCAAAAGTGAAAAATGGGATGGTTGTATGGCTACTTGAAGTATGGTTTCTTCTAAATCTGTATCACTTTTGTACCAAAGTAAAAACATCTTAAGTTGAACTATTATAAGTCAGGGATTATCTGTATATTCAAGAAAAAGCCAAGTCACATTTCAAAAGCAGTGAGGCAGGAATGTTATCACCTTCTTCAGCTGTGATGCAGGATTAAATAGACTTCAATGATCTGCTCTGGAGATCAAACCACAATTCTTTGTATGAGGAAATTCTCTGGTTTCTTTGAAAATAATAGTATCCAGATTGGGAACTGCCTGTTGATAACTAGAAGGTTGTCCACCTGTAACAATGATGTCTCCATTAGAAGAAGCAAACAAACAGAAAGTCATATAGGGAAACTTCTTTCAAAGTCACTTTCCAAACCACCCAAGAAAACCAGTCTTATTGATTTCTGGGTATACGTCAATTTAACGGCAAAACGGCATCACTCATTTTGTTTGGCTTTCTTACTCACCAGTTCTGGCTCCAAATGACTCTTAAAGGTTTCCTGAAATCAATTTCACCTTCACAGTAGAAATGTTTTTGGCCTCTGAAGAAATTCCAGAAATGGATCACAGGCTCTAAAGGCAATATCAAGCAGGATTTCCAAAGATTCTTTTGAATAATGATAAACACTTTGGAATAAGTTTATAAAGTCGAAACTTACCCCACAGAAGTTGTGATAAATAATTTAGCTGAGTTCTGATATATTTGTTTGAAATATTTTTTAAAAGAATAGACTATATTTTAGAGTATATACTGCTTGGCTTTTTATGGATTGATTCCTTGTCTGCCAAGCTAGATTGCAAATAATACAAGTAAGGAAGTGTGGCTTCTTTTTAGTCCTATGTATAATCCTATTTGGCACTTTGGAAAGAGTTGATGCTTAATAAATATTTTAGATTAATAATCAATATGGATGCATGTTCTCTTGAGTCTGGTATTTGTGATATAGGCATGGAAATAGTAGTACATCTCATCTGCGCTGTTTTGAACAGAACATAGTAAGTGTAATAGAAAAAAATTTGCAAAATATAAAGGGAACATATAAAATGGATGATGGCATATGGCCAAATTATTTTTTAACACAAACCAAACGGGATAAATTAGAGAAGAGCCTAGATGATGGAAATGAGCTCATTTTTTGAGCATACAAACAGAACTACATATGGAAACCTACAACTCAATCTGACAGTTTGAACCCATCTCTCATGCTACATACTACTCCACCTTTCTTCCTAAATTCTCAAGTCTTTCCAGACCCCTCCCCACAAACCTTATCCTGTTGACTAGATCCACATCTGACATTTAATTTCATAGCTCTTACTCCAGAGATTTTGCTAAAAATGGCTCCAGATCACAAAAACTTAATATCATACTGTCAGTTTCTGGAGTTTGTTTCTAAATTGTCCTGAATATATCACAAAGAGTGACATTTTCCCAATTTATATAACTACACCAGAATTCAGGTTCATAAAACTAGTATCTTAATGAAAAAAATTCCTCAGATTGATATTTTAATACCTATATCATATTCTTAAAACATGCAAATGAAATCTGGGTTGTTGTGGAACAGAGAAAATGAAAAATGATGATGTTGGCAGGAACGAGAGTACGAATATTTATGAAGAAGGACAAGCATATATTTCCCTGAAATGTAGTGCTCTTCTTCCCAAAGGAGGCCATCTGGCCTCTTTGATTGCTGGTTAAAACCAATTAGCACAAAATGTTGATACTGCCTTATTGGATTTCACCACAAACCTTCTGGTTTCATCCTTAATCTTATGGTTTATTCTTAAATGTTTTTTGTTAATGGTACAAATTGAAAACAACAACAGCAACAACTCATGTTTAAGCTGAATAGAGTCCACCAGAGCTCAAGCATGCACTCCTCATAAATATCTATAATCATCGTCTTATCCCAGAGAGACAGAGATGATAACAACTCAAGCTTGCTCACGCACACAAACTGTTCTGTTGGCCATTGGAACCACCAGGTGGCCAGCTGACCATTTACTCTGTGTCTATGCTGCCAGCACCTGAGGTCCTGGGAGTCTCTCAAGTGAAATGGCAGTGGTGTCAGAAACACTGATGCTCCCGATTTTACATACATTTCCTCAAAGTGAGTCACAATGGCACTGCAATACAAGAGGCTTGCTTTGTTTTACAATTGATCATAAAAATAACACCAATCACTGGTACAAAACTCCAAGTCCTTCAATACTGCCTATTTTCTAAGTGTTTTGATCCAAGTTTCCTCCCCTTAGCCATTTTCCAGTGAAAACCATTCTCTCCATAATTCAAATTTTCTTCTTAATAAGCCATTTCCCCACTGGTTATTGTTCCACCAGTCACCTATCACTTTCTCTTATATCGGAGCCATAGTCACTTTGTTGGATAGTCTTTATTGTTCTGTACATTAATCTCTTCTGGAAAAGATAAAACGATGTAGCACCTAATTACCCAAGTTTAATCAGATATATCCACTACCAAATTTGCATACAATCATGGTAAACTAACTATACAAATAGTATAGAGTAAGGCAGGGTCCAAAACTATGGCATGTATACTATTGTGATATGTAACATTATTTTAGGTGATACATGGACCAATTTTTTTTATGTTAGTAATTATGTATTAGGCCAGGTGTAGGGGCTCATGCCTATAATCCCAGAATTTTGGGATGCCAAGGTGGGAGGATATCTTGAGCTCAGGAGTTTGAGACCAACCTGAGTAAGGTAGGGAGACCCTGTCTCCACAAAAAATAAAAATGAATAAAAATTAGCCAGGCACACGCCTGTGGTTTCAGCTACTTGGGATGAGGAGGTGGGAGGATCACTTGAGCCTGGGAGGTTGAGGCTGCAGTGAGCCATGATCATGTCACTGCACTCAAGCCTTGGTGACAGAGCAAGATCCTGTTTGTCTCAAAAAAAGTTACATATTAACTTCATTTTATGGGTATACACACACACACTCACACACACACACACACATATATGTATGTGTGTATATATATATATATACATATATATGTATATATATATATATATAGCTAGCACCAGAAAATTGTGATTACTCAGATTCTATTGCCTAGGATAAGATTAAGGGTTCTACAAAGGAGGGGAGCCTGGTTTTATTAATTAAGTAAATAATAGATGTTAACATAGATATATCAAAATCATGAAAGTGGTACCCAAAAGACCAAAGTTTGGAAAATTCTTGTGTCATGATTAAGAACTCTCCTATATCTTAAGGCCCCACTCTGCCACTTATCAGTTGTGTGGTTTTCGAAGTTTTCTTCATTGAGTGTCAATTTCCTCATTCATGATATGTAATAATAATAACACCTCACAAAAGTGAAAAATAAAACCTTCCTCCTAAAATAAATATGTATATCTAATTTAGGGCTTGACCCTTAAAACTGGTCTTTTAGGTAGAATAAAAGGAAGGAAACCTACAGTTATCAGACAAAATATAGCAACATCTAACAGGCAGAGGTACTGGAGGAGAGTGATTTGAGGGGGTGGGGGTAATCGAGGCTTTGTTCAATCTCCACAGGATATCAGAAGTTATTATTGTTATTTTGTGCTGAATGTTGAAATAATAGGTTGGGTTGCATAACAGATTCTCACCTGGAATAAGAGATTGCTCTTCTAACAACCTTTGCATCTCTCTGCACTTACCACCCTTAGAAGCTAAATGTTTCCATGTCTGTTTTGTCCATCAGCTTGTGAGCATGTTTAGGGCAGCAACTATGTCTTTTTATCTTTGTATCTCAACACCTAGCAAAGTGCTTGGCCCAATATAATGGCTCAGGAAATGGCTGCTGTACTGAAAATAACAAGAATGTGTTTGTTTTTTTAATTTAAGACCCTTAAAATCTTGGTAACTTTATGACATAATATACAATGAGTTGACCCACATATTGGTGCAAATTAGAGAGATTATAGTGAATTAGAGATTCCAATTAGAGTGAAGTAGATTTACTTGTTGACTTTAAAATGGTAAAGTACTAGAAGAGTGTCTATATTTGTGAATGAGCCTGGGTATTATGAAAATGGAGAGACCCCTAGGTAAGATACAAAGACTTATATGTTGAACATCATGCAAAAGAAAACATTACTCCTCAAGGAAAATAAGCACTTTGAGAAATGCCAGCAATCCTTGGGGAGAGAAGAGAAAGCATATCTTTCCAAAGATAACAGATTCCATATCCCATTCATACAATTTATCCTATAATTTCCTTAATGAAATCTAGTAATTATGGCATGATGCCTGAAAACATTGTGTCACTCCCAAATCAACCATTCTACTTTCCCTTGTGATTATAACTAATGAGTAAGAAGGAGAAAGTAGTTATTATTGCTAACTAATTTTTGGAAAAACTCAAGACTACTGAAACATGCAACCAACCTTCTTTAATCTTATTATCAAGAACAGAAGATCTTAAGAACACATCTGATGATTGTTCTGTAATAGGTAGTTTATAGAAAATGTCATAGTGTCTACTCAAATATCAACCAATCAATACAATCAATAAATATATTTAAAGAATACAATATTTTACTTTTTCTTTGCAGTTAAGAAATGAATCAATTATTCCATTAATTTCCCAGCCTTTTGACACAATCTCAATAGGTTTCCTGCTTGCTATATAAGTAGACAATTTTGAGAGGTGAAAATAGTATCTAAGATCCAAAACTGCTTTTAATATCAGGTTTCTTGGAATCTTAGCCCACTAGTTATTGAAGGCTTTAACAAACACCAGCTAGTGATTATGGCTTGTTGCTGTGGGTACAACTTGATTAAAATTGTATTGACACATGACTGCTCACTTATTTTATGTGGGAAATTACAAGAGACGAACAATATGATAAATAGGAAAGGCAAATATTTTAGATACTATTTATTGGATTGCAGCCAAATCAAAGATCTAGAGATAAAATGTTAGGGATTCAAGTATCTATTTAATAGTTTCTTCCTTCTTATTTGAGCATTGAAATATTTGTTTTGTAGAGATGTAATACATGAAGCAAAGATTTGGGGAGCACAGCCAGGAGACAGTTATAGTAAGAACTTTCTGGTGATCTTAGGTATAAAAAATCATAAAGCCCTTTGAATACAGTTCTGAGTTTTATGCCGTGGTGGATGCCAGAGTGTCTACAAGTGAGCAAGCAAACAAATTTTTAAAAAAAACAACAAAATTTGAGATGTTCCAATGACTATTATCTTCTTAACTTGATGTAGTTGAAAGAACATCTTTTTGACCTAAGCTACTACCTCTGACATTTCAAAAAGCAATAAAATGAATCAAGTGCAAGTCAGTAGGCCTGAATTCTAATCCTTAGCTGTATCTCTAACTTGTTCTACCCTGTCTTTTGACCTTTTGGAGACTTGTTTTTCCCATTAGTGTACCAAAAACAACATCTGCTTCACAGGATGGGCTTGAAAATTAATGTGATGATGTCTGAGAAGTATTTGAATATCAGGTGTTCTGTAAATTCTAGGTACTGTTATTCAATATTAAGATTCATTATCCTTCCCTGAACCATCTAACTAATCTACTGCATCTGTGATCTGATCTCAGCACATAGGTGCAAACAAGAAAATGTCAAACTGGATGCCACATTCTTCTCAGTTTAATCAATCTGCTCAAATTTCCTGAGTGACTGTCCAGGTTTTTCTCTCTCAATTTTGTAATTCAGACATTGAACAAGTAGAGTTCATTGATTACAAGTACATGGTCACTATAAATAAGTATTTTGTAAGTTGGTTGTTCCTTTACATGCATTCTTAGGAATACTAAAGATGAAAAATTTCCATATGTTATTTTGAGAACATCCACCCTTTACCAATTTTTCCTCCTGCAGAGGAGAAAGTCATATTTCCAATACCCAAAAAGAATCTCTTTGAGTAGCCAAAGTACTAGGAAGGAGTGTATATTACAAGGTTGAAGTTGCAAATTCTGAGATTAACACAATAAAAGCCATATATAATTTGCCTGGTAGTCTTAACATGTACACAATGGCTCCCTGAATTTTTTATTTCAAAAAACTAATAGCTTATGCCATGAACAACAGTGATAAATAATTTTAAGCACATGCTTTTCATGTATGATCTCATCTAAAACATCTTGCAAACATTTCTATGATATAAATGTTCCTAAACTGCTTTTCAAATATAGAAACCAAGGCTAAGGAAGGTTTGCTACCTTGTCAAAGCACACAGAGCTAGTAGTGTGGGACAGATCTAATATTTAACCAAAATTATCTGACTACAAAGTTGATCTATTTTTCATTATTCTGTACTAAATAAATAGATGCTATAAAAATTATCTTACGGTGGATCTGTAGCTACTCTAATGAACTAGAATTCTATTCAAACGGCTTCTCACCAAAGATTTCTATAAGGTTACCCCATTGGCTACAAAATCTGATTTGCTCTTATGAACCTGTCTTTTATTACCTTCTTCAGAGTTAGGATTGTAGGACATTAAGGAATACAGCATTCAAGACTACTTCCCGTTGCTATGCAAAAACAGCCTCCCATCAACTCAATAACATTGCTTTCTTTGTGCATCTCCTCCTCTCTGTATTTCTCTTTCTTTCTCTGTTTTCACAAATCATTTTGATTGTTTTCTTCTAGGGCTCTGTCCTTAGCAAAGTTTCCACTTGAAGTGTAGCTATTTCCTGTAAGAAATTCCAGGATATGAACAGTCATACCACCAAGTACCATATGCTGTAGCTCCAGTGAAAAGACAGAGTGTTTTCTGTTCTAACACTATCCCTCCTCCTCGTGGTGTCCGACTCCTCCACATACTGTTCTTTTAATCACCTTAGCCTCTTAAAATACTTTGCTTTGTCAATAGACTCTTCCTCCCTCTTTTTTGGGTGAAGAGTGTGTGGCAATAACCTCTGATAGAAAAAAAGGCAAAACGTTAGCCAAGTAACTAAAGTGGGGCAAGTTTGAAGAGGGGAAGACTTTAACAAAACATTCTTAGTATGAATGGTTAAGTAGCAACAGGGGATAAATACAGGACACAGGTGGCCAACATGTGTTTTGTGCAAAGGCAATATTATCCAACAGACAGCAGAATTCCTTTAGAATATTGCCATTTGCTGTATAGGCTCAGAGGGCTGAAGGAGAGGGTTTCCTCCAGGCAATTGTTTCTATTGTGTCAGGTTGCATTACACCAGTGAAAGCCTGACTAAAATCCTGACTGGTCTGTAACAAGGTTGTACACTAATTCTACTGCCACACCAATGAATCACTACAGCCTGCAACCATAAATAAGTCCAAGGAACAAAAACACAGCCTGGCATAGAGCTTCCTGGCATACATAACCTGCCCCCTCCATTATTTAAAATGTGGTCTTTAAACTGACAAGGGAGCTCCATTATGGATATCAACTTCTGTATTATTCTAGCAAGTGTACAAATTCCAGGTGACTCCATTTTGGTCACCTCAGGAACTAGAGAAGACTTACTGCTTTCTTCATTTTGTTGTTGTGATGTGTCCTCCAGATGTGTAGCTAAAAAGTCATCAACAGATGGCTCTGGCAGAGAAAAGTCTAATGGTTTGGCTGTTGACAAAGCTCCATAAGAAGTTCTTTATTATTGATCATTATGGTAATACAACGCCTCACCCATTTGCCTCTAGACTGATAAGATCCAGGCTCCATTACTTAGGGAGCAGGAACCCACCTTGGTTCATCTCCTAACTAACTAGCAGAGACAAAGTCTTATGGTACAAATGAGTGCTATATAGGCACAGTCATTTTTTTCATTCATCATCCAGCAATTATTTATTAAATAATACCATCTGTTATATGTTGTTCTATGTTCAAACAGAGTAGCATCTGGAATTTGAATGTTTAAGTTTTCATTTAAGTCTAAGAGGATACAGTCAGGGCAAGGCTGGGATGTCATATCATTAGTAAATCAACAAACTCAATTAATTACATTGAGCATAAAATGATAAAAGAACCAATCAAAGACCTAGCAAGTATTGAATAGTCTCCTTGAATAATCTGCTTCAGTGAATTCTTAGTTGTCTGCAGGATTCCCTGATCATAATTATTTTCCTGAGGGTGTTGAGATGTGATGGTGACAGTTTGGTGAATGCTCCTGATCACAAATTTCTTTTTTTTATTTTTTAATTTTTTTTCTTTTTTTTCTTTTTTTTTAATTATACTTTAAGTTTTAGGGTACATGTGCACATTGTGCAGGTTAGTTACATATGTATACATGTGCCATGCTGGTGTGCTGCACCCACTAACTCGCCATCTAGCATTAGGTATATCTCCCAATGCTATCCCTCCCCCCTCCCCCCACCCCACCACAGTCCCCAGAGTGTGATATTCCCCTTCCTGTGTCCATGTGATCTCATTGTTCAATTCCCACCTATGAGTGAGAATATGCGGTGTTTGGTTTTTTGTTCTTGTGATAGTTTACTGAGAATGATGATTTCCAATTTCATCCATGTCCCTACAAAGGACATGAACTCATCATTTTTTATGGCTGCATAGTATTCCCTGGTGTATATGTGCCACATTTTCTTAATCCAGTCTATCATTGTTGGACATTTGACTTGGTTCCAAGTCTTTGCTATTGTGAATAATGCCGCAATAAACATACGTGTGCATGTGTCTTTATAGCAGCATGATTTATAGTCCTTTGGGTATATACCCAGTAATGGGATGGCTGGGTCAAATGGTATTTCTAGTTCTAGATCCTTGAGGAATCACCACACTGACTTCCACAACGGTTGAACTAGTTTACAGTCCCACCAACAGTGTAAAAGTGTTCCTATTTCTCCACATCCTTTCCAGCACCTGTTGTTTCCTGACTTTTTAATGATTGCCATTCTAACTGGTGTGAGATGGTATCTCATTGTGGTTTTGATTTGCATTTCTCTGATGGCCAGTGATGATGAGCATTTTTTCATGTGTTTTTTGGCTGCATTAATGTCTTCTTTTGAGAAGTGTCTGTTCATGTCCTTTGCCCACTTTTTGATGGGGTTGTTTGTTTTTTTCTTGTAGATTTGTTTGAGTTCATTGTAGATTCTGGATATTAGCCCTTTGTCAGATGAGTAGGTTGTGAAAATTTTCTCCCATTTTGTAGGTTGCCTGTTCACTCTGATGGTCATTTCTTTTGCTGTGCAGAAGCTCTTTAGTTTAATTAGATCCCATTTGTCAATTTTGGCTTTTGTTGCCA
The DNA here is from genome assembly GCF_000001405.40 of Homo sapiens. Classification (NCBI taxonomy): domain Eukaryota; kingdom Metazoa; phylum Chordata; class Mammalia; order Primates; family Hominidae; genus Homo; species Homo sapiens. Next base: position 109,118,291 of record NC_000023.11, on the reverse strand, counting down.
TTGCTTTTGGTGTTTTGGACATGAAGTCCTTGCCCATGCCTATGTCCTGAATGGTAATGCCTAGGTTTTCTTCTAGGGTTTTTATGGTTTTAGGTCTAACGTTTAAATCTTTCATCCATCTTGAATTGATTTTTGTATAAGGTGTAAGGAAGGGATCCAGTTTCAGCTTTCTACATATGGCTAGCCAGTTTTCCCAGCACCATTTATTAAATAGGGAATCCTTTCCCCATTGCTTGTTTTTCCCAGGTTTGTCAAAGATCAGATAGTTGTAGATATGCGGCATTCTTTCTGAGGGCTCTGTTCTGTTCCATTGATCAATATCTCTGTTTTGGTACCAGTACCATGCTGTTTTGGTTACTGTAGCCTTGTAGCATAGTTTGAAGTCAGGTAGTGTGATGCCTCCAGCTTTGTTCTTTTGGCTTAGGATTGACTTGGCGATGCGGGCTCTTTTTTGGTTCCATATGAACTTTAAAGTAGTTTTTTCCAATTCTGTGAAGAAAGGCATTGGTAGCTTGATGGGGACGGCATTGAATCTGTAAATTACCTTGGGCAGTATGGCCATTTTCACGATATTGATTCTTCCTATCCATGAGCATGGAATGTTCTTCCATTTGTTTGTATCCTCTTTTATTTCCTTGAGCAGTGGTTTGTAGTTCTCCTTGAAGAGGTCCTTCACATCCCTTGTAAGTTGGATTCCTAGGTATTTTATTCTCTTTGAAGCAATTGTGAATGGGAGTTCACTCATGATTTGGCTCTCTGTCTGTTGTTGGTGTATAAGAATGCTTGTGATTTTTGTACATTGATTTTGTATCCTGAGACTTTGCTGAAGTTGCTTATCAGCTTAAGGAGATTTTGGGCTGAGACAATGGGGTTTTCTAGATATAGAATCATGTCATCTGCAAACACGGACAATTTTACTTCCTCGTTTCCTAATTGAATACCCTTTATTTCCTTCTCCTGCCTCATTGCCCTGGCCAGAACTTCCAACACTATGTTGAATAGGAGTGGTGAGAGAGGGCATCCCTGTCTTGTGCCAGTTTTCAAAGGGAATGCTTCCAGTTTTTGCCCATTCAGTATGATATTGGCTGTGGGTTTGTCACAGATAGCTCTTATTATTTTGAGTTATGTGCCATCAATACCTAATTTATTGAGAGTTTTTAGCATGAAGGGTTGTTGAATTTTGTCAAAGGCTTTTTCTGCATCTATTGAGATAATCATGTGGTTTTTGATTTTGGCTCTGGTTATATGCTGGATTACATTTATTGATTTGCATATATTGAACCAGCCTTGTATCCCAGGGATGAAGCCCACTTGATCATGTTGGATAAACTTTTTGATGTGCTGCTGGATTCGTTTTGCCAGTATTTTATTGAGGATTTTTGCATCAATGTTCATCAAGGATATTGGTCTAAAATTCTCTTTTTTGGTTGTGTCTCTGCCCGGCTTTGGTATCAGAATGATGCTGGCCTCATAAAATGAGTTAGGGAGGATTCCCTCCTTTTCTATTGATTGGAATAGTTTCAGAAGGAATGGTACCAGTTCCTCCTTGTACCTCTGGTAGAATTCGGCTATGAATCCATCTGGTCCTGGACTCTTTTTGTTGGTAAACTATTGATTATTGCCACAATTTCAGCTCCTGTTATTGGTCTATTCAGAGATTCAACTTCTTCTTGGTTTAGTCTTGGGAGAGTGTATGTGTCGAGGAATTTATCCATTTCTTCTAGATTTTCTAGTTTATTTGCGTAGAGGTGTTTGTAGTATTCTCTGATGGTAGTTTGTATTTCTGTGGGATCGGTGGTGATATCCCCTTTATCATTTTTTATTGTGTCTATTTGATTTTTCTCTCTTTTTTTCTTTATTAGTCTTGCTAGTGGTCTATCAATTTTGTTGATCCTTTCAAAAAACCACCTCCTGGATTCATTGATTTTTTGAAGGGCTTTTTGTGTCTCTATTTCCTTCAGTTCTGCTCTGATTTTAGTTATTTCTTGCCTTCTGCTAGCTTTTGAATGTGTTTGCTCTTGCTTTTCTAGTTCTTTTAATTGTGATGTTAGGGTGTCAATTTTAGATCTTTCCTGCTTTCTCTTGTGGGCATTTAGTGCTATAAATTTCCCTCTGCACACTGCTTTGAATGCATCCCAGAGATTTTGGTATGTTGTGTCTTTGTTCTCGTTGGTTTCAAAGAACATCTTTATTTCTGCCTTCATTTCGTTATGTACCCAGTAGTCATTCAGGAGCAGGTTGTTCAGTTTCCATGTAGTTGAGTGGCTTTGAGTGAGATTCTTAATCCTGAGTTCTAGTTTGATTGCACTGTGGTCTGAGAGATAGTTTGTTATAATTTCTGTTCTTTTACATTTGCTGAGGAGAGCTTTACTTCCAACTATGTGGTCAATTTTGGAATAGCTGTGGTGTGGTGCTGAAAAAAATGTATATTCTGTTGATTTGGGGTGGAGAGTTCTGTAGATGTCTATTAGGTCCGCTTGGTGCAGAGCTGAGTTCAATTCCTGGGTATCCTTGTTGACTTTCTGTCTCATTGATCTGTCTAATGTTGACAGTGGGGTGTTAAAGTCTCCCATTATTAATGTGTGGGAGTCTAAGTCTCTTTGTAGGTCACTCAGGACTTGCTTTATGAATCTTGGTGCTCCTGTATTGGGTGCATATATATTTAGGATAGTTAGCTCTTCTTGTTGAATTGATCCCTTTACCAGTATGTAATGGCCTTCTTTGTCTCTTTTCATCTTTGTTGGTTTAAAGTCTGTTTTATCAGAGACTAGGATTGCAACCCCTGCCTTTTTTTGTTTTCCATTTGCTTGGTAGATCTTCCTCCATCCTTTTATTTTGAGCTTATGTGTGTCTCTGCACGTGAGATGGGTTTCCTGAATACAGCACACTGATGGGTCTTGACTCTTTATCCAATTTGCCAGTCTGTGTCTTTTAATTGGAGTGTTTAGTCCATTTACATTTAAAGTTAATATTGTTATGTGTGAATTTGATCCTGTCATTATGATGTTAGCTGGTGATTTTGCTCGTTAGTTGATGCAGTTTCTTCCTAGTCTCGATGGTCTTTACATTTTGGCATGATTTTGCAGTGGCTGGTACCGGTTGTTCCTTTCCATGTTTAGCGTTTCCTTCAGGAGCTCTTTTAGGGCAGGCCTGGTGGTGACAAAATCTCTCAGCATTTGCTTGTCTGTAAAGGATTTTATTTCTCCTTCACTTATGAAGCTTAGTTTGGCTGGATATGAAATTCTGGGTTGGAAATTCTTTTCTTTAGGAATGTTGAATATTGGCCCCCACTCTCTTCTGGCTTGTAGGGTTTCTGCCGAGAGATCCGCTGTTCGCCTGATGGGCTTCCCTTTGAGGGTAACCCGACCTTTCTCTCTGGCTGCCCTTAACATTTTTTCCTTCATTTCAACTTTGGTGAATCTGACAATTATGTGTCTTGGAGTTGCTCTTCTCGAGGAGTATCTTTGTGGCGTTCTCTGTATTTCCTGAATCTGAACGTTGGCCTGCCTTGCTAGATTAGGGAAGTCCTCCTGGATAATATCCGGCAGAGTGTTTTCCAACTTGGTTGCATTCTCCCCATCACTTTCAGGTACACCAATCAGACGTAGATTTGGTCTTTTCACATAGTCCCATATTTCTTGGAGGCTTTGCTCATTTCTTTTTATTCTTTTTTCTCTAAATTTCCCTTCTCGCTTCATTTCATTCATTTCATCTTCCATTGCTGATACCCTTTCTTCCAGTTGATCGCATCGGCTCCTGAGGCTTCTGCATTCCTCATGTAGTTCTCGAGCCTTGGTTTTCAGCTCCATCAGCTCCTTTAAGCACTTCTCTGTATTGGTTATTCTAGTTATACATTCTTCTAAATTTTTTTCAAAGTGTTCAACTTCTTTGCCTTTGGTTTGAATGTCCTCCCGTAGCTCAGAGTAATTTGATCATCTGAAGCCTTCTTCTCTCAGCTCGTCAAAGTCATTCTCCATCCAGCTTTGTTCCGTTGCTGGTGAGGAACTACATTCCTTTGGCAGAGGAGAGGCGCTCTGCGTTTTAGAGTTTCCAGTTTTTCTGTTCTGTTTTTTCCCCATCTTTGTGGTTTTATCTACTTTTGGTCTTTGATGATGGTGATGTACAGATGGGTTTTTGGTGTGGATGTCCTTTCTGTTTGTTAGTTTTCCTTCTAACAGACAGGACCCTCAGCTGCAGGTCTGTTGGAATACCCTGCCGTGTGAGGTGTCAGTGTGCCCCTGCTGGGGAGTACCTCCCAGTTAGGCTGCTCGGGGGTCAGGAGTCATGGACCCACTTGAGGAGGCAGTCTGCCCGTTCTCAGATCTCCAGCTGTGTGCTGGGAGAACCACTGCTCTCTTCAAAGCTGTCAGACAGGGACATTTAAGTCTGCAGAGGTTACTGCTGTCTTTTTGTTTGTCTGTGCCCTGCCCCCAGAGGTGGAGCCTACAGAGGCAGGCAGGCCTCCTTGAGCTGTGGTGGGCTCCACCCAGTTCCAGCTTCCTGGCTGCTTTGTTTACCTAAGCAAGCCTGGGCAATGGCGGGTGCCCCTCCCCCAGCCTCACTGCTGCCTTGCAGTTTGATCTCAGACTGCTGTGCTAGCAATCAGTGAGATTCCGTGGGCATAGGACCCTCCGAGCCAGGTGTGGGATATAGTCTCATGGTGCACCGTTTTTTAAGCCGTTCTGAAAAGCTCAATATTTGGGTGGGAGTGACCCGATTTTCCAGGTGCGTCCTTCACCCCTTTCTTTGACTCAGAAAGGGAACTCCCTGACCCCTTGCGCTTCCCAAGTGAGGCAATGCCTCGCCCTGCTTCAGCTTGCGCACAGTGCGTGCACCCACTGGCCTGCGCCCACTGTCTGGCACTCCCTAGTGAGATGAACCCAGTACCTCAGATGGAAATGCAGAAATCACCCGTCTTCTGCATCGCTCACGCTGGGAGCTGTAGACCAGAGCTGTTCCTATTTGGCCATCTTGACTCCTCTCCACAAATTTCTTATATTCAGCTGAGAAAGGTGTTCCCATGAAAGATAGTGGACTGAGCACTTGTATTTACTGCTTCTCCTTTCCATAGTTTCATTGAAATGAAAGGAAACATATTTTCAATAGTATTAAACCATAACAGTGCTAGAAACAAGAAAGGAATTCAGCAGTAACCCAGAAAGTTTGAGGAAATCATTAAAGAGAGAAAGCACATGGGATCTGATTAATGGGACAAATAGAGGAGGGAAATCTACAACCTAAAACTAGGGTAGTAAGAGTCTTTTTTCCAAGATAACTTCACAGTAGTTTTAAACTTAGACTCAAGAAATACAAAAGCAAAGGAGTCCATGAGGCAGTTTTCACTAACAGACAAACAGAGAGCCAAATCATGAGTGAACTCCCATTCACAATTGCTTCAAAGAGAATAAAATACCTAGGAATCCAACTTACAAGGGATGTGAAGGACTTCTTCAAGGATAACTACAAACCACTGCTCAATGAAATAAAAGAGGACACAAACAAATGGAAGAACATTCTATGCTCATGGATAGGAAGAATCAATATCATGAAAATGGCCATACTGCCCAAGGTAACTTATAGATTCAATGCGATCCCCATCAAGCTACCAATGACTTTCTTCACAGAATTGGAAAAAAACTACTTTAAAATTCATGTGGAACCAAAAAAGAGCCCACATTGCCAAGACAATCCTAAGCCAAAAGAACAAAGCTGGAGGCACTACACTACCTGACTTCAAACTGACTACAAGGCTACAGTAACCAATGCAGCATGGTACTGGTACCAAAACAGAGATATAGACCAATGGAACAGAACAGAGTGCTCAGAAATAATGCCACACATCTACAACCATCTGATCTTTGACAAATCTGACAAAAACAAGAAATGGGGAAAGGATTCCCTATTTAATAAATGGTGCTGGGAAAACTGGCTAGCCATATGTAGAAACCTGAAACTGGATCCCTTCCTTACGCCTTATACAAAAATTAATTCAAGATGGATTAAAGACTTAAATGTTAGACATAAAACCATAAAAACCCTAGAAGAAAACCTAGGCAATACCATTCAGGACATAGGCATGGGCAAGGAATTCATGTCTAAAACATAAAAAGCAATGGCAACGAAAGCCAAAATTGACAAATGGGGTCTAATTAAACTAAAGGGCTTCTGCACAGCAAAAGAAACTACCATCAGAGTGAACAGGCAACCTACAGAATGGGAGAAAATTTTTGCAATCTACTCATCTGATGAAAGGCTAATATCCAGAATCTGCAAAGAACTCAAACAAATTTACAAGAAAAAAGCAAACAACCCCATCAAAAAGTGGGCAAAGTATATGAACAGACACTTCTCAAAAGAAGACATTTACGCAGCCACAGACACATGAAAAAATGCTCATCATCACTGGCCATCAGAGAAATGCAAATCAAAACCACAATGAGATACCGTCCCACACCAGTTAGAATGGTGATCATTAAAAAGTCAGGAAACAACAGGTGCTGGAGAGGATGTGGAGAAATAGGAACACTTTTACACTGTTGGTGGGACTGTAAACTAGTTCAACCATTGTGGAAGTCAGTGTGGTGATTCCTCAAGGATCTAGAACTAGAAATGCCATTTGACCCAGCCATCCCATTACTGGGTATATACCAAGAGGATTATAAATCATGCTGCTATAAAGACACATGCACACATATGTTTATTGCGGCACTATTCACAATAGTAAAGACTTGGAACCAACCCAAATGTCCAACAATGATAGACTGGATTAAGAAAATGTGGCACATATACACCATGGAATACTATGCAGCCATAAAAAAGGATGAATTCATGTCCTTTGTAGGGACATGGATGAAGCCGGAAACCATCATTCTCAGCAAACTATTGCAAGGACAAAAAACCAAACGCTGCATGTTCTCACTCATAGGTGGGAATTGAACAATGAGAACACTTGGACACAGGAAGGGGAACCTCACACACTGGGGCCTGTTATGGGGTGGGGGGAGGGGAGAGGGATAGCATTAGGAGATATACCTAATGTAAGTGACGAGTTAATACGTGCAGCACACCAACCTGGCACATGTATAGATATGTAACAAACCTGCACGTTTTGCACATGTACCCTAGAACTTAAAGTATAATAATAATAAAAAGAATTGCATTCAGGAATGATAGGCCAATAGAGTTACTATTTCTACCTACTGCCCTCCCTCCCATTCAGAGCAAAGGGTGTTTGACAACTTAGACTTGCCAAAAGGATTAAGCCTGAAAATTGCCTCTGCATTCTGAAGACAGTAAACTACCTGCCTCAGTAGAAATGCTCCAAGGGAATGGGGACATGAGTGTTCATCAGAGGAGAATTTGAGGTAACTTTAGATCCACATAATGATTGTCTACAACCTATGGTTCTCGCTCCTACTTGTATATTAGAATCATCTGGGAAACAGTCATGTTGAGAACTACCACTCTAAAGCAGTCTTCCTAAACTTCCATGAGCATAAGAATCACCTGGGACCTTGTTAAATCCAGATTTTGATTCAGCAAATCTGAGGTATGGCCTGAGATTCTGCATTTCTACTAAGGGCCCAGGTTCCCAAGTCCAAGGCTTTTGGTGGAAGAACCAAACTTTGAATAGCAAAGATCTAAAAGAAACACAAAAGATTTAATTATAGTTTCAAAATAATATAAATATTAAGCAACTTGATCACATGAAAGTAAAAATATAGTTAACATAAGTGGGAAAGTGGGAGGAGATAGGAGAGTGAAGATAATTAAAAGGATGATTATTTCATTATCTTTTATATCTCACATTCAGGGTAAATTGATACTGTCTAAAGTTGAAATAAGAAATATATGTTTAATTTATTATTGAAATCTATTAAAATACATAATATAGCAAATAAGAGGAAGTAAAATAAAAATAGAAAGCCATGAAAGTGAGCTAAAATTTTCATCTTTCAAATTTAATAAAAATAAAATTTAATGAGCACATATAAATACTATCATAAACATCTTACAAGTATCAACTCATAAAATCTTCACAACAACACTGTGAGGTAGGTACTGTTATTATCTTCATTTTTACTTTTGAGAAAACTGAGGCTTAGAGAGATTAAAAAAAATTGCTCAAGGCCACACACCAGGAAGTAGGAGAACCAGCATTCAAACCCAGGCAGTCAGGCTTCAAAATCTATACTGTTAACCACTAACATCTCCTGAATGGAAAGGAGTCAATAGATGCTATCTAAAACACCAAGAAAGAAAAGCATAAACACATTGTCGAACGCTAAATTTGAAACCACCTGAAAAGTAGAAACTAGTATAAGTGTTATCTCTATCTGTGGGACTCAAGCCAGGGGTGGAAATGAATAAATAAAAATTTACCTTTTATTTTAGAGACTTCTGAGTAGCTTGGAAGTGCTTTACCATGCACCAAAACATTTAATTTTAAAAACCGTCTTAATGCTTTTAAGAGCATTCAGGGCCAGGCACAGTGGCTCAAGCCTGTAATCCCAACACTTTGGGAGGCTAAGGCAGGAGGATCACTTGAGGTCAGGAGTTCGAGGCCAGCCTGACCAACATGGCAAAACCCCATCTCTACTGAAAATACAAAAATTAGCCAGGCATGTTGGCATGCACCTGTAGTCCCAGCTACTAACGAGGCTGAGAGAGGAGGATGGCTTGAGCCCAGGAGATCGAGGTTGCAGTGAGCTGTGTTCATGTCACTGCACTCCAGTCTGGGTGATGGAGCAAGCCTGTCTCAAAAAAAAAAAAAAAAAAAAAAAAAGGCATGAAAAAAATAAGAAAGAAATACACCAAAATATTAAAGATAACTGTTTTCTATCTGTGGGTGAGTTAGGGTAGGAAATCATGGTCATTTTTTTTTTTCTTTTCAACCTTTCAACCATTCAAACACAATGGTTTGAAGATTTTGAACACAAAATTTCCTGAAGTTACTTTTATCTTCTAAACAGTGGAACAAACTTAAGATCTCAATGTGTAGGCCACATCATCAGAAACAGTAATGCTTTTTGATATTTTATTGAAAACAACTAACATAGAGAGGTTGGTGGTGGTCCTGGGACCTCCTTGAGACATCTTGAGAGGAAGACTAGATCAATGAAAAAAGTCTTACCCTAGTATGGCCCTGCAAAATCAATATGGATTATTATCTAAGTCTTCCTGATCCCTCTGCTTGTCCATTCCTCTCCCATATCCACCATGAAAAAGTAGGTTCCTTAACCAGTTATGTCAAGAAGCTTGTCAGGCTGTACTCTTTTACAGTCTTTTAAATATCAGAATCAATTCCAGGACATCAGAAAGTGCTTCTGTCTGAGGTTTTCATGCAAACAGATTTTGGATATGCTACATTTAGCATGGTCAAGTTAACATGAAAACTGCCTTCTTGAAAAATACAATTCCTCCATACAATGAATTCCTTATGAACAGATAACTCATCTTGACAGTTTTGAACAGCTTACATTTCTGGAGTGGTTCTCTTGTGGATGCCCCCTCCTGATCCAGTTCAAGACCCAGGCTAATCTGAGATCCCTTTCAGTTAAACATGAAATTCAACCAGCCTAAAGAGGTGAGTCTAGGAGATCTTTCAGCATTAAAATTTCCTATGGATATGACTCAATATAACCTAGAATTTGCAGGGGCAGACAGTTCAGGATACCAGCATTCAATTAGTATGCTCTTAGAAACTCAGCAAGGGACTCTAATGTGTTTTACCTACTGACATGATATAAAGAATATATCTCTCTGGTTTGGAAAGTAATCCTCAGAGAGACTTGAGAATAGTACAAATAATAAAGACATAGCCATAAAGCTACTTGTGGTTATTCTTGATTTCTGTTACAACAGAGTTGTCTCAAAAATTTATACAGAATTCTTATATATAGATAATCTTGCTCTTGAGTTTCAAGCAAGTGGAAATGTTGGTAGTGACTTTTTGGGGTTAAGAGGAAATAATAAAAAGAGGTGGTTGATGTTCACTCCATACATGGAAGCCAATAATTTCTTAGCAGCCTAGAATTTGTCCATTAGCTATTTCTGATAAGCTTCAAACCACACACTTTTTTTCTCAGTAGACAATGAAGTGACTCAGAAATTTTTGACTTTTATGGAAGAAAAACACAGTAAAGATTGAGTTGCCCCAGGGAAGCTTATGCATCCTTATTTTAGGGAGTTGAGGGTCTCACAGTATAGTCCAGGCTGGTGTGCAGTGACTATTCACAGGTACAATCATCACATACTGCAGCCTCAAACTCCTGGACTCAAGCAATTCTCCTGCCTCAGCCTCCGTAGTAGCTTAGACTACAGGTGCACACCACTGTGCTCAGCTCTAGATCTTGCATTTTTAAGGGAATGGACTCCCCTGCATCTCCTCTTGCTGCAGAAAGGTACGAAGGGGTAAAGAAGTTGCCAGTTGCCTAAGAAAGTAACATTGGAAAGATGGACATTTTATTTAGTTGTTTCTTGTGTTTGATTTAACTAAACAAGACTTGAAATAATGTCATCAGATATTATTGGAATATATTATCAAACCTGGAGCCATCAGATGCAGAGTCTTTGTGAAACCCTGAAAACTTCCAGAGAAGATGGCAACTTGAATCCATGGCAGGTACTTAATTGGGAAGATTCCTTATTGAGAATGCTCTTATAGATTTTTGCAGTAGTATCATCTGATGCTTGATACACCTGGGCAAGTTCATTTTACCAAGACATGCCTGATAACAAGAATATCAAGGAGTTACTCAACTCCTAAAGCTGGACACAGGAGTTGGACTGGCAGATAAGTGCCTTGTCCATAGAGCACTCATAATTTTTTATAAGCTCACAGGGTATAAATTTATACATGTTGTGAGGACTTAATGAAATGCTAAATCTCTTGTTTTTCTATCACTTAGGATAAAATGCATAGTGAATTGGTACAGCAACTAAAAGTACACTGAGTAACACTGGATCCTTTCTGGAAGTTCCTAGGTCCTCAGAGAAAATGCTGAGAAATCTGTTGGACAGTTTACTCTAATTAAAATGTTCTAATTTTATAAATGTCTTCAACACTGATTCCTGTGTGTATGGACAAATTCCTTCTCAAGAGGTTTTTTGTACCACTCAAGATACTTCCTTGACAAATGACAAAATATAAAAAGTAATAGTTTTTAAGCATTTGATAGTGAACATACAGGTCTGCTATGCTCAGCAGAGGAGAAACATACAATTTGACTTTCACATACTCCTTGGCTTTCTGCCTGTGGGAAATTTCCAAATTCCAGTGCAGGGAAATGGAGCCCAGGCAGAAAGCAGCAGTCTTGTGGAGTGAAAGAAAGAGAGATCAGAATTATGAGCTGCTAAGTTGACTAAAATTTGTAGGGAAGTTACTGGAAATTAGGGGGTTAAAGGAATTTGTGTAAGAATGCTTTTTGTTTCCTTGACCAAATCTTCAGCTCTTCATGTTTAGGTTAGAACTCTATGAGGCCTAGCAGAGAATCCTTATTAGGAGTCTGGGAGCTGAATGGAAATTTCATAATGTACATAGCACTGAGGATATTTTAGAGTTCTGAACCCTCCAGAATGAAGAGACCTTGGTGAACACACTAGGCAGTCACTTGAGACCTGAGAAAGGCCACACATTAGGAATAAGAACTACAAACTAGGATTAAGCATTATAAGTCTGGGGGAAAAATAAAAATAGCTGCCTTCCACCCCCAAATGAAGCCTAAAACCAGGCCTTGACAAGATCCAGGAGATTCAGCAGTAATTTCAGTGCCTTCCAGAAAAACAAACAAACTAACAAAAACAAAACAAAACAAAAAAAACCTTAATCCTGAAAGAAGATAACCTAATTCAGAGTTTCTACAGCATGTAATTCACAATGTCCAGCATACAATAAAACAATTCATAGACCTGTGAAAAATCAGAAAATGTGAACCACAATACTAAAACCAAATTCATTAGGAGACCTAGAAATTATCCAGCTATTGGAATTAACAGGAGGAAAATTTAAAATAGTTATTATAAATATGTTTTATAAATTAGAGAAAAAAGTGGAAAACTGTAAAGAAATGTAAAAATTCAACAGAGAAAAGGAAATCCTGAAAAGGACAAGATGGAAATTTTAGAACTAAAAAAATGTATATCTAAAATAAGGAAGTCATTGAAATAGAAGACTACCGAACGTAACAGAAAAGGCTTAGTGAACTCAAACACAGATCTTATGCTGCCTCAGAGATAGAAATTATCCAAACTGAATCAAAGATATTACACAGAAACAGAATAAAGAAAAAAAAATACACATCAGAGACTTTTAGGGCAATATCAAATGATTTAGCCTATATATAATTGGAGCTTTGGGAGGAAAGGAAAGAGCGAGAGTAGAGCATAAACATTTTTGAAGGGATAACGACTGAAATTTTTGAACTTTAAAAAAGGATACCAAACAACAAATCCAAGAAGCTCCACAAATCTCAAGCAAGATAAATATGCAGCATGCACTTACAGACATCATAGTCAAATTCTGAAGACCAAGGGAAAATAGAAAATCATGAAAGTAGCCAGAGAATACAGTAGCATTACATATAAGAGAACAATGATAAGAATGACAGCTGGTTTCTTATCAGAAATAATGAAGGACAAAATAATCTTTTAAAAATGGAGGTGAAATATGGACATTTTAGATAGAGCAAGTTGGCAGAATTCATCTCTCACAAACCTGCACTGTAAGAAATATTAAATGAAGTTAAATAGGCTGAAAGGAAATAATATCACATAGAAACCTAACTTTTCAGAAAGAAATAAAAAGTATCAAGAAGAATAAATTGGTCAATAAATATGAGTACATTTCTAAACATTTATTTGTATTTTTATACATATGTATTATTTAATGTCTTAAAAACTATTGGCTATTTAATGTAAAAATAATGACAAAGAAAGTGCAGTTTATGGCATATATGAAAATGAAATATATGATAATAACCCAAAGGATGGGAAAGCAGTAATTGAAATATACTTCTTAAAGTTATTGAATATTTCATGTAGTAATATATTTTGAATGTAGACTGTGATAAGTTAAATATGTATTGTAATCTCTGTAATAATTATTAAAAATAATACAAAGGAGAATAACTAAATTGTCAATAGGGGAAATACACTAAAACATTTAAATTTGATTAAGCCAAAAAAGATTAGGAAAGTAAGGACAGAAAAATAAAGGGCAGATGAGGCAAATAGAAATCAAATGCCAACATGGTAGACTTAAATAAAAAGTATCAATAATTATATTAAATGCAAATAGACTAAACACCCCAGTTAAAAGGCAAGACATCAGTATATTACCAACTGTGGTGGCTACTGGGCAAAACTCCTGCTATCATCAAACTGGATGATAAAGTAAGATCCTACTTACTTTAGGTTTCTTACTTATGTTTTTTACTTGATATATGTTTTAAACGTAAATACATAAAAAGCTGAAAATGGAAGGATGGAAAAAAGTATTCCATGCAAACTCTAAGCATACGAATGATGTTATGGCTATATTAATATCAGACAAAGTAGAACTCATGATGAAGAGAATTACTAGAGATAAAGAAGGTCATTTTACAATGATAAAAGAGATGAATTATCAAGAAGAGATAACCATCCTATATGTGTTGCACCTAAAGGCAAAGTCCCCAAATATATGAAGCAAACTCATCAGAAATAAAGTGTTGAAAAATTTACAAATGTAGAGACTTTAACATCATTTTTCTCAGTAATTTATAGAACATTTACAGAAAAAAATTAGAAAACATATGGAAGACTGAAACAACATCATCAACAATTTGACCTAATTGACATGTGCAGACTATCAGACCCATTAACGGCAAAATACACATTTGTCTAAAGAATTTTTACCAGTATAGGTTATATGTTGGGCCACAAAACAATTCCTGATACATTTTTAAGGATGGATATTATACAGACTATGTTCTCTGAGCACCCAGTGATTAAAATAGAAACCAATAACAGCAAAATACACAGAGTCCCCAAATGTTTTGAAATTATATAAAACACTATTAAAAAATCTCATCAAAGAAGAAGTCATGAGAAAGATTAGAAAATATTTTTAAAAGAATGCTAATAAAACAACATATCAAAAATTGTACGATGCAGCTAAATACACCTTAGAAAGAAATTTATAGCTTTAAATATCTGTATCAGAAAAGAAAAAATAAAATTAATGACCTTCATTACCAACTTAAGAAATCAGAATAAGAACCAATTAGGAGGTGGAGCAAAATGGTGGAATAGAAAGATCCACTTATCATCCTCCCAACAAAGACATAAAGTTAACAACTGTCTACACAGGAAAACACCTTAATGAGAACCAAAAATTAGGTGAGAACCCATAGTACTTGGTTTCAACTTCATATCATTGAAAGAGGCACTGAAAAGATAGAGAAAAAACAGTCTGAAATCACTGACACCACCCCTCCCCATCCCTAGCAGCAGAGGTATGCTGCAAAGAGCCTCTCTGAACACTGGGAGAGGGAGAACACAGTAAGTGTGAGGCACTGAACTCAGTGCTATACTGTTAGAGCGGAAAGAAAACCCAGGCCAAACTCAGGTGATGCCTGACCATGGAGGGAGCATTTAGACCAGCCCTAGCCAGAAGCGAATTGCCCATCCCAGCAGTTCAAACATGAGTGCTTGCAAACCTCGCCACCCAGGGTTACAGAACTCTGTGTCTCCAAGTAAACTTGAAAGACAGAATAGACCATAATGACTGCAACACTTAGGTGAGTCCTAAGGCTGAACTAGGCCCAGAGACAGTAGACTATGGGGGCACGTGACATAATGAGACACCAGCTGGGGCAGCCAAGGGAGTGCTGGCATCACTCCTCCCCTAATCCCTAGTTGCACAGCTTGAGTCTACAAAAGAGACCCCTTTTTTCCACTTGAAGAGAGGAGAGGGAAGAGTGGGGAGGACTTTGTCTTGCATCTAGGATACCAGCTCAGCCACAGCAGGATAGGGCACTGGTCAGAGTCGTGAGGACCCTATTCCAGGCCCTAGCTCCCATACAACATTTATAGACACATTCTGGGCCAGAAGAGAACCCAGTGCCTTTGAAGGAAAGGATCCAGAGCTGGAAGCATTCATCACCCGTTAACTGAAGAGACCTTGGACCCTGAATAAGAAGCAGTGATACCCAGATACTACATCGAGGGCTTTGGATGAGCCTTTGAGACATGCTGGCTTCAGGTAAGACTCAGTACATTACCATCTGTGGTGAGTACTGGGCAAAACTCCTTCTGCTTGAGAAAAGCAGAGAGAAAAGTAAAGGGAACTTTGACTTGCACCTTAGGTACCAGCACAGCCCATGAGGGTAGAGCACCAGGCAGACTCCTGGGTTCCTCTATTCCAGGACTTGACTCTTGGACAGCATTTTTGGACCTGCCTTGGGACAGAGGGGAGTCCACTGCCCTGAAGGGTGAATCCCAGACCAGGCAGCATTCACCACAAGCTGAATTAAGAGACCTTGAGCCTTAAGGGAACATCAGCAGTAATCTGGCAGTACCCTCGCTGGCCTGAGGTGGTGGTTGCTATGGGGTAAGGCTCCTCTGCCTTTGAAAAGGGAAGGGAATATTGAGAAGAACTGCATCTTGTTGTTAGAGTGCCAACTCAGCTACAGTGCAATAGAACACCAGGTAGACTTCTAAGGTTTTTGACTGTAGTCCCTGACTCCTGGGTGGCACGTCTGGGACACATCCAGATCCTGGGTGACCTCACCGCCATGAAGGGAAGGATATAGGCCTGGATGGCTTTGCCACCTGCTAATTGTAGAGCCCCAGGGCCTTGAGTGAACATAGGCAATAGCCAGGGAGTGGTTACAGCAGGACTTGACTGAGAACCAGTGTTGTGCTGGCTTCAGGTTTGACCCAGTATAGTCATAGTAGTTATAGCCACAGGGGTGCTTATGTCACTCCACCCCCAGCTTTAGGTGGCTCAGAACAGAGGAGAGACTGTATGTTGGACAGAAAGTGAGGGAAGAGAATAAGAGTCTTTGCCTGATAATCCAGAGAAGTATCCCAATTCTTGCCCAAGAGTATTAAGGAGGTACCTCTACAAGTCTGCAAATACTATGGTGTTACTGGGCTTGGGGTGACCCCTAAAGCAGACACAGCTTAGATCAAAATACCCAAGTCCTTTCAAATATCTAAAAAGCCACCTGAAGAAGGACAGCTACAATTAAGGCCAGACAGTGAAGACTACAATAAATACCTTACTCCTCAATGCCCAGACATCAAACAGCATCTACTAGCATCAGCATCATCCAGGAAAACATGACCTCACTAAATGAACTAAATAATGTACCAGGGACCAATCCTGGAGAAACAGAGATATGTCACTTTTCAGACAAATAACTTAAAATAGCTTTGTTGAGGAAACTGAAATTCAAGATAACACAGAGAAGGAATTTAGAATTCTATCACATGAATTTAACAAGGAGATTAAAATAATTAAATGAATCAAACAGAAATCCTGGAGCTGAAAAATGCAATTGGCATACTGAATAATGCATCAGAGTCCTTTAAAAGCAGAATGAATGAAGCCAAAGAAAGAATTAGTGAGCTAAAAACAGGTTATTTGAAAATACACACTCAAAGGAGACAATGGAAAAATAAAAAACAATGAAGCACACCTATGGGATCCAGATAACAGCCTCAAAAGGGCAAATCTAAGTTATTGGGCTTAAAGAAGAGGCACAGAAAGAGATAGGAGTGGAAAGTTCATTCAAAGGGAAATAACAGAGAACTCCCCAAACCTAGAGAAATATATCAATATCCAAGTACAAGAAGAATATATCATGTGAAGCATATTTAACTCAAAAACTACCACAAGGCATTTAGTAATCAAATTCTCAAAAAACAAGGATAACAAAAGGATCCTAAAAGCATCAAGCAAAAGAGACAAAGAACATACAATAGAATTCCAATACATCTGTCTGGGCATGAGGAGACTTTTCAGTGGAAACCTTACAGGCCAGGAGAGAGTGGCATGACATATTTAAAGTGCTGAAGAAAAAAAAAATTATTTACCTTAGAATAGGAAATTCAGCAATCATCCTTCAAATATGAATGAGAAATAAAGATTTTCCCAGACAAACAATAGCTGAAACAATTCATCAACACCAGACCTCTCTTACAAGAAATGTTAAAGGGAGTACTTCATTCAGAAAGAAAAGGACATTAATGAGCAATAAATAATCACCTGGAGGTACAAAACTCACTGGTAATAGTAAGTACACAGAAAAACAAAGAATTTTGTAACTTTATAATTTTGGTACATAAACTACTCTTATCCTAAGTGGAAAGACTCAAAGATAAGCCAATCAAAAATATTAACCATGACAACTTTTTAAGGCATAACCAGTACAATAAGATATAAATAGAAACAACAAAATGTTAAAAAGTGAGAGAACTAAGTTAAGGTGTAAAGTGTGTATGAGTTTTCTTTTTGCTTGTTTGTTTATGCAAATAATGTTGTTTTTATTAAGTTAAAATAATGGGTTATGAGATAGTATTTGCAAGCCTCATGGTAACCTCAGAGCCAAAAACATGCAATGGATACACAAAAAATAAAGAAGCAGGAAACTAAATCATATCACCAGAGAAAATCATCTTCACTACAGAAAGGCAGGAAGGCAAGAAAGAAGGAAGAGAAGATCATAAAACAATGAGAAAATATATAACAAAAAAGCAAGAGTAAGTTATCAATTATAACTTGAGTTACTTATCAATAATAACTTAAGAGTTACTTATCAATAATAACATTCAATGTAAATGGACTAAACTCTCCAATTGAAAGGCATAAACTGGCTGAATAAATAAAAAAAAAAGACCCATTGATCTGTTGCCTACAAAAAACCCACTTCACCTATAAAGGCACACATGGACGGAAAATAGAGGGATAGAAAAAAGGTATTCCATGCCACTGGAAACCAAAAAGGAGCAGGAGTCACAATTCTCATATCAGACAAAATAGATTTCAAGATAAAAACTATAAGAGACAAAGAAGGTCACTATATAATGATAAGGGGATCATTAATCTAGAAGATGTAACAATTGTAAATATATATGCACCCAACACTGGAGCACCAAGATATATAAAGCAAATATTATTGGAGCTAAAGAGAGAGATAGACCCCAATACAATAATAGCTGAAGACCTCAATAGCTGGAGACCTCAACAGCTGACATTCAGCATTGGCTAGATCTTTCAGACAGAAAAATCAACAAATAAACATTGGACTTAATCTGAACTATAGACCAAATGGATCTAATAGATATTTAGAGAACATTTCATTCAATAGCTTCAGAGTACACATTCTTTTCCTCAGCACACAAATCATTCTCAAGCATAGACCATATATTAGGTCATAGAACAAGTCTTAAAATATTTTAAAAAACTGAAATAATACCACACATCTTCTCTAAGCACAATGGAATAAAACTAGAAATTAGTAACAACAGGAATTTTGGAAACTATACAAATACATGGGAATTAAACTATATGCTCCTGGATGACCAGTGGGTCAATGAAGAAATTAATAAGAAAATTAAAAAATGTCTTGAGACAAATGATGAAACACACATGCCAAAACCTATGGAATGCAACAAAAGCAGTACTAAGAGGAAAGTTTATAGCTATAAGTGCCTACATCAAAAAAGAGAAAAAACTTCAAATGAGTGATCTAATGATACATCTTAAAGAACTAGACAAGCAAGAGGAAACCAAACCCGAAATCAGTATGAGAAAAGAAATAATGATCAGAGCAGAAATATAAAGTTGAAATAAAGATAGATAAATCAAAAAGTTGTGTTTTTTTAAAGTTAAACAAAATTGACATACATTTAACCAAACTAAGTAACAAAAGAGAGAAAATTTTCAAATAATATCAGAACTGAAAAAGGAGACATAACAACTGATACTGCAGAAATTCAAAGTATCATTAATGACTACTGTGACCTACAATATGCCAATAAATTGGAAAATCTAGAACAGACAACTTCCTAGATCCATTGAATCTATCATGATTGAACCAGGAAGAAATCCAAAATCTGAACAGACAAATAACAAGTAACAAGAATGAAGCCATAATAAAGTCTTCTGCTAAAAAAAATCCCAGGATGTATAGCTTCATTGCTGAAATATTACAAACATTTAAAGAAGAATTAATACCAATCTTACTCAAACTATTCCAAACAATAGAGGAAGAGGTAATATTTCAAAATTCATTATACAAGGCCAGTATTGCCCTGATACAAAAATCAGATGAAGACACATACGAAAAACAAAACTACAGACCAATATCTCTTAGGAATATTGATGCAAAAATCCTCAACAAAATACTAGCAAACTAAATTAAACAATACAGTAGAAAGATCATTCATCATGACCAAGTGGGATTTATCCCTGGGATGTAATGATGGTTCAACATATGCAAATTAATCAATGTGATACACCATATCAACAGAATGAAGAATAAAATTCATATAATTATTTAAACTGATGCTGAAAAAGGTTTTGATAAGCTTCAACTTTTTTTATGATAAAAACGCTTACAAAACTGGGTATAGAAAGAACACACTTAAACAGAATAAAAGACATATATGACAGACCCACAGCTAGTATCATACTGAATGGGGAATAAGTGAAAGCCTTTCCTTTAAGATCTGAAACATGACCAGGATGCCCACTGTCACCACTGTTACTCCACATCTTACACGAAGTCTTAGCTAGAGCAATCAGACTAATGAAAATCCAAAGTGAAAATGAAGATGTCAAATTATCCTTGTTTGCAGATGATATAATCTTATATTTGGAAAAACCTAAAGACTCCACAAGAAAACTATTAGAACTGATAAACAAACTTAGTAAAGTTACAGGATAGGAAATCAACATACAAAAGTCAGTAGCATTTCTATAACAAACAGTGAATGACTTGAATAAGAAATAAAAAAGTAATCCCATTTATGATAGCCACAAATAAAATTAAATATGAGGAATTACCAAAATAAGTGAAAGATCTCTATAATGGAAACTATAGGACACCGAAAAATATAAAAGTATTCCATGTTCATGGATTGGAAGAATCAATATTGTTGAAATGTCCATATGACCCAATGCAAGCTACAGATTCAATGCAATCCCTATCAAAATATCAATGACACTCTTCACAGAAGTAGAAAAAAGAATCCTAAGCTTCATGTGGAATCATAAAAGGCCCAGAATAGCTGCAGCTATTCTAAGTAAAAATAAAAAAAACTGGAGGAATCACATTACCTGATTTCAAATTATACTACAGAGATATAATAATGAAAACAGCATAAAACTCACATAAAAACAGATACGTAGACCAAAGGGACAGAATAAAGAACCCAGAAAAAAATCTACACACCTACAGTTAACTCATTTTGACAAAGGTCTAAGAACATACACTGGGGAAAAAGACAGTTTCATCAATAAATGGTGCTGGCAAAACTGGATATCCATAAGCAGAGGAATGAAAATAGAATCCTATCTATAACTATATACAAAAATCAAATCAAAATGGATTTAAGACTTAAATCTAATACCTCAAAGTATGCAACTTCCACAAGGAAACATAGGGGAAAATCTCCAGGTCATTGGCCTGGGCAAAGATTTCTTGAGCAATACTCCACAAGCACAGGCAACCAAAGCAAAAATGGACAAAGGGGATCACACTAAGTTAAAAAGCTTCTGCACAGCAAAGAAAATAATCAACAAAGTGAAAAGACAACCCACAGGTTGGAGGAAAATATTCGCAAACCACCCATCTGACAAGGGATTAATAACCAGAATATATAAGTAACTCAAACAACTCTGTACTAAAAAGTCTAAATATCTAATAAAAACGGGCAAATATTTGACTAGATATTTCTTTAGAAAAACCTACAAATGACAAACAGGCATATGAAAAGGTGCTCAACTTCATTTATTATCAAGGAAATGCAAATCTAAACTACAGTGAGATACCAATTTGGCCTAGTTGAAATGGCTTATATCAAAAACACAGGCAACAACAAATGCTGGCAAGGACATGCAGAGAAGGGAATATTAGTACAGTGTTGGTGGGAATATAAATTATTACAAACACTATGAAGACCAGTTGGATGTTTCTCACAAAACTAAAAATAGAGCTACCATAGAATCCAGGAATCCCTCTCCTGTGTATATACCCAAAAGAAAGGAAATAAGTATAAAAAAGAGATATCTGCACTCCTGTGTTTTTTGCAGCACTGTTTACAATAGCCAAGATTTGGAAGCAACCTAAGTGTCCAGCAGTAGATAAATGGATAAAAAATGTGGTACATATACACAATAAAGTACTATTCAGCTATATAATAAAACGAATGAGATCCAGTCATTTGCAACAACATGAATGGAACTGGAAATCATTATGTTAAGTGAAATAAACCAGGAACAGAAAGACAAACATCGTGTGTTCTCACTCATTTGTGGGATCTAAAAATCAAAACAATTGAACTCATGGACATAGAGAGTAGAAGGATGGTTACCAGAAGATGGGAAGTGTAATGGGGGCCTGGATGGGGAGGCGGAAGTGGTAATGGTTAATGGGTAGAAAAAAAATAGAAAGGATGAATAAGACCTATTTGATAACAAAGTAGCATGACTATAGTCAATGACAATGGTATGTTTTAAAATAACTTAAAGTGTGTAATTGGATTGTAACTCAAAGGGCAAGGTGATACCTTGAAAATTATTGAGAAAGTGAATACCCCCGATGTGCTTATTTCACATTGCATGCTTGTATCAACACATCTCATGTACCCCATAAATATATACACCTAATATGTACCCACAAAAATTAAAAAAGAACAAATAAATCCAAAGTAAGTAGAAGTAAATACATAATAAAAATAAAAATAAAATTAATAAAATAGAAACTAAGAGTAGGGATTTTCAACAAAGGCATAAACTTGTTTTCTGAGAAGATAAATAAAATGAATGAACAATGAGTGAGATTTATCAAGAAAACAAAATAATACATTACCCTAAACCCCCACACCATCATCTTTGCCACTGCAAACGTATGTGTGGAGATTGGCATCCTTGTCCCCACTGCCACTGTTGCAACTGCTGGTAGTATAACACATTCAGGAAAGCTGCAGTCCCACTCTTTCCAGTACCCCACCCCAGCCAATGCACATGGATCTCACAGCACTGCTGCTGCTGGCATGTGTTAACAGGCATAGATCACACTGCCACCATTCCAAGGGAGTGCTTTGGCTGGTGCCACCCATCAGAGTGCTGTGGCCAGTGGCCCAGGAACAACTGGACCCCTCTAGCACAGGAGATTCCTAACTTGAAGGGCCAAAGAACAAAGCAGGGGTCTTGATACTAGCTCCCCAGAGTTAGATAACACAGCCCAAGAGTACTGAGCTGAGCCTTGACCTCTTAAAATATTCCAGAAAGGAAACCAGTCAACTGAATTCAACTTATATCACATTTGAATCCCCAAGGGCATCAAAGAAAACAAAAGCAAAGCAAAAAAAAACATAATCCTAAAGCCAGCAACTGTAAAGATTGAAGGAACATCAGCCCAAACAGATGAGAAAGAACCAGCACAAGAACTCTGCCAACCCAAAAAGTCAAAGTGTCTTCTTATCTCCGAACAACTGCACCAGTTCTCCAGCAATGCTTCTTAACTAGGCTGAAATGGCTGAAATCATAGAAATTGAATTCAGAATATGGATAGGAATGAAGATAAGATCATTGAAAATTAGAAGTCTAAACCCAATCCAAGGAATGTAAGTAATACAATAAAATGATATAGGAGATGATAGACAAAATGGCCATTTTAAGAAAGAACCAAACTGATGTGATAGACCTGAAAAACTCACATCAAGAATAACAGAATACAACCACAAGTATTAACAGCAGAATCAACCAAGCTGATGAAAGTATCTGAGCTCAAAGACTAGTTCTCCAAAATTAGTCAGACAACAATAAAGAAAAAAGATTAAAGAAGAGTGAAGAAAACATCTCCCATAAAAATTTATCCAACCTTGTTAGAGAAGCCAACATTCAAATTCAGGAAATGTAGAGAACCACTCTGTACACGATACTATATGAGACAACCATTCCCTAGGCACACAGTCATCCAATTAGCCAAGGTTGATATTAAAGAAAAAATGTTAAGGGCAGCTAGAGAGAAGGGGCAGTTCACTTATAAAAGGAACTCCATCAGGCTAACAGCAGACCTTTCAGCAGGAACCCTGCAAGTCAGAAGAGTTTGGGGGTCTATATTTAGTATTCTTAAAGAAAAGAAATTCCAACCAACCAAGAATTTTATATCTGCCGAATTAATCTTCATAAGTGAAGGAGAAATAAGATTCTTTTCAGAAAAACAAATGCTAAGGGAATTCATCACCACCAGACCTGCCTTACAAGAAGTCCTTAATGGAGTGCTAAATATGGAAATAAAAGACCAATACCAGCCACCACAAAAACACACTTTAGTACATAGACCAATAACACTGTAAAGCAACCACAAGACCAAGTCTGCATAATAACCAGCTACAAACATGACAACAGGATTAAATCTGCACATATTGATATTAACCTTGAATATAAATTGGCTGAATGTCCCAATTAAAAGGCACCAAGAACAAGTTGGATAAAGAAACAATCCCCAACAGTATGCTGTCTTCAAGAGACCCATCTCACACGTATTGACACCCATAGACTCAAAGTAAAGGGATGGAGAAAAATCTACCAAGCAAACGGAAAACAGAACAAAGCAGGGATTGCTGTTCTAATTATACAGAGAACAGACTATAAACCAACAAAGATCAAAAAAGACAAAGAAGGGCATTACATAATGGTGAAGAGCTCAATTCAACAGGAAGACCTATCCTAAATATATATGCATCCAACTGAGGAGCATAGAGATTCATACATCAAGCTCTTAGAGGCCTACGAAGAGACTTAGATGACAACACAACAATAGTCAGAAACTTCAACACTCCACAGATAGTATTAGACAGATCATTGAGGCAGAACATTGGCAAATATATTTGGAATCTGAACCTGACACTTGGCCAGATGGACCAAAAAACCACGTACAGAACTCTCCACCCAAAAACAATAGAATACACAGACTTCTCATCTGCACATGGCACATGCTTTAAAATCAACCACACAATTGACCATGAAATAATTTTCAGCAAATTAAAAAAAATCATACTAACCACAATCTTGGACTATAGCATAATATAAATTGAAATTAATACTAAAAAGTAACTCAAAACTATAAAATTACATAGAAATTAAACAATGTGCTCCTGAATGACTTTTGGGCAAACAATGAAATCAAGGCAGAAATAAATTATTTGAAACTAATGAGAGCAAAGATACTTCATGCCAGAATTTCTGGGACACAGCTAAAGCAGCTTTAAGAGGGAAGTTTATAGTGCTAAATGACCACATCAAACAGTTTGAAAGATCTCAAATTCAAAATCAATGTGCAAAAATCACAAGCATTGTTATACACTAATAACAGACAAACAGAGAGCCAAATCATGAGTGAACTCCCATTCACAATTGCTTCAAAGAGAATAAAATACCTAAGGAATCCAACTTACAAGGGACATGAAGGACCTCTTCAAGGAGAACTACAAACCACTACTCAATGAAATAAAAGAGGATACAAGCAAATGGAAGAACATTCCATGCTCATGGGTAGGAAGAATCAGTATCGTGAAAATGGCCATATTGCCCAAGGTAATTTATAGATTCAATGCCATCCCCATCAAGCTACCAATGACTTTCTTCACAGAATTGGAAAAAACTACTTTAAAGTTCATATGGAACCAAAAAAAGCCCGCATTGCCAAGTCAATCCTAAGCCAAAAGAACAAAGCTGGAGGCATCACGCTACCTGACTTCAAACTATGCTACAAGGCTACAGTAACCAAAACGCATGGTACTGGTACCAAAACAGAGATATAGACCAATGGAACAGAACAGAGCCCTCAGAAATAATGCCACATATCTACAACTATCTGATCTTTGACAAATCTGACAAAAACAAGAAATGGAGAAAAGATTCCATATTTAATAAATGGTGCTGGGAAAACTGGCTAGCCATATGTAGAAAGCTGAAACTGGATCCCTTCCTTACACCTTATACAAACATTAATTCAAGATGGATTAAAGACTTAAATGTTAGACCTAAAACCATAAAAACCCTAGAAGAAAACCTAGGCAATACCATTCAGGACATAGGAAGGCATGGGCAAGGAATTCATGTCTAAAACACCAAAAGCAATGGCAACAAAAGCCAAAATACACAAATGGGATCTAATTAAACTAAAGAGTTTCTGCACAGCAAAAGAAACTACCATCAGAGTGAACAGGCAACCTACAGAATGGGAGAAAATTTTTGCAATCTACTCATCTGACAAAGGGCTAATATCCAGAATCTACAAAGAACTCAAACAAATTTACAAGAAAAAAAAACAACCCCATCAAAAAGTGGGCAAAGGATATGAACAGACACTTCTCAAAAGAAGACATTTATGCAGCCAACAGTCACATGAAAAAATGCTTATCATCACTGACCATCAGAGAAATGCAAATAAAAACCACAATGAGATACCATCTCACATCAGTTAGAATGGTGTTCATTAAAAAGTCAGGAAACAACAACAGGTGCTGGAGAGGATGTGGAGAAATAGGAACACTTTTACACTGTTGGTGGGACTGTAAACTAGTTCAACCATTGTGGAAGTCAGTGTGGCCATTCCTCAGGGATCTAGAACTAGAAATACCATTTGACCCAGCCATCCCATTACTGGGTATATACCCAAAGGATTATAAATCATGCTGCTATAAAGACACATGCACACGTATGTTTATTGTGGCACTATTCACAATAGCAAAAACTTGGAACCAACCCAAATGTCCAACAATGATAGACTGGATTAAGAAAATCTGGCACATATACACCATGGAACACTATGCAACCATAAAAAATGATGAGTTCATGTCCTTTGTAGGGACATGGATGAAGCTGGAAACCATCATTCTCAGCAAACTATCGCAAGGACAAAAAACCAAACACTGCATGTTCTCACTCATAGGTGGGAATTGAACAATGAGAACACATGGTCACAGGAAGGGGAACACCACACACCGGGGGTTGTTGTGGGATGGGGGGAGGAGGGAGGGATAGCATTAGGAGATATACCTAATGTTAAATGACGAGTTAATGGGTGCAGCACACCAACATGGCATATGTATACATATGTAACAAACCTGCACGTTGTGCACATGTCCCCTAAAAGTTAAAGTGTAATAAAGAAAAATAAAAAATAAAAATAAATAAAAACTTAACATCACACCTAGAGGAACTAGCAAAACAAGAGGAAACCAACTCCAAAGATAGCATAAGAGGAGAAATAACCAAAATTGGAGCTGAACTGAAGGAAATTGAGACCAAAAAATGTACAAAGCATCAATAAGTCCAGGAGTTGTTTTTTGAAAGAGTAAACAAGATATATAGACCACCAGCTAGAGTAATAAAGCAAAAAAAGAAAATCCAAATAAGCATAGTCAACAATGATGAAGGGATGTTACCACTGACCCCACAAAAACACAAAAAACCCTCAGAGACTATGATAAACACCTCTTTGCACACAATCTAGAAAACCTGGAAGAAATGGATAAATTCTTGGAAGCATACAAGCTACCAAGAATGAACGAGGAAGAAATTGAATCCCTGTACAAACCAACAGTTAGTTCTGAAATTGAATCAGTAATAAAAACCCCACCAACTATAAAAAGTCAAGGACCAGATGAATTCACAGCTGAATTCAACATGTTGTACCAAGAAGAGCTGGTAGTATTCCTATTGAAACTATCCCCAAAAAATTGAGGACTAGGAACTCCCCCTAACTCATTCTATGAGGTCAAAGTAGAGCAAAGCTTATCCAGCAGCACATAAAATATCTAACCCACCACAATCAAGCACACTTAACCCCTGGGATGCAAGCTTGGTTCAACATACAAAAATCAGTAAACTTGATTCATCACATAAACAGAACTAAATACAGACACCACATGATTATTTAAATAGATGCAGAAAAGGATTTTGATAAGTTTTAACATCTCTTTACGTTAGAAACCCCTAACTAGGCATTAAAGGAACATACTTCAAAACAATGATACATCTATGACAAATCCACAGTCAACATCATACTGAATGGGCAAAAGTTGGAAGCATTCTCCTTGAAAACTGGAACAAGACACAGATGCCCACTCTTGCCATTCTTATTCACTATGGAACTGAGTGTCCTAGCTAGAGCAACCAGGCAAAATAAATAAATAAATGACTTCCACAAAAGATGAAAGGCAGTCAAATTATTTCTGTAGATGATATGATTCTATGCCTAGAACACCCTACAGTGTCTTCCCAAAATCTTCTTAAGCTGATAAACTTCAGCAACATTTCAGGTACAAAATTAATGCACAAAATTCAGTAGCATTTCTGTACAGCAACATCCAAACTGAAAGCCAAATCAAAAACACAGTTGCATTCACAATTGCCATGAAAAGAATAAAATAGCTAGGAATACAGACAACAGGGAGGTGAAAAATTTCTACAGTGAGAACTACAAAACACTGCTCAAATAAATCAGAGATGACAAAAACAAATGGAAAAACATTCCAGGCTTATGGATAGGAAGAATCAATGTTATTAAAATGGTCATACTGCTGAAAGCAATTTACAGATTCAATGCTATTTATATCAAACCGTCAATGAAATTTTTCATGAATTTGAAAAAGTTACCTTAAAATTCATATGGAGCCAAGAAATATCCTGAACACCCAAGGCAATCCTAAGGAAAAAGAACAAAGCAGGAGGCATCATACTACCAACTTCAAATTATGCTACAAGGCTACAGTAACCAAAACAGCATGGTACTTGTACAGAAGCAGACACATAGACCAATGGAACAGAATAGACAGCCAAAGAGTAGTGCCACAGACCTGCAATCATCTCACCTTTGACAAAGTCAACCAAAACCAGCAATGGGGAAATGACTCCTTATTCAATAAATGGTGCTGTGATAACTGGTTAGCCATATACAGATTGAAACTGGACCCCTTTCTTAAACCATAGACAAAAATTAACTCAAGATGGATTAAAGACTTACAATTAAAACCCAAAACTATAAACACCCTGTAAGAGAGCCTAGGCAATACCATTCTGGACATAGGAACAGGCAAAGATTTCATGATGAAGATGCCAAAAACAAATGCAATGAAAACAAAATTTGACAAATAAGACCTAATTAAACTAAAGAGCTTCTGCATTGCAATAGGAACTATCAACAGAGTAAACAGAAAATCTACAGAATTGGAGAAAATATTTGGAAATTATGCATCCAACGAAGATGTAATATCCAGAACATATAATGAACATAAATTAACAAGTAAAAAACAAACAACCTCATTAAAAAGTGGGCAAAGCTGCTGGCTGGCAAGATGGCTGGATAGGAACAGCTCCGGTCTGAAGCTCCCATTGAGATCAACACAGAATACAGGTAATTTCTGCATTTCCGGCTGAAGTACCTGACTCATCTCACTGGGACTGGACAGACAGTGCATGCAGACCACAGATGGTGAGCTGAAGCAGAGTGGGGTGTTGTCTCACCTGTGAAGTGCAAGGGGTCAGGAAACTCCCTCCCGTAGCCAAGGGAAGCCCTGAGGGACTGTACTATGAGGAACGGTGCACTCCAGCCCAGATACAACACTTTTCCCATGGTCTTTGCAACCCACAGACCAGGAGATTCCCTCAGGTGCCTACACCACCAGAGTCCTGGGATTCAAGCACAAAACTGGGCGGCCATTTGGGCAGACACTGAGCTAGCTGCAGGAGTTGTTTTTTATATGCCAGTGGTGAGTGGAATGCCAGCCAGACAGAACATTTCACTCCCTTGTAAAAAGGGCTGAAGCCAGGGAGTCGAGTGGTCTTGCTTAATGGATCCCACCCCCATGGAGCCCAGCAAGCTAAGATCCACTGGCTTGAAATTCTCACTGCCAGCACAGCAGTCTGAAGTCTACCTGGGATGCTTAAGCTTGGTTGGGGGAGGGTTGTCCACCATTACTGTAGATTCAGTAGGGAGTTTTCCCCTCACAGTGTAGACAAAGCCACTGGGAAGTTCAAACCAGGTGGAGCCCACTGCAGCTCAGCATAGCTGCTGTAGCCAGACTGCCTTTCTAGATTATTCCTCTTTAGGAAGGGAATCTCCAAAGGAAAGGCAGCAGCCCCAGTCAAGGGCTTATACATAAAACTCCCATCTCCCTGGGACAGAGCACCTGGGAGAAGGGGCGGCTGTAGGTGCAGCATCAGCAGACTTAAACGTTCCTGCCTGCTGGCTCTGAAGAGAGTAGCAGATCTCCCAGCACAGTGCTAGAGCTCTGCTAAGGGACAAACTGCCTTCTCAAGTTGTTTCCTGACCCCCATACCTCCTGACTGGGAGACACCTCCAAACAAAGATCGACAGGCATCTCATACAAGAGAGCTCCAGCTGGCATGTGGTGGGTACCACTCTGGGATGAAGCTTCCCGAGGAAGGAACAAGCAGCAATCTTTGATGTCCTGTAGCCTCCACTGGTGATACCCAGGCAAATAGGGTCTGGAGTGGACCTCCAGCAAACTCCAGCAGACCTGCAGCAGAGGGGCATGACTGTTAGAAGGAAAACTAACAAACAGAAAGAAATAGCATCAACAACAACAAAAATGACATCCAAACAGAAACCCCATCTGAGGGTCACCAATATCAAAGACCAAATGTAGATAAATCCATGAAGATGAGGAAAAACGAGAGCAAAAAACCTGAAAATTTCAAAAACCAGAACACCTCTTCTCCTCCAAAAGATCACAACTGCTCACCAACAAGGTAACAAGACTGGACAGAGAATGAGTTTGATGAATTGACAGAAGTAGGTTTCAGAAGGTGGGCAATAACAAACTCCTCTGAGCTAAAGGAGCATGATGCAACCCAATGCAAGGAAGCTAAGAGCCTTGAGGAAAGGTAAGAGGAATTGCTAACTAGAATAACCAGTTTAGAGAAGAACATAAATGACCTGATGGAGCTTAAAAACACAGCAGAGATTGAAGAGCAACTCAATGAAATAAAATGAGAAGACAAGATTAGAGAAAAAAGAGTGAAAAGCAATGAACAAAGCCTCCAAAAAATATGGGACTATGTGAAAAGACCAAATCTATGTTTGATTGGTGTACCTGAAAGTGACAGGAAGAATGGAACCAAGTTGGAAAACACTCTTCAGGATATTGTCCAGGAGAACTTCCCTATCCTAGCAAACCTAACAGGCCAACATTCAAATTCAGGAAATACAGAGAACACTACAAAGATACTCCTTGAGAAAAGCAACCACAAGACACGTAATCATCAGATTCACCAAGGTTGAAATGAAGAAAAAAATGTTAAGGGCAGCCAGAGAGAAAGTTCAGGTTACCCACAAAAGGAAGTCCATCAGACTAAGAGTGAATCTCTCTGCAGAAACCCTACAAGCCAGAACAGTGGTGGCAAATATTCAACACTCTTAAAGAAAAGAATTTTCAAACCAGAATTTCACATCCAGCCAAAATAAGCTTCATATGTGAAGGAGAAATAAAATTATTTACAGACAAGCAAATCCTGAGAGATTTTGTCACTACCAGTCCTGCCTTACAAGAGCTCCTGAAGAAAGCACTAAATATGGAAAGGAACAACTGGTACCAGCCACTGTAAAAACATACCAAATTGTAAAGACCATTGACACTATGAAGAAACTGCATCAACTAATGGGCAAAATAACCAGCTAGCATCATAATGACAGAATCAAATTCACACATAACAATATTAACCTTAAATGTAAATGGGCTAAATGCCCCCAAATAAAAGACACAGATGGGAAAATTGGATAAATAGTCAAGATCCATCAGTGTGCTGTATTCAGGAGACCCATCTCACATGCAAAGACACACATAGGCTCAAATAAAGAGATGGAGGAAGATTTACCAAGCTAATGGAAAGCATAAAAAGAGAAGGGGTTGCAATCTAGTCTCTGATAAAACAGACTTTAAACCAACAAAGACTAAAAAAAAAAAAGGCAAAGAAGGGCATTACATAATGGTAAAGGGATCAATGCAACAAGAAGAGCTAACTATCCTAAATATATATGCACCCAATACAGGAGCACCCAGATTCATATAGCAAGTTCTTAAAGACCTAAAAAGAGATTAAGACTCCCATACAATAATAGAGAGAGACTTTAACACTCCACTCTCAATATTAGACAGATCAATGAGAGAAAATTAACAAGGGTATTCAGGACTTGAACTCAGCTCTGGACCAAGCGGAACTAATAGACATCTATAGAAATCTACACCACAAATCAACAGAATATACATTCTTCTGAGCACTACATCACACTTATTCTAAAACTGACCACATAGTTGGAAGTAAAACACTCCTCAGCAAATGTAAAATAATGGAAATCATAACAGTCACTCAAACCACGGTGCAATCAAATTAGAACTCAGAATTAATAAACTCACTCAAAACCCACAACTACATGGAAACTGAGCAACCTGCTCCTGAATGACTATTAGGTAAATAACAAAATGAAGGTGCAAATAAATAAATTCTTTAAAACCAATGAGAACAAAGGTACAATGTACCAGAATCTCTGGGACACAGCTAAAGCAGTGTAGAGAGAAATTTACAGCACTAAATGCCCACAGGAGAAAGCAGTAAGATCAAAAATTGACATCCAACATCACAATTAAATAACTAGAGAAGCAAGAGCAAACAAATTCAAAAGCTAGCAGAAGGCAAGAAATAACTAAGATCACAGCAGAACTGAAGGAGATAGAGACATGAAAAAACCTTCAAAAATCAAAGAATACAGGAGCCGGTTTTTTGAAAACATTAACAAAATAGATTGATAGCCAGACTAATAAAGAAGAAAACAGAGAAGAATCAAATACTCACAATAAAAAAATGATAAAGGAAATATCAGCATTGATCACACAGAAATACCTACTACCATTGGAGAATACTAGAAATAGCTCTACACAAATAAACTAGAAAATCTAGAAGAAATGGATAAATTCCTGAACACATACACCCTCCCAAGAATAAACCAGGAAGAAGTTGAATCCCTGAATAGATCAATAACACATTTTTGAAATTGAGGCAGTAACTAATAGTCTACCAACCAAAAAAACCCCAGGACCAGAAGGATTCACAGCCGAATTCTACCAGAGGTACAAAGAGGAGCTGGTACCATTCCTTCTGAAACTATTCCAAACAATAGAAAAAGAGGGAATCCCCCCTAACTCATTTTATGAGTTCAGCATCATCCTGACAGCACAACCTGGCAGAGACACAACAAAAAAAGAAAATTTCAGGCCAATATCCCTGATGAACATCCATGTGAAAATCCTCAATAAAATATTGGCAAACCAAATCAAGGAGCACATCAGAAATCTTACATAACAAGATCAGTTGCCTTCATCCCCTGGGATGCAAGGCTGGTTTAACATCACATACAGTTATCCATCACATACAGAACCAATGACAAAAACCACATGATTTTCTCAATAGATGCAGAAAGGCCTTCACTAAAATTCAACAGCACTTCATGCTAAAAACTCTCAATAAACTAGGTATTGATGGAACACATCTCAAAATAATAAGAGCTATTTATGACAAACCCACAGTCAATATCATACTGAATGGGCAAAAGCTGGAAGCATTTCCTTCGAAAACCTGAACAAGAAAAAGAGGCCCTCTCTCACCACTCCTATTCAACATATTATTGAAAGTTATGGCCAGGGCAATCGTGAAAGAGAAAGAAATAAAAGGTATTCAAATAGGTAGAGAGGAAGTGAAATTGTCTCTGTTTGCAGTTGACCTGATTGTATATTTAGAAAACCCTATTGTCTCAGCCCAAAATCTCCTTAAGCTGATAAAAAACTTCAGCCAAGTCTCAGGATACAAAATCAACATGCAAAAATCACAAGCATTCCTATACACCAATAATAGACAAACAGAGAGCCAAATCATGAGTGAACTCCCTTCACAATTGCTACAAAAAGAATAAAATACCTAGGAATACAACTTAAAAAAGACGTGTAGGACCCCTTCAAGGAGAACTACAAACCACTGCTCAACGAAATCAGAGAGGACACAAACAAATTAAAAAAATTCCATGCTCATGGATAGGAAGAATCAATATCATGTAAATGGCCATACTGCCCAAAGTAATTTATAGATTCAATGCTATCCCCATTGAGCTACCATTGACTTTCTTCACAGAATTAGAAAAAACTACTTTAAATTTTATATGGAACCAAAAAAGAGCTTGTATAGCCAAGACAATCCTAAGCAAAAAGCACAAAGCTCGAGGCACCATGCTACCTGACTTCAAACTATACTACAAGGCTACGGTAACTGAAACAGCATGGTACTTGTACCAAAACAGAGATATAGACCAATGGAACAGAACAGAGGCCTCAGAAATAATGCCACACATCTGCCACCATCTGATCTTTGACAAACCTGGCAAAAACAAGCAATTGGAAAACGATTCCCTATTGAATAAATGGTGTTGGGAAAACTGGCTAGCCATATGTAGAAAACTAGAACTGGACCTCTTCTTTACACCTTATACAAAAATTAACTCAAGATGGATTTATGACTTAAATATAATACCTAAAACCATAAAAGCCCTAGAAGAAAACCTAGGCAATGCCATTCAGGACATAAGCATGGGCAAGGCTTCATGACTAAAACACCAAAAGCAATGGCAACAGAATCCAAAATTGACAAATGGGACCCAATTAAACTAAATAGTTTCTTCACACACAAAAAAAAACTATCATCAGAGTGAAAAGGGAACCTACAGAATGGGAGAAAAATTTTGCAATCTATCCATCTGACAAAGGGCTTATATCCAGAATCTACAATGAACTTAAACAAATTTACAAGAAATAAACAAAGAACCCCATCTAAAAGTGGGCAAAGGATATGAACAGACACTTCTCAAAAGAAGACATTTATGTGGCCAACAACGATATGAAAAAATCCTTATCATCACTGGTCATTAGAGAAATGCAAATCAAAACCACAATGAGATACCATCTGATGCCAGTTAGAATGGAGATCATTAAAATAAAACAGGAAACAACAGATTCTGGAGAGGATGTGGAGAAATAGGAATGCTTTTACACTGTTGGTGGAAGTGTAAGTTAGTTGAACCATTGTGCAAGACAGTGTGGCAATTCCTCCAGGATCTAAAACCAGAAATACTATTTGACCCAGCAATCCCATTATTGGGTTTGTACCCAAAGGATTATAAATCATCTACTATAAAGGCACATGCATATGTATTTTTATTGCAACACTATTCACAATAGCAAACACTTGGAACCAACCAAAATGCCCATCAATGATAGACTGGATAAAGAAAATGTGGCACATATATACCATGGAATACTATGCAGCCATAAAAAGGAATGATTTAGTGTCCTTTGCAGGGACACGGAGGAAGCTGGAAACCACCATTCTAAGCAAACTAACACATGAACAGAAACCAAACACTGCATGTTCTAACTCATAAGTGGGAGTTGAACAATGAGAACACATGGACACAGGGAGGGGAACATCACACACCGGGGCCTGTTGGGAGGTGGGGGAGGGGTAGGTGAGAGATAGTATCAGGAGAAATACCTAATGTAGTCGTCGGGCTGATGGGTGCAGCAAACCACCATGGCATGCGTATGCCTATGTAACAAACCTGAACATTCTGCACATGTATCCCAGAACTTGAAGTATAAAAAAGAAAGTGGGCAAAGGACATAAACAGATCTTTTTCAAAAGAAGACGTACATACAGCCCACAAGCATATGAAAACATACTCAACATCACCAATCATTAGAGAAATGTGACTCAAACCACAATGAGATACCATCTCACACTAGTCACAATGGCTATTATTCAAAAGTCAAAAAATAGGCCGGGCGTGGTGGCTCACCCCTGCAATCCCAGCACTTTGGGATATGGTCTCAAAAAAGGGAACAGATGCCAGGGCCTACCTGATGGTGGAGGATGGGAGGAAGGTGAGGAAATATGTGAAACCCCATCTCTACTAAAAATACAAAAACTAACCAGGCATAGTGGCAGGTGCCTGTAGTCCCAGCTATTTGGGAAGATGAGGTAGGAGAATCGCTTGAACCCAGGAGGTAGAGGTTGCAGTGAGCCAAGATTATGCCACTGTACTCCAGCCTGGGAGACAGAGTGAGACTCCATCTCAAAAAAAAAAAAAAAGTAATATATACTGATGAGGTTGTGGAGAAAAGAGAATGCTTATACACTGCTGGTGGAAATGAAAATTAGTTCAGTCTTTGTGTAAAGCAGTTTGGCAATTTCTCAAAAATTTTAAACAGAATTACTATCTGACTCAGCCATCCCATTATTGGGTATAGAACCAAAAATAAAAGTCATCCTACCATAAAAACACATACATGCATATGTTCACTGCAGCACTATTTACAATAGCAAAGATACGGAATCAACCTAAATGCCCATCAACAGAAGACAGGATAAAGAAAATTTGGTACATATACATCATAGAATACTATGTAGCCATAAATAATAGTAATATGTCATTTGCAGCAACATGAATGGAGCTTGAGGCCATTATCCTAAGTGAAGGAACACAGGAACAGAAAACTGAATACCATATGCTCTCACTTATAAGTGGAAGGTAAACACTGATTACACATGGTCTCAAAGAAGGGAACAGATGCCAGGGCATACTTGAGGGTGGAGGATGGGAGGAAGGTGAGGATAGAGAAACTACCTATTGGGTGCTATGCTTATTACCTGTGGGAGGAAATAATCTGTACACCAAACCTCTGTGACATGCAATTTACCTATATAACAAGCCTGCACATGTATCCCTAAATATCAAAGTTTAAAAAAAAACATAAATTATCAACATCGAGGATGAAAGAGTTGATATCCCTATAGATCACATAAGTGTTATAAGAATAAAAATGGCATATTATGAACAACTATATGCCAGTAAATTCAATAGTCAAGAAGAAATGATTAAATTATTTGAAAAAATCAAATTACCAAAATCAATACAAGTAGAAAATCTATATTTATTAATAATCTTATTACACATGGAATCTTTTGTTTTAATTTTGTGTTTTAATTGTTTATATTATTTTTTGATATATAATAGTCGAACACATTTTTGTGGTGTACGTGATATTTTGATACCTGTATACAGTGTATAGTGATCAAATCAGAGTAATTGAGATATCCATCACCTCAAACTTTTATCCTTTCTTTATGTTAGGTACATTACAACTCTTCTAGCTATTTTGAAATACATAATAAATTATTGTTAACTATAACTTCCCTACTGTACTATCAGATACTAGATCTTGTTCCATGTATGTAACTGTATTTTTGTACCCATTAAGCAACTTCTCTTCTTCCCCCTTTCCTGCTCCCTTACCAGACTAGGTGTCCCCCATTCTACTCCCTACTTCCATGAGATCCAACTTTTTAGCTCCCATGTATGAGTAAGAACATACAATATTTGTCCTTCTGCACCTGCTTTACCTCACTTATCATAATGACTTCCAGTTTCATTCATGTTGCTGAAAATGTCAACATTTCATGCTTTTTATGGCTCAACAATATTCAACTGTGTATATATACGATATTTTCTTTATCCATTTATCCATTGATAGACATTTAGGTTGATTGCTTATCTTGGCTATTATGACTATTGCTGCAATAAATATGGGAGTGCAAATAGCAGATATCTTTTCCATATGCTGATTTCATTTCCTTTGAATACATACCCAATAGTGGGATTGCAGGATCATATGGTAATTCTGTTTTAGTTTTTTTGAGGAAGCTCCTCTCTTTTCCATAATGTCTGTATTATTTTACATTCCTACCAACAGTGTTTGAGCGTTTCCCTTTCTTCACATCTCTGCCAGCAGTCGATTTTGTTGTCTTTTGGATAATAGCCATTCTAACTGGGATGAGATGATATTGTGGGTTTGATTTGCACTTTTTTATTGATTAGTGGTTTCAGCATTTTTATATGCCTGTTGACAACTTGCATATCTTTGAAGAAATGTCTATTGAGGTCTTTGCCAAGTTTTAAACTGATTTTTTTTTTTTTGCTATTGAGTTGTTTGAGTTCCTTATATATTCTGGTTATTAATCCCTTGTCAGATGGATAGTTTACAAATATTTTATCAAATTTTGTAGGTTGCTTCTTCACAATGTTGATTATTTCCTTTGTTGTGCAAAAGCTTTTTAGGTTGATGTAATCCTATTTGTCTGCTCTTGTTTTAATTGCCTGTGTCTTGATGTCTTACACAAAAATTCTTTGCCGAGACCAATGTCCTGTAGAATTTCTCCAATGTTTTCTTTTAGTAGTTTCATAGCTTCAGGTCTTTACAAAAAATTCAATTACCAAAAAATTCAATTGGGCAACATTGATTAAATGCAATCCCCAAAATCCCATTCAGTTATTTTTCTAGAAATTTACAAGCTGATTTTAAAACTTATTTGGGAAGGCAAAATATCTAGAATAGTCAAAACAATCTTTAAAACAAGGAGAAAGTGGAAGGACTCACACTACCTGAATTTAAGGCTTTGTATAAGCAACAGTAATCAAGACAATTGGCACTGGCAACAGAATAAGTAAATATATCACTGGAAAAAAAATGGAAAGTTCATAAATAGTTCAACATATAATATTTTCATAAAGAGCACAAAGCAAATTACTGGGCAGAAGGTAATCTCTTTAACAAATGATTCTGGAATAATTGGGCAGCCACATAGAAGAAAATCCTAGACTACTATTTCATACAACACGACACACAAAATCTAAGACGGATCATTGACCCAACCACAATTGTTAAAACTATAAAGCTACTAGAAGAATAGATGAAATAATATATTTTATAACTTGTGGTATTCAGAGGTTTCT
Source organism: Homo sapiens (assembly GCF_000001405.40). Lineage (NCBI taxonomy): Eukaryota > Metazoa > Chordata > Mammalia > Primates > Hominidae > Homo > Homo sapiens. Next base: position 109,080,153 of record NC_000023.11, on the reverse strand, counting down.
TAGAACACAGAAAGTATGAAACATTAAAAAAAGTTAATATAATTTACTTTATCAAAATTAAATCCTTCTTTTTTTGAAAAAATATTAGCCAGGTATGTTGGCACATGCCTATAGTCCCAGCTACTCAGGAGGCTGAGGCAGGAGGATAGCTTCAATTCAGGAGTTTGAGTCCAGCCTCGAAATAAATAAATAAATAAACACAGACAACATTAAGGGATTGAAAAGACAAGCTACAGATTGGATAATATATTTGCAACATGGAGCAGACAAATGACTTGTATTCAGAATAGAAAGAAAAAATTTCTATAACTCAAAAGTAAATAAAAATCCACCGAGTAAGTCTAGGCAAAATCACTCAGAAGTACACTTTGGAAAATAAGATATATGAGTAGCCAATAAGAACATGAAAGGATGCCTAATATCAGTGGTCATCAGGAAAATGAAAATCGAAATCATAATGAGATACTGTTACATACCCACTAGGATTGTTTAAAAAAATGACAACACCAAACGTTGGAGAAGATATGAAATAATAAGAACTCTTTTACATTGCTGATGGGAGAGGAAAAGGATATGAATGGCTATAAGTTTAAAAACTATCAGTTTTTGTAAAGTTAAACATATATCTACGTCATATATACATGTATAGACATATACATGTATATATATGTACAAAGTAATTCCATCTGTAGGTAGTTATCCAAAAGAAATAAAAACATGTTCAAAAAAGACCTATTCGAGAATGTTCACAACAGCTTTATTGATTATAGCTAAAATGTGATAACAGCTTAGATGTCTATCAATACAATTATGATAAACTGTGGGATATTTGTGTAATGGAATACTACTCAGCAATAAAATTAATGATCAATAACATGGCTGAATCTAAAAAGTATTATTCTGAGTGAAATAAACTGACACAAAAAGTACAACTGAATGATTGAACTAATATAAAATTCTGCAACATAAAAACTAACCTAAAATGATAGAAATCAGATTAAGAGTTACTGGTGGTAGTACGGTTCACTAGGAGGGTTTGAGGAAATGTTCTTGGATAATGGAAATATTCTGTATCTTCATAAGGATGTGGGTAAGATGAGTATATTTATTTTACAAAACTGGCATCCTTAAGATGTAAGCATTTTACTTAATGTAAATTATATCCTCTATTAGTTTTCTGTTGCTACATAGCAAATTACTTCTACACACTTACTAACTTAAAACAACACCCATTTATTATGTTACAGTTTCTGTAGGTCAGAAGTCCTGCATAGCATGACTGAGTTGTCTGCTCAGGAAATCACAAGGATAAAATCAAGGTGTCAGTTGGGTTGAGTTATCATCTGAAAAAAAAAAAAAGCTTCCAAAATTATTGTTGGCAGAATTCAATTCACTGAGGTTGTTGGGCTCAAACACTTCCTTATATTCCCCTGAATGTCTGCCAGGGAATTCCATCAACAAATAGAGGCTGTCTTCAGTACCTTGTCCCATGGCTTCTGTATTTCAGCAAAAGAGAACCTCCCTTGTGGGGAATCCGTCTTATATTTCCAATATATTTGACTTTCTTTTCTGCTGCCAGACAGATAAAAGTCTCAGCTATAAAAGGGATGATTTTATTAAGTCAGACCCACTCAGAAATCTTAAAACCAAATTATTTCATACTTTAATTACATCTGCAAATTACTTTAACAGCAGTACCTAAATTAGTGTTGATTGAGTAATTAGGGACCAGGAATCTTGGGGCAGAAACATTTTAGAATGCTGTCTATAATATAACTGAATTAGAAATGAAGGAAGAATAGAAATATCTTTAAACAAACAACAATTGGGATGGGAGAATTTCTTACCAACAGTTTTTACTTCAATAAATATAAAAGGGAAATTTTCAGGGTGAAAAGAAATGATACCAGGTGGAAGCCTGAATCTGCAAGAAGGAAGAAACAACAGTAGAAGTGGTAAATATGGCCTGGCAAGATGGCTGAATAGGAACAGCTCTTGTCTGCAGCTCCCAGTGAGATTGATGCAGAAGGTGGGTGATTTCAACATTTCCAACTGAGATACATGATTCATCTCATTGTGATTGGTTGGAGACTGGGTGCAGACCACACAGGGTGAACCAAAGCAGGGTGGGGCATCACCTCACCAGGGAAGTGCAACAGGTGGAGGGATTTCCCTTTCTCAGCCAAGGGAAGTCATGAGACTGTACCAGGAGGAAAGGTACACTGCAGCCCAGATACTACACTTTTCCCACTGTTTTCACAACCTGCAGACCAGGAGATTCCCTCTGGTGCCTGGCTCGATGGGTCCTACCCCCATGGAGCCCAGCAAGCTAATATCCACTGGCTCAAAATTCTTCCTGCTAGCACAGCAGTCTGAGGTTGACCTGGGATGCTTGAGATTGGTGGGGGGAAATGTGTCTACCATTGCTGAGGCTTGAGTAGGTGGTTTTACCCTCAGAGTGTAAACAAAGTCACCAGGAAGTTCGAACTGGATGCAGCCCACCGCAGCTCAGCAAGGCCGAATGCCTCTCTAGATTCCTCCTCAGTGGACAGGGCATCTCTGAAATATATAGCCAAATGATCAAGTGGAAGAAAGGATATCAGAGATTAAAGATCAACTCAATGAAATAAAGTGAGAAGACAAGATTAGAGAAAAAAGTGTGAAAAGCAATGAACAAAGCTGCCAAGAAATATGGGACTATGTGAAAAGACCAAATCTATGTTTGATTAGTGTACCTGAAAGTGACAGGGAGAATGGAACCAAGTTGGAAAACACTCTTCAGCATATTATCCAGGAGAACTTCCCCAACCTAGAAAGACAGGCCAACATTCAAATTCAGGAAATACAGAGAACACCACAAAGATACTCCTCAAGAAGAGCAACCCCAAGACATAATCATCAGATTCACCAAGGTTGAAATGAAGGAAAAAATGTTAAGAGTAGCCAGAAAGAAAGGTCATGTTACCCACAAACGGAAGCCCATCAGACTAACAACTGATCTCTCACCAGAAACCCTAAAAGCCAGAAGAGAGTGGGGGTCAATATTCAACATTCTTAAAGGAAGAATTTTCTACTCAGAATTTCATATCCAGCCAAACTAAGCTTCATAAGTGAACAAGAAATAAAATCCTTTACAGACAAGCAAATGCTGAGAGATTTTGTCACCACCAGTTCTGCCATACAAGAGCTCCTGAAGGAATTACTAAACATGGAAAGGAACAACTGATACCAGCCACTGTAAAAACATACAAATTGTAAAGACCATCAACAATATGAAGAAACTTCATCAACCAACTGGCAAAATAACCAGCTAGCATCATAATGACAGGATCAAATCCACAAATAACAATATTAACCTTAAATGTAAATGGGCTAAATGCCCAAATTAAAAGCTACAGCCTGGCAAATTGGATAAAATCAAGACTCATCAGTGTGCTGTATTCAGGAGACCCATCTCACATGCAAGACACACATAGGCTCAAAATAAAGGGATGGAGGAATATTTATCAAACAAATGGAAACAAAAAAAAGCAGGGGTTACAATCCTTGTCTCTGATAAAACTGACTTTAAACCAACAAAGATCAAAAGAGACAAAGAAGGACATTACATAATGGTAAAGGGATCAATGTAACAAGAAAAGCTAACTATCCTAAATATATTTACCTAATGCAGGAGCACCTAGATTTATAAAACAAGTTCTTAGAGACCCACAAAGAGACTTAGACTCCCACACAATAATAGAGGAAGACTTTAATACCCCACTCTCAATATTAGACTGATCAATCAGACAGAAAATTAACAAGGATATTCAGGACTTGAACTCAGCTCTGGACCAAGCAGAACTAATAGACATCTACAGAACTCTATATCCCAAATCAACAGAATATACATTCTTCTGAGCACCACATCACACTTATTCTAAAATTGACCACATAATTGGAAGTAAAACACTCCTCAGCAAATGCAAAATAATGGAAATCATAACAAGCAGGCTCTCAGACCACAGTGCAAGCCAATTAAAACCCAGGATTAATAAGCTCACTCAAAACTGCAAAACTACATGGAAACTGAACAACCTGCTCCTGAATGACTACTGGGTAAATAATGAAATTAAGGTAGAAAAAAATAAGTTATTTGAAATCAATGAGAACAAAGACACAACATATCAGAGTCTCTGGAACACATTTAAAGCAGTGTGTAGAGGGAAATTTATAGCACTAAATGCCCACAAAATAAAGGAAGAAAGATCTAAAATTGAAATTCTAACATCAAAATTAAAAAAACTAGACAAGCAAGAGCAAAGAAATTCAAAAGCTAGCAGAAGACAAGAAATAACTAAGATCAGAGCAGAACTGAAGAAGAGACACAAAAACCCTCAAAAAGACCAATGAATCCGGGAGCTATTTTTTTGAAAAGATCAACAAAATCAGTAGAGCACTAGCCAGACTAATAAAGAAGAAAAGGGAGAAGAATCAAATAGACATAATGAAAACATGCTAAAGGTGTTATCACCACCAATCCCACAGAAATACAAAGTATCATCAGAGAATACTATAAACACCTCTACCCAAACAAACTAGAAAATCTAGAAGAAATGGATAAATTCCTGTACAAATACACCCTCCCAAGACTAAACCAAGAAAAAGTCAAATCCCTGAATAGACCAATAACAAGTTCTGAAATTGAGGCAGTAATTAATAGCCTACAAACCAAAAAAAGTTCAGGACCAGATGAATTCACAGCCAAATTCTACCAGAGGTACAAAGAGGAGCTGGTACCATTCCTTCTGAAATTATTCCAAACAATAGAAAAAGAGGGAATCCTCCCTAACTCATTTTATGGGGTCAGCATCATCCTGATACCAAAACCTGGCAGAGACACACCAAAAAAAAAAAAAAAAAAGAAAATTTCAGGCCAATATCCCTGATGAACAACGATGCAAAAATCCTCAATAAAATACTGACAAACTGAATGCAGCAGCACATCAAAAAGCTTATATACCACGATCAAGTCAGCTTCATCCCTGGGATGGAAGGCTGGTTCAACATACTCAAATCAATAAACATAATCCATCACATAAACACATCCAATGATAAAAACCACATGATTATCTCAATAGATGCAGAAAAGCCTTTGACAAAATTCAACAGCCTTTCATGTTAAAATCTCTCAATAAACTAGGTATTGATGGAACACATCTCAAAATAATAAGAGTTATTTATGACAAACCCACAGCCAATATCATACTGAATGGGCAAAAGCTAGTAGCATTCCCTTTGAAAACCAACACAAGACAAGGATGCCCTCTCTCACCACTCCTATTCAACATATTATTGGAAGTTCTAGCCAGGGCAATCAGGCAAGAGAAAGAAATAAAGGGTATTCAATTAGAAAAAGAGGAAGTCAAATTGTCTCTGTTTGCAGATGACATGATTATATATTTAGAAAACCCCATCGTCTCAGCCCAAAATCTCCTTAAGCTGATAGGCAACCTCAGCAAAGTCTCAGGATACAAAATTAATATGCAAAAGTCACAAGCATTCCTATACACCAATAATAGACAAACAGAGAGCCAAATCATGAGTGAAAACCCATTCACAATTGCTACAAAGGGAATAAAATACCTAGGAATACAACTTATAACGGATGTGTAGGACCTCTTCAAGGAGAACTACAAACCACTGCTCAAGGATATAAGAGAGGACACAAACAAGTCGAAAAGCATTCCATGCTTATGGATAGGAAGAATCAATTTTGTGAAAATGGCCAGAATGACAAAAGTAATTTATAGATTCAATGTTATCCCCATCAAGCTACCATTGACTTTCTTCACATAATTGGAAAAAAAAGTCCTTTAAATTTCATATGGAAACAAAAAAGAGCCCACATAGCCAAGACAATCCTAAGCAAAAAAACAAACCTGCATGCATCATGCTACCTGACTTCAAACTATACTACAGGGCTAAAGTAACCAAAACAGTATGGCACTGGTTCCAAAACAGATATATAGATCAATGGAACAGAAGAGAGGCCTCAGAAATAACATCACACATCTAAAATCATCTGATCTCTGATAAACCTGACCAAAACAAGCAATGGGGAAAGGGTTCCCTATTTAATAAATGGTGCAGGAAAACTGACTAGCCATATGTAAAACACTGAAATTGGATCCCTTCCTTACACATTATACAACAATTAATTCAAGATGGATTTAAGACCTAAACGTAAGACCTAAAACCATAAAAACCCTAGAAGAAAACCTAGGCAATACCATTCAGGAGGTAGGCATGGGCAACGACTTCATGACTAAAACACCAAAAGTAATGGCAACAAAATCCAAAATTGACAAATGAGATCTAATAAACTAAAGGGCTTCTGCACAGCAAAGGAAACTATCATCATAATGAACAGGCAACCTACAGAATGCCAGAAAAAAATTTGCAATATATCCATCTGACTAATGGTTAATATCAAGAATCTACAAAGAACTTAAACAAATTTACAATGAAAAATCAAACAACCCCATCAAAAAGCAGGTGAAGGATATGAACAGACAATTCCCAAGGGAAGACATTTTTTGCAGCCAACAAACATTTGAAAAAATACTCATCATCACTGGTCATTAGACAAATGCAAATCAAAACCACAATGAGATACCATCTCACACCAGTTGGAATGGCGATCATTATAAAGTCAGGAAACAGATGCTGGAGAGGATGTGGAGAAATAGGAATGCTTTTACACTGTTGGTGGGAGTATAAATTAGTTCAACCATTGTGGAAGATTATTTTCAAATGCCTTAAAAAGATTATTGACTTTTAAAATTAAAATAGTAAAGAAAAATAAAATATGAATTATCTAAAAGGAAAAATAATAAGAATGTATGGTGGGCTTTACAACACATGTAGAAGAAAATTATATAATAACAATAGCATCAAGGGCTAGATGGGTTGAAAACAGAATTACGCTGTTGTGCGTTTCTTACATTGATTGCAAAATAGTAGAACAGTAAATCAAGGTAGACTGTGATAAGTTAAGGATATATACATACTGTACATTTCTAGAGCAACCACTGAAAAATTGAACCAAAACTGTACATTGAAAAAGTCAATAGAAAATATGAATTGATAAGGGGTGCAGCACACCAACATGGCACATGTATACATATGTAACAATCCTGCACATTGTGCACATGTACCCTAAAACTTAAAGTATAATAAAAAAAGAAAATATGAATTGAATTACTAACAAATTTTTGATTAATTAAAAAGAAGACTGCAAGCTACTACAGCCATTATGGAAAGCAGTATAGAGATTCCTTAAAAATTAAAAATGGAACTGCCATGTGATACAGCAATCCCACTACTGGGTATATATACAAAGGAAATAAAATCATTATTTTAAAGGTGTATCTGGGGGGTGGAGCCAAGATGGTTGAATAGGAACAGCTCCAGTCTACAGCTCCCAGCATGAGCGATGCAGAAGATGGGCGATTTCTGCATTTCCAACTGAGGTACCGGGTTCATCTCACTGGGGAGTGTCAGACAGTGGGTGCAGTGCACCAAGCCTGAGCCAAAGCAGGAAGTACAAGGGGTCAGGGAATTCCCTTTCCTAGTCAAAGAAAGGGGTGACAGATGGCACCTGGAAAATTGGGTCACTCCCACCCTAATACTGCGCTTTTCCAATGGTCTTAGCAAATGGCACACCAGGAGATTATATCCCATGCATAGCTTGGAAGGTCCTATGCCTACGGAGCCTCACTCATTGCTAGCCCAGCAGTCTGAGATCAAACTGCAAGGCAACAGTGAGGCTGGGGGATGAGCACAAGCCATTGCCGAGGCTTGAGTAGGTAAACAAAGCAGCCACGAAGCTCGAACTGGGTGGATCCCACCGCAGCTCAAGGAGGCCTGCCTGCCTCTGTAGATTCCACCTCTGGGGGCAGGACATAGCCAAACAAAAGGCAGCAAAAAACGCTGCAGACTTAAATGTCCCTGTCTGACACCTTTGAAGAGAGTAGTGGTTCTCCCAGCATGCAGCTGGAGATCTGAGAATGGACAGAATGCCTCCTGATGTGGGTCCCTGACCCCCGAGTAGCCTAACTGGGAGGCACCCCCAAGTAGGGGCAGACTGACACCTCAGATGGCTGGGTACTCCTCTGAGACAAAACTTCCAGAGGAATGATCAGGCAGCAACATTTGCTGTCCACCAATATCTGCTGTTCTGTGGCCTCCGCTGCTGATACCTGGACAAACAGGGCCTGCAGTGGACCTCCAGCAAACTGCAACAGACCTGCAGCTGAGGGTCCTGACTGTTAGAAGGAAAACAAACAAACAGAAAGGACATCCACACCAAAACCCCATCTGTACGTAACCATCATCAAAGACCAAAGGCAGATAAAACCACAAAGATGGGGGAAAAAAAGAGCAGAAAAACTGGAAACTCTGAAAATCAGAGCACCTCTCCTCCTCCAAAGGAACACAGCTCCTCACCAACAACAGAACAAAGCTGGACAGAGAATGACTTTGACGAGTTGGGAGAAGAAGGCTTCAGATGATCAAACTACTCCAAGCTAAAGGAGGAAGTTCGAACCCATGGCAAAGAAGTTAAAAAGCTTGAAAAAAAATTAGACTAATGGCTAACTAGAATAACCAATGCAGAGATGTTCTTAAAGGACAAGATGGAGCTGAAAACCATGGCACGAGAACTATGTGATGAATGCACAAGCCTCAGTAGCTGATTTGATCAACTGGAAGAAAGGGTATCAGTGATGGAAGATCAAATGAATGAAATGAAGCAAGAAGAGAAGTTTAAAGAAAAAAGAATAAAAAGAAACAAACAAAGCCTCCAAGAAATATGGGACTATGTGAAAAGACCAACTCTACGTCTGATTGGTGTACCTGAAGGTGACAGGGAGAATGGAACCAAGTTGGAAAACACTCTGCAGGATATTATCCAGGAGAACTTCCCCAATCTAGCAAGGCAGGCCAATATTCAAACTCAGGAAATACACGGAATGCCACAAAGATACTCCTCAAGAAGAGCAACTCCAAGACACATAATTGTCAGATTCGCCAAAGTTGAGATGAAGGAAAAAATGTTAAGGGCAGCCAGAGAGAAAGGTCGGGTTACCCACAAAGGGAAGCCCATCGGACTAACAGCAGATCTTTCAGCAGAAACTCTACAAGCCAGAAGAGAGTGGGGGCCAATATTCAACATTCTTAAAGAAAAGAATTTTCAACCCAGAATTTCATATCCAGCCAAACTAAGCTTCATAAGTGAAGGAGAAATAAAATCCTTTACAGACAAGCAAATGATGAGAGATTTTGTCACCACCAGGCCTGCCCTAAAAGAGCTCCTGAAGGAAGCACTAAACATGGAAAGGAACAACCAGTACCAGCCACTGCAAAAACATGCCAAATTGTAAAAACCATCGATGCTACGAAGAAACTGCATTAACTAATGAGCAAAATAACCAGCTAACATCTTAATGACAGGATCAAATTCACACATAACAATATTAACTTTAAATGTAAATGGGCTAAGTGCTCCAATTAAAAGACACAGACTGGCAAATTGGATAAAGAGTCAAGACCCATCAGTGTGCTGTATTCAGGAAACCCATCTCACGTGTAGAGACACACATAGGCTCAAAATAAAGGGATGGAGGAAGATCTACCAAGCAAATGGAAAACAAAAGAAGGCAGGGTAGTCTCTGATAAAGCAAATTTTAAACCAACAAAGATCAAAAGAGACAAAGAAGGCCATTACATAATGATAAAGGGATCAATTCAACAAGAAGAGCTAACTATCCTAAATATTTATGCATCCAATACAGGAGCACCCAGATTCATAAAGTAAGTCCTTAGAGACCTACAAAGAGACTTAGACTCCCACACAATGATAATAGGAGACTTTAACACCCCCACTGTCAACATTAGACAGATCAATGAGACAGAAAGTTAACAAGGATATCCAGGAACTGAACTCAGCTCTGCACCAAGCGGACCTAATAGACATCTACAGAGCTCTCCACCCCAAATCAACAGAATATACATTCTTTTGAGCACCACACCACACCTATTCCAAAACTGACCACATAGTTGGAAGTAAAGCTCTCCTCAGCAAATGTAAAAGAACAGAAATTATAACAAACTGTCTCTCAGACCACAGTGCAATTAAACTAGAACTCAGGATTAATAAACTCACTCAAAACTGCTCAACTACATGGAAACTGAGCAACCTACTCCTGAATGACTATTGGGTACATAATGAAATGAAGGCAGAAATAAAGATGTTCTTCGAAACCAATGAGAACAAAGATACAACATACCTGTGGGACACATCCAAAGCAGTGTGTACAGGGAAATTTATAGCACTAAATGCCCACAAGAGAAAGCAGGAAAGATCTAAAATTGACACCCTAACATCACAATTAAAAGAACTAGAGAAGCAAGAGCAAACACATTCAAAAGCTAGCAGAGGGCAAGAAATAACTGAGATCAGAGCAGAACTGAAGGAAATAGAGACACAAAAAAAACCCTTCAAAAAATCAGTGAATCCAGGAGCTGGTTTTTTGAAAAGATCAACAAAATTGATAGACCGCTAGCAAGATTAATAAAGAGGAAAAGAGAAAAGAATCAAATAGGTGCAATAGAAAATGATAAAGGGGATATCACCACTGATCCCACAGAAATACAAACTACCATCAGAGAATACTATAAACATCTCTACACAAATAAACTAGAAAATCTAGAAGAAATGGATACATTCTTTACACATACACCCTCCCAAGACTAAACCAGGAAGAAGTTGAATCTCTGAATAGACCAATAACAGGCTCTGAAATTGAGGCAATAATTAATAGCTTACCAACCAAAAAAAGTCCAGGACCAGATGGATTCACAGCCGAATTCTACCAGAAGTACAAGGAGGAGCTGGTACCATTCCTTCTGAAACTATTCCAATCAATAGAAAAAGAGGGAATCCTTCCTAACTCATTTTATGAGGACAGCATCATCCTGTTACCAAAGCCTGGCAGAGACACAACCAAAAAAGAGAATTTTAGACCAACATCCTTGATGAACATTGATGCAAAAATCCTCAATAAAATACTGGCAAACGGAATCCAGCAGCACATCAAAAAGCTTATCCACCACAATCAAGTTGGCTTCATCCCTGGGATGCAAGGCTGATTCAACATATACAAATCAATAAACGTAATCCAGCATATAAACAGAACCAATGGCAAAAACCACATGATTATCTCAATAGATGCAGAAAAGGCCTTTGACAAAATTCAACAACCCTTCATGCTAAAAACTCTCAATAAGTTAGATATTGATGGGAAGTATATCAAAATAATAAGAGCTATCTATGACAAACCCACAGCCAATATCATACTGAATGGGCAAAAACTGGAAGCATTCCCTTTGAAAACTGGCACAAGAGAGGGATGCCCTCTCTCACCACTCCTATTCAACATAGTGTTGGAAGTTCTGGCCAGGGCAATCAGGCAGGAGAAGGAAACAAAGGGTATTCAATTAGGAAAAGAGGAAGTCAAATTGTCCCTGTTTGCAGATGACATGATTGTATATCTAGAAAACCCCATCATCTCAGCCCAAAATCTCCTTAAGCTGATTGGCAACTTCAGCAAAGTCTCAGGATACAAAATCAATGTGCAAAAATCACAAGCATTCTTATACACCATTAACAGACAAACAGCCAAATCATGAGTGAACTCCCATTCACAAATGCTTCAAAGAGAATAAAATACCTAGGAATCCAACTTACAAGGGACATGAAGGACCTCTTCAAGGAGAACTACAAACCACTGCTCAATGAAATAAAAGAGGATACAAAAAAATGGAAGAACATTCCATGCTCATGGGTAGGAAGAATCAATATTGTGAAAATGGCCATACTGCCCAAGATAATTTATAGATTCAATGCCATCCCCATCAAGCTACCAATGACTTTCTTCACAGAATTGGAAAAAACTACTTTAAAGTTCATATGGAACCAAAAAAGAGCCTGCATTGCCAAGTCAATCCTAAGCCAAAAGAACAAAGCTGGAGGCATCATGCTACCTGACTTCAAACTATACTACAAGGCTACAGTAACCAAAAGAGCATGGTACTGGTACCAAAACAGAGATATAGATCAATGGAACAGAACAGAGCCCTCAGAAATAATGCCACATATCTACAACTATCTGATCTTTGACAAACCGGAGAAAAACAAGCAATGGGGAAAGGATTCCCTATTTAATAAATGGTGCTGGGAAAACTGGCTAGCCATATGTAGAAAGGTGAAACTGGATCCCTTCCTTACACCTTATACAAAAATTAATTCGAGATGGATTAAAGACTTAAATGTTAGACCTAAAACCATAAAAACCCTAGAAGAAAACCTAGGCATTACCATTCAGGACATAGGAATGGGCAAGGCCTTCATGTCTAAAACACCAAAAGCAATGGCAACAAAGGCCAAAATTGACAAATGGGATCTAATTAAACTAAAGAGTTTCTGCACAGCAAAAGAAACTACCATCAGAGTGAACAGGCAACCTACAGAATGGGAGAAAATTTTTGCAATCTACTCATCTGACAAAAGGCTAATATCCAGAATCTACAAGGAATTCAAACAAATTTACAAGAAAAAAACAACCCCATCAACAAGTGGGTGAAGGATATGAACAGACACTTCTCAAAAGAAGACATTTATACAGCCAAAAGACACATGAAAAAATGCTCATCCTCATTGGCCATCAGAGAAATGCAAATCAAAACCACAATGAGATACCATCTCACACCAGTTAGAATGGCGATCATTAAAAAGTCAGGAAACAACAGGTGCTGGAGAGGATGTGGAGAAATAGGAACACTTTTACACTGTTGGTGGGACTGTAAACTAGTTCAACCATTGTGGAAGTCAGTGTGGCAATTCCTCAGGGATCTAGAACTAGAAATACCATTTGACCCAGTCATCCTATTACGGGGTATATACCCAAAGGATTATAAATCATGCTTCTATAAAGACACATGCACATGTATGTTTATTGTGGCACTATTCACAATAGAAAGACTTGGAATCAACGCAAATGTCCAACAATGATAGACTGGGTTAAGAAAATGTGGCACATAAACACCATGGAATACTATGCAGCCATAAAAATGATGAGCTCATGTCCTTTGTAGGGACATGGATGAAGCTGGAAACCATCATTCTCAGCAAACTATTGCAGGGACAAAAAACCAAACACTGCATGTTCTCACTCATAGGTGGGAATTGAACAATGAGAACACATGGTCACAGGAAGGGGAACATCACACACCAGGGACTGTTGTGGGGTGGGGGGAGAGGGGAGGGATTGTATTAGGAGATATACCTAATGTTAAACGAAGAGTTAATGTGTGCAGCACACCAACATGGCACATGTATACATATGTAACAAACCTGCACATTGTGCACATGTACCCTAAAACTTAAAGTATAATAAAAAAAAAGGTGTATCTGCACTACCATGTTTATTGCAGCACTATTCACCATAGCCAAGATATGAAATCAATCTGTGTTCATTAACAAAAAAATGGATATAGAAAATGTGGTGTTGGCCAGGCATGGTGGCTCATGCCTGTAATCACAGCACTTTGGGAGGCCAAGGCGGGTGGATCAGTTGAGGTCAGGAGTTTGAGACCAGTTTGGCCAATAGGATGAAATGCTGTCTCTACTGAAAATACAAAAATTAGCAGGGCAGGGTGGCATGCACCTGTAATTCCAGCTGCTAGGGAGGCTGAGGCATGAGAAACAAGAATCGCTTGAACCCAGGAAGTGGAGCTTGCAGTGAGCCGACATCATGCCTCTGCACTCCAGCCTGGGTGACAAAATGAGATTCTGTCTAAAAAAAAAAAAAGAAAAAAATACATACACACATTAGAATACTATTCAGCCATAGAAAAGAATAAAAATCTTGTCATTTGCAATGACATGGATGAACCTGGGGAACACCATGATAAGTGAAATAAGCCAGACATAGAAAGACAAATACTGCATGGTTTCACTTACATGTATAATCTTAATTTTTAAAAAAGCTGATATCACAGAGAATAGAACAGTGATTATCAAAGAATGGAGCGGGGACGGGGCAGGGGAAGATGGAAAGAAGTTGGTCAACAGGTACAAAGTTACAATTAAATATGAGGAATAAATTCCCATGTTATATTGCACAGAAGTATGTCTACAGGTAACAGCAAAATATTTTTTTCCAACTTTTAAGTTCAGGGTTACATGTGCAGAATGGGCAGGTTTATTACATAGGTAAACGTGTGCCACAGTGGTTTGCTGCACAGATCATCCCATCACCTAGGTATTAAGGCCAGCATCCATTAGCTATTCTTCCTGATGTTCTCCTTCCTCCCACCACCCACTCTCTGACAGACCCCCAGTGTGTCTTGTTCCCCAGGATGTGTCCATATGTTCTCATTATTCAGCTCCCACTTATACATTAGAACATGGCATATTTGGTTTTCTGTCCCTGTGTTAGTTTGCTGAGGATAATGGTTTCTGACTCCATCCAAGGACATGATCTCGTTCCTTTCTGTGGCTGCATATTATTCCATGGTGTGTATGTACCACATTTCTTTTTAATCCAGTCTTTCATTGACGGGCATTTGGGTTGATTCCATTTCTTGGCTATTGTAAATAGTGATTCAATGAACATACACTTGAAAGTGTCTTTATAATAGAAAGATTTATATTTATTTGGGTATATACCCAGTAATGGGATTGCTGGGTCAAATGGTATTTCTGCCTCTAGGTCTTTGAGGAATAGCCATACTGTCTTCCACAATGGTTGAACTAACTTACACTCCCACCAACAGTGAAAAAGTGTTCCTTTTTTTTCCCCACAACCTTGCCAGCATCTGTTGCTTTTTGACTTTTTAATAGTAGCTATTCTGACTGGTGTGAGATGGTATTTCATTATGATTTTGATTTGCATTTCTCTAATGATCTCTAATGATGTTTAGCTTTTTTTTGTCTGATTGTTGTTGCATGTATGTCTTCTTTTGAGAAGTGTCTATTCAATGTCCTTTGCCAACACTTTAATGGGGTTGTTTGTTGTTTGCTTGGTGATTTGTTTAAGTACATTATAGATGCTGGATGGATAGATTGCAAAAATTTTCTCCCATTCTGTAGGTTGCCTGTTAACTCTGATGATAGTTTCTTTTGTTGTGCAGAAACTCTTTAGCTTAATTAGATCCCATTTGTCACTTTTTGCTTTTGTTGTCATTGCTTTTGGCATCTTCATCATGAAATGTTCTCCTGTGCTTATGTCTTGAATGGTGTTGCCTAGATTTTCTTCTAGAGTTTTCATAGTTTTGGATTTTACATGTAAATCTTTAATCTATTTTGAGTTTATTTTTGTATATGGTGTAAGGTGTCCAGTTTCAACTTTCTGCATATGGCTAACCAGTTATCCCAGCACCACTTATTAAATAGGGAATCATTTCCTCATTGCATGTTTTTGTCAGGTTTGTCAAAGATCAGATGGTTGTAGTTGTGCAGTCTTATTCCTAGGTTCTCTATTCTGTTCCATTGGTCTATGTGTATGTTCTTGTGTCAGTACCATGCTGTTTTCATTACTGAAGCCTTGTAATATAGTTTGAAGTCAGGTAATTTGATGCTTCTGGCTTTGTACTTTTGCTTAGAATTGTATTGGCTATTCAGGCTGTTTTTTGGTTCCATAGGAATTTTAAAATAGTTTTTTTTTTTTGAGTCATAGGAAGAATGTAGTAGGTAGTTTAATAGAAATGACATTGAATCTATAAATTGCTTTGGGCAGTATGACCATTTTAATAATATTGCTTCCTCCTAATCTTGAGCATGGAAGATTTTTCCATTTGTTTGTGTTATATTTGATTTCTTTTTTTTTTTTTTTTTTTTGAGACGGAATCTCACTCTGTCACCCAGGTTGGAGTGCAGTGGCATGATCTTGGCTTGCTGCAAGATCCACCTCCTAGGTTCATGCCATTCTCCTGCCTCAGCCTCCCAAGTAGCTGGGACTACAGGTGCCCGCCACCACACCCAGCTAATTTTTGTATTTTTAGTAGAGACAGGGTTTCACCATGTTAGCCAGGATGGTCTCGATCTCCTGACCTCATGGTCCACCTGCCTCAGCCTCCCAAAGTGCTGGGATTACAGGCGTGAGCCACCGTGCCGGCCCCTGTTTGTGTTATATTTGATTGCTTTGAGCAGTGGTTTGTAGTTCTGTTTGAAGAGGTCCTTCGCTTGCCTTGCTAGCTGTATTCCTAGGTATTTTATTCTTTTTGTGGCAACTGTGAATGGGAGTTCATTCATGATTTGGCTATCTGCTTGCCTGTTGTTGGTGTATGGGAATACTAGCCATTTCCCATAGTAGTTCCAATACTAGCAATCAATACACATTGATTTTGAATCCTGAAAATTTGCTAAGATTGCTTATCAGCTTAAGAAGCTTTTGGGCTGAGATGATGGGGTTTTCTAGATATAGGATCATGTCATCTGCAAAGAAAGACAGTTTGACTTCTTCTCTTCCTATTTCAATACCACTTATTTCTTTCTCTTGCATGATTGCCCTGACCAGATCTTCCAATAGTATGTTGAATAGGAGTGGTGAAAAGGAGAGAGCATCCTTTTCTTGTGCTTGTTTTCAAGGGGGAATGCTTCCAAATTTTGCCCATTCAGTATGATACTGGCTGTGGGTTTGTCATATATGGCTCTTATTATTTTGAGGTAAGTTCCTTCAATACCTAATTTATTAAGAGTTTTTAACATGAAGAGATGTTGAATTTTATCAAGGGCCTTCTCTGCATCTATTGGGATAATCGTGTGGTTTTTGTCTTTAGTTCTGTTTATGTGATGAATCACATTTATTGATTTGCATATGTTGAACCAACTTTGCTTCCCATGGATGCAGCCTACTTGATTGTGGTGGATAAGCTTTCTGAAGTGCTACTGGATTCAGTTTGCCAGTATTTTATTGAGGATTTTTGCATTGATGTTCATCAAGGATATTGACCTGAAGTTTTCCTTTTTTGTTGTACCTCTGCCAGGTATTGATATCAGGATGATGTTGGTCTCATGGAATGGGTTAGGGAGGGTCCCTCCATTTCAAATTTTGGAATAATTTCAGTAGAAATGATTTCAGCTCTTCTTTGTACCTCTGGTAGAATTCAGCTGTGAATCCATCTAGTCCTGGGCTTTTTCTTGTTGGTAGGCTATTTATTACTGCCTCAATTTCAGAACTTGTTATTGTTGTTGGTTATTGTTCCATTCAGGAATTCAATTTCCTCCTGCTTCAGTCTTGGGAGGGTGGATGTGTCCAGGAATTTATGCATTTCTTCTAGATTTTCTAGTTTATGTGCATAGAAATGTTTATAATATTCTCTGATGGTTGTTTGTATTTCTGTGTGGTCAGTGGTGATATACTCCTCATCACTTCTGATTGTGTTTTTTTGAATCTTCTCTCTTTTCTTATTAGTCTAGCTAGTGGTCTATCTATTTTATTACTTTTTTCAAAAACAAGCTCCTGGATTTGTGGATTATTTGAAGAGTTTTATTTTTGTGTCTCTATCTCATTTAGTTCAGCTCTTATTTTTGTCATAATGTTAGGTTGTTAAGATCTTTCTAGCTTTTTGATGTGAACATTTAGTGCTATAAACTTCACTCTTAACACAGCTCTAGTTGTGTCCCAGAGATTCTGGTACATTCTATCTTTGTTCTGATTAGTTTCAAAAAACTTCTTGATTTCTGTCTTAATTTCATTATTTACCCCAAAATCATACAAACACAGGTTATTTAGTTTTCATGTAATTGTGTGAGTTTGAGTTATTTTTATAGTCTTAATTTTTCATTTTATTGTGCTGTGGTTTGAGGGAGTGGTCATTATGATTTCAATTCTTTTGCATTTGCTGATAATTGTTTTATGTTTGATTATGTGGCTGATTTTAGAGTATGTGCCATTTGGTGGTGAGAAGAATGTATATTCTGTTGCTTTTCAGTGGAGAGATCTGCAGATGTTTATGAGGTCCATTTGAACCAGTGCTGAATTCAGGTCCTGAGTATCTGTTAATTTTCTGCCTCAATAATCTGTCTAACACTGTCAGTGGGGTGCTGACATCTTCCACTAATATTATGTGGGAGTCTAAGTGTCTCTGAAGTTTCTAAGAGCTTGTTTTATGAATCTAGTTGCTCCTGTGTTGGGTGCATATATATTTAGGATAGTTAGCTCTTCCTGTTGATTTGATCTTTTTACCATTATGTAATGCCCTTCTTTGTCTATCTCGATCTTTGTTGGTTTAAAGTCTGTTTTGCGCAACCCCTGCTTTTTTCTGTTTTCTATTTGCTTGATGGAGAGAGAACTCCATTCCTTTGTTTTGAGCCAATGTGTGTCTTTGCATCTGAGATGGGTCTCTTGAAGACAGCATACTGACAGGTCTTAGTTCTTTATCCAGTTTTCCATTCTGTGTATTTTAATTGGGGCATTTAGCCTGCTTACATTTGAGGTTTGTACTGTTATGTGTGGATTTAATTCTGTAATCATGATGCTAGCTGGTTATTATACAGACTTGTTTGTGTGGTTGCTTTATAGTGTCACTGGTCTGTGTACTTCACTCTCCTTTTGTAGTGGCTGGTAATGGTCTTTCCCTTCCATTTTTAGAGCTTCCTCCAGAAGCTCTTGCAAGCCAGGTCTGCTGGTTACAAATTCCCTTAGCATTTGCTTGACTGAAAAGGATCTTACTTCTCCTTTCTCTTGTCTAAGAGAGAAGGCTGGAATTCAATAGAGAAGTGACGGCAAACACCTAAGGCAAGAAAGGACAGACAAGACAGGCAGCCTGCTCAGCTGGGATTAACTGGGAGCCTAGTGAGGCTCCTCAGTGTGGGGAAAGGGTAAGTGAGTGACTCCCAGCAGTCCACATTCCCACTTCCTACTCTTGCAATTCCAGTCATAGGAGAGTTCCTTAACCCACATGGGCCCTGGTGGTAAGATAGGGAACTGCCTAGGAACCACACAACAATGTTGCTCCAGAGAGGAAACTCACATTGGATCCCACACATTTCCTGAGTCCTAAGCAGCTACAACAAGGTGCCATATTGAAATCCCAGGCCTCACCAGATTGCATCCTGCCATGGGACCCCAAAACCCCTACATCTCCACATTTTGGAGCCCCATTAATATCCTCTGCACAAAGCCAGGCACCACTGCTGGATGCTGTCACTAGGGCTGAAGCATGAGCCATTGGCAGTGATGCCACCATGGCTTCCAGTAGCAAGGCAACCACTCATTTAACCCACCCTGAGGAAGGTTTCTCCATTTATAGCCACCCCCTAGGGCTGAAGTGTGTATTCCTCAGCCACCTGACTATGAATGCTGCCACTGAAAGCAACCCCACCCTCCCCACTATAAATGAAGGAAAAATAAGTTTATCCCAGACAAGCAAAAGCTGAAAGAATTCACCACCACTAGACCAACTACAAGAAATGTTTAAGGGAGGCCTGCATATGGAAGCAAAAGAACAATATCATAATAAAAACACACAAAAGTATAAAGCCAACTCATAGAGCAAACACACAAATGAGAAAGAAAATGGCATTCAAAGGTTACCATTACAGAAAACTACCAAACCACAGTGATGAACAATAAGAGAGAAAGAAAAAAAGAACATACAAAACAACCAGAAACAAATTAATAAAGTGAGAGATATAGGCCCTCACACATCAATAATAACCTTAAATGTAAATGGCTTAAACATTCTACTTAGAAGACATAGACTAGCTGAATTAGTAAAAAAAAAATTACCCAACAATATGCTGCCTACAAGAACCTCATCTCACACATAAAAATACATATAGAATGAAAATAAAGGGATAGAAAATGAAAATGCATGCAAATGAAAACCCAAAACAAGCAGGAGTAGCTATTTGTATATCAAAGAGACTTTAAGTCAAAAATTTAAAAAAATAGAGACAAGGAATGTAGGTCATTATATAATAATAAAGGGATTAATTCAGCAAGAGGTTATAACATTTCTAAACATATGTACACCCAATGCCAGAACACTCAGATATATAAAAAATATAATTAGATTTAAAGGGAGAGATAGACTACCATATAATAATAGTTGGGGACTTCAACACCCCACTTTTAAATTATACAGATTACTTCGACATAAAAATAACAAAGAAACACTGGATTTAAACTACACATAAGATCAAATGGACCTAACACACATTTTGAGAACATTTTATCCAACAGCTACAGAATTCACATTCTTTTCATCAGAACATGGAACATTTTCCAGGATAAGCTGTATGGTAAGACATAGAATAAGCCTTGACAAATTTTCTACAATTGAAATCATATCAAGTATTTTCTCAAACTACAATAGAATAAAAGTAGAAATCAATAACAAGATAAACTTTGGAAACTGTACAAATATGTGAAAATTAACCAACATACTCATGAATGACCTTTGGGCTGAGGAAGAAATTAAAAAGAAAATTAAATATGTATAATGAAACAAATGAAAATAGAAACACAATATACCAAAGCCTATGGGATGTAGGAAAAGCAGTGTTAACAGGGAATTTTATAACAGTTAATGTCTCCAACCAAAAAGTAAAAACATCTCAAATACTACTCTTCAAGGAACTAGAAAGGCAAGAACAAGCCATACTCCAAATTAGTAGATGGAAAGAAATAATAAAGATCAGAGAAGAAATACATGAAATATAGACAAAAAAACCCCAAAACATTAATAATATTGGTTTTTGAAACAATAAACAAAATTAACAAACCATTTGCTAGACTAGCCAAGAGCAAAAAGAAAGATGACCCAAGTAGATAAATCAGAACTGAAAAGGGAACATTACAACTGATATCACAAAAATACAAAAGATTATCAGATACTATTATGAAAACTATACACTAAACTGAAAAACCTAGAAGAAATGTGTACATTTCTGTACATATACAACCTAACAAGATTGAATCAGGAAGAAACAGAAAACCTGAAAAGACTTATAATGGGTAGGAAGTATGAATCAGTAAGAAAAAGTCTCCCGATCAAGAAAAGTCCAGGACTAGATTACTTCATTGCCAAATTCTACCAAACTTCTAAAGAAAAGCTAATATTAATTCTTCTCAAATTATTCCAAAAAGTTAAAGAGGATGGAATTCTTCCTATCTCATTCTATGAGTTCAGCATTACTCTGATACCAAAACCAGACATGAACACGACAAAAAAAGAAAATGAATCAAGACCAATATCCCTAATGAACACAGATGCAAAAATTCTTTTTTTGTTTTTTGTTTTTTGTTTTTTGTTTTTTTTATTATACTTTAAGTTTTAAGGTACATGTGCACATTGTGCAGGTTAGTTACATATGTATACATGTGCCATGCTGGTGCGCTGCCCCCACTAACTCGTCATCTAGCATTAGGTATATCTCCCAATGCTATCCCTCCCCCCTCCCCCCACCCCACCACAGTCCCCAGAGTGTGATAATCCCCTTCCTGTGTCCATGTGATCTCATTGTTCAATTCCCACCTATGAGTGAGAATATGCGGTGTTTGGTTTTTTGTTCTTGCGATAGTTTACTGAGAATGATGATTTCCAATTTCATCCATGTCCCTACAAAGGACACGAACTCATCATTTTTTATGGCTGCATAATATTCCATGGTGTATATGTGCCAAATTTTCTTAATCCAGTCTATCATTGTTGGACATTTGGGTTGGTTCCAAGTCTTTGCTATTGTGAATAATGCTGCAATAAACATACGTGTGCATGTGTCTTTATAGCAGCATGATTTATAGTCCTTTGGGTATATACCCAGTAATGGGATGGCTGGGTCAAATGGTATTTCTAGTTCTAGATCCCTGAGGAATCGCCACACTGACTTCCACAATGGTTGAACTAGTTTACAGTCCCACCAACAGTGTAAAAATGTTCCTATTTCTCCACATCCTCTCCAGCACCTGTTGTTTCCTGACTTTTTAATGATTGCCATTCTAACTGGTGTGAGATGGTATCTCATTGTGGTTTTGATTTGCATTTCTCTGATGGCCAGTGATGATGAGCATTTTTTCATGTGTTTTTTGGCTGCATAAATGTCTTCTTTTGAGAAGTGTCTGTTCATGTCCTTCGCCCACTTTTTGATGCGGTTGTTTGTTTTTTTCTTGTAAATTTGTTTGAGTTCATTGTAGATTCTGGATATTAGCCCTTTGTCAGATGAGTAGGTTGCGAAAATTTTCTCCCATTTTGTAGGTTGCCTGTTCACTCTGATGGTAGTTTCTTTTGCTGTGCAGAAGCTCTTTAGTTTAATTAGATCCCATTTGTCAATTTTGGCTTTTGTTGCCATTGCTTTTGGTGTTTTGGACATGAAGTCCTTGCCCATGCCTATGTCCTGAATGGTAATGACTAGGTTTTCTTCTAGGGTTTTTATGGTTTTAGGTCTAACGTTTAAATCTTTCATCCATCTTGAATTGATTTTTGTATAAGGTGTAAGGAAGGGATCCAGTTTCAGCTTTCTACATATGGCTAGCCAGTTTTCCCAGCACCATTTATTAAATAGGGAATCCTTTCCCCATTGCTTGTTTTTCCCAGGTTTGTCAAAGATCAGATAGTTGTAGATATGTGGCGTTATTTCTGAGGGCTCCGTTCTGTTCCATTGATCTATATCTCTGTTTTGGTACCAGTACCATGCTCTTTTGGTTACTGTAGCCTTGTAGTATAGTTTGAAGTCAGGTAGTGTGATGCCTCCAGCTTTGTTCTTTTGGCTTAGGATTGACTTGGCGATGCGGGCTCTTTTTTGGTTCCATATGAACTTTAAAGTAGTTTTTTCCAATTCTGTGAAGAAAGTCATTGGTAGCTTTATGGGGATGACATTCAATCTGTAAATTACCTTGGGCAGTATGGCCATTTTCACGATATTCATTCTTCCTACCCATGAGCATGGAATGTTCTTCCATTTGTTTGTATCCTCTTTTATTTCCTTGAGCACTGGTTTGTAGTTCTCCTTGAAGAGGTCCTTCACATCCCTTGTAAGTTGGATTCCTAGGTATTTTATTCTCTTTGAAGCAATTGTGAATGGGAGTTCACTCATGATTTGGCTCTCTGTTTGTCTGTTGTTGGTGTATAAGAATGCTTGTGATTTTTGTACATTGATTTTGTATCCTGAAACCTTGCTGAAGTTGCTTATCAGCTTAAGGAGATTTTGGGCTGAGACAATGGGGTTTTCTAGATATAGAATCATGTCGTCTGCAAACAGGGACAATTTGACTTCCTCTTTTCCTAATTGAATACCCTTTATTTCCTTCTCCTGCCTGATTGCCCTGGCCAGAACTTCCAACACTATGTTGAATAGGAGTGGTGAGAGAGGGCATCCCTGTCTTGTGCTGGTTTTCAAAGGGAATGCTTCCAGTTTTTGCCCATTCAGTATGATATTGGCTGTGGGTTTGTCATAGATAGCTCTTATTATTTTGAAATACGTCCCATCAATACCTAATTTATTGAGAGTTTTTAGCATGAAGGGTTGTTGAATTTTGTCAAAGGCTTTTTCTGCATCTATTGAGATAATCATGCGGTTTTTGTCTTTGGCTCTGTTTATATGCTGGATTACATTTACTGATTTGCATATATTGAACCAGCCTTGCATCCCAGGGATGAAGCCCACTTGATCATGGTGGATAAGCTTTTTGATGTGCTGCTGGATTCGTTTTGCCAGTATTTTATTGAGGATTTTTGCATCAATGTTCATCAAGGATATTGGTCTAAAATTCTCTTTTTTGGTTGTGTCTCTGCCCAGCTTTGGTATCAGAATGATGCTGGCCTCATAAAATGAGTTAAGGAGGATTCCCTCTTTTTCTATTGATTGGAATAGTTTCAGAAGGAATGGTACCAGTTCCTCCTTGTACCTCTGGTAGAATTCGGCTGTGAATCCATCTGGTCCTGGACTCTTTTTGGTTGGTAAACTATTGATTATTGCCACAATTTCAGCTCCTGTTATTGGTCTATTCAGAGATTCAACTTCTTCCTGGTTTAGTCTTGGGAGAGTGTATGTGTCGAGGAATTTATCCATTTCTTCTAGATTTTCTAGTTTATTTGCGTAGAGGTGTTTGTAGTATTCTCTGATGGTAGTTTGTATTTCTGTGGGATTGGTGGTGATATCCCCTTTATCATTTTTTATTGTGTCTATTTGATTCTTCTCTTTTTTCTTCTTTATTAGTCTTGCTAGTGGTCTATCAATTTTGTTGATCCTTTCAAAAAACCACCTCCTGGATTCATTAATTTTTTGAAGGGTTTTTTGTGTCTCTATTTCCTTCAGTTCTGCTCTGATTTTAGTTATTTCTTGCCTTCTGCTAGCTTTTGAATGTGTTTGCTCTTGCTTTTCTAGTTCTTTTAATTGTGATGTTAGGGTGTCAATTTTGGATCTTTCCTGCTTTCTCTTGTGGGCATTTAGTGCTATAAATTTCCCTCTACACACTGCTTTGAATGCGTCCCAGAGATTCTGGTATGTTGTGTGTTTGTTCTCATTGGTTTCATAGAACATCTTTATTTCTGCCTTCATTTCATTATGTACCCAGTAGTCATTCAGGAGCAGGTTGTTCAGTTTCCATGTAGTTGAGCGGCTTTGAGTGAGATTCTTAATCCTGAGTTCTAGTTTGATTGCACTGTGGTCTGAGAGATAGTTTCTTATAATTTCTGTTCTTTTACATTTGCTGAGGAGAGCTTTACTTCCAACTATGTGGTCAATTTTGGAATAGCTGTGGTGTGGTGCTGAAAAAAATGTATATTCTGTTGATTTGGGGTGGAGAGCTCTGTAGATGTCTATTAGGTCCGCTTGGTGCAGAGCTGAGTTCAGTTCCTGGATATCCTTGTTAACTTTCTGTCTCATTGATCTGTCTAATGTTGACAGTGGGGGTGTTAAAGTCTCCTATTATCATTGTGTGGGAGTCTAAGTCTCTTTGTAGGTCTCTAAGGACTTACTTTATGAATCTGGGTGCTCCTGTATTGGATGCATATATATTTAGGATAGTTAGCTCTTCTTGTTGAATTGATCCCTTTACCATTATGTAATGGCGTTCTTTGTCTCTTTTGATCTTTGTCGGTTTAAAGTCTGTTTTATCAGAGAATAGAATTGCAACCCCT
Source organism: Homo sapiens (assembly GCF_000001405.40). Taxonomy (NCBI): domain Eukaryota; kingdom Metazoa; phylum Chordata; class Mammalia; order Primates; family Hominidae; genus Homo; species Homo sapiens. Next base: position 109,054,962 of record NC_000023.11, on the reverse strand, counting down.
GCCTTTTTTTGTTTTCCATTGGCTTGGTAGATCTTCCTCCATCCCTTTATTTTGAGCCTATGTGTGTCTCTGCACGTGAGATGGGTTTCCTGAATACAGCACACTGATGGGTCTTGATTCTTTATCCAATTTGCCAGTCTGTGTCTTTTAATTGGAGCATTTAGTCCATTTACATTTAAAGTTAATATTGTTATGTGTGAATTTGATCCTGTCATTATGATGTTAGCTGGTGATTTTGCTCGTTAGTTGATGCAGTTTCTTCCTAGTCTCGATGGTCTTTACATTTTGGCATGATTTTGCAGCGGCTGGTACCCGTTGTTCCTTTCCATGTTTAGCGCTTCCTTCAGGAGCTCTTTTGCGTGCGGCCGGGCGCTTGGCGCCAGAAGCGAGAGCCCCTCAGGGCTCGCCCCCCCGCCTCACCGGGTCAGTGAAAAAACGATCAGAGTAGTGGTATTTCACCGGCGGCCCGCAGGGCCGGCAGACCCCGCCCTGGACCCCTCGCGGGGACACCGGGGGGCGCCGGGGGCCTCCCACTTATTCTACACCTCTCACGTCTCTTCACCGTGCCAGACTAGAGTCAAGCTCAACAGAGTCTTCTTTCCCCGCTGATTCCGCCAAGTCCGTTCCCTTGGCTGTGGTTTCGCTGGATAGTAGGTAGGGACAGTGGGAATCTCGTTCATCCATTCATGCGCCTCACTAATTAGATGACGAGGCATTTGGCTACCTTAAGAGAGTCATAGTTACTCCTGCCGTTTACCCGCGCTTCATTGAATTTCTTCACTTTGACATTCAGAGCACTGGGCAGAAATCACATCGCATCAACACCCGCCGCGGGCCTTCGCGAAAAATTCTTAACAAAATACTAGCAAATCAAATTCAATATCACATGAAAAAAATGATACAGCATGGTCAAGTGGGGTTTATCCCAGGGATGCAAGGGTGATTCAACATACCCAAATCAATAAATATGATACATCAAATCAATGGAAAGAAGAATAAAAGCCATATGATTCTCTCTCAAGTTGCAGAAAAAGCAGTCAATAAAATTCAATATCCCTCCATGATAGAAACTCTCAACAAACGAGGCACAGAAGGAACATACCTCAACAAATAAAGACTACGTGGACTCTTCTCTGAGAACTGGAACAAGGCAAGGATGTCAACTTTCACCACTTATATTCAACATAATACTGGAATTCCAAACCAGAGCACTCAGGCAAGAAAAAATAATAAAAGACATCCAAACTTTAAAATAGAAAATTAAATTGTCTATCTTTGTTGATGACATGATCTTACATCTAGAAAAACCTAAAAACTCCACCAATACACTTATATCTGATAAATTTAGTAAAGTCTCCAGATATGAAATTAACATACAAATCAGTCGTGTTTCTTTATACTAATAATAAACTAGCTAAGAAATAAATTAAGAAGGCAATCCCACTTACAATAGCTACAAAAAATAAAAATACCTAGTAATAAATTTAGCAAAGGAGGTGAAAAACCTCCATAAGGAAAACTACTAAAGTCTAATGAAAGACATTGAAGAGAGCCCAAAAAATGAAGAGACACTCCATGCTTATGGATTGGAAGAATTAACATCATCAAAACAACCGTAAGACCCAAAGCAAACCATACATTTAATGTATTCTTTATCAAAATATCAATTCCATTTTTTGCAGAAATAGAAAAAAATTCCTAAAATGTCACAGAACAAACAAGATTCAGAATAGCCAGAGTAATCCTGAGCAAAAAGAACAAAACTAGAAGTAATACAGTACCTAACTTCAAAATATGTTACAAGGTTAGAGTAATTAAAAATCATCGTATTGGGATAAAAACAAACACATAGACCAATGAAACAGAATAAAAAAAAAAGAAATGAATGCATGTATTTACAGCCAATCGATTTTTGACAATGGTACCAAGACCATACATTGGAGAAATAAGCACTCTCTTCAATAAATGGTGCCGGGAAAATTGAATATCCATATGTTTAAGTGGTGGGGGGGGGAAAAGGAGAGTTTGGTTGGTGAGAACAAGCTTTCACTTAGATGGAGGAAATAAGTTCTAATTTTCTATGGCTGAGTAGGGTCACTATAGTTAGGAATACATATTGCATATTTCAACATAGCTAGACAAAAGGACTTGAAATATTCCCAACACAAAGAAATGATAAATAGTCATTATTATGGGTACCCCAAATACCATGATATCTCATTACAAGTTCTTTGCATGTAACAAATACTCACATGTACCTCATAAATATGTAAAATAGTATCAATCAATAAGATAAAAATTTTTAAAAAATGCATGCACTCCTATGTTTATTGCAGCACTATCCACAATAGCAAAGATATGGAATCAACCTAAGTATCCACCAATGGATGAATGGATAAAGAAAATGTGGTATATTTACACAGTGGAATACTAATTGGCCATAAAAATGAATGAAATTCTTTCATTTGCAGCAACATGGATTTAACTGGAGGTCATTATGTTAAGTGAAATAAACTAGGCACAGAAAGACAAATACCACATGTTCTCACTCATATGTGGCAAGTAAAAAATTTGATCTCATGGAGGTAAAGAATAGAATGATAGATGCCAGAGGCTTGGTGAAGGAGGGAAGATGAAGAGTGGTTGTTTAATGGGTACAAACATATAGTTAGAAAGAAGGAATAAATTATAATGTCAATAGCAGACAGTGACTATAGTTAATACGAATGTAAAACCTTTTGTTGGTCTAAGTTCTAAAGAGTTCCTGATGTTACAGTTGAGTCAAGGTGGTGGCTCCTTCTGCTCCCCTGCCCTTGGTATGCCAATGGTACCCATCAAAAGAAAAAAAATGGTGGCAGGCAGGGGAGCAACATTAATATTATTATTAATTTCTAGAACAACTTGAGTGTATTATCAAGGCAACTGGTGATGTATAAAAACGGTAGAATCTATTTGAACTTGATCCTTGGAATATTCTCTACTGATTGGTATGGAAGCATAACATTGATTCTATAGAGAGGCAGTTATACTCTCAGTCCACAATGTGGCTGTACAATGAATTCTATAGTTATAATCATATAAACACTGCTTGCTGATATTCAACTTTAGGATCACACTAAGGACATATTGCATGACACTTAAATATGGTTACTTAATAGAATGTAAATGTTATGAATCTTGACAATATAAAAATCAAGGTGTAACCGACAGAGATTAAGAGGTTTGAGATCATGAGGAGCAATAAAAGGAAGAATAAGAGTGTTAATGTCTTCATCTTATGAAGTGGGGCATCAAGAGAAATGGAAGTTAAATTATATTTAACATTTCAGAGGTAACTAATGGTAGAACTGAGAATAGAGACATAAAATGTATTGGGACTAGAAATGGACAGGAACTTATGTAAATTCACCACATCTTCAACTAGCATAGCAGAATATCAATAGATACTGCCTCAAATCAATTAAGAATGGGCAATATAAACATATTCCTTACAGATACTGAGATAACATGAGAAATCTTAAAATGTTTAAAAAGCTTAAAAAAAGTGTAAATCTTTCTGTGCTATTTTATTTTCTAACCATGTATTTAACCATTAACTGTGCTAAAATATTTTAAAGTTTTAAAAAGGAGTAACTTTGAAGGATTTGATTATAAATTCTATGTATAGAGAGAACATACTCTATATACTTTACAATGTGCTATCCAAGAATTCTTCAAAATTATCTTGGTAAGTGTGATAGCACAGCCCTTCAATTAATGCAACAATGACCTCAGAATACTTTAAATTCTGTTTATTTCAGTCATCCACCAATGATTAATGCTGAAGAGCAGTGAGTTCTCCATAATCCCACAATTCATGCTGTGTCTTCATCCCATGTCATAGATACAGGGATTTATGATAAGTAGGGACAGCAATAATAGTAGCACATGTTGCGCTGCCATCAATTTTTAGAAGGAAACCATGTTTTAGAAGGAAACCACTTACAGCCTTGGGAAAATAAATGTATTTTAGCATATGAATATTAGTGAGCAGGCTAACTTTGAAATCTTTACAATACCTCCGAAGAGCCACTTTATGTAAAGGATGTTTTTATTGTAATATGGATAATCTGTTATTTACTAGTCTTATTAGTGAATGGGTTTGTACAATACAATAATACTAATGACCAGATTCTACTTATCTTTTCTTTTATTTTCTTTCTTTCTTTTTTTTTTTTTTTTTTTAGAGACAGGATCTCACAATGTTTCCCAGGATGGTTTGGATCTCACGGCCTCAAGTGATCCTCCTGCTTTGGCCTTCCAAAGTATTGGGATTACAGGCATGAGCCATTGCTCCTGGCCCCAGATATTTTTTTAAAAGAAAATAACAGAATCCCATCCTTGTAGCCATAAAAATGTTGATGTTGAGAACCACTAAGCCAGACAATGGACAAACCAATCTTAAAAACAAAAACAGTATTTTACAGGTACCAAATGATTCTGAAACTAACTTCACTCTAGTCACTGTATTCTACAACCACAGTCGCTAAAAGGAATTAAAGTAGTGAAAACATATGTAACCATTTCATGGGTAAAGGTTGTTTTCCTGGAATACTTGAATTCTAAATTTTTAAAAAATAAATAATAGTTATATAAATAATGTTTTATTTTATTCCCTTATTTAAAACTCTAACTCAGCCATAATTCATGGTCTTGCTACTGTAGGAAGATAGTGGAAAAATCGTTGCTGGCTATTCTCTCCATGTATATTTCTCTTTTCCTTCTTTGTTTTACATCTTTCCTTATTTTCAACTGTCCTACTTGCTTCTTTTTGTTTTCTTTCTTGTTTTCGCCTACCAAAGCCCTAGGCCTACCACTGGCACCCAGTGGTACCCCAAGGCATTGCTGTTTGCACTCAGCTATTTTAAGTGGTTGCTGACCACTATCATTATTTCTTTGCTAAGGAATTTTCTGTTGAAATTTTAGTTAAATCATCAAAATTTTTCCTTAATCTTCATTTTTCCTCTACTATAATGTGACTTTTTTTCTAGATGTCATTGCTCTGTTACATTTTTTAGTAGCCTATTTTTCCAGTATATGATTAACACCCACCTTTATTGAAAATTTCAAGATGGTTGAAAACATCAGTTCACTTAACCTTTCCCCTTGAGTCAGAGTCACAAATACCTGTGTTTCTTTGTCTTTTGCAATACTTATCTTCTCACTAACCTATTTTTTAAGCAAGACGTGTGAGAGATAATGCAGAGGCTTAAGAAAATAAACTTGAAAATCTAAGCTTTCTTGCCTCGGCAAACAAAGCCCAAAAGATGCATATTAGGAAAGCCTAGTCCTCCAGAAATGAGTTGCCAATGAGGTGAGGAAATGGGTTTGTGAGCTCACAGAGCCTCCTAATGGAAATCAACATCAGTTTCTAGTACCTGTTTGAAGAGGCAGGTAAAGGGGATATCTTGAGAGCTCCCATTCTCATTCTGGTGTCTGCTTATTATGTTTCTGAAAGGGCACATAGCATTATTCAGCCACTTCTCCAAAAAGGTAACTTGCAGATTACAACTGCTGTTCAGTATGTAAAGTTCCCCGAGCCTACTTTCATCTACATCTGGCAGAATTTCCCATATGAATTTCATTCTAAGTACATACTTCTTATTTATTTTGTTTTCCAAAACTCAATCATTGAAGATAATTTAAAAATAAGATTGGTCTTCTACTAGTGTATAATACTATCTCCCTATACTGACTATTTTTCTCAGATAAGTATTTTCTTGTCTGATAAGTATAGAGAGGTAACACAATACCCTCTCATGACAGCTATTTCTGTCAAAAAAGAACACTGTGTAGTGCAGTCAATTCTTAATTAACCAGGGTCATGGGGAACAGGCAAATTATGGATTAAGTATAATTCTACAGGTAAGCCCTACAGTTCATTTTTATCCATTAATTTCAACCTCTTTCCTAATCACAAGTTTTATCAGAGCTCTTGATAATTAAGTAAATGTGGAGATTTGCGTTTCACTTCCTTTCTTATCCTTGTCTAATGAGCAGGGCAATGGAGAGTGGGGAACAAGGGGCAGTGGTATTATCTCCTAATATGATAATCAGTTACTGGATCTGAAGAAGTAGTCTATGTTGGCTCATTACATAGTCTTAGTTTCTTCCTGAAGTTTCTGGGGTTTCATTATCAAGACTTGACCACAAATCAGGAATCAAAAGAATAAAGAAGAGATAATTTTTGTTTAAATCCAGAATGGTTTCAGATGTCTGAAATATAGCCACTAGCTGTATACTTCTGGGGTCAAGAACTACTGATTCAGGCAGTTTTAATCCCAGTACTGCTTTAGTCTTTCTGAGCAATCTTTCTGCTTGCAAGCTTTGATTTTCTGTCTGTGAAAAAAGGATTCCTCCAGACTATCCTTGGGTTAGTTTGAAGACAAACTGATAATAACAAAAAAAAATGTATTTTGTAAAAATAGATGCAAAATCAATGCGGTAGTCATTGAGCTGTGTTCCACAGAGACTCTAGCTCCAGAAGACTACCCTGGGAGACTATGTCCAGCTGGAGATCCACAGAGTTTCTAAATCTCATCCACGTGAATATAAACACGTGCATAGGTCACTCTGCAATCTTCTATGAGGGTTGCAAGTGTTCCAGGCCTGTGTGATAGTTGCATCTTCCTAGCACAAACAAGCAGTGAAAGCAACTGTATATATAAACTGTATGCTAATAAATAAATACACAAATAAATAAATTATTACTTACATTAGAATTTCCCTTTCTCTTGGCCTCATTCACTCCCATCTGTAAAAAGAGGATGTTGGACTAGATGATCTTTAAGGCATTGTCCAGCTCTATGAGTCTGTGATGCTTGTTGTAAAACTTACAACTTTGCCCCGTTTGTTCTTCCCTTTGAGTCTTGCCCTCAACAGAAAGTCAAAATGTCTGAACTTCTGATGTCAGTCCAAGCCATACTGCTGAATAGAAAAAAAAGAAACATGGCTTTTTCTCCTCTATTTGGGTACTTTTATTATACTTTGAAGACAAGAAGTACTGAAATTAATGTGGGTGCATATTATAATTTCTTTGTTCCAGTCTGATATCTATGTTTGGTAGTCTAACAAATTTTACCAAAATGAGTTGATATGTTAAATGAAGCTGAAAATAACTAAATACCAATTTAGAGTGATGACTCAGGCTGGACTTGATAACAAATAAACAGGACTTTTTAATAAAAAATCATGTTATTCTTGTTTAAAGAGAGATTACATGTTTGAAAAGAATAGATCATTATTATCTAGTTCTCAAGAACAACATAGGCATATACTATATCATGGGCACCAATTAGCAATGATTTTCTTAAACCAGTTTAGTAGGGACAAAAAGACATGTAAATAGACAAGTGCGAAAATACGTCCATATGTGGAACAAGGTGGATCATGAAGGAATAAGTAATCAGTTTGAACTAGAGGCAGAGGAAGTGGCCAGAACATAGGGTGTAAATAAGGACCCATGGAGAAGTAACGCTCAAAAGCTATCTGGCCCCATAAAAGACATTATAAACCCCAATAAGGATTTTGACTTGATCCTTTAGACCAGTGTGTCCCAAAGTGTGCTGCACTTATGAGAGATTATTTTGGCTGGCATATGAGTGAGTTTGTTATTTTTAATAGTGTGATATGTATTTTAATGTGTATTAGCAAAAATGAATTAAGTCTCCAAAGTTATGGTTTCACAGATGTTATTGCTCAGAGCAAAGCTAATTTTTTAAATGAATAAATTTAAAGTAAAATATTACCTAAATAATAGTAAAGATGGTACACAGGTATGGCCAAAAAAATATAAGGGTGAAATGCAAGTGACCAGTATTTGGGAAACACTTCTGTATGGGAGTTACTGGAGGGTTTTTTAGGCAGTAGAATAAAATTGTCAAGTTTATGGTTTAGGAAGATCAATCTGCCTGTAACACAGAGGATGTGTAAAAGAAGGGAATAGTTAGGAGAATATTGCAGTAAAGCCTGAAGTAAGGCAGTAGCAGTGAGACTGTGTAGAACATATAGATGTGAAAGATATTAAGTACACAGCATCCATAGTTCTTGGTGACTTTATTAGTTCATGGTCCAACCAGCAAAATGGAAGCCATTCTAGATATAACTGAGATGACAAAAAAAAATAATAATAAAGATTAGCAACAGTGGGAAGCCCCTACAACTCCTAAGGCTGAAAGGACCATAAGAAGAGATTGTGGTGCCAGAGACAGAGAGCAGAGGCCACCCCATGGAGGCTTGAATCACAGCAAAATTGTCCAATATTAGCTGAAGACATGGAGGAAACACAGCTGTTACAATTAGACATTGGAGTATCTTTTCTTCCCATCTTTCGACTTCCTACCAGTGTCTCTTATGGGTTGAATTCAATCAGAAACTCCTGTCAAAGAACCCTGGGAAACACAGACTGCAGGAATCAAGCATTCTGCAAAAAAGAACAGACCAGGGAAGGGTGAGGAATTCATCAAAGGGTAAACAAGTCTATGATTGGCATACTTATGGATGGAAAGTGAAGGAGAAAGAAATATCTAAGACAAAATCCATATTATGACTCGAGGAGTTGGTGGTTAATATTTTCATCCTCTGAGATAAGAAATATTGGAGTGGAAATAGGTTTAGGGGTATGATGAGTTCATTTCTTAACAAATTACCTTTGAGATATCTGTGGAACATCCAACTAGAGAAGACCTGTAGAGAGTTGAAACACAGTAGGGAAAGCTAGCTGGTGATAAAGATTTAATCAAGAGTGGTAGTTAAAACATGAAAATTAATTGATCAGAAATATTGTGCAGATTGAGAAGATGAGAGAGCCAAGGAAGATGCTTTAGGGAAAACTACCAATAAAATGATAGGCAGAGAAGAAGAAGGCAGTAAGGAAGCCTGAGAAGGAAACTTCGAAGAAGTGGGATTGAATATAGTATCTCAGGAGCCCAAGCAGGAGACAGTTTCAAGAAGGGAATCTTCAACAATGCCAAATTCACCCAAAGTGATCAAGTAAGGTGAGAAATGAAAGAGGTCCATGGTCTCTTCCTAATAGGTCATTAATGTCCTTTGAAAGAGCAGATTCAATGGAGATTTAGAAGTAGACAGCATTTTATAATGGTCTGAGGAGAGAATGGGAAATGAGGAAGAAATTGGACAGAGTCGTGTGCACCACTTCACAAAAAGTTTGTTAAAAAAAAAAAAAGATCCACCTGCCTCGGCCTCCCAAAGTTCTGGGATTACAAGCGTGAGCCACCGTGCCCGAAACCCCGTCTCTACTAAAAATAAAAATAAAAATAATTAGCTGGGTGTGGTGGCAGGCGCCTGTAATCCCACCTACTTGGGAGGCTGAGGCAGGAGAATTGCTTGAACCTGGGAGGCGGAGGTTGCAGTGATCCGAGATTGCACCACTGCACTCCAGCCCGGGGAACAGTGTGAGACTCCGTCTCAAAAAAAAAAGAAAGAAAGAAACAGAAGAGAGGGTAATAGCTTGAGGAGAGTGCAGGATCCAGAGAGGTTGGTAAATTTTCCTTTTCTTTCTTTCTTCTTTAAATTTTATTTTTCCATAAGCTATTGGGGTACAGGTGGTATTTGGTTACCTGAGTAAGTTCTTTAGTGGAGATTTGTGAGAACCTCGTGCACCCATCACCTGAGCAACTTGGACCTGCTTATATGTATATGGAAAGGAGTAAGAAACATTGAAGATGCAAAGAAGAGAAAGAATAGTTAATAGAATGATATTCCTAAAGAAATGTTAAGTGTTAGGCACCAGAAACAAGTAGAGATATTAGACTCGGACAGAAGAAGGAAACTTAGGAGCCCAGAGGAAAGGAAATGAGAGAGAGTTCACAAAAAGATGATTTTTAGAAATGATGAATTAAGAGCATCTATCTGTAACAGTCTCAATTTTGTCTGTGAAGTAAGAGTTAAGATAAACTTCTAAAGATAGTGGGGAGGTGATGGAGTAGAAAGTTTTGGAATTGTCACCCTGAGGTCTAGACAAGGACAGGTACCGGAAGCATAAAATTGAGAATGAAATAAGATTGGAGAACACAAATTTGCCACAACACCAATTTGCACAACTGTGTGATTTCTTCCAGCAGTCTCAATATTATTCGTTGTAGAAGTTGAGAAGCGAGCAGTTGGAATAGTCTAAGCACAGTGGATATGTCAGAAAAACTGGAAGTGGAGGCCATGGAACTTGTTTATCAAGATAGTGGTTTCAGTGAAGCATTAGGGGTCCAGGATCAAGAGGTAAGGGGTTGAAGTAATAAAAGAACCTGGAGATCCCATCATTTGACAAATTCTTCTGCTGGAATTTATAAATGTGACATTAGTGTAGTATTGGATTGTTTCTGGTTTATTTCACTTAAGTTTTATGAGCTAGAAAAAAATAAATAAATTAGAGAGCTATGTATGTATTACATCCTGGCTACATAAAACACATCATTTTAGTTAACCTTCACAATTATCTGTAGAGTAGATATCCATTTTAGAGAGGACACAACTGAAGCTCAGAGAAATCTTGCTGAAGTTAACCATGGCTGGTTATCAGCACAGAAAAGACTCAAATTCAGATCTGTATGACTTCAAATTCAGTGCTGTTTCCACTATTTCCTGCTGTCTCTCTACCAAAAAGAAAGAGAAGAAAATTTATACGTGAATTTAACATATGATCAAATGGGCATGAAGCACTCCTGGAAAGCAACACTTCCCAAAATGATGTTTCCAGATGGGACCACTGGTGTTCTCCAAAGGTCATCCTGATCAGGTCCATAGACTGATCTCTTGTAGGTGTTAACATTTACAGTATAGCAAGGCCTCTACTTTGTTTCCTGGCATGAATAAATAATTTGCTTATAATATTTAAACAAGACGTCATCTCATTGGTGTTTCACTTAAAGTAGTGCCAGCCTTCCCATTAGTTTTAAGGAGTTTGGGTTTGTTTTCTTGACTGTGGCAAGTGAGAGTTGGAGGTGCACATGATCCACAGAGCTTTTACCACTGGTAGAGGTCCACAGACTGAAAAAGATAGAAAGCCACTACAACAACGTCCTGGAAGCTGTGTACTACCTTCAGAGCTTAAAGAAATGACTCTGTACTTGAGTGAGGTAATGCTTGACACTCAGAATCTTGACTAAAGTTAGTAAAGATCTAAACTGAGTCAGGGGCAGATTAAAGTAGCACAACAACCAAAGCTGGCAAGCCAGAATTCAGCAACCTCGCCCTAGAAATCCTCCTGGTCCCCAGCCTTAAGCTGAGACAAACATAATACAGCTGAGTTCTCTAGACTCCAGTTCTTGGTATTGAAAGCAGGAAAGGGCATCGTTTTCTTTTCCAATTTGTGAACACCTCCTCCCCAAAAAAAGCCTTAATAATTACAGTATGATGGAATTAGGCAGTAGGTACTCTGGAATCGGTCAGTGATTCCCTTACATTGAGTACTGAAATAAAAGGAAGCATTTGTTGAGCATCTAATGCATGCTATGCACTAGTTTTATCCTCATAATAACCCTTTGAGGCAAGAATCATTACCCCTACATTAGAGTTGATAAAATGAGATACGGAGAACCTAATTAAGTTTATCCAAGTTATGTAGCCAGTAAATAGCAGAAATGGGTTTTGCATGTACATCTACGTGATTTCAAAATTCCTTATGTCATAAGATTTCTAAGTAACAGAAGGGAGATAGTCATTTGTAATAGCCACATAAGCAAAGTGATTGCAGCTTATCCATCCCTGAAGCTATTTATGAACAGCAATACTACTTATATAATGCCTTATGAGAGTTCCTTAAAATTTTTTGTGTGTTCCATGAAAACCTTTAATATCTGGAGAAGCCTCTAAAGCCCTTTTAAAATGTGTAAAATACAAAAGAATACAACGTAAATACATTGAACTGAAATTTAGTTATCAAAATTAAAAAATTCATATGGCAATATATACACTTTTTATTAAGATTTTAAATGAAAGATCCAGCAGTGGATCTACCTATAATTTCAAAATACATTTATAATCAAAGGATATCCTAAATTTTACTTAGAAATTATAAAAATGAACATGTAATTTTTCTTATAAATTTTTTTTTGAGCCTGAATTCTATTCTTTTACTCTGTGAGGGCTTCACAAGGGGACTACACAGAGACGTGTTGGAGCTGACATGAACTGGCATGCAAGAGATGATTATGGAATTTTCAGGAAGTTTGCAAACTGGTTGCTAAATGCAGTAATTGCTAAAAAGGTAAATTATATAATTTTACAATTAAAGAAATTATATTAAAAACAAAGGCAATAAACATTCAAAACTATTATTTCCTAATTCATTCACTGCATTTTATTATTGTCTATGATTTCTAGGTTATATATTTGTATCTATTGGATCTGTATGATGGAAATGCTGTGTATCTGTACAGTGCATTCCACCATGGTATCACTTCCCAAGTCCACATTCAGTGACATCAGGTTGGTAATTTGAAATCAGCTATGGAGATTGGCAAGTGCTACAACCCTGGGTTTTTTATTCTGCACTGTCAGCTGTTAAATACTCAATGGGACTCCTTCATGTTGCTGCACTCCAGGTAAGAACATCTAGTAGGACAAGTAACACACCTGAAGATCTATATCTAAGGAATTCTTTCAAATCAAGGTTCTAGGGTAGTTCTAACAAAGATTGGATTTCATCCAAATTAAGAACTTCTGCTCTTCAAAGATATGCTTAGGAGAATGAAAATACAACCAATGGACCTGGAGAGAATATTTGCAAATCTCATACCTGTTAAAAGATTTATATCTAGAATATATAAAGAATTATTAAAACTAACAATAAGAAAACAACCAACCAAATAAATAAAATGGACAAAATATTTAAATATACATTTCATCAAAGAAGATATGTGAATGACAAGCAAGCCCATAAAAAATTTCCAATGTCATTAGTCATAGGGAGATAGAAATTGAAGCTACAGTGAAATACCACTACTTACACACTCAAGAATGACTAAAATTAAAAACACTGGACATACCAAGTGTTGATGAATGTGAGGAGCAACTGGAATTATCATACGTTGGTGGTGATGGGAATGTAAAATGGTGCAATCTCTTTGGAAAAAAGGTTGGCAGCTTCTTATAAAGGTAAATTTTCCCCTACCATATGACCTACCCAGTTCAGTCCTAGGTATTTCCACAAGAGAAATAAAAGCATGTGTTCACACAAAGACATGCCCATAAATGTCTATAGCATAATTATTTTTAATAGTTAAAACTAGGAACAACCCATATGTCCATCAAAAGATGAATTGATAAAACATTGTGGTATAATAATTTAACTGACTACTACTCATTCATAAAGAATAAGCTATTAATACACACAACGTGAATTAATCTTTTAAAAAATTATGCTAACTGGAGGAAGCCAGTCAAAAAAGAATGCATATTGAGTGATTTCACTTAGAGAAAATTCTAGAAAGTGCAAACTCATCTGTCATGGCATAAAGCAGATCAATGTTTGCCTGGGAGTGGGAAAGGGTAGAGAAGGTGGGGATGGACATGAAGGATTACAAAGGGGCGTGAGGAAATTTTGGAGAGCGACAGACATATTCACTATCTTTTGATTGTAGTAATCATTTCATCAGTGTATACATTTGTCAAAGCATCAAATTGTATGCTTTAAACATGTGCAGTATACTGTATGCCAATTGTACCTCCAAATACACCTTTTTAAAAGAGTAGCACTGATTCTATCAGCAAAAGCTCTAAATAGACATTACAGCAAATAAGATATATGGATGGCAAATAAGTTCTTTAAGCAGGGTTATTATATTATATTTATTATTTATTATATTTATATTATATTATATTATATTTATTTATTTATTATTATTTATTATATATTATATTATATTATATTATATTATATTTCCTGATATGTTTAAGGCCCTTTCACTATGCCAAGTCACTAGGGACCAATTATTTGAGAAATAACTCTTCCAGATTTGCTAAGTGGTATCCTCATAAGGTCTAAATATTCCACCCAAAGTAAATCACACATTTTCCTCCATATCTAACACATATTATGTGAACTTATGTGGAAGGTGTAAGCAGAGTGAGTTTTCCTTTATAGGCAGAGAAGGTAAGACAGAGATATTAAGCAATATGTCTCAGGTGACACAATTGGTCAATGGCAGAAATGGGACTAGAATCCAGATATCCATCTTCTCAATTAAATGACTAAGAGAAAGGTCTGTGTTGGAAGAATTTTCAGTGATTCCACAGGGTGATTAGAATTCATAGCAGGCTACTGAGAGGTAAGTCTGCTTGTTGGAGGAATCCGTTTTCTGTTCAATTTTAACAAGGCCTTGGGAGAGATTGCAGTGTAATCAAACTTGGCACTCCTAAATGTTTAAAGCATGCTTTAAGTTTGGTAGCATTTTTCCTTCTTAATCAAAAGGCCTCTTATCAATATGCTATTGCTTGATACTGCTAATCTGTCCATTTAGTACATAGAAGACTCACATTCATCCACAGATCCAGGAACAATATCTGAGCCAACATTTCATTAACTTGTATATTTTTCCCAAACCAACGATTGGTTGTGTCCCCCTCCCCTGCTTGCCCCACCCCTTTTCTCTTTAGATGTTGCTGGGGAGATTCTGGCACAGCCCTCCAGGAGGAGGCGGGAAACGGGTAGAGAAAGGGGGAGTTAAAGGGTGAGTTACCAGAGGTCACTGTTCTCAAAACAGACAAAAAGGGAGAAAGGAATGGGAAAACCCAAGCCTCTGCATGCCTCTCCCAGAGACAGGGCCTCCTTATGTGGGAATCCTGCCAGAAAATTTGAGGTAGCTCTGAGAAGGAAGGCCACAGGGATTAAGGATGTTCTTATACTCCTGTCTAAGGACCATTTACAGAGTATAGGCAGCCTATTATACACAAACACCTATTCTTCAATGGAAGACACACACGTCCCCTACTTGTGTGTACACAATGGTAAACAGAGGCCTCAGCAGCTACAGAGATACGCACACACTCTCAGGCAGAAACAAAGGGACAAAGGGACGCATCCAGAAAAACGCACATTTTCTAAGCCCTCTAAAAATCACTTAAGCCCAGAAGGAAAATGTGGGAGAAAGAGTAAGGAAACCCATAGGTGGTAGGTGATCCATAGCCAGTGGGACTAGGGTGGGGTTTGGACTTGCAGAGGTGAGAGACTGGATTAGTAGTTAAGTGTGAAAGAGTGAGGGTAAATGAGTTAGTCTGATTCCATAGAAACTCTACCTAAAGGTAGATTAGAACAGAATGAGCTACAAATCCTCCCAAATATTAGTGTTTCAAAGCTAGAATTCTCTGTCAAGGCTTTGCATTCTCCAAACTAAAATAAATTTTAATAACTTTTCCACCTTCTCCAATAGATTTACATTTTAGCACAATTGTGGAAGTGCAAAATGACCATATTAATATGTATGGTTAGATTTATTTTATTTAAATAATTCAAACATATAGGAAATATATTTCTAAGGAAATGAGCATGCACCTCAGGTGATAGAAAGGCAAAAAGCCAAATGCAAAAACAACTAGAGCTATCTGAGAAGAAGAAAAAAAAAACATATAAAATTGAGGGCATCTTTTAACCATTGAAAAGCAGAAATTAGACAAAGAGAATAAAAAACTACCTATTTCCTTTTTGAATTGTTTTTAGTGTTGGCACACATTTGAAGGCACATATAGAGACTGCTAAATCAATGCCCAATATAGTCTCACTATACTGTTGTGAGTCACTGGAGGCAGGGCTAGGCTAAAATAGTGGAAAATCTGAAAAACCCATTTTTAAAGATATGTACCTTTATTAAGACAGTTACTTCAACTATGTTAACAAAATTTTGCTTAGGAAAGTATCTGTTTTCCACAAAGAGTTCAGAATGGATGTTTAGTACAACTGCAATTACCCTTAACCCAGCTATGAGAGTTTTTCAATGAAACAGATTCCCCATTGGCACTCCATCTCTCGGGGAAATAACAATAGCTAAAGTTTGTTGAGTACTTCCTATGTACCAGGCAGACTTTGTTGTAAGCATTTACATTTTTTGTCACATTTATTTCTCACAATTACCTTATGAAGTAGATTCAATGATTATACCCATTTTACTGATGAGGAAACCTGTGACTTCCAAAAATTAGGTACTTTCCTCAAAATTATACACGTAGTAAGAAGTAGAGTCCAGATAGGCTGACTCCAGAGCCTGTGCTATTAGCTGGAGTACTGTGCTTTCTCAACATAAACAACCTTTTGCCTCAGGTAAAAAATCTGGTATCAGGGACTTGTTTTCAAAATGAAAGAAACTTTCAGAGTATGTTTTGGCATCAGCACACACCGAACCCTCTCTTCTACATCCTCCATCTCGGCAGCTACATATGTGGTTCCAAACAAAGCTCACTGACTTTCAGAGTCATGAGCCTCAGGGTCTGCAGGGATCTTCTGGCATCGAAGAAAGAGCCAGTTATCTTCAGTAGACTCTATTTCTAAAGCTGGAAAGCAAACTAGCACCTTTCAGAGGAATTTGTAACATGGATTGAACATATAATTGTTTTCTGCCTAACTTTCAGTTAACCAGGAAAGTAAATCAACTACAACCTCCCATCCCTGAACAGTCCAAGAAATCAAGGCTTTGCTGCAGTGAGTCTAACAATTATTTACATGTATATGAATACACTTTTAAAAGTGCACCTCCAATCATTTCTTGGAAAACCTTTTTTTCTTTAGCTACTACATAACTTTAGCCCAGCCCTACCTTATTGCAATTCTCAAAGATTATTAATTACAAGAGTCTGGATTAATGAAGATTTATGTATTTGCCCTTGATAAGAAATACTAACGCCAATCTAATATAATCATTCAATGTTTTTATTGTATAATAACAAAATAATGCACTTTGGGAGGTCGAGACAGGCGGATCACAAGGTCAGGAGATCGAGACCATCCTGGCTAACACGGTGAAACCCTGTCTCTACTAAAAATACAAAAAATTAGCCGGGTGTCGTGGCGGGCGCCTGTAGTCCCATCTACTCAGGAGGCTGAGGCAGGAGAGTGGCATGAACCCGGGAGGCGGAGCTTGCAGTGAGCCGAGATCGCGCCACTGCACTCCAGCCTGGGCGATAGAGTGAGACTCCGTCTCAAAAAAAAAAAAAAATGCTGTATGAATCAACAATGATTATGACTATAGACCAAAAAAGGAGAGGGGGAAATTGAAAGAAAACTAAAGAAATAATTTTGATAGGTTCAAAAGTTAAAAAGCTACTGGTTTAGTTACCATGGATACCATGTTCTGACTATAATACTGGGCTTTTGCTCACAGACACTAAAGGTCTGACTCTCCAGCTGCATACCTCCTTTCTGTGCCTGCAGTAGTAACTACTTGAAATGAAAATTCTGTATTTTGATGAATGAGAATGCAATGAGAAATTTCCTGTGCAAGAATCGTAACTTGCTGAAAACATATTCCAATGAGGTTAATTCCAAAAGGATTTTTAACTCATTTTATATTACCAAAGACTTCTAAATAAAATTCACTACACAACAACCTTTATAAATCCATAGTAAAGAATCAGAAATCAGGAATTGTTCAGAACTACAATAGGCCTATATGGCCCTTTTTTTAATCATTGACTCTTGCCACCCACTGGCACACATTCTTACTGCCCATTTATTGAGGCTTTATGGGGTCTGGGCAGAACAAATAAAATGGCAGATTGGGAATTCCCTCCATAAATTGCAGAGACACGAATACCAGAAATATTTACCAAAATCAGTAGCTGTGTGAAGAGTTCTTTGCTTCCTTCATACCCTCTGGATTTAACAAAATATGTAAGACATTTTCTATTGAATTACAAGAGAAAAAATGAGCAGATAAGAGGATTTAAAAAAAAGGCAAAGAAGGAGAAACACCCCTGTGTATAGCATATGGACTATAGGGTAAAATAGACACAAAGTTAGTGTCTAACACGCTCAAATCCCAGCTCTGTCATTTTACTAAATGGGTAACCGTGGGTAAATTACTCAATCTAAGACTCATCTTACTCATTTATAGGAAAGAGACCATAACTGTAGAGTTGCTCTAAAGATAAAATGAGTCATATGTGTGGAACACTTGAAACAATGTCAATTATTCACTAAATGTTAATTTTTAAATTATTATCTGACATCTCTTAGTCACTGATTTCCTTCTGGCTGTGGCAAACTTACAAGCTTCTTGCCATATCAACTACTTTCCATATTGTAAGGGAACACTGACAAAATCTTCATTTCCTACATGCTTCTTCTTGCACCTCCCTACTTCTCCCTGCCCCCAAGTTTATTCACTATCAGGCTTTCTAACCCCATAATCTGATACCTGTTTCACCTGGCCTTCTAAGCAGCTCATGTTCTTCACTGTTCTCTGCTCCATGAGAAACAGAACCCGGCCATTTGTGGCCCTGTATCTTCCTTGCCCCTGAGTTATGTGAATCAGTAATTTTCCACAGACTTCAGGACTTTACCTTGTTCTCAAAACCTTGACTCACTCTTTCCTTTATTTTTATATTGCAAGCCCCCTGACTAATCTGAAGTGATCCTCTCTATCTTTAGGGAACATTCGTCTCTCTAAATATTTTTACTTATCCACTCTATTGTGCTTTCTTCTGTGCCCTGTGAATTGCTTTTTTCAGAATCTTCATATGCTGTTATCAAAAGCTTTCTACACACTCGACAATATAGCTATAAAAATTCTTTTTTTAAATTAATTTATTTATTATTATACTTTTTATTATACTTTAAGTTTTAGGGTACATGTGCACAATGTGCAGGTTAGTTACATATGTATACATGTGCCATGCTGGTGCGCTGCACCCACTAACTCGTCATCTAGCGTTAGGTATATCTCCCAATGCTATCCCTCCCCCCTTACCCCCACCCCACAACAGTCCCCAGAGTGTGATGTTCCCCTTCCTGTGTCCACGTGTTCTCATTGTTCAATTCCCACCTATGAGTGAGAATATGCGGTGTTTGGTTTTTTGTTCTTGCGATAGTTTACTGAGAATGATGATTTCCAATTTCATCCATGTCCCTACAAAGGACATGAACTCATCATTTTTTATGGCTGCATAGTATTCCATGGTGTATATGTGCCACATTTTCTTAATCCAGTCTATCATTGTTGGACATTTGGGTTAGTTCCAAGTCTTTGCTATTGTGAATAATGCTGCAATAAACATACGTGTGCATGTGTCTTTATAGCAGCATGATTTATAGTCCTTTGGGTATATACCCAGTAATGGGATGGCTGGGTCAAATGGTATTTCTAGTTCTAGATCCCTGAGGAATCGCCACACTGACTTCCACAATGGTTGAACTAGTTTACAGTCCCACCAACAGTGTAAAAGTGTTCCTATTTCTCCACATCCTCTCCAGCACCTGTTGTTTCCTGACTTTTTAATGATTGCCATTCTAACTGGTGTGAGATGGTATCTCACTGTGGTTTTGATTTGCATTTCTCTGATGGCCAGTGATGGTGATTTTCATGTGTTTTTTGGCTGCATAAATGTCTTCTTTTGAGAAGTGTCTGTTCATGTCCTTCCCCCACTTTTTGATGGGGTTGTTTGTTTTTTTCTTGTAAATTTGTTTGAGTTCATTGTAGATTCTGGATATTAGCCCTTTGTCAGATGAGTAGGTTGCAAAAATTTTCTCCCATTCTGTAGGTTGCCTGTTCACTCTGATGGTCATTTCTTTTGCTGTGCAGAAGCTCTTTAGTTTAATTAGATCCCATTTGTCAATTTTGGCTTTTGTTGCCATTGCTTTTGGTGTTTTAGACATGAAGTCCTTGCCCATGCCTGTGTCCTGAATGGTAATGCCTAGGTTTTCTTCTAGGGTTTTTATGGTTTTAGGTCTAACGTTTAAGTCTTTAATCCATCTTGAATTGATTTTTGTATAAGGTGTAAGGAAGGGATCCAGTTTCAGCTTTCTACATATGGCTAGCCAGTTTTCCCAGCACCATTTATTAAATTCTAAATGAAACTAAATTTCAATATGCATGGTCAAGGAAAGTAAAAGAGAAGGTATAAATAAGTAAATCACAAATCAAAAGAAAAACTGCAAATCCAGATGAAGTTATGAAATTATAAAACAATACTACATATAACTTTATGTGAATTAATTTGAAATCCTGGCTGAAATGTAAATGATAGTTTTCCTTATGTATATCCAGTTGTTCTAGCACCACTTGTTGAAAAGACTGTCCATTTTCCATTGAATTTCCTTGGTAATTTTATTTAATATCTATATGTGGGTATATCACTGGACCCTGTCTTATTTCATTTATCTTATTGATGTTCTGTCTGGATGATCATTCTATTATTGAAAGTGGGGTGTTGAAGTTCCCTACTATTATTATATCTCTGTCTATCTCTCCCTTCCAACACAATAATATTTGCTTTATATATTTAGGTTTTTTGATGTTGGGTGCATATATATTTATATATTTTCATATCTTCTTGCTGAAGGAACACCGTTATCATTCTGTAATGACTTTTATTGTCTTTTCTTACAATTATTTTATATAAGTTTAGCTATTCTTGTGTCCTTTTGGTTTCTATTTGCATGGAATGTATTTTGCTGTCCATTCACTTTAAGTGTGTCTTTACAGGTAATATGAATGTCTTGTAGGTAGCATGTCATTGGGTCTTATTTATTCATTCAGCCACTCTACATATTTTGATTGCAGAGTTTAATCTATTATATTCAGGGTAATTATTAATAGGTAAGAACTTATTTCTGCCATTTTATTAATTGTTTTCTAATTGCTTTGTAGATCCTTTGTTTATTTCTTCCTTCTTTGCTGCCTTCCGTTGTGGTTAAGTGATTTTTCTCTAGTTGTATGTTTTGGTCTCTACTTTAATTTTTTTCTGTATGTACTCTAAGACTTTTTTGTGGTTACCATAAAGCTTACATGTCATCTTATAGTTATAACAGGTTATTTTAAGATAACAACTTAACTTTTATAGTTAATTTGTATAACAAAAATATCATCCACAGTATTACTTCACTCCCCAACACAAGTATTTTGGATTTTTTATGTCAAATTTCATGTATTTTTATATTGTGTGTATGTTAAAAATTATTGTAGATGGAAGTGATGTGGAACAAGATGGAAAAATATAAAGCTCCACTGATCATCCCCCTCACAAGGACACCAAGTTAATACCGAACTACACAGAAAAAGATGCCTTTGTAAGAGCCAAAAATCAGGTGAGGACTTAAAATACCTAGTTCTAACTTCATGTGATTGAAAGGGCCACTGAAGAGACCAAAAAAAACAGTCCTGAATAGCCAATGCCACCCATCCCCCATACCCACAAGCTACAGCATTGTGTGGAGAACATCTCTGGGCACTGGGGGAGGGAGAACACAACAATTGCGAGTCATTGAACTCAGTGCCATACTGCTACAGCAGAAAGGAAAACCAAGTCAAACTCACCTGATGTCCACCCACAGAGGGACCATTTAGACTGGCCTTAGACAGAGGAGAATTGCCAATCCCAGTTGTCCAAACTTGAGTGCCCACAAACCTCACCATGGAGGGCCAAAGTGCTTTTGGTCTCTAAGTAAACTTGAAAGGCATTCTAGGCCATAAAGACTGCAACACTTAGACGAGTCCTAGGGATGAAATGAACTAGACCCAGAGACTGTAAACTGGGGTAGGGGGAGTGAGGGGGTACATACTGAGACACCAGCTGGGGCAGCCAAGGGAATGCTGATGTAATCTCTCCCCTAACCTCAGGCTGCACAGCTTGTGACTCCAAAAGATACCCTTCTTTCCTTGAGGAGAGGAGAGGAAATCGTGGGGAGGACTTTGTCTTGCATCTTGGATACCAGCTTAGCCACAGCAGGGTAGGGCTAGGGCACTGGTCAGAGTCATGAGGCCCCTGTTCCAGAACCTAGCTCCCAGATGTTTCTAGACATACCCTGGGACAGAAGGGAACCTGTTGCCACGAAGGGAAGGGCCACGTTCTGGCAGTATTGATCCCCTGATAACTGAAGAGCTCTTGGTCCCTGGAAAACCAGCAAAGCAATACTCAAGTATAATGTTGAGGGCCTCGGGTGAGCCTCTGAGGCATGTTGGCTTCAGGTACCAACAACACCACAGGGGGATAGAGCAACAAGTGGGCTCTTGGGGTCTCCAATTCCAAAACTTGACTCTTAGATGGCATTTTTGGACCTGCCCTGGGCCAGAGGGGAGCCCATTGCCCTGAAGGGTGAGTCCCAGGTGAGGCAGCATTCACCACAAGCTGACTTAAGAAACCTTGGGCGTTAGGGGAACATTGGTGGTAGTCTGGCTATACTCCTCTTGGCCAAGAGTGACTGTGGCTACAGGGTGAGGCTTTAATAACAGTAAGTCCTTCAATAGCAGAATTGATCAAGCATAATAAAGGATTGGTGAGCTTGAATGCAGGCTATTTGAAAATACACAGTCAAAGGAGACAACAGAAAAAACAAAACCATGAAGCCCACCTACAGGACCTAGAAAATAGTATCAAAATGGCAAATCTAAGAGTAATTGGCCTTAAAGAGGAAGTACAGAAGAGATGTGGGTAGAAAGCTTATTCAAAGGGATAATAACAGAGGACTTCCTAAACCTAGAGAAAGATATCAATATCCAAGTACAAAAAGGTTATAGAACACCAAGCAGATTTAACAAAGATGACTACCTCAAGGCATTTAATAATCAGACTCACAAAGTCAAGGATAAAGAAAAGGTTCTAAAAGCAGCAAGAGAAAATAAACAAATAATGTACAATGGAGCTCCAATATGTCCGGCAGCAAAGTTTTCAGTGGGAACCTTACAGGCCAGAAGAGGGTGATATGACATAGTGGGAACCTTACAGGCCAGGAGAGAGTGACATGACATATTTAAAGGGCTGAAGGAAAATACCTTTTACCTTAGAATAGTATATCCATTGAAAATATCCTTCAAATATGAGGGAGAAATAAAGACTATCCCAGACAAACAAAAGCTGAGGGGTTTCATCAACACCAAACGTGTTCTACAAGAAATGCTAAAGGGAGTACTTCAATCAGAAAGAAAAAGACATTAATGGACAATAATCACCTGAAGGTACAAAACTTCCTGGTAACAGTGAGTACACAGAAAATCACAGAATAGTATAACACTGTAACTGTGTGTAAACTGCTCTTATCCTAAGTAGAAATGATAAAAACAATCAAGAATAGTAACTACAACAACTTTTCAAGACATAATCAGTACAAAAAGATATAAATAGACACAATAAAAAGTTTAAAAGTGAGAGGACAAAGTTAAGGAAGCTTTTATTAGTTTTCTGTTTGTTTATGCATAGTGTTAAGTTGTTATCAGGTTAAAATAATGGATTATAAGATAGCATTTGCAATCCTCATGGCAACATCAAACATGCAAACATAAAATAGATACATAAAAAATAAAAAGCAGAAAACTACATCATATCCCCAGAGAAAATAATCTTCACTAGAAGAAGACAGGAATGAAAAAAGCAAAGAGGAAAAGTCCACAAAACAAGAGAAAACAAATGAAGAACGGCAGGAGTAAGTGCTTATATATCAATAATACATCAAATGTAAGTGAAATAAACTCTCCTATCAAAAGACAGACTGGCTGAGGGGTGAAAAAACAAGCTCATTGATTTGTTGCCCACAAGAAAGACACTTCACCTATAAAGACACACATAGACTAGAAACAGAGGGATACAAAAAAAAAATCCATGAAAATGGAAGACAAAAAAGAGCAGGAGGCACTATACTTATATTAGATAAAATAGATTTCAAGACAAAAACTATAAGAAGACAAACGTCACTATATAATAATAAAGGGGTCAGCTCAGCAAGAGTATATAACAGTTTTAAATATATATGCACTCAACATTGGAGGAAATAGATGTACAAAGGAAATATTATTAGAGTTAAAGAGAAAGATAGGCCCCAATATGATAATAACTGGAGACCTCAATATTCCACCTTCAGCATTCCACAGATCTTCCAGGCAGAAAATCAACAAAGAAACATTACACTTATTATGCAGTCTAGACCAAATGGAGTTAATAGATATTTACAGAACATTTCATTCAAGAGCTGGAGAATACACATTGTTTCCCTCAGCACGTGGATAATTCTCAAGGATACACCAAATGTTCAGTCACAAAACAAGTCTTGAAATGTTCAAAAAATTGAAATAATATGAAGCATCTTCTCTGACAGCAATGGAATATAACTCGGCTTAAAAAATATCCCTTTAGCATTTCTTCTAAGACAAGCCTGGTGAGGACAACCTCCCTCAGCTTTTCTTTGTCTGAAGACATCTTTAATGCTCCTCGATATCCGAAGGACAGTGTTGCTGGGTAAAGTATTCTTGTTTGACAGATTTTTTTTTTTTTTTTTTTTTCCCCCTCAGCACTTTGAATATATCATCCCATTCTCTCCTGGCTTATTAAAGTTTCTGCTGAGAAAACTACTGTTAGCCTGTTGGAACTCCCTTATATGTGATATGCTTCTTTGCTCTTGTTGATTTCAGGATCTTGTCTTTGATTTTTGAGGGTTTGATTACAATATGTCTTGGAGTAGTTTTGTTTGAATTGACTGATTAAAGACCATTGACCTTCCTGTATCTGGATATTTATATCATTCTACAGATTTGAAAAGTTTTTGCTATTATTTCATTAAGCAATTTTTCTACCCCTTTATCTTTCTCTTCTCCTTCTTAAACTCCTATGACTCAAAAATTTGGTCTTTTCATGCAGTCTTATAACTCTTTTATTCTCCATTCCTTTTCATTTCTTTTTTCTTCTCTTACTATATATTTTCAAATAACCTGTCTGAGTTCACAGATTATTTCTTCTGCTTGATCAGTCCTGCTGTCAGTGCTCTCTCTTGCATTATTCATTTTGTTCATTGTATTTTAAACTTGAGAATATCCAATTTTTTATTATTTCAATCTCTGTTAACTTCCTAATTCTGGTAATACATTGTCTTTATCATTTCATTGAATCATTTATCTGTACTTTATTGAAGTTTGTAGGGCTTCCTTAAACAAGTTATTTTAAATTTTTTATCATGCAGTTTATACATCTCAATTTATTTAGGGCTGGTCATTGGTATTTTATTTTGTCCTTTTGGTGATATTTCCCTGATAGTTCTTGACCCTTGTGGCCCTGCATTGGTGTGTAAACATATGAAGAAGCATATACTTATTCCAGTCTTTGCAGACTGGCATTGTCTGGGAAAGCCCCTCAACAGTCAGCTTGTCTAGGTATTCTGGGAAGGCTGTCTGGTATGGTCCATGGGTGGGCTTGCCACTGGATTCTTTGGGCTGGATTACCTCATGCTTGGATCAGCAGGTGGGAGGGCCTGGATCCTGGATCCACTTTGGTTGGCCTGTTGATTTGGTTTCCTGGAATTGGCCTGAAGTCTGTATCCCTGGAACTCAGCCTAAAGACTGTTTCTGTTGGGGCTTCATGGTGCTGAGGAGGGCTTGAAGCCTAGGGCATGAAGGGCTGGTGAGGTTCGGCAGTGGGCCTAAAGCTTATTGCTGTTGGTGTCAGTGCAGTCCTGAGGCAGATCTGAAGCCTGGGGATATTGGGGCTGGCCTGTTGCTGAGGCCTGTCTAGAGCCCAAGGAGACTGACGTTGACATAGCCGTGGTGTGAGCAGGAGATCAAGTCCACTGTGTAGGTCTGAAGTATGGGGCTGTGGGGTACTTCCTGGAATTAGAAAAGGTCTGACGGCTCAGTCCACAGGTTCTTCTATCAAGTCTGAAGCTGTAGAAGCCTGTCCAGTGCTGGGTTTTACTATGCAGACTCAGTATTGGGGTGCAAGGCAAAGTCCTTTGCTCATTTCCCTGTATTTATTCCAAGCAAATGTTATCTCTCTCCATGCTATGCTGCCTGAAGTTGGGGGAGGGGTGATGCGGGTAATGTAAAATTCCTTCCTATCATCTCCAATGAATCTTTTCTTATTTCTGTGCTATACTCAAGTATTGTGATCTTTCACTTAGTTTCTTCTGTACCTTTGAAAGTACTTTTTTTGTTGTTCAAACTGATATTTTTGTGGGCAGATAATCTCTTGAAAGATCTATGTTGCCATCGGGCTCCACCATCTCTTCATATTGCTGTATGACCAGTTGTATACATGTTTTTATTTGAACATATGTTTTCTATTATTTTGAGTTTAAACCTAGGAATGGAATGACTGGATAGAATGGTAATTCCATGTTACACTTTGAGGAATGACCAAATTATTTGCAGAACAGTTACAAACATTTTATATTCTAACCAGCAATGTAAGGGGGTTCCAATATCTCCACATCCTTGTCAATCTTGTTATTTTCTGTTGTTTTTATTTTAGTCATTATTGTAGGTGTGAAGTGGTATCTTGTGGTGATTTTGGTTTACATTTCCTTAATGATTAAAGATATTGAGCACCTTTTCATGTGCTTGTTGGCCATTTGCGTATCTTCTTTGGAGAAACATCTATTCAAACCCTTTGCCTATTTTTTAATTGGGTCATTTATCTTTTTGCTATTGAGTTATGAGAGTTCTTTTCATATTCTAAATATTATACTTTTATCAGATATATGATTTACAAATACTTTATCTAATTTTGCATGTTGTTTTCACTTTCCTGATAGTGTCCTTTGATTCACAAATATTTTTAATTTAAATAAAGTCCAATTTGTCTATTTTTTATTTTGCTTATACTTTAAAAATGTATGGGTACAAAGTAGCTGTATATAATTATGGAGTACATGAGATATTTTGATACAAGCATTCAATATGTAATCATCACATTGTGGTAAATGGGGTATCAATCACTGCAAGAATTTATCCTTTCTTTGTGTTACAAACATTCTAATTGTACTCTTTTAGTTATTTTAAAATGTACAACAAATTGTTAATTATAGTCATCTGTTGTGCTATCAAATATTAGATTTTATTAATTCCCTCTAAGTATATTTTTGTACCCATTAACAGTCCCCACTTGCCTCCCTACTATCCTTCTTAGCCTTTGGTAACCATCATTCTACTCTCTATCTCCATGAGTTCAATTGTTTTAATTTTTAGCTTTCCAAAATGGGTGAGAACATGCTAAGTTTGTCTTTCTGTGCCTCACTTATTTCTGTCAACATAATTTCCTTTAGTTCTGTGCATCCTATTACAAATGGCAGGATCTCATTCTTTTTTATGGCTTAATAGTACTCCATTGTATATATGTACCATATTTTCTTTATTCTTTTGTCTGTTGATGGATACTTAGGCTGATTCCAAATCTTGGCTATTGTGAATAGTGCTGGAATAAACACGGGGATACACATGTCTTTGATACATTGATTTTCTTTCTTTTGGGTATATACCTAACAGTGGTATTGCTGAATCATATGATCATTCTAATTTTAGTTTTTTGAAAAACCTTCATACTGTTCTCCCCAGTGGTTGTACTGATTTATGTACCCACAATAGTATATGAGGTTTTCCCTTTCTCCACATCTTTGCCAGCATTTGTTATTGCCTGTCTTTTGGAAATAAGCCATTTTAACTGGGGTGAGATGATATCTCATTGTAGTTTTGATTTGCATTTGTCTGATGATCAATGATGTTGAGCAACTTTTTGTATACCTGTTTGCCATTTGGACATCTTCTTTTGAAAAATATTTGCCTATTTTTAAATTGTATTATTAGATTTTTTTCTCCCATTTGGGAGAAAATGATCATAAACTATTGATTTGACAAGGGATTAATAATCAGAATATATAAGGAGCTAAAACTTATATATTCAAATTGTCTCTTCATTTTGTTGATTTTTTTCTTTTGTTGTGCAGAAGCTTTTTAATGTGATGTGATGCCATTTGTACATTTTTTTTCTTTTGTTGCCTATGCTTGTAGGGCATTACTCAATAAATCTTTGCCCAGACTAATGTCCTGGACAGTTCCCCCAAGGATTTCTTCTCGTAGTTTCATGTCTTAGATTTAAGTCTTAATCAATTTTGACTTTGTTTTTCTATATGATGAGAGATAAGAATCAAGCTTCATTCTTCTTCATAGGAATATCCAGTGTTCACAGCACCATTTGTTGAAGAAACTGTCTTTTCCTCAATGTATGTTCTTGGCACCTTTGTAAAAAATGAGTTCACTACAGATGTATGGATTTATTTCTGGATTCTCTATTTGTTGTTTGTACTTTCGATGTTATATCTACAAAACCATTGCCAATCATTTAAAGATTTACCCCTATGTTTTTTCCTAAGAATTGTATATTTTTTGCTCTTCCATTTAGATCTTTAGTATATTCTCAGTTCTTTTCTATATGTTATGAGATAAAGGTACAACTTTTTTCTTTTGCATGTGGGTATCCAGTTGTCCCAGAGAGTATATTTCTTTTAACTCCTCCAAATAGAGAATAATAATAATTATTATGATAAACGGTCAAGAGCAAGAACAAGCTACTCACAGAAGAAGTACGATTCTCCATACATGTACAAAAAGATGTTTAATGTCACTAATAATCAGGAAGATTCAAATAAGAATGATAATTAATAATCATTTTAAAATGTGATATAATTCACATACCATATAATTCACCCACTTAAAATGTACAATATGATGGCTGTTAGTATATTCTCAGAGTTGTGTAACTATTGTTAAAATCAATTTTAGAATATTTTTTCACCCCAAAAAGAAACACTGCATGATTTATTCATAAGCTCTATAATTTCCAGTACACACCCCCAGCTCTAGACAAACTAATCCACTTTCTGTCTCTGGTGATTTGCTTATTCTACATTTTACATAAATGTTTATTTTTCAGCATATTCTGCAATGGTAAACAAATGGAAGCAACATAAATGTCCATCAGTGGAAGGATGTATAAACAAATATAATCTTATCATATGATGGAATATGTATAAGGCCTTAATTATGCATTTCATTAAATGTACCTTGCTTTTAGCTGCCTGCTGGGCATTTAACTGTTTGCTCACTGGAGAACCTGTTTGCATGACACAATCTCCATTGCACCTGCTGAGCCAGGAACTGCAGTGGCTTCAATTCCCAGGCCTCATCCAGCTGGATCTATGGAGTCTCTGGCTTCTGCCACCAGTTTCAGATTCAGATAAATTGTAACACAATGAGGTATGGGACCTGGCATCCCCAGTAGCTGCTGGATAGTCCAGATGACAAAACTTGGAAACCTTTGTACAGGAAACAAAGGGATTAATACCACCAAGGACAAACATATATCAATAAAAAATAAGATGTTGAAAAAGGCTAGCAAACAATCTTTTCTTCTTTCCTACTCTCTTCTTCTCTCTTTTGCTTTCCTTTTATTTCTTGCTCTTGCTGCCTTGGGATATCACTTCCTAATAAAGCCTTAGCACAAAACCTTTACTCATAAGAAACCTTATTTTGAAATGAAAGTCAAGATGGCCAAATAGGAACAGCTCTGGTCTGCAGCTCCCACCGAGACTGATGCAGAAGATGGGTGATTTCTGCATTTCCATCTGAGGTACCTGGTTCATCTCATTGGGACTGGTTGGACAGTGGGTGCAGCCCATGGAGGTTGAGCCGAAGCAGGGTAAGGCATCGCCTCACCTGGGAAATGCAAGGGGTCAGGGGATTACCCTTTCCTAGCCAAGGGAAGCTGTGACGGACTGTACCTAGAGAATCAGTACACTCCTGACCAAATACTGCACTTTTCCCACAGTCTTAGCAACTGGCAGACCAGAACGTACCCTCCCGTGCCTGGCTCAGTGGGTCCCATGCCCACAAAGCCTTGCTCACTGCTAGCGCAGCAGTCTGAGATTGACCTGCAACTCTGCAGCTTGACTGGGGGAGGAACACCCACCATTGCTGAGGCTTGAGTAGCTCACAGTGTCAACAAAGAGGCCAGGAAGCATGAATTGGATGGAGCCCATTGCAGCTCAGCAAGGCCTACTGCCTCTATAGATTCCATCTCTAGGGTCAGGGCATAGTAGAACAAAAGGTAGCAAATAGCTTCTGCAGACTTAAATGTCCCTGTCTCACAGCTTTGAGGAGAGCACTGGTTCTCTTAGTGTGGCATATGAGCTCCGAGAATGGACAGACTGCCTGCTCAAGAGGGTCCCTGACCTCCATGTGGCCTGACTGGGAAACACCTCCAGTAGGGGCTGACAGACATCTCAAACAGGCAGGTGCCCCTCTGGGATTAAGCTGACAGAGGAAGGATCAGGCAGCAATATTTGCTGTTCTGCAACCTCCACAAGTGATAGCCCGGCAAACAGGGTCTGGAGTGGACCTCCAGCAAACTCCAACAGACCTGCAGCTGAAAGGTCTGACTCTTAGAAGGAAAAGTAACAAACAGAAAGGAATAGCATCAACATCAACAAAAAGGACATCCACACCAAAACCCCATCTGTAGGCCATCAACATCAAAGACCAAAGGTAGATAAAACTACAAAGATGGGGAGAAACAAGAGCAGAAAAGCTGGAAATTCCAAAAAACAGAGCACCTCTTCTCCTCCAAAGGATTGCAGCTCCTCACCAGTAAGGGAACAAAACTGGACAGAGAACGAGTTTGATGAGTTGACAGAAGTAGGCTTCAGAAGGTCGGTAATAACAAACTTCTCCAAGCTAAAGGAGCATGTTCTAACCCATTGCAAGCAAGCTAAAAACCTTGAAAAAAGGTTAGATGAATGGCTAACTAGAATAAACAGTGTAGAGAAGACCTTAAATGACCTGATGGAGCTGAAAACCACGGCATGAGAACTTCATGATGCATGCACAAGCTTCAATAGCTGATTCGATCAAGTGGAAGAAAGGATATCGGTGATTGAAAATAAAATTAATGAAATAAAGTGAGAAGACAGGAGTAGAGAAAAAAGAGTGAAAAGTAATGAACAAAGCCTCCAAAAGATATGGGACTATGGGAAAAGACCAAATATCCATTTGATTTGTGTATCTGAAAGTGATGGGGAGAATGGAACCAAGTTAGAAAACACTTCTCAGGATATTATCCAGGAGAACTTCCCTAACCTAGCAAGGGAGGCCAACATTCAAATTCAGGAAATACAGAGAACACCACAAAGATACTCCTCAAGAAGAGCAACCTCAAGACACATAATTGTCAGATTCAACAAGGTTGAAATGAAGGAAAAATGTTAAGGGCACCCAGAGAGAAAGGTTGGGTTACCCACAAAGGGAAGCCCATCAGACTAACAGCGGATCTCTTGGCAGAAACCCTACAAGCCAGAAGAGAGTGGAGGCTGATATTCAACATTTTTCAAGAGAAGAATTTTCATCCCAGAATCTCATATCCAGCCAAACAAAGCTTTATAAGTGAAGGAGAAATAAAATCCTTTACAGACAAGCAAATGCTGAGAGATTTTGCCACCACCAGGCCTGCATTACCGGAGCTCCTGACGGAAGCACTAAACATGGAAAGGAACAAACAACTGGTACCAGCCACTGCAAAAACATGCCAAGTGGTAACGACCATCGATGCTATGAAGAAACTGCATCAACTAATGCGCAAAATAACCAGCTAAAATCAAAATGACAGGATCAAATTCAAACACAACAATATTAACCTTAAATGGAAATGGACTAAATGCCCCCAATTAAAAGACACAGACTGGCAAATAAGATAAAGAGTCAAGACCCACAGGTGTTCTGTATTCAGGAGACCCATCTCACATGCAAAGACATACATAGGCTCAAAATAAAGAGATGGCAGAATATTTACCAAGGAAATGGAAAGCAAAAAAAAGAGGGAGGGGGTGTTGCAATCCTAGTCTCTGATAAAACAGACTTTAAACCAGCAAAGATCAAAAGAGACAAAGAAGGCCTCTACATAATGGTAAAGGGATCAATTCAACAAGAAGAGCTAACTATCCTAAATATATACGCACCTAATTCAGGAGAACCCAGATTCATAAAACAAGTTCTTAGAGACCGACAAAGATACTTAGACTCCCACACAATAATAATGGGAGACTTTAACACCACAACGTCAATATTAGACAGATCAATGAGACCGAAAATTAACAACAATATCCAGGACTTGAACTCAGCTGTGGACCAAGCAGAACTAATAGACATCTACAGAACTCTCCACCCCAAATCAACAGAATATAAATTCTTCTCAGCACCACATCGAACTTATTCTAAAATTGACCACATGATTAGTAGTAAAACACTCCTCAGCAAATGTAAAAGAACAGAAATCACAACAAACTCTCTCTCAGACCACAGTGCAATCAAATTAGAACTCGGGATGAGGAAACTCACTCAAAACTGCACAAGTACATGAAAACTGAACAACGTGCTCCTGAATGACTACTGGGTAAATAACGAAATAAAGGCAGAAATAAAGACGTTCCTTGAAACCAATGAGAAGAAAGACAGAAAGTACCAGAATCTCTGGGACACATTTAAAGCAATGTGTAGAGGGAAATGTATAGCACTAAATGCCCACAAGAGAAAGCAGAAAATATCTAAAATCGACACCCTAACATCACAATTAAAAGAACTAGAGAAGCAAGAGCAAACAAATTCAAAAACTAGCAGAAGGCAAGAAATAACTAAGATCAGAGCAGAACTCAAGGAGATAGAGACACGAAAAAACTTTCAAAATGATCAGTGAATCCAGGACCTGGTTTTTTGAGAAGATCAACGAAATAGACCACTAGCAAGACTAATAAAGAAGAAAAGAGAGAAGAATCAAATAAACACAATAAAAAATGATAAAGGGGATATCACCACCGATCCCACAGAAATACAAACTACCATCAGAGAATACTATAAACACCTCTATGCAAATAAACTAGAAAATCTAGAAGAAATGGATAAATTCCTGGACACATACACCCTCCCAAGACTAAACCAGGAAGAAGTTGAATCTCAGAATAGACCAATAACACGATCTGAAGTTAAGGCAAAAATTGATAGCCTACCAACAAAAAAAGTCCAGGACCAGAGGAATTCACAGCCAAATTCTACCAGAGGTACAAAGAGGAGCTGGTACCATTCCTTCTGAAACTATTTCAATAAATAGAAAAAGAGAGACTCCTCCCTAATTCATTTTATGAGGCTAGCATCATCCTGATACCAGAGCCTGGTAGAGACACAACAAAAAGAGAATTTTAGGCCAATATCCGTGATGAACATCGATGCGAAAGTCCTCGATAAAATACTGGCAAATCGAATCCAGCAGCACATCAAAAAGCTTATCCACCATGATCAAGTCAGTTTCATCCCTGGGATGCAAGACTGGTTCAACCTATGCAAACCAATAAACATAATCCATCATATAAACAGAACCAAAGATAAAAACCACATGATTATATCAATAGATGCAGAAAAGGCCTTCAAAAAAATTCAACAGCACTTCATGCTAAAAATTCTCAATAAACTAGGTGTTCATGGAGCATATATCAAAATAATAAGAGCTATTTATGACAAACCCACAGCCAATATCATACTGAATGGGCAAAACCTGGAAGCATTCCCTTTGAAAACCAGCACAAGACAAGGATGCCCTCTCTCACCACTCCTATTCAACATAGTGTTGGAAGTTCTGGCCAGGGCAATCAGGCAAGAGGAAGAAATAACGGGTATTCAATTAGGAAAAGAGTAAGTCAAGTTGTTTCTGTTTTCAGTTGAAATGATTGTATATTTAGAAAACCCCATCATCTCAGCCCAAAGTCTCCTTAAGCTGATAAGCAACTTCAGCAAACTCTCAGCATACAAAATCAATGTGCAAAAATCACAAGCATTCCTATACACCAATAAGGGACAGAGAGCCAAATCATGAGTGAACTCCCATTCACAATTGCTTCAAAGAGAATAAAATACCTAGGAATCCAACTTAAAAGGGATGTCAAGGACCTCTTCAAGGAGAACTACAAACCACTGCTCAATGAAATAAAACAGGACACAAACAAATGGAAGAACATTCCATGCTCATGGATAGGAAGACTCAATATCACAAAAATGCCCATACTGCCCAAGGTAATTTATACATTCAATGTTATCCCCATCAAGCTGCCACTGACCTTTTTCACAGAATTGGAAAAAACTCCTTTAAAGTTCCCTTGGAACCAAAAAAGAGCCCACATAGCCAAGACAATCCTAGGCAAAAAGAACAAAGCTGTATGCATCAAGCTACCTGACCTCAAACTATACTATAAGGCTACAGTAACCAAAACAGCATGGTACTGGTACCAAAACAGAGATTGACCAATGGAACAGAACAGAGGCCTCAGAAATAACACCACACATCTACAACCATCTGATCTTTGACAAACCTGACAAAAACAAGTAATGGGGAAAGGATTTCCTATTTAATAAATGGTGCTGGGAAAACTGGCTAGCCATATGTAGAAAGCTGAAACTGGATCCCTTCCTTACACCTTATACAAAAATTAACTCAAGATGGATTAAAGACTTAAATATAAGACCTAACACCATAAAAACCCTAGAAGAAAACCTAGGCAATACCATTCAGGACCTAGGCATGGGCAAAGTCTTCATGAATAAAACACCAAAAGCAATGGCAACAAAAGCTACAATCGACAAATGGGATCTAATTAAACTAAAGAGCTTCTGCACAGCAAAAGAAACTGTCATCAGAGTGAACAGGTAACCTACAGAATGGGAGAAAATCTTTGCAATCTACCCATCTGACAAAGGGCTAGTATACAGAATCTACAAAGAACTTAAACAAATTTACAAGAAATAAACAAACAACCCCATCAAAAATTGGGCAAAGGATATGAACAGACCTTCTCAAAAGAAGACATTTATGCAGCCAACAGACATAAGAAAAAATGCTCATCATTACTGCTCATCAGAGAAATGCAAATCAAAACCACAAAGAAAATGTCAGTTAGAATGGTGATCATTAAAAAGTCACAAAACAACAGATACTGGAGAGGATGTGGAGAAATAGGAACACTTTTACACTGTTGGTGGGAGTGTAAATTAGTTCAACCATTGTGGAACGTAGTGTGGCGATTCCTCAGGGATCTAGAACTAGAAATACCATTTGACCCAGCAATCCCATTACTGAGTATATACTCAAAGGATTATAAATCATGCTTCTATAAAGACACATGCACATGTACGTTTATTACAGCACTATTCACAATAGCACAGACTTGGAACCAACCCAAATGTCCATCAATGATAGACTGGATTAAGAAAATGTGGCACATATACACCATGGAATACTATGCAGGCATATTAATGAATGAGTTCATGTCCTTTGCAGGGACATGGATGAAGCTGGAAACCATCATTCTCAGCAAACTATCACAAGGACAGAAAACCAAACACCACATGTTCTCACTCATAGGTGGGAGTTGAACAATGAAAACACATGGACACAGGGCGGGGAACATCACACAGCAGGGCCTGTCGGGGGCTAGGGGGCTGGGGGAGGGATAGCATAAGAGAAATACCTAATGTAAATGATGAGTTGATGGGTGCAGCAAACCAACATGGCACATGTATACCTATGTAACAAACCTGCACGTTATGCACATGTACACTAGAACTTAAAGTATTATAATAATAATAAAAAGAAACCTTATTTCTAGGGTAAGATAAAATTTAGCAACTAAAGAGAATGGAGTAGAGCTATATCAACATGGGTATACCTCAAATGCAAAACACTGAGTGAAGTCATAAAATGCAAAACACCATGTTTTATGTACATTTAAAACATGTAATAACACAATGTTAAATATTTGTTATAGATAGAATATGTTTGTATAGAAAATGAACTAGAAAGTTATACACAATAGTTTCCCCTTGGCAGTAAATGAGTGCAATAGGAAAGGGGGTAGTTCTTAAAGGAAGTTTTAATTTTTATGTGCCTTTTTCTATGTTTTAAAAATAAAAAGATTACAAGTAAATACTACAATGGGATAGTAGTTATTAACTCTGAGTGGTGGAAATATTATTAATTGTTCATTTCTCAGTATTGTTTTGCATTTGAAAAATTTTTCAAAAGAAGTAAGTGCAGGCCAGGCGTGGTGGCTCAAGCATGTAATCCCAGCACTTTGGGAAGCCGAGATGGGTGGATCACCAGGTCAGAAGATCGAGACCATCCTTGCCAACACGATGAAACTCTGTGTCTACTAAAAATACAAAAATTAGCCAGGCGTGGTGGTGTGTGCCTGTAATTCCAGCTACTCAGGAGGCTGAGGCAGGAGAATCGCTTGAACCAGGGAGTCGGAGGTTGCAGTGAGCCGAGATCGCGCCACAGCACTCCTGCCTGGCAACACAGCGAGACTCCGTCTCAAAACAAAACAAAAAAGTAAATAAAACAAACCAACAAAAAACAAACAACAACAAAGGACAAAGTGCATTACATTTAAAGGAGAAAAATGTTTTCACTGTGGAAGTCATTTTACTTACCACCCCAGATAAAATGAAAGGTAAATTAGGTAATCTTATTCTTACATCTTAAAGACATTTTGGAGCTATTTAATTAGGACTCCCTCAAGGAGTCTATACAGACGCAAAGAGACATAATGGTGTAGACTGAGAATCAAGAGATGAGGGTTGTAGAAACTGGGATACTGGATTCAACATCTTTCTGGGTTTCAGTTTCCTTTCCTTAAAGTAAAAGTATTAAACAAAGTGATACATGTAATTTTTTCTAGTTATAAAAATCTACAGTTTTGCTCATGCAACAGCAATGACCAATGAAAGGAAGAATATAATTATATGTGAATTTGTGTTAGTATCTTCATGAAAATGAAGCTCTAGGGAGAAGGGAGAAGGAAATAAGGCACGTTGGCATGGTCATCCAATAAAGATAAGTCAGTCAAGGTTCTCGATTTCCAGAAAGAAATTGGCTGTGATGGTCTTAAGGAAAAAGGGAGCTTATTGGAAGATCATCATGAGCTCAGACAATCAATGGCTTGTTAGAGGATCAGGCTTGGAAAATTGTCTGGAATTAAGGAGGCAGGACCTATTGCTAAGCCGCAAGATGGAGGCCCCATGGAGTACAGCAGCAGAGTTTTCTACTTACTCAAAGATGAAAATCTTAACAAATAACTTCTGTTTTGTTGAACTTAAGTCATTTCCTCTCCCTTTGGTGAAAATAGAGGGAATTAGCAAGACTGGGCAGAGAGTACAGAGGTTCCCATTATATCTCTTTCTCTCACTCATGCATAGCCTCACCCATTATCAACGTCTCCTACCAGAGTGGTACATTTGTTATAACAGAGAAACCTACATAGACACATCATTATCAGCCAAAGTCCAATAGGATTTACACTTGGTGTTATGCATTCTGTGGGTTTGGATAAATGTATGGTAACATATATTCAATATTATAGTACCATATAGAGTTGCTTTGGGGCCATAAAAATCCTCCATATTCCACTTATTCTTCCTTCCTTCCCCCCAACCCCTGGAAACCACTAATCTTTTTTACTATGTCTATAGTTTTGCCTTTCCCAGAATATCATACAGTTAGAATCATACAGTAGGTAACCTTTTCAGATTGTCTTCTTTCACTGAGTCATATTCATTTAAGTTTCCTTCATGTGTTTTCATGGTTTTACAGTTTATTTCTGTTTAGTGCAGAATAATATTCTGTTGTCTGAATGTATCACTCTATCCATTCATCGTGGTTGTTCTAAGTTTTAGCAATTATGAGTAAAGCAATTGTAAACATTTGTGTGCAGGTTTTTGTGTGGATATAAATGTTCAACTCCTTTAAATAAATAAATATCAAGTTTCATGATTGTTGGATTGTGTGGCAAGAGGATGTTTAGTTTTGTAAAAACTGCCAAACTGTTTTCCAGAGTGATTGTACCATTTTGCATTCTTATCAGCAATGAATGAGAGTTCCTGGTGCTCCACGTCTGCACTGATATTTGGTGGTGTTAGTGTTCTGGATTTTGGCCATTCTAATAGGTGTGCAGTGGTATCTCATTGTTGTTTTTATTTACATTTCTCTGTTGTTATATGGTGTGGAACATATTGTCATGTACTTATTTTCCATCAGCATATTTTTTTAGTGAGATGTCTCTTAAAGTCTTTGCCCCATTTTTTTTTAGTTTTTTTTTAATTATACTTTAAGTTTTAGGGTACATGTGCACAACATGCAGGTTTGTTGCATATGCATACATGTGCCATGTTGGTGTGCTGCACCCATTAACTTGTCATTTACATTAGGTGTATCTCCTAATGCTATCCCTCCCCACTTCTCCTACCCCATGACACGCCCCAGTGTGTGGTGTTGCCACCCTGTGTCCAAGTGTTCTCATTGTTCAATTCCCACCTATGAGTGAGAACATGTGGTGTTTGGTTTTTTGTGACTGCGATAGTTTGCTGAGAATGGTGGTTTCCAGCTTCATCTATGTCCCTACAAAGGACATGAACTCATCCTTTTTTATGGTTGCATAGTGTCCCATGGTGTATATGTGACACATTTTCTTAATCCAGTCTATCATTGTTGGACATTTGGGTTGGTTCCAAGTCTTTGCTATCGTGAATAGTGCCACAATAAACATACGTGTGCATGTGTCTTTATAGCAGCATGATTTATAATCCTTTGAGTATATACCCAATAATGGGATGGCTTGGTCAAATGGTATTTCTACTTCTAGATCCTTGAGGAATCACCACACTGTCTTCCACAATGGTTGAACTAGTTTACAGTCCCACCAACAGTGTAAAAGGGTTCCTATTTCTCCATATCCTCTCCAGCACCTGCTGTTCCCTGACTTTTTAATGATCACCATTCTAACTGGTGTGAGATGATATCTCATTGTGGTTTTGATTTGCATTTCTCTGATGGCCAGTGATGATGAGCATTTTTTCATGTGTCTGTTGGCTGCATAAATGTCTTCTTTTGAGAAGTGTCTGTTCATATCCTTTGTCCATTTTTTGATGGGGTTGTTTGTTTTTTTCTTGTAAGTTTGTTTGAGTTCTTTGTAGATTCTGGATATTAGCCCTTTGTCAGATGAGTAGATTGCAAAAATTTTCTCCCACTCTATAGGTTGCCTGTTCACTCTGATGATAGTTTCTTTTTTTTTTTTTTTTTTTTTTTTTTTGAGACAGAGTCTCGTTCTGTCGCCCAGGCGGGACTGCAGTGGCGCGATCTCCTCTCACTGCAAGCTCCGCCTTCCGGGTTCACGCCATTCTCCTGCCTCAGCCTCCCGAGTAGCTGGGACTACAGGCGACCGCCACTGCGCCCGGCTAATTTTTTGTATTTTTAGTAGAGACGGGGTTTCACTGTGGTCTTGATCTCCTGACCTCGTGATCCGCCTGCCTTGGCCTCCCAAAGTGCTGGGATTACAGGCGTGAGCCACCGCGCCCGGCCTCTGATGATAGTTTCTTTTGCTCTGCAGAAGCTCTTTAGTTTAGTTAGATCCCATTTGTCAATTTTGGCTTTTGTTGCCATTGCTTTTGGTGTTTTAGACATGAAGTCCTTGCCCATGCCTTGGTCCTGAATGGTATTACCTAGGTTTTCTTCTAGGTTTTTTATGGTTTTAGGTCTAACATTTAAGTCCTTAATCCAACTAGAATTAATATTTTGTATAAGGTGTAAGGAAGGGATCCAGTTTCACCTTTCTACATATGGCTAGCCAGTTTTCCCAGCACCATTTATTAAATAGGAAATCCTTTCCCCATTTCTTGTTTTGGTGAGGTTTGTCAAAGATCAGATGGTTGTAGATGTGTGGTATTATTTCTGAGGGCTCTGTTCTGTTCCACTGGTCTATATCTCTATTTTGGTACCAGTACCATGCTGTTTTGGTTACTGTAGACTTGTAGTATAGTTTGAAGTCAGGTAGCATGATGCCTCCAGCTTTGTTCTTTTGGCTTAGGATTGTCTTGGCAATGCAGGCTATTTTTTGGTTCCATATGAACTTTAAAGTAGTTTTTTCCAATTCTGTGAAGGAAGGCATTGGTAGCTTGATGGGGATGGCATTGAATCTATAAATTACCTTGGGCAGTATGGCCATTTTCATGATATTGAGTCTTCCTCTCTATGAGCATGGAATCTTCTTCTATTTGGTTGTGTCCTGTTTTATTTCATTGAGCAGTGGTTTGTAGTTCTCCTTGAAGAGGTCCATGACATCCCTTGTAAGTTGGATTCCTAGGTATTTTATTCTGTTTGAAGCAATTGTGAATGGGAGTTCACTCATGATTTGGCTTTCTGTTTGTCTGTTATTGGTGTATAAGAGTGCTTGTGATTTTTGCACATTGATTTTGTATCCTGAGACTTTGCTGAAGTTGCCTATCAGCTTAAGGAGATTTGGGGCTGAGATGATGGGGTTTTCTAAATATACAATCATGTCATCTGCAAACAGGGACAATTTGACTTCCTCTTTTCCTAACTGAATACCCTTTATTTCTTTCTCCTGCCTGAATGCCCTGGCCAGAACTTCCAACACTATGTTGAATAGGAGTGGTGAGAGAGGGCATCCCTGTCTTGTGCCAGTTTTCAAAGGGAATGCTTCCAGTTTTTGCCCATTCAGTGTGATATTGGCTGTGAGTTTGTGATAAATAGCTCTTATTATTTTGAGATACATCCCATCAATACATAATTTATTGAGAATTTTTAGCATGAAGTGCTGTTGAATTTTTTTGAAGGCCTTTTCTTCATCTATTGATATAATCATGTGGTTTTTGTCTTTGGTTGTTTATATGCTGGAGTACATTTATTGATTTGCATATGTTGAACCAGCCTTGCATCCCAGGGATGAAGCCCACTTGATCATGGTGGATAAGTTTTGATGTGCTGCTGGTTTCAGTTTGCCAGAATTTTTTGACGATTTTTGCATCAATGTTCATCAAGGATATTGGTCTAAAATTCTCTTTTTTTGTGTGTGTCTCTGCCAGGCTTTGGTATCAGGATGATGCTGGCCTCATAAAATGAGTTATGGAGGATTCCCTCTTTTTCTATTGATTGGAATAGTTTCAGAAGGAATAGTACCAGCTCCTCTTTGTACCTCTGGCAGAACTCGGCTGTGAATCTGTCTGGACCTGGAATTTTTTTGGTTGGTAGGCTATGAATTATTGCTTCAATTTTGGAGCCTGTTATTGGTGTATTCAGGGATTCAACTTCTTCCTGGTTTAGTCTTGGGACGGTGTATATGTCCAGGAATTTATCCGTTTCTTCTAGATTTTCTAGTTTATTTGTGTAGAGGTGTTTATAGTATTCTCTGATAGTAGTTTGTATTTCTGTGGGATCGGTGGTGATATCCCCTTTATCATTTTTTATTGTGTCTATTTGATTCTCTCTTTTCTTCTTTACTAGTCTTGCTAGCAGTCTATCAATTTTGTTGATTTTTTCAAAAAACCATCTCCTGGATTCATTGATTTTTTGAAGGGTTTTTTGTGTCTCTATCTCCTTGAGTTCTGCTGTGATCTTATTTATTTCTTGCCTTCTACTAGTTTTTGAATTTGTTTGCTCTTGCTTCTCTAGTTCTTTTAATTGTGATGTCAGGGTGTCAATTTTACATCTTTCCTGCTTTCTCTTGTGGGCATTTAGTGCTATAAATTTCCCTCTACACACTGCTTTGTATGTGTCCCAGATATTCTGGTATGTTGTGTGTTTGTTCTCATTGGTTTCAAGGAACATCTTTATTTCTGCCTTCATTTTGTTATGTACCCAGTAGTCATTCAGGAGCAGATTGTTCAGTTGCCATGTAGTTGAGCAGTTTTGAGTGAGTTTCTTAATCCTGAGTTCCACTTTGATTGCAGTGTGGTCTGAGAGACAGTTTGTTATAATTTCTGTTCTTTTACATTTGCTGAGGGTGCTTTACTTCCAACTATGTGGTCAATTTTGGAATAAGTGGGATGTGGTGCTGAGAAGAATGTATATTCTGTTGATTTTGGGTGGAGAGTTCTGTAGATGTCTATTAGGTTCACTTGGTGCAGAGCTGAGTTCAAATCCTGGATATCCTTGTTAACTTTCTGTCTCGTTGATCTGTTTAATGTTGACAGTGGGGTGTTAAAGTCTCCCGTTATTATTGTGTGGGAGTCTAAGTCTCTTTGTAGGTCTCTAAGGACTTGCTTTATGAATCTGGGTGCTCCTGTATTGGATGCATATATATTTAGGATAGTTAGCTCTTCTTGTTGAATTGATCCCTTTACAATTATGTAATGGCCTTCTTTGTCTCTGTTGATCTTTGCTGGTTTAAAGTCTGTTTTATCAGAGACTAGTAGTGCAACCCCTGCCTTTTTTTGTTTTCCGTTTGCTTGGTAGATCTTCCTCCATCCCTTTATTTTGAGCCTATGTGTGTCTCTGTATGTGAGATGTGTCTCCTGAATACAGCACGCTGATGGGTCTTGACTCTATCCAATTTTCCAGTCTGTGTCTTTTAATTGGAGCATTTAGCCCATTTACATTTAAGGTTAATATTGTTATGTGTGAATTTGATCCTGTCATTATGATGTTAGCTGGTTATTTTGCTCATTAGTTGATGCAGTTTCTTCCTAGCCTCGATGGTCTTTACAATTTGGCATGCTTTTGCAGTGGCTAGTACCGGGTGTTCCTTTCCGTGTTTAGTGCTTCCTTCAGGAGCTCTTGTAGGGCAGGCCTGGTGGTGACAAAATCTCTCAGCATTTGCTTGTCTGTAAAGGATTTTATTTCTCCTTCACTTATGAAGTTTAGTTTGGCTGGATATGGAATTCTGGGTTGAAAATTCTTTTCTTTAAGAATGTTGAATATTGGCCCCATTCTCTTCTGGCTTGTAGGTTTTCTGCCGAGAGATCCACTCTTAGTCTGATGGGCTTCCCTTTGTGGGTAACCTGACCTTTCTCTCTGGCTGCCCTTAACATTTTTTCCTTCATTTCAACTTTGGTGAATCTGACAATTATGTGTCTTGGAGTTGCTCTTCTCGAGGAGTATCTTTGTGGTGTTTTCTGTATTTCCTGAATTTGAATGTTGGCCTGCCTTGCTACGTTGGGGAAGTTCTCCTGGATAATATCCTGCAGAGTGTTTTCCAACTTGGTTCCATTCTCCCCATCACTTTCGGGTACACCAGTCAGACGTAGATTTGGTCTTTTCACATAGTCCCATATTTCTTGGAGGCTTTGTTCATTTCTTTTTATTCTTTTTTCTCTAAACTTCTCTTCTCACTTCATTTCATTCATTTGATCTTCAATCACTGATACCTTTTCTTCCAGTTGATTGAATCGGCTACTCAAGCTTATGCATGTGTCATGTAGTTCTCATGCCATGGTTTTCAGCTCCATCAGGTCATTTAAGGACTTCTCTACACTGGTTATTCTCGTTAGCCATTCGTCTAATCTTTTTTCAGGGTTTTTAGCTTCTTTGTGATGGGTTCAAACTTCCTCCTTTAGCTCGGAGAAGTTTGATCATCTGAAGCCTTCTTCTCTCAACTCATCAAAGTCATTCTCTATCCAGCTTTGTTCCATTGATGGCTAGGAGCTGCGTTCCTTTGGAGGGGGAGAGGCACTCTGATTTTTAGAATTTTCAGCTTTTCTTCTATGTGTTTTCCCCATCTTTGTGGTTTTATCTGCCTTTGGTCTTTGATGATGGTGATGATGTACAGGTGGGGTTTTGGTGTGGATGTCCTTTCTGTTTGTTAGTTTTCCTTCTAACAGTCAGGACCCTCAGCTGCAGGTCTGTTGGAGTTTGCTGGAGGTCCACTCCAGACCCTGTTTGCCTGTTTATCAGCAGTGGAGGCTGCAGAACAGCGAATATTGTTGAACAGTAAACATTGCTGTCTGCTCGTTCCTCTGGAAGCGTCATCTCAGAGGGATACCCAGCCATGTGAGATGTCAGTCTGCCCCTACTGGGGTGTGCCTCCCAGTTAGACTACTCGGGGGTCAGGGACCCACTTGAGGAGAGTGTCTGTCCATTCTCAGATCTCAAACTCCATTCTGGGAGAACCACTACTCTCTTCAAAGCTGTCAGACAGAGACATTTAAGTCTGCAGAGGTTTCTGCTGCCTTTTACTCAGCTATGCCCTGCCCCCAGAGGTGGAGTCTACAGAGGCAGACAGGCCTCCTTGAGCTGCAGTGGGCTCCAGCCAGTTCGAGCTTCCTGGAGGCTTTGTTTACCTACTCAAGCCTCAGCAAAGGCGGTGCCCC
Organism: Homo sapiens; assembly: GCF_000001405.40. Taxonomy (NCBI): domain Eukaryota; kingdom Metazoa; phylum Chordata; class Mammalia; order Primates; family Hominidae; genus Homo; species Homo sapiens. The sequence continues at coordinate 109,010,821 of NC_000023.11, read as the reverse complement.
TCCCCCAGCCTCACTGCCACCTTGCAGTTGGATCTCAGACTTCTGTGCTAGCCATGATTGAGCCTCCGTGGGCATGGGACCCTCTGAGCTAGGCATAGGATATTATCTCCTGGTGTGCTGTTTGCTAAGACCATTGGAAAAGTGCAGTATTAGGGTGTGAGTGACCCAATTTTCCTGGTGCCATCTGTCACAGCTCCTCTTGGCTAGGAAAGGGAATTCCCTGACCCCTTGCACTTCCTGGGTCAGGTGATGCCTTGCCCTGCTTTGGTTCATGCTCGGTGGGCTGCACCCACTGTCCTGCACCCACTGTCTGACTAGCCCCAGTGAGATGAACCCAGTACCTCAGTTGGAAATGCAGAAATCACCCGTCTTCTGTGTTGCTCACACTGGGAGCTGTAGACTGGAACTGTTCCTATTCCTGTCCCATTTTTTAAATTAAGAATTTCAGCATTTATTGACAAAGTGTAAGTTAGAAGAAAACCACATTCCATAAAAAATGAAAAGTGTGGAAAATAGCAGAATCAAATAATGTAAAAGTGTGAGACTAACATAGATAACTTCAACAATGTAAGTGGACTTATTACCAAAGCAGAAAATATATTCCAAAGGGTCTAATTAATTTTCAAACTACCAAGTATTTCTGTTACAAAATTATGACCATATATTCATTAAACTATCTTCAAGTTCTTAAACCAAGGGGAAAAAAAAAATATAACCTGTAACTTAAAAGAGATTTGAAGGCATGCATTGTGGCTTGGGTGATAAATTGAAATCTTCTGTCATTGTTTATTCATTCTTCTTCATTTTCTGTGGGTAGACAAGGTTTTCCAGCAGAGCTGGCCCAGTAGGCACACCTAATAACATGAGGTAACTCTTACAGGAATGGTTTAGATTAACTTGCAAATCAAAAAGAATTGTTACCATTAACAAGATGAAATCAGATTTACTTATTTAGTTTGCTCTATTTTTTAATTGGGATTTTTGGTTCTCATTGAGTTATAAAAGTTCTTTGTATGTTTTTGATTACAGTCATTTAATATATATGTCTTTTGCAAAGACATATATAAAAATATTTTATAAAATTTTCTCCAAGAAGTCTGTGGTTTGTCTTCTCATTCTCTTGACATTTTCTTTCATGGGGAAGAAGTTTTATATTATAATGAAGTTCAGATTGTCAATTATTTCCTTAATGAATTGTGTATTTGGTGTTTTACTGAAAGCAATCATTGCAATACCCAAAGTCCTCTAGGTTTTCTCCTATGTTTCCTTCTAAATGATTTAAAGTTAATCATTTTACATTTAGGTTTGTTAACTATTTTAATTTTGTGAGGGTTGTAAAGTCTGTGTCTACTTTCATTGCTTTTTGTGTAAATGTCCAGTAGTATGATGATCATTTGGTGAAAATATTATCATTGCTCTATTTTATTGCTTTTTCTCTTTTGTCAAAGATCAGTTGACTATATGGGTTGATTTCTGGGCTCTCTAGTTTTCCCCATTGATCTATTTGTTTATTATTTCACCAATACCACACTGTCTTGATTATTGTAGCTTTATAGTATGTCTTGAAGTCAGGTAGTGTCAGTTCCCAGAATTTGTTTTTCTTCAATATTGTGCTTTCTATTCTAAGTATTTTGCCTCTCCATATAAGCTTTAGATTGAGTTTGTCAGGATCCACAAAATAATTACTAGGATTTTGATTTGGATTGCATTAAATCTGTAGATCAAACTGGGTAGAACTGACATCTTGACAATATTGCCCTCCCATTCCTGAGCATAGAATATCTCTTCATTTAATTAGTTCCTTTTTGACATTTTCCATCAGGGTTTTGTAGTTTTCCTCATACAGATCTTGTACCTGTTTTGTTAAATTTATATCTAAGTATTTCAGTTTTATGTTAATATAAATGTTATTGTTTTTTAATTTCAAATTCCACTTATTCATTGCTGGTTTATAGAAAAGAGTTTGACTTTTACATAGTAGCCTTGTATTCTGCAACCTTGCTATAATCTCTTATTAGTTCCAAGAGGGTTTGATTTGGTAGATTCTTTCAGATTTTCTATATAGACAATCATGTAACCTGTGAACAAAGACAGCTTTAATTTTTCCCCCAATCTATGTACTTCTTATTTCTTTTCTTGTCTTGCTGCAATATCTAGGGCTTCTGGGATAATACTGAAAAGCAATGGTGAAAGAAGATATCCTCCCTTCTTCCTCATCTTAGTGGGAAAGCTTTGAGCTTCTCACCATTAAGTATGATATTAGCTACAGGATTTTTGTAGACATTCTTTATCAAATTGAGAAAGTTCTACTCCATACCTGTTTTACTGGGAGTTTTTATCATGAATAAATGTTGAATTTTGTAAAATGCTTTTTCTGCATCTAATAATATGACCATGTGATTTTTCTTCTTTAGCTTATTGGTGTGATGGATTACATTATTTGATTTTTGAATGTTGAACCAGTCTTGCATACCTGGCATAAATCCCACTTGTCTATGGTGTAAAATTCCTTTTATACATTGTTCGATTTGATATTTTGTTGAAGATTTTTGCACCTATGTTTGTGAGAGAAATTGGTTTATAGTTTTGTTTTCTTGTAATGCCTCTGTCTGGTTTTGGTTTTAGGGCAATGTTGGCCTCATAGAAAGAGATAGGAAGTATTCTCTCTGATTCTATATTCTGAAAGATATTATAGAGAATTAATATAAATTTCTCCTTAAATATCTGTTAGAATTCACCTTGATAGAATTTACCATCTGGGCTTGATGCTTTCTTCTTTGGGAGATTATTAATTGTTGACTCAATTTATTTAATAGACATAGGCCTATTCAGATTATCTATTTTTTCTTGTGGTGAGTTTTGATAGATTTTGTCTTTCAAATAACTGGTCAAACTTTCTTTTATTTCAAATATTAGTAATTTGTGTCCTCTCTTTTTGTTTTTTTCTTAGCTCAGCTAGATGCTTATCAACTTTATTGATCTTTTCAAAGAACCAGATTTTGTTTTCATTGATTTTTTAAAATTGACTTTCTGTTGTCACTTTCATTGATTTCTGTGGTAATTTTTAGTACTTCTTTTCTTCTACTGACTTATAATTTAATTTGCTCTTCTTTTTTTAGCTTCCCAAGGTGCATACTTGGTGATTTATTTTAAATTTTTTTCTCATCTCAATGTTATAAATTTTTCTGTAAGATTGTTTCACTGTGTCCCATAGATACTGATATGTTTTCATTTTTATTTAATTCAAAGTACTTTTAAATTTTTCTTGAATTTTTTGACCCATGTGTTATTTAAAACTGTATTGTTTAATATGGAGTGGTTTTTTTTTTTTTTGGATTTTCCACCTATCTTTCTCTTGATTTCTAGTTTAATTCCATTGTGATGTTGTTGGGCTCAACTCCACCCTTACAGATTTTCTTGCCTGATAGATATGTTCATCTCTTATAAAGGGTTGTTGAGGTATCTAACTCTAATAGTGTATTCATCTATTTCTCTTTGAAGTTCTATCAGTTTTTGCCTCATGTATTTTGATGCTGCATTGTTAGGCACATATACATTAAGGATTATTATATCTCCTTGGAGAATTAAATTAACATTATGTAATGCCCTTCTTTATTCCTGATAATTTTTCTTTATCTGAAATCTGCTCTGCCTGAAATTAATATAGTTGCTTCTGCATTCTTTTAATTAGTATTAGTATGGTATATCTTTCCCCATTCGTTTAATGTATATGTGTTTTCAAGCTTAAAGTGAGTTTCTTATATACAACATACAGTTGGATTTTGTTTCTTCACCCACACTGACAATCTCTGTCTTTTAATTGGTACATTTAGGCCATTGATGTTCCAAATGTTTCCTAACAGAGTTAAATTTATATCTATGATATTAGTTACTGTTTTCTTTTTTATTGTTTTTAATTACACTATAAGTTACGGGATACATGTGCAAAACTTGCAGGTTTGTTGCATAGGTATACGTGTGCCATGGTAGTTTGCTGCACCCATCAACCCATCATCTACATTAGGTATTTCTCCTAATGCTATACCTCCCCTTCCCCCCAACCCCTGACAGGCCCTGCTGTGTGATGTTTCCCTCCCTGTGTCCAAGTGTTCCCATTGTTCAACACCCACTTATGAGTGAGAACATGTTTGGTTTTCTGTTGCTGTGTTAGCTTGCTGAGAATGATGGTTTCCATCTTCATCCATGTCCCTGCAAAGGACATGAACTCATTCTTTTTTATGGCTGCATAGTATTCCATGGTGTATATGTGCCACATTTTCTTGATCCAGTCTATCACTGATGGACATTTGGGTTGGATCCAAGTCTTTGCTATTGTAAATAGTGCTGCAATAAACATATGTGTGCATGTGTCTTTATAGTGGAATGATTTATAATGCTTTGAGTATATACCCAGTTATAGGATTGCTGGGTCAAATGGTATTTCTGGTTCTAGATCCTTGAGGAATCACCACAGTGTCTTCCAAAATGGTTGAATTCATTTACACTCCTACCAACAGTGTAAAAGCATCTTATTTTTCCACATCCTCTCCAGCATCTGTTGTTTCCTGACTTTTTAATGATTGCCATTCTAACTGGCATGAGATGATATCTGATTGTGGTTTTGATTTGCATTTCTCTTATGACCAGCAATGATGAGCTTTTTTTTTCATATGTTTGTTGGCCACATAAATGTCTTCTTTTGAGAAGTGACTGTTCATATGCTTTGCCTACTTTTTGATGGGGTTGTTTGTTTTTTTCTTGTAAATTTGTTTATATTCCCTATAGATTCTGGATACTAACCCTTTGTCAGATGAATAGATTGCAAAAATTTTCTCTCATTTTTGTGGGTTGTCTTAACTCTGATGATAGTTTCTTTTGTGGTGAAGAATCTCTTTAGTTTAATTAGGTCCCATTCATCAATTTTGGCTTTTGTTGCCATTGCTTTTGGTGCTTAGTCATGAAGTCTTTGCCCATGCCTATGTCCTGAATGGTATTGCCTAGATTTTCTTGTAGGGTTGTAATGGTTTTAGGTCTTACATTTAAGTCTATAATCCATCTTCGGTTAATTTTTGTATAAGGTGTAAGGAAGTGGTCCAGTTACAGTTTTCTGCATATGGCTAGCCAGTTTTGCCAACACCTTTTATTAAATAGGGAATCCTTTCACCATTGCTTGTTTTTGTCAGGTTTGTCAAAGATCATATGGTTGTAGATGTGTTGTATTATTTCTGAGGCCTCTGTTCTGTTCCATCGGTCTATATATCTGTTTTGGTACCAGTACCATGCTGTTTTGGTTACTGCAGACTTGTAGTATAGTTTGAAGTCAGGTAGCATGATGCATACAGCTTTGTTCTTTTTGCTTAGGATTGTTTTGCCTATATGGGCTTTTTTAGTTCCTTATGAAATTTAAAGTAGTTTTTTTCTAATTCTGTGAAGAAAGTCATTGGTAGCTTGACGGGAGTAGCATGGGAGAGCAGGAGCTCTTGTAAGGCAGGTCTGGTGGTGACAAAATCCCTCAGGATTTACTTGTCTGGAAAAGATTTTATTTCTTCTTCACTTCCCTTTGCTTAAGAAGTATAGTTTGGCTGGATATGAAATTCTTGGTTGAAAATTCTTTTCTTCAAGAATGTTGAATATTGGCCCCCACTCTCTTCTGGCTTGTAGGGTTTCTGCAGAGAGATTCACTGTTAGTCTGATAGGATTTCCTTTGTGGGTAACCTGACCTTTCTCTCTGGCTTGCCTTTAACATTTTTTCCTTCATTAAAACTTTAGTGAATCTGACGATTATGTGTCTTGGGGTTGCTCTTCTCGAGGAGTATCTTTGTGGTGTTCTCTGTATTTCCTGAATTTGAATGTTGGCCTGTCTTGCTAGGATAGGGAAGTTCTCCTGGACAATAACCTGAAGAGTGTTTTCCAACTTGGTTCTATTCTCCCTGTCACTTTCAGGTACACCAGTCAAACATAGATTTGGTCTTTTCACATAGTCCCTTATTTCTTGGTGGCTTTGTTCATTGCTTTTCACTCATTTTTCTCTAATCTTGTCTTCATGCTTTATTTCATTAAGGTGATATTCAATTTCTGATATCCTCTCTTCTGCTTGATCAGTTCAGCTATTGATACTTGTGTATGATTCACGAAGTTCTAGTGTTGTGTTTTTCAGCTCTATCAGGTCATTTATAATCTGTTTTAAACTGATTATTCTAGTTAGCAGTTCTTGTAACCTTTTATCAAGGTTCTTAGCTTCCTTGCACGGGGTTAGAACATGCTCCTTTACCTCAAGGACTTTGTTATTACTCACCTTCTGAAACCTGCTTCTGTCAATTCATCAAACTCACTCTCTGTCCAGTTTTGTTCCCTTGTTGGCGAGGATGTTTGATGCTTTGGAGGAGAAGAGGCATTCTGGTTTTTGGAATTTTTAGCATTATTGCACTGGCTTTTCCTCATCTTCATGGATTTTTGTACCTTGATCTTTGATGCTGATGACCTTTGGATGGGGTTTTTGTGTAGGCATGCTCTTTGTTGATGTTAATGTTATGGCTTTCTGTTTGTTAGTTTTCCTTCTAACAGCCAGGCCTCTCTTCTACAGGTCTGCCGTAGTTTGCTGGAGGTCCACTCCAGATCGTTTTCCTGGGTATCACCAGTGGAGGCTGCAGAACAGCAAAGATTGCTGTCTGCTCCTTCCTCTGGAAGCTTCGTTTCCAGAGGGGCACCTGCCAGATGCCAGCCAGTGATCTCTTATACGAGGTATCTGTCAACCCCTGCTGGGATGTGTCTCCCAGTCATGAGTCACGGGGGTCAGGGACCTACTTGAGGAGGTAGTCTGTCCCTTAGCAGAGGTGGAGCGCTGTGCTGGGTGATCCACTGCCCTTTTCAGAGCCAGGGACAGAAATGTTTAAGTCAGCTGAAACCGCACCCACAGCCACCCCTTCCCCCAGGTGCTCTGTCCCAGGGAAATGGGAGTTTTATCTATAAGCCCCTGACTGGGGCTTCTGCCTTTCTTTCAGAGATTCCCTGCCCAGAGAAGAGGAAGGGTTCCAGGCGCCATTGGGGTATGAAAAAGAAGTCCTGCAGCTAGCTCGGTTTCTGCCCAAACGGCCACCCAGTTTTGTGCTTTAAACCCAGGGCCCTGGTGGTGTAGGCACCCAAAGGAATCTCCTGGTATGCTGGTTGCAAAAAGTGTAGTATCTGTGCTGGCTAGCACTGTCCCTCACGGCACAGTCCCTCATGGCATCCCTTGGCTGGGGAAGGGAGTTCCCCGATTCCTTGTGCTTCTTGGGTGACGCGACGCCCCACCCAGCTTCTGCTCACCCTCCATGGGCTGCTCCAACTGTCTAACCAGTCTTAATGAGTTGAACCAGGTACATGAGTTGGAAATGCAGAAATCAACCACCTTCTGCATTGGTCTCACTAGGAGCTGCAGACCGGAGGTGTTTGTCTTCGGCCATCTTGCTGAGTTACCCTCTTGTTACTGTTATCTATTTGTTGCCCTTGTTCTTAGTTCCTATTTTTGTCTTTCACTCTTTTTTTGCCTTTTAATTTTAATTGACCATTTTGTATGATTCTAATTTCTGTCCTTCATTAACATATCACTTATACTTCTTGTATTCCTTTATTAGTGATTGCCCTAGAATTTGCAATATATACTTACAATTAATCCAAAGTCCATTTTCAAATAACACTACACCATGTCACAGGTAGTGTGAGTAACTTATAATAATAAAACAAGTCTAATTTCTTCCTCCCATCCCTTGTATAATTTCTGTAATTCATTTCACTTATACACAAGTGCATATCTATGTATGTATAATCTATTGTTGCTATTATTATTCAATCAATTAGAATAAAAAATAAAAATCTTAATTTTTCCATAACTTATTGCTTCTTCGATGATCTTCATTTTTTTTACATAGATTGAGCTTCTGACCTTTATCATTTTTCTACCCTCTGAAGAATTTCTTTTAACATTTTTTGCAAGGAAGGTCTACTGGCAACAAATTTCCTCAATTTTTGTCTGTTTGAGAAAATCTTTATTTCTCTTTGACTTTTGAAGGACAATTTCAAAGGGTACAAAATTCTAGGTTAGTGGATTTTTGCTCTCAATACTCAATATTTCACTTCACTATCTTCTTTGTCGCATAATTTCTTAGGAGAAGTCAGATGTAATTCTTATCTTTGCTGCACTTAGATAAAGTGTTTTTGCACTCTGGACATTTTCAAAATTTTTTCTTTATTTTTAATTTTCTGTAGTTTGAAAATAATATTCATAAGTGTAGTTTTTGTTATTTGTCTTGCTTGGTGTTCTCTGATTTGATGTCTAACATTAATTTGGGAGAATTATCATCATTATTGTTTCAAAGATTTCTTTTGTTCCTTTGTCTCTTCTCCTTTTTAATTCTCATGCATATATACCTTTTTAAGTTGTCTCATTGTTCTTAGATACCCTGTTGTTTTTAAGTGTTTTTTATCTTGTTTTTCAACTTTAGCATTTTATATATAGAATTCTTCAAGCTCAGAGATTATTTCCTTATGTGTTCAGTCTACCAATAAGTCCATCAAAGGCATTCTTCATTTCTGTTACAGTGTTTTTGATCTATAGCATTTCTTTTGGGTTCTTTCTTAGAATTTCCATCTCTCTCCATACATTGCCCATCTGTCATTGTATGCTTTCTACTTTATCATTTATAATCCTTGGCATCTTAATCATACTTGTTTTAAATTCCCAGTCTGATAACTCCAAGATTCCTGACATATCTGAGTGTGGTCTGATGTCTCTGCAAATTACCTTTTTTGCCTTTTTGTACATCTTGTCATTTTTTCCTCGATACCCAGATATGATGTACAGGGTAAAAGCAAGTGCTGTAAATAGGCCTTTAGTAATGTAGTAATAAAATGTGGGGGAGAGGAAAATGTTCTATAGTCTTACAAGGAGGTCTCAGTCTTTTAGTGATTATGTACTCTAGAGACTGAACTTCACATTTGTTTCTCAGTCTCTATTCTCCTACAGTGTGACATATGGCTAGAGCAAGCTGGAGTTGGGTATTTCCCTTCCTCTAGGTCAGTTAGGTTCTGCTTACATCCCAGCAGGTGAGGCTCTGGTTAAAGGGTTTCTCCTGAGGGCAGACCTTGTGAAGAACAGAATGCTCTGGCATATTTCAAAATGGCCCCTTTTTCCCTTCCCCTGCTGGAAGCATGAAGGGATTTTTTTCCCCTAATATTTACTGTGAGAACCTGGTAGTGCTCCAGGAGGTAAAACTCACAAAAGTGTGGGAAACCTCCCAATGCCTGGGTCCCCTTGAAGTTTTTATTTCTCAGACTTGTCCACACTAAGCCTCCATCAATTAGTCAGTTATAGTTCAGGTTTCCCCACCTCAACATTTGTTCCTGTGGAAGTTTATGCTTGTGGGTTTCTGTTCCAGCAAGCTACAATTTTCTGCATTTGCCTTTTTTTCTCCCAAATTTGAAGGGTAATGATTTGTCCTGTAATCTCATCTATCTGATAGACTTAAGAAGAGTTGTTGATTTTTTTAATTTGTTTAGCATTTTACTTCTTAGAACAGAGTGGTGACTTCCAGTTTCTTATATGGTGGACCAGAAACAATAATTCCCCAGTGATTTTTGAGAATTATTTTTATTTAACAAATAGTAATTGATTGCCTATTATGTGCTTGGAGATAGAGCAGGAATAACAGTACATTTATTGCTCTGGGATTGGGAAGTGTTTATTAACAGATGATTTCTTTGCTTTTCCTATGATGCTTGAATTCTTTCTAATGAGGATGTATTTATGTACTACTTTTGTAATAAACTATTTTTTAAAATTCAAATATTGAACTTAATGAAAGGAAAACCTCCTGGCAAAACATTGAAGTCAGGCTGTTTTAAGGGGAGGAACATTTTGGGAAATTCTATGTACCAGGTGCTATACCTTCGAGGACACCCTCTGGAATATGAACTTCACTGGAAGACAGCCTACTTTGGGATGCTAAAGAAGGCTGTGAACTCTATGCTGAAGTAAATTAAAAAGGTGGACAAGGGTCCTAGGACATATGCTCAAAGTGTTTCAATATCCAAGAGTAGTAGGAATTATCTAGGCTTCAGAGTGTAGAGAGAATAAAGTGCACGGTAAAAAGAGGGAAGCATGGAGCCATGAGTAAATAATCTTATCTGATCTGAGGGCATACACAAGAGAAATTTGTAAGAATATAAAATGATTAATAAGGAGTATATCCGTTAGTGTTCATAGTTGCAAGCAACGAAACCCACTCTAGCTATTAAAAGCAATAAACACATTTTTAAAGGGATTCTAGGTGGCTTCAGTATCATTGAGAAGGCTCAAGAATGAGGATTAAGGCTAAAATTCCAGAAATAATACCGGAGGAGAACTACAAACCACTGTTCAAAGAAATAAGAGAGAACACAAACAAATGGAAAAACATTCCAACCCCATGGATAGGAAGAATCAATATCCTGAAAATGGCCATACTGCCCAAAGTAACTTACAGATTCAATATTATTACCATCAAACTACCATTGACATTCTTCACAACATTAGAAAAGTCTATTTTAAATTTCATATGAAATCAAAAAAGACCCCATATAGCCAAGACGATCCTAAGCAAAAAGAACAAATATGGATGCATCATGCTAACTGACTTCAAACTATACTACAAGGCTACAGTAACCAAAACAGCACTGTACTGGTACCAAAGTAGACATATAGACCAATAGAGCAGAACAGAGACCTCAGAAATAACACCACACATCTACAACCATCTGGTCTTCGACAAACTGGACAAAAACAAGCAATGGGGAAAGGATCTCCTATTCAGTAAATGGTGCTAGGAAAACTGGATAGTCATATGCAGAAAACTGAAACTAGAACCCTTCCTTACATCTTATGTAAAAACTAACTCAAGGTGGATTAAAGACTTAAATGTAAAACCCAAAAGCCATAAAAACCCTAGAATAAAACCTAAACAATACCATTCAGTACATAGGCAGGGGCAAAGACTTCATGACTAAAATGCCAAAAGCAATTACAACAAAAGCCAAAATTGACAAATGGGATCTAATTAAACCAAAGAGCTTCTGCATAGCAAAAGAAACTATCATCAGAGTGAACAGGCAACCTACAGAATGGGAGAAAATTTTTGCAATTTACCAATCTGACAAAGGTCTAATATCCAGAATTTACAAGGAATTTAAACAAATTAACAAGAAAAAGACAAACAACCCCATCAAAAAGTAGGTAAAGGATATGAACAGACCTTCTCAAAAGAAGACATTTACATGGCCAACAAACATGAAAAAAAGCTCAACATCACTGATTATTAGAGAAATGCAAATCAAAACCACAATGAGATACCATCTTATACCAGTCACACTGGTGACTATTAAAAAGTCAGGCAACAATAGATGCTGGTGAGGCTGTGGAGAAATAGGAACACTTTTACACTGTTGGTGAGAATGTAAATTAGTTCAACCATTGTGGAAGACAGCATGGCAATTATTCAAGGATCTAGAGCCAGAAATGCCATTTGACGCGGAAATCCCATTACCAGGTATATACTTAAAGGAATATAAATCATTCTAGTATAAAGACACATGCATATGTATGTTTATTGCAGCACTGTTTACAATAGCAAAGACATTTAACCAACCCAAATACCCATCAATAATAGGCTGGATAAAGAAAATGTGGCACATATACACCATGAAATACTATGCAGCCATAAAAAGGAATGAGATCGTGTCCTTTGCAGAGACATGGATGAAGCTGGAAGCCATCATCCTCAGCAAACTAACACAGGAAGAGGAAACCAAACACAGCATGTCCTCACTTATAAGTGGGAGTTGAACATTAAGAACACATGGACACAGAGAGGGGAACAACACTCACCAGGGCCTGTTGGGGGCTGGGAGGTGAGGGGGCGGAATTTAGAGGATGGGTCAATAGGTGCAGCAAACCACCATAGCACACATATACCTATGTAACAAACCTGGATGTTCTGCACATGTATCCTGTTTTCTTTGTTTTTTGTTTTTTCAGAAGAAATAAAGAAAAAAAAAGATGTTGGCATAGATGTGGTGAAAAGGGAACACTTCTACACTGCTGGTGGGATTGTGAACTAGCACAACCACTATGGAAAACAGTGTGGAGATTTCTTAAAGAACTAAAAGTAGAACTACCATTTGAGCCAGCACTCTCACTACTGGGTATCTACTCAGAGGTGAATAAGTAATTATACGAAAAGATACTTGCACTCACATGTTTATAGCAGCACAATTCCCAATTGCAAAAATGTGGAATGAACCCAAATGCCTATCAATCAATGAGTGGATAAAGAAACTGTGATATATACATATATATACACAATGGAATACACTCAGCCATAAAAAGGAATAAATTAATGGCATTTGCAGCAACCTGAATGGGATTGGAGACTTATTCTAAGTGAAGTAACTCAAGAATGGAAAACCCAACGTTGTATGTTCTCACGCCTAAGTGGTAGCTAAGGTATGAGGATGCAATGGCATAAAAATGACACAGTGGACTTTGGGGTCTCAGTGGTCAAGGGTGGGAAGGGCGTGAGGGATAAAAGACTACAAATTGGGTTCAATGTATACTTCTCGGGTGATGGTTGCACCAAAATCTCACAAATCACCACTAAAGAACTTGCTCACGTAACCCAGGAACATACCAACTGTTCCCCCAAAACCTATGGAAATAAAAAAAAAATAAAAATAGGATTTGTATGTGTAGAGATGTGGGTTAAAGGAGAGAGGATATCATGAGCAGCACAAAATATTTGAAGAAAGAACAAGATGTCTGTATTGGCTAAGGTTCAGGATGTACAAAAATGAAGTTGAAGATGTACATTAAGACCATATTGTGGAGGATCTTGAATGCCAAGCTGAGGGGTTCTGAATTGCATCCCATAGGCAAAAGAAAGCCACTGAAGGAACTGAGATCTTAAGTGACACAATGAGAGTTGTGTTTTAGAATGATGAATATGACATCTGTCAGGAGAGTGGTCTCAGGATTCAGAAGCTAGGAGATCATATAGCAAAGTATTGCAGTGGTCGAGGTGAGAGATAATGAGTAGTGGATAGGTAATGAAGAGGAAGAAATGGATCTCAGGACTACTATGGAGTGGGACTTATTAGATGTGGGCTGCAAAGGAGGAGACAAAAGGCAACAGTCAGGTTTTCAGCCAGGATGAATGAGGAGGCTGTTATTTGCCTTTAGACTTAGATAACTTCATGCAGCACTTTAAACTGCTAGGCCACACTACTGCCCATGGGCCAGATAACGTCAAAGAGAAAAAATATTTTGTGATTGTTATGTAGACAAAGAATTGAAACAATTAGTTTGATAATTTTAATGAAAAAAACCTGCCATTTAGGGAAAAGAGTTCCATCATCTAAACCACTTAACACTCCTTATTATGATTATGTAGACAGAGGTGTGTAAACTTATGACAAATATGGAACCACAAAATATGTTATTTGCTGACAGGAGATGTCAAGATTCATCATTCCTCATTAATTAGTAATATATTAAATATTATTAAAATAAAGTATTTAAGCTTTATGAGGTCATGAACTTATCCTGTGTTGTTCATTGCCATAACTCATGCACCTAGAACTGGGCTTACCACACAGTAAGCAACCAATAATATATGTTGAATGTATGTATAACCAAACTAGGAAAATTTTACTCTGATCTCATTTCTAATGCCATTTATAGTCACATTGCTCTAATGGGCAGGCTCTGTGAATCTAATAGAGAACCTACATAACAATGAAATTATGAAATTAGGCATTAACAGGAAAGAAGATAAATCATTGTTTCTGTTCTGATATTTTGCTTTTATTTTTATGGGTACATAGTAGGTGTATATATTTATGGGGTACATGGATATTTTGATACAGGTATTTAATATGTAATAATTGTATCATGGAAAATGGGGTATCCATTCCCTCAAACATTTATGCTTTGTGTTACAGACCATCTAACTATACTATTTTAGTTTTTTTAAATGTACAATTAAATTATTTTGATTATAGTTACCCTGTTGTGCTATAAAATACTGGGTACTATTCATACTTTCAAACTACTTTTTGTACCCATTAATTATCCCCACCTCTCCCCAACCCCCACTATCCTTCCCAGTCTCTGGTAACCCATCCTTCTACTCTCTATGTGTTCAATTGTTATGAGTTTTAGATCCCACAAATAAGTGAGAACATGTAAAATTTGACTTTTTGTGCCTGGCTTATTTCACTTAACATGATGACCTTCAGTTCCATCCATGTTGTTGTAAATGACAACATTGTATTTTTTGTGGCTGAATAGTACTCAATTGTGTATAAGTGCCACATATTCTTTATTCATTCGTCTATTCATGGACACTTATGTTGCTTCCAAATCTTGGTTATTATGAACAGCACTGCAACTATTTTTGAGCATTGAAATTATTGACTAGCCCACTGCTGTTAGGTGAAAATGAGCACTCCATTCCCAAACAAAATCAGAAACTAAAAGCAACAGAGTTATTATCATACCTGAATAGGACCAGCCACATAATTTGCAGGGGCCAGTGCAAAACAAATGTGTGGGGCTTCTTGTTTAAAAAAAAATGCCTTTAGAGGTACTAAAATATAAAGCTTTTTTCCCTTTCTTCTGCAGCCTGTCACACCCCTCTCTGTTGTTTAATGCTATGTTAAATAGTAAAATAATAAAATTTTGAGTCATTAGCATGAATTTTAACATTAATCTTTATATTGTGCAATGTTCAGTTTCAGATGCAAATATAAGGGCATTGAAATCATATGGAATCACTGAAACGATATAATTCATATTTTATAGCCCAAACATGCACATGCATTTTGTTCTTACCAGAACAGTAGAAACACTGCACAGAATTAACTCAACTGTTTTTCTTTCAGTTATTGTTACACTCATATTCTACCAACAGTATCTTCAGCTTACTAATGAATATGAAAGGATTGAGAGGGAAAGGAAAAATGGTTTCTTCTACCTTTCCGTTTTCTTATTTGTATTGTTTTCATCTTAAGTAGTTGGTTGATATGGGGAAGTAACATAAATAAGAAATAATATCGTAATTGTCCCTGATAGTTCATATTTTTTAGAATCCTGTTGCTTTCTTTCCCTGTTAGAGCTAAGTTCTCATAGGAATGGAAACTGTGACCTCTCTAACAGCAACTTTCTTACTCATTTTAAGTCTCACTGAACTACCACACTGAGTGGGTCCACAGGAATTCTGTGCTCTGGGGCATCCATGAACACTACATACAAATAGGGTGGAATTGTGGTGGATATGCATATTGCATGTATTTCCTCTGCTCATATGCGTCTTCCATTGTCCCATCTGACTACACTTACAAAACACAATTTTAAAGATAAAATTGTTAAGAATGTCAAGATGGTGACAGCAGAACACTAAATCCAGCATGCACCGTGCTCTTCTGAGTGTGGAGTCCTATGTGACTCTACAGGTCATATGCCCATGAAGCTGTCCATGGACCTTATCCTACATTGTTCTCCCAAACAGAAAAAAAAAAGAAAAAGTATGTATGTTAACATTGTGGGTGGTCACATCAGAGTGAGGAGGTAGCAAACTTTCCCGATCCGGCCATCAACAATGAAAACTCTAAAAAAGGATCTTTAAGTCACTTGGTTAGGAAAAGAGAATGATTAAAAGTATTTTCTGGCTGGGCACGGTGGCTCACACCTATAATCCCAGCACTTTAGGAGGCCAAGGTGAGTGGATCACCTGAGGTCAGGAGTTCAAGACTAGCCTGGCCAACATGGTGAAACCCCGTCTCTACTAAAAATACAAGAATTAGCTGGGCGTGGTGGTGGGTGCCTCTAATGCCAGCTACTTGGGTGGCAGAGGCAGGAGAATGGCTTGGGCCCAGGAGGCAGAGGTTGCAGTGAGCTAGTGAGCTAAGGTCAAGCCACTGCACTCCAGCCTGGGAGACTGAGACTCTGTTGCAAAACAAAACAAAAAAACAACCACAAAATTCTTCTGCTTGTTGGAGCTTCTGTGAATGTCCTTATTCACATATATACAAACATCCTCAGTAGATGTTTACATCCTCCTGTATAGGTCCTCCACACTCATATAATCACAATGGTCACAATCTCTAACAACTCCTACATGTGCACATTTCTAGCTCAATACAGCAAGATGTCTACCATCACAGTTAGAAAATAAAGGTAGAGAGAATGTGAAAGAAAGGAAGTAAGGAAGGTAGAAAGAAGGAAAAGGAAGAGAGGAATGAAGGAAGACGGGCTGGAAAGCAGTGGGTAAACAGACAAGCAGGTGAAAGAAGTATGAAGACTGAATGTTAGATAAGAGAAAAGATAAGGACAGACAGGAGGGTGGGCAGAATGAGTTAGACCATGATAAATGGAAGCACTTGCGGCTGTTCTGTATTGACAGAAAATGAAGTTGAGTGATTAAAAACTCTGACTTAATTACAGATAAAGACCAATTTTCTCAAAATATGGGACCCACTCTATATCTCATATATATGTAGCTAGTTGAGAGATTATGAAAGATTTGACTCTAATAACAGAATCAAACAATAACCTATTTCACTCTGCTACAGAGTACAGCACATCCAGCTCCTGTCTCTGATAGGGTTGACTGAACTTCTTAAAAGAAAATTTAGTTTCTGACCACATTAGTTATGTTTCAGTAATGCTAGTTTGCTGTTTCTTACTTTATTGAGGTTTCTGAAATGCCCATTAGTTTTAGCTGCAACTAGGCCTCTATGCATACAGGGTCACAGCAATAACACTTTGAGTTTCTCCTCTTATGAGGAGTATGAGGTCTCCAAGGAAACAACACAGGGCAATTGTACCAGCTGCTGTTTGGGGTCTTGAAAGCTACTGGAAGTGAATTTTCTTAAAATTGAGACCTTATTAAACTTTATGGTACATTTTCCTCCAAGGACATCAGCAGAAGCAGCATTTTAAAACAAGATTGTTATTACTTGAGAGTAGGTCAAAAGCACTGCACATTTATTTGGTTCAATTTTAGTGCTCCCTCTCCACCTACCCATCTATTTTTTTTCTTTCTGAAATAGTTTTGGACTTCCTGTTTATGTACAGTGGGGCATGATTACTAAATTTTAAATAAGAACGTGTCCAGGAATTTAACCATTTCTTTTAGATTTTCTAGTTTATTTGCGTAGAAGTGTTTATAGTATTCTCTGATGGTAGTTTGTATTTCTGTGGGATCAGTGGTGATATCCCCTTTGTCATTTTCTATTGTGTCTGTTTGATTATTCTCTCTTTTCTTCTTTATTAGTCTGGCTAGTGGTCTATTTTGTTAATCTTTTCAAAAAAAAAAACAGCTCCTGAATCCATTGATTTTTTTTTTTTTGAAGGGCTTTTTGTGTCTCTATCTTTCAGTTCTGCTCTAATCTTAGTTATTTCTTGTCTTCTGCTAGCTTCTGAATTTGTTTGCTCTGGATTCTCTAGTTGTTTCAATTGTGATCTTAGGATGTTGATTTTAGATGTTTCCCATTTTCTGATGTGGGCATTTAGTGCTATAAATTTCCCTCTAAACACTGCATTAGCTGTCTCCCAGAAATTCTGGTATGTTGTCTCTTTGTCCTCATTGTTTTCAAAAAACTTTGTTGTTTCTGCCTTAATTTTGTTATTACCCAGTAGTCATTCAGGAGCCGGTTATTCAGTTTCCAAGTAATTGTGTGGTTTTGAGTGAGTTTTTAAATCCTGAGTTCTAATTTGACTCCACTGTAGTCTGAGGGGCTGTTTGTTATGATTTCTGTTCTTTTGCACTTGCTGAGGAGTGTTTTACTTCTAATTATGTGGTCAATTTTAGAATAAGTACAATGTGGTGCTGAGAAGAATGTATATTTTGTTGATTTGGGGTGGAGAGTTCTGTAGATGTCTATTAGGTCTGGTTGGTCCAGTGCTGAGTTCAAGTCCTGAATATCCTTGTTAATTTTCTGTCTCATTGATCTAATATTGACAGTGGTGTGTTGAAATCTCCCACTATCTCTCTGTCAAAGGTCTAATATCCAGAATCTACAAGGAACTTAAACAAATTTACAAGAAAAAAAAACTTCATTAAAAAGTGGGTGAAGGATATGAACAGACACTTCTCAAAAGAAGACATTTATGCGGCCAAGAAAAATGAAGAAAAACTTATCATCAGCGGTCATTACAGAAATGCAAATCAAAACCACAATGAGACACCATTTCACACCAGTTACAATAGCAATCATTAAAAACTCTGGAAACAACAGATGCTGGTGAGGATGCAAAGAAACAGGAAAGCTTTTACACTGTTGGTGGGAGTGTAAATTAGTTCAGCCATTGTGGAAGACAGTATGGCAATTCCTCAGTGATCTAGAACCAGAAATACCATTTGACCCAGCGATCCCTTTACTGGGTATATACCCAAAGGATTATAAATCATTCTTCTATAAAAACACATGTACACGTATGTTTATTGCAGCACTATTTACAATAGGAAAGACTTGGAACTAACCCAAATGCCCATCAATGATAGACTGGATAAAGAAAATGTGGCACATATACACCATGGAATACTATGCAGCCATAAAAAAGAATGAGTTCATGTCCTTTGCAGGGACATGGATGAAGCTGGAAACCACCATCCTCAGCAGACTAATACAGGAACAGAAAACCAAACACCACATGTTCTCATTCATAAGTGGGAGCTGAACCATGAGAATACATGGACACAGGGAGGGGAACATCACACACCAGGGCCTGTCAGGGAGTGGAGGGTTAGGGGAGGGGGAGCCTTAGGAAAAATACCTAACGCATGCGGAGCTTAAAACCTAGATGATGGGTTCAAATCACCATGGCACATGTATACCTATGTAACAAACCTGCCCATTCAGCACATGTATCCCATAACTTAAAGTAAAATAAAATAAATAAAATAAATTTAAAAAATAGAAAAAATAAGAATGAAATTTTGTACTACTGCAGAAACTTTCGTGGAACTGTTCAAAATATTTTTCAGAAAAAACTTGCTGATGTCCCAGTATTCAAAAGAAATTGGGCAGGTTGTTTTTCTTTTGCACACTTTACATTGCTACTGTAAAAAAGAACTGTAGGCTGCATTCTTTCTTTTTTTTTGACGGAATTTTGCTCTTGTTGCCCAGGCTGGAGTGCAATGGCATGATCTCAGCTCATGGCAACCTCCGCCTCCCAGGTTCAAGCAATTCTCCTGCCTAAGCCTCCCTAGTAGCTGGGATTACAGGCATGTGCCACCACACCCGGCTAATTTTGTATTTTTAGTAGAGACGGGGTTTCTCCATGTTGGTCAGGCTGGTCTCGAACTCCCGACCTCAGGTGATCCACCCGCCTCAGCCTCCCAAAGTGCTGGGATTACAGGCATGAGCCACCACGCCCGGCCTGTAGGCTGCATTTCTAATTCCAATGGGGAAGGAAAAGACTATGGCAAAAGAGGTTTCCTCTTCAGAAAAAATTTACTTTTTCCCAGTTTCACTGAAGTATAAATGTATAAAAGTTGTATATATTTATGGTGTACAATGTGATGATTTGATGTACATATGCATTATAAAATGATTACTACAATTAAGTTAATTAACACATCCATCACCTCAAATACTTTTTTTGTCATAACACTTTAGATCTACTCTTTCAGAAAATTTCAAGTATACAATATAGTATTATTAACTATAATAAGAAACTTCCTCTTGAAACATCTTAATAATACTAATATTTTGCTTTATATAAGCTCCTTTCATTAACTGCCTTTACAATTCATTAATTAACTGAAACTTATAAATTCCTATAAGGTAGAGTAAGTGTTAAACCATTTTCATATGATAAACTAGACACAGAGAGAGCAAACTATTTGCCTGCTAGCATATACCCAACCAATGCCAGAACCAACTAGGGAGCTCAGGGCCCTAATAAAAACATGGCACAAGGAGGGAGCCAGAGCAAAATGACTGAATAGAAACCTCCAGTAATTGTCCCCCAACAGAAACACCAAAATTGAACAGGTATCGTTGCAAGAAAGCACCTTCATAAGAACCAAAAATCAGGTGAGCAAACACAGTACCTGCTTTGAACATTATATCAAGGAAAGAGGCACTGAAGAGGGTAGGAAAGATGGTCTTCCATTGCCTACATTACCCTCCCCAATCTCCAGCACCACATAGTATGGAAAGAGAATCTGTGTGCTTGAGGGAGGGAATGCGAAGTGATTGTATGACGTTGCATTGAAACTAAGCGCTGCCCTATCTATCACAGTGAAATACAACACAGAATTCTGCCAGCACCCATGAAGGGAGCATTTAAACTAGCTCCAGCCATAGGGGAATTCTCCATCCCAGAAGTAGGAACCTGAGTTCCAGCTAGCTCCACTACCAGCTGATTAAAATGCCCTGAGGTCCTGAATAAATTTGAAAGGTAGTCAAGCCACAAGGACTGTAGTTTTTGGGCAAGTCTGGGTTCTGTGCTAGGCTTAGAACTAGTGGAATTGGAGTGCATGCAACCCAGTGAAATATCAGTTGTGGCAGCTGAGGGAGTGCAGGTGTCACCCATCCCACAGCTCCAGGCAGTAAAGCTTGGAGAGAGACTCCTTCTGATTGCAGAAAGGAGAGGGAAGAAAACTTTGTCTTGCAATTCAGCCACATTAAAATAAAGCACCAAGCAGATTTCTGAAGCCCCCAGTCTCAGACCCCAGCTCCCGGATGGCATTTCTAAACCCACCCTAGGCCAGAAGGAAAACAGCAGTGGTGAAGAGAAAGACCCTGTCCTGGCAGGGTTCATCACCTGCTGACTAAGGAGCCCTTGAGCCTCGAATAAACATCAGCAGTAGCCAGGCAGTAGTAATCATGGGCCTTGGGTGAGACCAAGCAGTGTGCTGGCTTTGGGTGTGACACAGTGCAGTCCCAGATGTAGTGGCCATGGGATTACTTGCAACATTCTTTCCACAACTTCAGGCAGTCCAGGATGGAACGAAGGATTTCTTCTGCTTGGGGAAAAGTGAGGAAAGAACAAGAGAACCAACCTGGTAATCTAAGGAATTCTCCTGGATCCTACCCAAGCCTACCAAAGTGGTCCAAGAGTTGCAGTGTTACTGGGCTTGGGGCACTTCCTAGTGCAGACATGGCTGGAGTGACCAAAGGTTTGGATCACAACACTCCTTTGTTTACCTTTCAATACCTGAAAACCTTTGAATACCTCAAAAGCCTTTTCAAGAAGGATGGGTATAAACAGGCACGGACTGTGAAGATGAGAATAAATAACATTTCAGTGTCCAGGCTTTGACAAATATCCAAAGCATCAAAAACACCGAGGAAAAACATAATCTCACCAAATGAACTAAATAAATCACCAGTAATCAATCCCAGAGTGACAGAGATATGTGAGTTTTCAGAGAGAGAATTCAAAATTCTCTGCTGTTATGAAAAAGCTCGACAAACTTCAAGAAAACACAGAGAAAATTCAGAATTCTATCAGATAAGTTTAACAAAAAGATGAAAATAATTTTTAAAAATCAGCAGAAATTCTTGAGCTTATTCAGTTGACAAGCTGAAAAGTGCATGACAGTCTGTCAACAGCAGAATTAATCAAGCAGAAGAAAGAATTAGAGAGCTTGAAGACTAGCTATTTGAAATTATACAGTCAGAGGAGAAAAAAAAAACAGTAAAAAAGAATTAAACATGCCTATGACACCTAGAAAACAGTCTCAAAAGGGTAAATCTAGTTGTTGGCCTTAAAGAAAAGATAGAGAAAGAGATAGGGGTAGAAAGTTTATTCAAAGGAATAAGAATAGAGAACTTTAAAACTTAGAAAAAGATATCAATATTCAGGTACAAGAAGGTCATAGAGTACCAAGAAGATTTAACCCAAATAATCCCGCCTGAAGACATTTAATAATCAAACTCTCAAAGATCAAGGATAAAGAAAAGGTCCTAAAAGCAGCAAGAGAAAAGAAACAAATTACATATAAAGGAACTTCAATATATCGGGCAGCAGATTTTTAAGTGGAAAGCTTACAGGCCAAAAGACAGTGACATAACATATTCAAGGTCCTGTAGGAAAAACAAACAAACAAAAAAAAAAAACCTTCATCCTAGAATATAACACCCAGCAAAAATAGTCTCCAAACATGAAGGAGAAATAAAGATTAAGACTTTCCTAGACAAAAGAAAAGTGGAGGGATTTCATCAACACTTGACCTGTTCCACAAGAAATGCTAAAGGGAGTTCTTCAATCTGAAAGGAAAGGACATTAATGAGCAATAAGAAATCATCTGAAAGTACAGAACGCACTGGTAACAGTAAGTACAGACAAATACAGAACGTCTAACAATAATTGTGGTGTGTACACCGGGGCCTGTTGTGGGGTGTGGGGAGTGGGGAGGGATAGCATTTGAAGATATACCTAATGTTAAATGACGAGTTACTGGGTGCAGCACACCAACATGGCACATGCATACATATGTAACTAACCTGCATGTTGTGGACATGTACCCTAAAATTTAAAGTATAATAAAAAAAATACAAAATTAAAAAAAATAACTCATGCTTCTTGAATTTACATCTTATTAGTCCTAGATAATTCTCAACCATAAATTTTTGCATATTGCTCTTTTTCACTAAATATCTCCTTCTGAAATGCCCATTAGGTGAATATATGACTTTTCTTCTTGTTACATGAAGTCTATCCTTTATATAACAATATCTTGTCCACATGTGTTATCTTTATCCTGCATTTGGTGTAATTTTCTCAAATCTGTCTCCCAGTTCATGTAAAAAAACATAAACATAAGAGCACAGGCTCTAGAATTGGCATGCTACAGATCAAATCAGAACTCAGCACCTACGAGCTGTGTCACCTTGGGCAAAATGACTTGTATTTTGGTTTCCTCATTATGATTATTAGGATAATATAACTAAATATTTCATGGGGTTTTCTGAGAATTAAAAGAGTCAATATATGTGAAGTGCTTTAATATTTTCTGATATTGTATCAATAAGGTGAGTTTTTAATTTTAATGAATAAATCTTTAATTTCTGGACAAAAACATAATTGTGGTGTGTAAACATAAAAAGGTTTTTATAAAAATAACAAAAAGTTAAAAAGCAGGATGGGAGTTAAAATGCAGTTTTTATTTGTTAAAGCACAGACACTTTCTTAGCTTTCTTTATGCTTGTTTGTTGTTGTTTTTGTAACCAGAGTTTAATTCTTATCAGTTCAAAATACTTGATTATAAGAGGTTATTTGCAAGCTTCATGGTAACTTCAAATAAAAAATCCTAAAACACAGAAACAAAAAAAATATAAAGGAAGAAAGTAAAGCATATTACCATAGCAAGTTATTTTTACACAAAGGAAGGAAAGAAGGAAGGAGGGAAGGAAGGAAGGAAGGGAGGAAGGGAGGGAGGGAGGGAAGCAGGGAAGGAAGGAAGGAAGGAAGGAACCACAATCCACCAGAAAACAAATTAAAAAATGGAAGTAGGAAGTCCTTACCTATCATAACAACAGTGAATATAAAAGAACTAAACTCTCCCATCAAAAGACATAGAATGGCTGAATAAATTTTTTAAAAGGATCCAACTATATGTTGCTACAAGAAACTCACTTCATCTATAAAAACACACACAGAATGAAAATAAAGGGATGGAAAAAGATAGTCCATGCAAATGGAAACCAAAAAAGAGCAGGAATAGTCATACTTACATCAGATAAAATATATTTGAAGACAGAAACTGGAAAAAGAGACAATGAAAGTCATTATATAATGGTAAAGAGTCAATTCAGCAAGAAGAAATAACAATTGTAAATATATATGCACTCAACATTGGAGCACACAGATATATAAAGCAAATATGATTAGAGATAAAGAGAGAGAGAGACTCCAATACAATAACAGCCTGCACAGAAAATCAACAAAGAAACATCAGATTTAATCAATACCATAGAACAAATTGACCCAATAGGTATTTACAGAATATTTTATCCAACACCTGCATTTTTCTCCTCAGTACAACAATCATTCTCAAAAATGGACCATGTTAGGACACCAAAACAGTCTTAAAAATTTAAGAAAAATTATGTCAAGAATCTTCTATGACCACAATGGAATACAACTAGAGGAACTTTGAAAACTATATGAATACATGGAAATTAAACAATATGGTCTGGAACAACCAGTGGATCAATAAAGTAATTAAAATAAAAAATTTAAATTTCTTAAAACAAATGACAGTGAAAACACAACATAGCAAAATTTATTATATATTACAGAGGTGATACTAAGAGAAAAGTTTACAGCAATAAGGGCCTACATCAAAGGTAGAAAAACTTCAAATAAACAACTTAACAATACAACTTAAAGAACTAGAAAAGAATACAAACCAAACCCTGAATTAGTAGGAGAAATAATGAAGACCAGACCAGAAATAAATGAAATTTAAACAAAAATAATACAAAAGATCAACAAAACATAAAGTTGGTTCTTTTTAAAAGATAACATCAACAAACTTTTAGCCAAACTAAGAAGAGAGAAGACCCAAATAAATACAAGCAGAGATGAAAAAGGAGACATTATAACTGATACAACAGAAATTTGAAGGATTGTTAGAGACTACTATGAACAACTGTATGCCAATAAATTGGAAAATCAAGAAAATATGAATAAATTCCTAGACACATAAAACCTATCAACATTTAGCTATGAAGAAAAACTTGAATAGACTAATAACAAGTAATGAGATCAAACTCTTAATAAAAACTCTCTCAGCAAAGAAAACCCAGGACCCAATGACTTCACTGCTAAATTCTACCAAACGTTTAAAGAACTAATACTAATCCCACTTGAAGTATTCCAAAAATTTGAGGTGGAGGGAATATTTCCAAACTCATTCTATGAAGCCACTATTACTCTCAGACTCATTCTATGAGGCCACTATTACTCTGATAGCAAAACCAGATATGGACACAACAAAAAAAAACACTGTAGGTCAATATCTCTAATGAAAATAGTTGCCAAAAATCCTCAGCAAAACATTAGAAACCAAATTCAACAACACAACAAAAAGGTCATTCATCATGACCAAATGAGAATTATCCCAAGGATGCAAGAATGATTCAACATATGCAAAATAATCAATGTTGTACATCATATCAATAGAACAGAGGACAAAACCGATATAAATATTTTAATTGATGCTGAAAATGTATTCAATAAAATTCAACATTCCTTCATGATAAGAACTCTCAACAAACTGGGTATAGAAGGAACATACCTGAACATAATAAAAGCCTTATATGACAGATCCACAACTAGTATTAAATGGTGAAAAACTGAAAGCCTTTCCTCTAAGATCTGGATCAAGGCAGAATGCCTACTTTCATCATTGTTATTTAATACAGTAGTGGAAGTCCTAGCTAGAGCAATTAGACAGGAAATAAAAATAAAGAGCATCCAAATTGGAATGGAAAAATTCAAATTTTCCTTGTTTGCAGATACTACAACCTTATATCTAGAAAAACCTAAAGAATCCAACAAAAATCTATTAGAAAACTGATAAATATGTTCAGTAAAGTAGTTGCATGATACAAAATCAACATACAAAAATCAGCACCATTTATACATGCCGACAGTGAGCAGTCTGAAAAAGAAATAAAAAGTAATCCCTTTTACACTAGCTACAAATAAAATAAAATACTGAAGAATAAACTTAACTAAAGAAGTGAAAGATCACTACAATGAGATCCATAAAATTTGATGCAAGAAATTGAAGAGGACAAAAAAATTAAAAAAATATTTTATGTTCATGGACAGGAGAAATTAATATTATTAAAATGTCTATACTACCCAACGCAATCTACAGATTCAATGAAATCATTATCAAAATACCAGCAATATTTTTCACATAAATAGAAAATATAATGCTAAAATTTAGATGGAACACCCAAGACCCAGAATAGCCAAAGTCATCCTGAGCACAAAGAACAAAATGGGAGAAATCACATTACCAGACTTCAAATTATGCTACAGAGCTATAGTAAACAAACCAACATAGAACTGCCATAAAAACAGACACACAGAATAGTGATACAGAATAAGAGCCCAGAAATGAATCCATAAATCTACAGTGACCTCATTTTTCACAAAGGTGCCAAGAATATACACTAGGAAAAGGACGGTCTCTTCAGTAAATGGTGCTGGGAAAACTGGATATCCATATGCAGAAGAATGAAACTAGACTACTATCTCTCACCATATACAAAAACCAAAAGAAAATGGATTTCAAACTTAAATCTAAGACCTCAAACTATGAAACTACTTGTATTCATTCATTTTCATGCTGCTAATGAAGACATACCTGAGACAGTAATTTATAAAGCAAAAGAGGTTTATTGGACTCACTGTTCCGCATGGCTGGGGAAGCCTCACAATCATGGTGGAAGGCAAAGGAGGAGCAAAGGAGCATCTTACATGACAGCAGGCAAGAAAGCCTGTGCAGGGGAACTGCCCCTTATAAAATCATCAGCTCTCCTGAGACTTATTCACTATCATGAGTGAGACTTATTCACTATCATGAGAACAGCACAGGACAAACCTGCCTCCATGATTCAATGACCTCCCATCGGGTCCCTCCAAAGACACATGGGGATTATGAGAGCTACAGTTCAAGATGAGATTTGTAGGGGGACACAGTCAGACTATATCATTACTAAAAGAAAACTTAGAGAAACTCTGCAGAATTGGATGGGGCAAAGATTTCTTGACTGATAGCCCACAAGCACAGGCAACCAAAGCAAAAATGGACAAATGGAATCACATCAAGTTAAAAAGATTCTTCACAGCAAAGAAAACGATCAACAAAGTGAAGAGATAACCACAGATTGGGAGAAAATATTTACAAATTACCCATCTGACAAGGGATTAATAATCAGAACACATACAAAGCTCAAACAACTCAACAAGAAAACAAGCCCAAATAATCCCATCAAAAAGTAGGCAAAGAATAGACATTTCTCAAAAGAAGACATACAAATGGCCAACAGGTATATGAAAAGATGCTAAATATTACTAATCATCAGAGAAATGCAAATCAGAACTACAATGAGATATCATCTCATCCCAGTTAAAACGGCTTATATCCAAAAGACAGGCAATAACAAATGCTGGCGAGGCTGTGGAGAAAGGGAAACACATGTACACTTTTGTTGGGAATATAAACCAGTACAACCACTATGGAGAACAATATGGAGGTTCCTCTAAAAACTAAAACACCTCGTTCCTCATGATGTGCTTACTTCATATTGCATGCCTGTATCAAAACACCTCATGTACCTCATAAATATATACACCTACAGCGTACACACACAATTAAATAAATAAATAAGCTTTTTTAAAATAAAGGAGCTACCATATGCTCCACCAATCCCAATGCTGAGTATGTACCCAAAAGGAAGGAAATCAGTATACCAAAGAGATATCTGCACTCACATATTTATTGCACCAATATTCACAAAAGTCAAGATTTGGAATCAACCTAAGTGTCCATTAATGGATAAAGAAAATGTTGAACATGTACACAATGGAATATTATTCAGCCATAAAAAATAAAATTTTGTCATTTGTAACAGTGTGGATGGAACTGGAAGATGTTATGTTAAATGAAATAAGCTAGGAACAGAAAGACAAATTTTGTATGTTCTCAGTCATATGTGGGAGCTAAAAATTAAAACGATTGAACTCATGGAGATAGAGAGTAGATGGATGGTTACCAGAGGCTGGGAAGTGTAGTGGGTGTGGGGTGAATTGGGAATGGTTAATAGGTGCCAACACACAGTTAGATAGAATGAATGAAGTGTAGTATTTGATAGTAAAACAGTGACTACAGTCAATAATAATTTATTTTATAAAAATAAGTAAGGCCGGGCGCGGTGGCTCACGCCTGTAATCCCAGCACTTTGGGAGGCCGAGGCGGGCGGATCACGAGGTCAGGAGATCGAGACCATCCCGGCTAAAACGGTGAAACCCCGTCTCTACTAAAAATACAAAAAATTAGCCGGGCGTAGTGGCGGGCGCCTGTAGTCCCAGCTACTTGGGAGGCTGAGGCAGGAGAATGGCGTGAACCCGGGAGGCGGAGCTTGCAGTGAGCCGAGATTGCGCCACTGCACTCCAGCCTGGGCGACAGAGCGAGACTCCGTCTCAAAAAAAAAAAAAAAAAAAAAATAAGTAAAAGTGGATTAGAGTGTTTTTAACACAAAGAAATGATAAATACTTGAAGTGGTGGATATCCCCCCTAAAAATGTCAGTTATTCTCTTTTAAAATGTATTGAAACATAACATATGCAAAAAAGTAAAAATTTACGTTTTCAGCCCAGTTACTTTTCACAAATTGAGTGTCTCCACGTAACAGCACCCAGATGGAAAAACAGAACAAAACTAGCATCCCAGAAGCCCCCTCAAGTCTTCTAGTCAATACCTTACAAAGGGTAACTAGCATCCTGACTCATAACATCATGTATTACTGTTGCCTACGTTTGCACCTCACATAATGAAATCATACTGTAGGTACTCTTTTGTGTGTTCTTTTTGGCTTACTAGAATGTATTTATCCATATTGTTGATGGGTATTTGAATCCAGTGTTTAACTGTTATGAATACTACTGCTATGAGCATTCTTGTACATGTCTTGTGTCAATCATGTTACATCATTTATTTTGTGTGAGTATATAGGAGTGAAATTGCTGGGTTGTAGGATATGCATATGTTCAGCTTTTAGACAATATTGTGAGATAATTTTCCAGAATAATTGTCTGAATTTATACTCCCACTACCTCTATCTGAGTTCCAATTGTTTCTGATATTTGCTGTCTTTCTCATTTTAGCAATTCTGGGTCAATATATGGTAGTATCTCATTGTGGTTTTAATTTGCATTTCAATAATGACTAGTGAGGTTGAGCATCTTTTGTATATTTATTGACTTTTAAAATATCTTCTTTTTAGAAATGCCTATTTAAATCTTTTATCCATTTTTCAATTGGGTATGCCATATTTTAAAAATTGATTTGTGGATGTTCTTCATATATTCTTTTTTAAAATTTAGATTCGGGGGGTACATGAGCAGGTTTGTTATGTGAGTATATTGCATAATCCTGGGAATCAAGCTTCTGTTGAATCCAATCACCCGAATATTTAACCTAGTACCCAATAGGTAGTTTTTCAATCCTATCCGCCTTTCCTCACCCACCCTGTTTTGGATTCCCCAGTATCATTTCCATCTTAATGTTCATAGGTACTATTGTTAGTTCCCACTTATAAATGAGAACATGCAATATTTGATTTTCTGTTTCTGCATTAATTCACTTAGGATAATGGCCTCCAGCTGTATCCATGTTTCTGCAAAGAATACTATTGCATTATTTTTTATGACTGTGGTATTCTTTATGAATCCTTTACCTATCCTCTTTCAGATATATGAATTGCAAATAACTCTTATTCTATGGCTTACCTTTACAATGACAGTAACTTATTAAATATAAATAGAGCCTATTTTAAAAGACACCACAAATACCTCATGTATTCTTAGCCAGCCTCTTCGGATAGGTAGGGACAGGAAATTCTGCCCATTTTACAGATATGGACATCAGTGAACCACGTTAAGACATTAAAGCCTAGAGAGGAATCTCATTACCTTGATTTTGTTAGTGTTCCATAAATACCAGATACTATTTGGATTCCTCTCTCCTCAGACCTCTCCCACCATACAATTTGACTGCATATTAATACTTGGACTCCTCTCAGAGGAAGTACAATCTTGATGTCAACTGTAACCAAAATCAGTTTCTGGCCCTCTACTCCATTCGCTGTTCCCAGAGATATTACACAATTGTTAAACTGGTCACCAATTAAACCTATTTATAATAAGATTAAACTACAGTACTGGTGGAAAGATGCCACACACATTAAAAGTGCAGCAACTTCTATTTAGTAACAAAATTTACACTGAAATTTTAAGGTTAGCCGAGGTTAGCTAAGGCAAAAGACTAAGGTACTCAAAAGACCTACTTCTGGAAAAAAAAAAATGCTTTCAGATGCTCACTCAGTATTCATTTAAGGTAGAAAAAAAGAAAGGTTTTCTTTGTCTCCAGGAGGACATATTTACCAACTTCATAATGAAGAATAAGATTTATAACTTCAACTGAATTTTTGTCAGAGTAGGAAAAAGTGTATACCATCACAAAAAGGTGAATCTGATATCCTGATGTCTCTGCCTTTAGCCTACAGTAAGCTGGTAAAAGTCAGAGTTGTGTTGGAAGACAACAGTTACAATGGAGTGATTTCACAGATCTAAATAAGCTTTCTTCTCCCTCGGACCCAGTTGTTTCCTTTTCATCTGGTTGAAAACACACCCAAAACTTTATTTTGTACTTCAAGGTTTTGATATCTATTAAAATTAAATTTGAAGATGTGGAGCCATAGAAAAAGAAATGCTCTCAAATTCTTTCAAATACTTTCCTGAGAAAAGATTTGGATGAAGAGAAATGTGTGTGTGTGTGTGTGTGTGTGTGTGTGTGTGTGTGTGTGAAAAAGAAAATAATATATTTGTTCTGGAGGCTTTAAAGATATTGCAGCTTAAACTAAAGAAAGGGATTTCATTAGATATTTTTTCCTACACGTAATTTGTTCTAGGACTATCTCCCTGCTGGATGAGCTGTGGTCCAAATTCAATTAGACACTCTTTTCCCACCTTGAGTTTATTCCCCACTATGTGTCTTTACTGACAAGAATGTTGGCTAACAAAAAACCATATGCTAAAAGTAGTCCTTAATTTAATCTGCTTAGAAAATTGACAAGCCACATGTAGAATAAAGAAATAAATCCTCACTTCTCACTTTATACAAAAATCAGCTCAAGATGGATCAACTTATATCTAAGACCTGAAGCCATAAAAATTATAGAAGATGACATCAAAAAAACTCTTCTAGACGTTGGCTTAGGCAAAGAATTCATGACTAAGAACCCAAAAGCAAATACAAGAACAAAAATAAATAAATGGGACCTAAGTAAACTAGAAAGCTTCTGCACAGCAAAAGAAATAATCAGCAGAGTAAACAGACAACCCACAGAGTGGGAGAAACTATTCACAAGCTATGCATCCAACAATAGGCTAATATACCGAATCTACAAGGAACTCAAATTAGCAAGAAAAAAAAAAAACAAATAACCCCATCAAAAAGTAGGCAAAGCACACAAATAGACTATCCTTATACAAACAGCCAACACACATGAAAAATGCTCAACATCACTAATTATCAGGGAAATGCAAATTAAAATCACAATGAGATACCACCTTACTCCTGCAAGAATGGCCATAATTAAAAACTCAAAAAACAATAGATGTTGGCATGGATGTGGTGAAAATGGAACACTTTGATACTGCTGGTGGGAATGTAAATTAGTACAACTGCTATGGAAAACAGTATGGAGGTTCCTTCAATAACTAAAAGTAGAGCTCCAATTCAATCCAGCAATCTCACCACTGGGTATCTACCCTAAGGAAAAGAAGTCATTATATGAAAAAGATACATGCACGTGTATGTTTATAGAAGCACAATTAGCAATTGAAAAAATATAGAAACAACCTAAGTGTCCATCAACCAATGAGTGGATAAAGCATATGTGGTATATACATATGCCATGGAATACTACTCAGCCATAAAAAAGAATGAAATAATGTCTTTTGCAGCAACTTGGAAGGAGCTGTTAGCCATTATTCTAAGTGAAGTAACTCTGGAATGGAAAACCAAGTATTGTATGTTCTCACTTACAAGTGGGAACTAAACTATGTAAAGGCAAAGGCATAAGAATGACATAATGGATTTGGGGGACTTTGTGGGGAAGGTTGGGAGTGGGGTAAGGCGTGAAAGACGGCATACTGGGTACAGTATACACGGCTTGGGTGATAGGTACACTAAAATCTCAGAAATCACTACTAAAGAACTATTTATGTAACCAAAAACCACATGTACCCCAAAAACTACTGAAATAAAAAAATTTAAAAAATATATTTGGGCTAAATGCATTACCTTTGAGACTAATAAAAATTTTGTTTTATTTTTTCTCCAGTTGAAGCTGTAGTGCTGATAATGACTTAGCTCAACCATGTCCTCATTGGTGGAGCTTCCCTTGACTTTCAGTATTTAACGTAATGTTTTCTTCGTTTTCAAATAAATGTTGTACATATTTAAAAAATTAAAAATGAATAAGAATAGGCCAGGTGCAGTGCCTCAGGCCTGTAATCTCAGCACTTTGGGAGGCCGAGGCAGGAGGATTGCTCGAGCCTAGGAGTTTGAGACCAGCCTGGGCAACATAATGAGACCCGGTCTCTACAAAAAATTAAAAAACTACTCTTGCATGGTGGCACATGCCGGTAGTCCCAGCTACTTGAGAGGCTGAGGTAGGAGCATTGCTTGAGCCCACAAGGTGAAGGCTGTATTGAGCCATGATTGTGCCACTGCACTCCAGCCTGGGTGACAGAGAGAGACCCTGTCTTCCAAAAAAAAAAAAAAAAAGAGGAATAATTGTTAATTAGTACATTTAGTATATCCAATATTTTATTATTTTTATCCCATTTTTAAAATGTTTTGTTTTGCACTTTTTTGTACATAGGAAGTGTATATAGTTATGGGAATATGGGGTATTTTGATACAGGAATACAGTGTGTCATAATCACATAAGGGCAAATGGAGTATTCATCATCTCAAGCATTTTTCCTTTGTCTTACAAACAATCCAACTGTACCTTTTAGTTATTTTTAAATGTACAATTAAATTGTTGTTGACTACAGCCAACCTGTTTTGCTATTAAATACTAATCTTATTAATTATTTCTAATTATTTGTTTTACACATTTACCATCCCCACTTCTCCCCAACCGCACTATTCCCAGCCTCTGGTAGCCATCCTTCTACTCTATCTTCAGGAATTCAATTGTTTTAATTTTTAGTTCCCACAGATAAACCAGAATATATGAAGTTTGTCTTTCTGTGCCTGGTGTATTTCACTTGACATAATGATCTCCATTTCTAACCACATTGTTGCGAATGACAGGATCTTATTCTTTATTATGGCTGAAGAGTATTTCATTGTGTATAAGTACCACAGTTTGTCCATTCGTCTGTTGATGAACGCTTATGTGAATAATGCTGCAATAAACATGGGAGTGCATCAGTGGCAGGTTGGATAAAGAAAATGTGTTACATGTACATCATGGAATACTAAGCAGCCATAAAAAAGAATGGAATCATGTCTTTTTCAGGAACATGGATGGAGCTGGAGGGTATTATCCTTAGCAAACTTTCAGAAACAGAAAATTGAATACCACATGTTCTCACTTATAAGGGGGAGCTAAACGATAAGAATTTATGAGCACAAAGAAGGAAAAAACAGACACCAGGGTCTACTTTATGGGGGAGAGTGGGAGGCAGGAGAGGAGCAGAAAAGATAACTATTGGATAGTGGGCTTAATACCTGGGTCATAAAATAATTTGTACAACAAACCCCTGTGACATGTGTTTACCTATGTAACAAACCTTCACATATGTCCTCAAACCTAAAATAAAAGTTTAAAAATGAAATAAAATAAATATGGGAGTGGAAATATCTCTATGATATACTAATTTTCTTTCTTTTGGGTGGATACCTAGCAGTGAGATTTCTGTATCATATAGTAACTCTATTTTCAGTTTTTTGAGGAACCTCTAAACTTTTCTCCATAGTGGTCGTATTAATTTACATTCCCACCAACAGTGCCTAAGTGTTCTGTTTCCTTCACATTATCGCCATTATTTGTTATTGCCTATCTTTTGGACAAAAGCCATTTTAGTCCGGGTGTGGTGTCTCATGCCTGTAATCCCAGAACTTTGGGAGGCCAAGGCAGGTGGATCACTTGAGGTCAGAAGTTCGAGACCAACCTGGCCAACATGGTGAAACCCCGTCCCTAACAAAAATATAAAAAATTAGCTGAGTGGGGTGGCGCACGCCTGTAATTCCAGCTACTCAGAGGGCTATGGCAGGAGAATCACTTGAACCTGGGAGGCAGATGTTGCAGTGAGCCAAGATCGTGCCACTGCACTCCAGCCTGGGCAACAGAGTGAGAATCCATCTCAAAAACAAAACAAAACAAGCCATTTTAACTGGGGTAAGAAGATATCTCATTGTCATTTTTATTTGCATTTCTCTGATGATCTATGATGTGGAGCATCTTTTCATATACGTATTTGGCTTTGTAAATCTTGAGAAATATCTATTCGGACTTTTTGTCCATTTTATTGTTAAATCGTATAACTAGATTTTTTTCCTATAGAGATGTTTGAGCTCCTTATGTATTCTGATTATTAATCCCTTGTCAGATGAGTAGTTTGCAAATATTTTCTCCCATTCTGTGGGTTGTCTCTTCAGTTGGTTGATTTTTTCCTTTGCTGTGCAGAAGCTTTTTTACTTCATTTGATTCCATTTTTCTATTTTTGCTCTGTTTTCCTGGGCCTGTGGGGTATCAGTCAAGAAATATTTGCCCAGTGCAATGTCCTGGAGAGTTTCTCCAAATATTTCTTTTAGCAGTTCCGTAGTTTGAGGTTATAGATTTAAGTCATTAATCCATTTTAATTTGATTTTTGTATATGGTAAAAGACAAGGGTCTAGTTTCATTCCTCTGCACATGGATATCTAGTTTTCCCAGCATCATTTAATGAAGAGGCTGTTAGTTCCCTGATGTATGTTCTTGGCACCTTTGTTGTAAATGAATTCACTGTAGATGTATGGATTGTTCCTAGGTTCTCTATTCTGTTTCATTGGTCTATGTGTCTCCTTTTATGCCAATTCTATGCTGCTTTGTTTACTATACCCCTGTAGTGTAATTTAAAGTCAGGTAATGTGATTCCTCCATATTTATTCTTTTTTGCTCAGTATAGCTATGGCTATTTTGTTTTTTTTTAGGTTCCATACAAATTTTAGGATTGTTTTATCTGTTTCTATGAACAATATCATTGCATTTTGATAGAGGAGGGGTGCATTAAATCTAGATTTCTTTGGGTATTACAAACATTTTAACAATATTGATTTTTCCAATTCATGAACATGGAGTATCTTTCCATTTTTGGGGGGTTGTTCTATTCAATTTCTTGCATTCATGTTTTATAGATTCCATTGTAGAGGGATTTTACTTCTTTGGTTAAGTTTATTCCTAGGTATATTATTTTATATGTACCTACTGTAAATGGGATTATTTTCTTAATTTCTTTTTCAGATTGTTCACTGTTGGCATATAGAAGTACTACTGATTTATGTATGTTGATTTTGTATCCTGCAACTATAATGAATTTGTTTATCAGTTCTAATAGTTTTTTTGTGTATTCTTTAGGTTTTTCTTGATATAAGATTATATCAAGATATAATCTTGCAACAGGGATAATTTGACTTTTTGCATTCTAATTTGGATGCCTGTTATTTCTTTGTCCTGTCCCATTGCTCTAGCTAGGAATTCCAGTACTATGTTGAATAACAGTGGTGCAAGAGGGCATCTTTGTCATGTTCCAGATATTAAAGGGAAGATTTTCAGTCTTTTTCCCACTCAGTGTGATACCAGCTGTGTGCCTGTCACATATGGCTTTTATTATCTTGAGGTATGTTCCTTTTGTACCCAGATTTTTGAAGGTTTCTATCATGAAGAGATATTGGATTTTATCAAATGTTTTTCCAGCATCAATTTGAAATGATCGTATGGTTTTTGTCTTTCATTCTGTTATGATGTATCACATTGATTGATTTGCATATGTTGAATCATCCTTGCATCCGTGGGATGAAGCCCACTTGGTCATGACAAATGAATATTTTAATGTGGTGTTGAATTTGGATTACTAGCACTTTGTTGAGAATTTTTCCTGAATGTTTATCAGATACTGGCCTATATTTGTGCTTTTTTGATGCAACTTTGTCTGGTTTTGGTGTCAGGGTAATACTGATCTCATAGAATGAGTTTGAAAGTTTCAAGAAACTTCTCAATTTCTTTCTTAATCTCTTTATTGACCCAATGCAAGAGTATATTATATAGTTTCCATGTGTTTCTATAGTTTCCAAAATTCCTCCTGTTGTTGATTTCTAGTTTTATTTCATTGTGGTCAGAGATGGCTGATATTTCAATTTTTGAATGTTTTCATACTCTTTTTGTGGCCTAACCTATGATCTATCTTTGAGAATAATCCATGTGCTGAGGAGAAAAATGTGTACTCTGGAGCTGTTGGATAAAATGTTCTATAAATATCTATTAGGTCCACTTGGTCTATAGTACAGATTAAGTTTGATGTTTTTTCATTGATTTTCTGTCTGAAAGCATTTATGTCATTGCATTTTGTTAGAGGAGGGGTGCATTTAATCTATAGATTACTTTGGGTAGTACAAACATTTTAACAATATTGATTCTTCCAATTCATGAACGTGGAATATCTTTCCATTTTTTTGTGTGTCCTATTCAATTTCTTGCATTAATGTTATATAGGTTCCATTGTAGAGGTATTTTACTTCTTTGGTTAAGTTTATTCCTAGGTATATTATTTTATATGTACCTACTGTACATGTATATGTATATGTAGATGTACTGTACATGTAAAGTCCAATGCTGAAAGTGTGGTGCTAAGGTCTCCAGCTATTATTGTATTGGAGTCTCTCTCTTTAGCTCTAATAATACTGGCTTTATATATTTTGGTGCTGTAGTGTTGGATGCATGCATATTTACAATTGTTATTTCCTCATGCCAAATTGATGGATTTATAACTATATTATTTGTCTCTTCTTTTAGTTTTTGTCTTGAAATCTACTTTATCTGATATAAATTTAGCTACTATCCTGCTCTTTCCTGGTTTTTGTTTATATGCTGTATTAGTTCATTTTCATGCGACTGATAAACACATACCAGAAAGTAGGAACAAAAAGAGGTTAAATTGGATTTACAGTTTCACATGGCTGGGGAGGCCTCAGAATCATGGCAGGAGGCAAAAGGAACTTCTTACATGGTGGTGGCAAGAGAAAAATGAGGAAGAAACAAAAGTGGAAACCCCTGATAAACCCATCAGATCTTGTGAGACTTATTCACTATCATGAGAATATCATGGGAAAGACTGGACCCCACGATTCAATTATCTCCCCCTGGGTCCCTCCCACAACATGTGGGAATTCTGGGAGGTAAAATTCAAGATGATATTTGGGTGGGGACAGAGAGACAAACCATATCATTCCATCCCTGGCCCCTCCAAATTTCATGTCCTCACATTTTAAAACAATCATGCCTTCCTAACAGTCCCCCAAAGTCTTAACTCATTTCAGTATTAACCCAGAAGTCCACAGTCCAAAGTCTCATCTGAGACAAGGCAAGTCCCTTCTGCCTATGAGCCTGTAAAATCAAAAGAAAGCTAGTTACTTCCTAGATACAATGGGGGTACAGGTATTGGGTAAATACAGCTGTTCCAAATGGGAGACATTGGCCAAAACAAAGGGGCTACAGGGCCCATGCAAGTCCAAAATCCAGAAGGGCAGTAAAATTTTAAAGTTGCAAAATGATCTCCTTTGACTCCAGGTCTCACATACAGGTCACGCTAATGCAAGAGGTGGGTTCCCATGGTCTTGGGCAGCGCCGCCCCTGTGGCTTTGCAGGGTACAGCCTCCCTCCTGGTTGCTTTCATGGGCTGACATTGAGTGTCTGTGGATTTTCCAGGTGCATGGTGCAAGCTGTCAGTGGATCTACCATTCTGGGGTCTGGGGGAAAGTGGCCCTTTTCTCACAGCTCCACTAGGCAATGCCCCAGTAGGGACTCTGTGTGGGGACATGAACCCCACATTTCCATGAGGCTTGCAAATTATGTATTATAAGACATTATTTTAAACTGTGACAATGTATCATTAATTACATAAACAAACAAGCAAAAAGAAAACTAAAAACCTCTGTACTTTGACTTCATTGCCCCACTTTTAAACGTTTTGTTGTTTCTATTTATACCATATTGTATGTATTTATACCATACAATATGGTATAAAGACTATCTCTGTCTTAAAAAGTTGTTGTAGTTATCATATTTGTTTGATATCATCTTTTCATGTTTCTACCTAAGATATGAGTTGTTTACACACCACAATTAGTGTTGTACCGTTCTGTGTGATTCTGTGTACTTACTATTACCAGTGAATTTTGTACCTT
Source organism: Homo sapiens (assembly GCF_000001405.40). Lineage (NCBI taxonomy): Eukaryota > Metazoa > Chordata > Mammalia > Primates > Hominidae > Homo > Homo sapiens. The sequence goes on along the minus strand of NC_000023.11, from coordinate 108,972,534 downwards.
CAGATAATTTCTTTTTTTAAAAAATTTATTTTATTTTAGGTTCCAGGATTCATGTGCAGAACATGAAGGTTTGTTACATAGGTAAACGTGTGCCATGGTGGTTTGCTGCACCTATCAACCCATCACCTAGGTATTAAGCATTAGCTATTTGTCCTAATTCTCTTCCTCTTCCCACCCTGACAACAGGGCCCGGTTTGTGTTGTTCCCCACCCAGTGTCCTTGTGTTCTTATTGTTCAGCTCCCACTTATGAGTGAGAACATGTGGTGTTTGGTTTTCTGCAGATGATTTCTTATTGCTTATTAACATTATTTTCTTTCAGACTGAGGAACTCCCTTCAGCATTTCTTGTAGGACAGATCTGGTGTTGAAGAAATTCCTCAGCTTTTGTTTGACTGGAAAAATCTGTTTCTCATTCATGTTTGAAGGACATTTTTGCCAAATATACTAGTCTGGGATACAATGGTTTTTTTTTGCCTTCAGCACTTTAAATATGTCATACCACTCTCTCCTGGCCTGTAAGCCTTCCACTGAGAAGTTTGCTGCCAGCCATATTGGAGCTCCATTGTATGTTATTTGTTTGTTTTTTTCTCTTACCCATTTTAGGATATTTTATTCATCCTTGGACTTTGAGAGTATGATTATTCAATGTATTGAGGTAGTTTTCTTTGGGTTAAATCTGCTTTATGATCTATAACTTTCTTGTATTTGAATGTTGATGTCTTACTCTAGGTTTGGAGAGTTCTCTGATATCAACCCTCTGGTAAACTCTCTACTCCTATCTCTCTTTCCACCTCCTCTTTTAGGCCAATAACACTTAAATTTGTCCTTTGGAGGCTGTTTTCTAGATCTTGTAGCAAGCTTCTTTCTTTCCTCTTCATTTTATTTGTTTTTTAATGTTTCCATAAGTTATTGGGGTACAGGTAGTATTTGGTTACATAAGTTCTTTAGTGGTGATTTATAAGATTTTGGTGCATCCATCACCTGAGCAGTATACACTGCACCATATGTGTAGTCTTTTATCCCTCACCCCGCTCATGCTCTTTCCCCCAAGTCCCCAAAGTCTATTCTATCATTCTTATGCCTTTGTGTCCTCATAGCTTAGCTCCCACATATCAGTGAGGACATATGATGTTTGGTTTTCCATTCCTGGGTTACTTCACTTAGAATAATAGTCTCCAGTCTCATCCAGGTTGCTGCAAATGCTGTTAATTCATTCCTTTTATGACTGAGTAGTGTTCCATCATATATGTATATCACAATTTCTTTATCCATTCATTGATTGATCTTCATTCTTTCTTATTCTTTTTTTCTTTTGTCTCTCTTGACTATATATTTTCAAATATTCTATCTTAAAACTCACTGATTCTTTCTGGTGATTAGCCCTCACCACTGGAACTGTGCTAGGTCATTCCTGAAGCTGGCACACACTGAGTCTTACCCATGGCCCTCTGTAACCACTACCTGGCTACCATCTATGTTTGCTCAAGGCTCTAGTAATCTAAAATCAGGAGGTGGTGAAGCCAGTCAGTCTTGTGAACTTCCCTTCATGGTGGTGAGGCCCCCTGGACCCTGGGCACATCCAGAGATGCTGTCTCAGAGTCGGGGCCTGGAGTCAGAAATCTACCTGGTACCCTATTCTACTGCAGCTAAGCTGGAACCAGAAATACAAGACAAAATTTTTCCCACCCTTCCCTCCCCTTTCCTCATGCAGAGGAGTCTCTCCCTATGTCCACGACCACTACAGGTTTATGGGGAATACTGCCAGGGTAACACTGATGTTCACTTAAGGCCCAAGGGCTCTTCAGTCAGATTGTGGTGAATGCTATCAGGCTTTTTATTTACCCTTCAGGGCAGTTGGCTCCCTCTGGCTCAGGGTAGGTCCATAAATGCTGTCCAAGAGCCAAGGCCTGGAATTGGGGACCCCCAGAGCCCACTTGATGCTTTACCTCACTGTGGTTGAGCCAGAACTTAAACTTCAAGACAAAATCCCTTTTACTTTTCCCTCTCATTTTCTCAAGCAGAAGCAGGCTCTCCTTGTAGCCACAACAGCTGTGAATATGTTGGGTCACACCTAAAGCCAGCATGTCTTAGAGTTTTACCCAAGGCCCACAGTGTGTACTACCTAGTTACCACTGCTGACTATTCAGGGCCCAAGGGCTCTTTACTCAGCAGGTGATGAATCCTGCCAGGACTGGGTCTTTTCCTTCAAGGCAGTGGGTTCTCTTCTGGCCCAGAATTTGAAATGTCATCTGGGAGCTATGGCCTGGAATAGGGGCCTCACAAGTCTGCCCAGTGCCCTATTCTGCTGTGGCTGAACTGATATCCAAGTTGCAAGACGAATCCTCTTTAGTCCTCCCTCTCCTCTCCTCAAGCAGAAGGTAGGGGTCTCTTTTGGAGCCGTGAGCTGTGCTGCTTGGGTTTGGGGAAGGGGTGAGGCAAACACTCCTTTAGCCACCCCTGCTGGTGTTCACTAGGTCATGTGCCCCCCCAAGTCCACTAGCTCCAAGTCCAGTACAGAACTAGGACTTGCTTAGGAGTTGCAGTCCTTGTGACCTAGATTGCCTTTCAGGTTCATTTAGCACCCTAGAACACTTTAGCCCAGTGTGGCAGGGCTTGCCCAAACTCAAGTTCCCATTGCTGGGAGGTATGATTCCTCTCTGGCTAGGTCTGGTCTAAATGCTCCCTCCATGGGCATTGGCTGAGTTCTCCCCAGTGTTGGCAGAACTGAGTTCCAATCCAAAGCCCCACAATTGCTGCACTTTCTCTCCTTCAAGTGCACAGATTCTCTCTCTGTTATGCAGCCATTGCCAGGAGATGAGGGAGGAGTGGTGTCAGCCATTCAAGACTGTCTTTCCTACCCTCTTCCATGCCCCTTTCAGTGATATGAAGTTAAAACCAAGAACTGTGATCACACACCTGATTTTTAGTTCTTAGGAAGGTGGTTTCTTTTTTTTTTTTTTTTGCATAGATAGTTGTTAAATTTGGTGTTCCTGTGAGGAGGATGATTGGTGGAGAATTCCCCAATAATCACGTAGGTTCTTTTCTATTTTCCTAAGCGTCGGCTGGCTTGAGAAATAAAGGGACAGAGTACAAAAGAGAGAAATTTTAAAGCTGGGCGTCCGGGGGAGACATCACACATTGGTAGGATCCGTGATGCCCCACAAGCCACAAAAACCAGCAAGTTTTTATTAGGGAGTTTCAAAAGGGAAGGGAGTATACGAATAGGTGTGGGTGACAGACATCAAGTACTTAACAGGGTAATAGAATATCACAAGGCAAGTGGAGGCAGAGCGAGATCGCAGGACCACAGGACCTAAGCGAAATTAAAATTGCTAATGAAGTTTCGGGCACCACTGTCATTGATAACATCTTATCAGGAGACAGGGTTTTGAGATCAACCGGTCTGACCAAAGTTTATTAGGTGGGAATTTCCTCTTCCTAATAAGCCTGGGAGCGCTATGGGAGACTGGAGTTTATTTCACCTCTGCAATCTCAACCATAAGAGACAGGTACGCCCTGGGGGGGCCAGTTCAGAGACCTACCCCTAGGTGCACATTCTCTTTCTCAGGGATGTTCCATACTGAGAAAAAGAATTCAGCGATATTTCTCCCATTTGCTTTTGAAAGAAGAGAAATATGGCTCTGTTCTGCCCGGCTCACCTGCGGTCAGAGCTTAAGGTTATCTCTCGTATTCTGTGAACAATTGCTGTTATCTTGTTCTTTTTTCAGGGTGCCCACATTTCATATTGCTCAAACACACATGCTATACAATTTGTGTAGTTAACACAATTATTACAGGGTCCTGAGACGATGTACATCCTTCTCAGCTGACAGGATTAAGAGATTAAAGCAAAGACAGGCATAGGAAATCACAAGGATATTGACTGGGGAAGTGATAAGTGTCCATGAAATCTTTACAATTTATGTTTAGAGATTGCAGTAAAGACAGGCATAAGAAATTACAAAAGTATTAATTTGGGGAACTAATAAATGTCCATAAAATCTTCACGATCCACGTTCTTCTGCCATGGTTTCAGCCGGTCTCTCTGTTTGGGGTCCGTGACTTCCCGCAACACACTCAGCCATCTTGCTTTGCCTCCCTCCTGTATATCAATTCTCTTATATAAAATAACTTAAAATTTTCCTAGGGTCCTTGATTAAAGTTACTATTATTTTGCAAATATGAAGAAATAAATTTCTAAGGTAATCTTGAGTCTGGTCAATCTAGGTTGTCCCAATTTTTGAACTGGTATAATCAGAATTTTGCACTTATTGATTTTAAAATTTACAATATAATGTATTCATGTATTAGCTAATTAATTACCTGTGTCAGGTCACTGTACTGGGAGCTTAGGATATCAAATACATCATCTTGAATATGGAAGCTGAGTGTCTAACATGGGGAACACTCATATAAAATATTGTTAAAATGTAAATCGAGAAATGTCATTGTTTTAGCAAAATATTATAACATCACAAAATAAAAATTCACTATTTGGGGTACAGCATGAGAGAGGACTTTTCAGAGAAAGCAACATTTGCGGTGGTTATTGAAGGAAGAGCAGAATTTGCTCAGTCAGTACTGGGATCAGGGATTCATTGCAAGTATGGAGGCCAGCATTATTAAAAGCAATGGCAGGTCCAGATAGTTTATATAGGAGTCACTCAGGTTGGTAATCTGGATGGCAGCAATGTTTAGGAGACTTCTCGTAAAGTAAAAAAGAAAACAAAAAAACTAAAAACAAAACACATTTTCATGGAAGACATGTCACTACTCCATAGCTTGGGTAGTTATTTGTGATAGCTTTGGAGGGCTGATGGAGGTTATGGGAGTTCTGAAGCCCTCCCAAGCTCTAACTACATGAATGAGTATATTCAGGAAATGACAAAGAATTGGCTCTGTTTGGCAGAAGCATTCAGGTGGAGGTGAGGTAGTGAAGATAGCCCTCCCTTCTCTAGTAGAAATGACAAGAAATGAAGCTTTCACCATAGCAAATCATAATCCCACCTTTTACTGAAGGACAATTCATAATTAAAAAATAAGAACCCACTTCAATTTTTACAACCAAGGCTATTCATTTGACTGGTTTTAGCAAGAGAATGTGCCTTCATTAAAGTCATTTGTTCCTATGATTAAGCACTAGCATTTTTCAAATTTACTTCAATGTTTGAAGTCCATGTGTCTTGTATTTCATGGTATGGGTAAGAAGTTCCACAAATAATTTTATATATTGGTCACTGCTAACCAGGCATAACAATTTTAGTTAACAAATGTTTATTTTTCACACTACAGGTATAACCTCGACCTCAAATCATAAATTTACTAGTTGTTCCTCCCTACAGATTGTACTAACTGCTGTTCATGCCTATCACCTCGCTGTCTCCAAACGAAATACACCTTAGTCTGGGTTGATCTACCAAACTCAAAATAAGTACAAATTTTATAACTAGCAGCATTTTCCTCACTTCTCTATACACTACACAGAACATAAACCAAATGATAAGCATAAGCAATAATAGTAAGAATGGCAATTAGGATCTTTGTTATCAAATATCAGTTTCTTTCATTAAACTGCCAATATTATAACAAACTATGTTATTCACTTCATTTTTTTTCTTCTCATGAAAGGAGCAGACATGTAGTGGGAGAGAATATCAAAAAAGACTTGAGAAGTAGCTGAACTGGCATAGAGTGTAATCTAGATGGTTATCAAGACTCACTATGAGGGAGATTCTGGGATGATAGTTGGCATACCTTCCCAATTGGGAGCAATGGTCTAATGGTGAGCAGGCAAGTACCAAACAGACGATACAAGGATGAAGGACTAAGTCAAGGTGTGGTCAGCAGGCAAAAGCAGACACATAAGCAGAGACATATTACTATGGAAGGTGAGGTGGAGAGAGGTCATGGATAAGAAGGAGAATTGAACAGGTAAGGGATTGGTAGAGATAAGGATTAGGTAGAGATAATTATAGAAGATCCTTGAGACAGGAGTTAGTGAGTTAGACAAGAAGTAAAAGTTACAAGAACTCAAGAATATAATGGGTATAGGAGTGAGTAATGATGGTCAGGCTGGGGATGGAGTCCAGTAAAGTATGAAGTTCATCAGTTATCTGAATGAAGTGAATAACAGCAGATAATTGAGTGCCACAGTGAGATCAGAGAGCTTGTAAGAAGATTGTGGTTTAAAAGAGAGCTGGATAGAATGAAGGTCTATCATTGTTGGTGAGTAGCAAATGTAACACAAAGGCAAATATTTAGAGGAACAATGACTTCTCTGTCTCTGGCATCTGACAGGTCACCAACAATAAATATTTACTAATACATGGCTCAACAAAGATGTTGCTGAGAAAATGGCTGGGGAAGAAGTGAAGAGGAAAAAGTCGTCTATATGCTAGTTATCCACAAAGAAGGTGATAAAAGGAGAGAAGTGGGTCTGAGCTATCATAGTTATAATTAGCATATGAATAAATCTTGAGATATATGAAGTTTAAGGAAAACCCTCTGAGCCTCACATTTGTTGTCTGTAGAACATGGTGGGGAAGGTTTTGTACTAGTGATCAGTAAGGTTCCCATTTAGCTCTGATACTTCATGGTTTACATTATGTGGTGAAGTTCTGAGTGTGCCACAGACACACCTCCTCTTCACTTCCACTGACTTGAAAGGACCTCCAAATATTTGAAAAGGCCTCCTTGTTGAAGCAGTAGAGAAGTCTGTGTTTTCAGGAAAGAGCCAGAATTCCACCCTGGTAAGATAAAATGGAGAGGTAAGATGAACTGTGTTCCAAGATTTGGTAGGGAGTTGAGGTTGTTCTACATAATGAACTGGAATAAAGAGAGAGATGATAAAGAACCAGAGATGTTTTTAGGGATGTAGTAAGAATATGCTATGGGATTGTTATGTTTAAAGACAGGACCACAGTAATAAGAGGTTTGAAATAGGACCAATAACGTGGAGAAGAGGGATGAGGGAGACATTTTATTGAATAATACAGTAAAGCTCCAGAGTTAGGCAGGCAGAGAGAAAGAGTGAATTCAGGGCCACAAGAGGGATATGTTAATTTGAAATTAAACAACTTGCCTTTCATTCTTATCTTCTCTTCTGGTTCTTCAACCTGTAAGTATGGACAGATAAACACCTAATTTCTATTTTTCATTTCTCTGAGGCAATATGACACAATGCAAACATAGGCGCTTTAGAGTCAAACAAATGTGGTTTGAATCCAGCTATGTACTAGCTGGATGACCTTGAATAAGTTACTTTAATGTTCTGTACCTCGTTTTTCCTCAGCTACCAAATGGATAACAGTACCTACGTCATACGATTACTGTGAGGCTTAAATGAATTAATTCAAATAAAGGCCTTCTGTCCTCTCCTCCAACTTATGGCCAACCAATCCCAACAATTACTACCTCAACCTTGATGTTACTCCTGTGCCCAAAGTAGGAACCTAAAGGGTAAAAGGCTAGTGGGTCATAAAATCCTGTTAAATGTTATGTGGCCAGACTCTTCTAGTGGAATGCACACAGGTTTTAGAATAAGGCAGAACTAAGTTCAAATCCCAATTATGTCACTTATAAGCCATTTATTTATTTATTTATTTATTTATTTATTTATTTATTTATTTATTTTGAGATAGAGTCTTGCTCTGTCACCCAGGCTGGAGTGCAGTGGCGCAATCTCGGCTCACTGCAAGCTCCGCCTCCCGGGTTCATGCCATTCTCCCACCTCAGCCTCCCAAGTAGCTGGGACTATAGGCGCCTGCCACCACACCCAGCTAATTTCTTGTATTTTTAGTAGAGATGGGGTTTCACCACTCACAGCATGGTCTCGATCTCCTGACCTTGTGATCCGCCCGCCTCGGCCTCCCAAAGTGCTGGGATTACAGGCGTGAGCCACCGCGCCCAGCCTATAAGCCATTTTAACCTTGTGTAAGTTACAGAACTTCTCTGAGCCCCCATTTCCTCACCTTTATTGTAAGGTAGAAATGAGATAAATGTAAAGTGGCAGGTACATAGTAGGCATCAATAAACTTTCATTCTCTATTTTTCATCACCAAATTTCTGGAGTATGTTGTTAATACGGTACTATTAAAAGTCTTTGGATTGTTCCACCCTCAACTTGGCTAGTTAAGGTCACTGAAAAACTCAGTGCCACATCAAGGACAATTTTTCTTTATTACATATACTTCTCTGCTGCTGTTGATAGCATGAGTCATTACACAATCTTAAACATACTCCCCAGTTTAGGCCTCAGGGATATCAGTCTTCATTGGGTTTGCATCTCATATCTTTGGCTTCTTCTGTATTATCTGTTCCCATACTTCTGAATCAAAGCATTTTCCACTGGCCTTATGACTCCCATTTGGGATTTTTTTATTATTACTCAAATGAAGCCCTGTCTGTTCTTGGAGGAACGGTTAGGGATCCCCAAATCAGTGGGACTTATAGACCTTTTCACTATAAAAAAAGAGAGAAAAGTTAGTTATTCTAAAAGCTGTCAACAAGAGATATGGAGGTACCTCTTCCTTGACTGAATTAATAAATCAATCAAGCTAAAAGTGCTATCAAGAGAGATTAGCAGCTACATGCTGATTGCCCATAGCATTGGCTTCTACTGACATTCTAAAACCACCAAGTTGCACAATTCTGGACATGGTAGGTTTACTGTACCAGGGTCAATACCATCTGTCTCCTGGATTCAATTATCATTTCTGTGGATGACACACAAATCTCCTTGTCTGTGCTGCACTTAATCCCTGGGTTCAGTCCTGTATAACTAAGGCAACCATATTTTCTGCAACAAAAATCAGGAGACACATGCATGGCCTGACAAAGGATTGTTTTTTTTCTGATCTGTGAATTATTAATATGAAGACTTGCAAAGATTGAAAAATTCAATCACATTTAGTTGTACTTTTAATGAATTTACTTTACTGAAAGATATCTAGCAGATGTCTATCGGTGTTACCATCAGCATGAACATACATTTATCCTCTGCAGCTTCCTCCAGGCTAAATTTTCCTAGCATAAATAGGAAATTTGATCTTTTTTTTACATCCTTGGTGAGGTAACTTAGGGAAATGTTCAACTTATCTAACCTCTTGCTCCACACATCAATCAGTTTTTAAATTACCACTTCTTTTAGAAAAAAAAAATGTTTTTTCGCTACTTTATTCTGCCTAACTCTGCTGCCACAGTTGTCATATATAAGGCTGATGATTCATCAATCTACGTGTGTGCCAGAAACAACTGATGAAGCTTATTAAAATACAGATTCCTGAGCCCCACCTCCACAGAGATTGATTTAATAGAGCTGGTTTAGGGCCCAGAAATTTGCAGTTTTAACAAGCTTCCAGTTGTTCCTGATGCAGGTGATCCAAGTATAGTATCACACTTTGTGTAAATCTTTTCTGTGTGAATTGTCTACTTTGGTATTTAATGTTTAAATTCAATTATTTTAGCAAAGACTTCTATTTGAGGCCATAAAAAGATATTGAGGAAAAACTAATGTCTGTGATCCAACTTGAAGATAAAATATGTGTCTTGTAGATTTCATCATGATACTGAACGAATCAAAATACCTACTGGCCTCATTCTGATAGCACTGTAATCTTATTGTGGGACAAAGTACCTGAGGAGGATAAAATAGTGGCTTGAGGGCTGAATCCGCATATTGAGACTCATAGCATAATAATGGTAATGAAACAAACAAAACCTACAAAGTGAGCAGATGGAAGCTCATCGCAGCTTCTTTTCATTTTTATTTCACTCTTATTTGAAACCTTTTTTATATTACTAATAAACTGCTTATATTCAACCAATAGTAACTTTGAATACCTGTGAATGTCCATCTTAGCATGTAAACTGACAGAGAGGTTATAATTTCACTTTACATTGCACCCAGTTTAACTTCATATTCACTTTCTGATCTATGATATGGGAGCATCCCAGGCCAGAAGAGAATTGGATCTAATAACAGAGTAGGACTGGATGCTTGTGAGCATCAGTTTTAAATGGAATATGAAGTGGTCTAATGTTCGGCCTCAAGAGGATACACTACCCACATACCAATTACACATTCACAAGACCATGCTTTTAGAAATTCTTATCCTGTATTGTCTCCTCTAGCATAAGACCCATGCTGTTAAAATTCTTTTCCTCCCTAGCCTCGATGGCTCCTCATCTCCCTGCATACCCCTGCCCAGTTGTCTCCATTGCTTACACTTCATCCTCATTCCCCTGTAATCATTGCTTACTCAGACAAGGTTTGTTTAGTCCTGTAGAGATGTAATTGCAAAAGTAATCCTTTACTATTATTGTACTTACAAATGTTCTAGGATGAAGTAAAAATTATATTGCACTTTCTTGGTTGGGATTGGCTATGTTTCCCAATTCATAGGCATGCTGAGGCCCTTTGTCACCTCCTTATCTTGTACAAAATTAACAATATGTCCAGTGAGATTGCCGTTCTGCTCTTGTGTTCCTTGGTTTGAGGAAGAGAATTACAGATGCATTCTTTTTTTAACTTTCCTTTGTATAAATAGTAACATACTATATACAATGTTGTCTAAATTGCTTATCTCACTTAATAATTTGTCTTGGACACCTTTCTATATCAGTAATATAGAGCTGCCTCTTTTTTAAAAAAACTGGTACCAAATATCCCATTGTATAAATGTACAACAACTAATTTAATGAATTTTCTAATGAAGGTTATAAGTTTCTTTCAATCTTTTTCTATTAAAACAGTGCTGTAATAAACATCCTAGTACACACATTATCTATGCAGGGGCCACTAGAATACTAAATCACAGGGTATGTGTATTTTTATATGGATGTATAAGGCCAATTTATCCTCCATTGAGTTTATATTCCATTGATATTTTAAAACTCTAACAGCAAAGAGTTCTTTCTTCCCTACTTTACATACTTTTGCCATTTTAAATTAATTTTATTTAAAATTAACATATTCTCTCTTTAAAAAGTAAAAAAAAATAGACTAGGCTAAATCCTATTTTACATTATTCCCAAATCTTGTCTCTTGTCTAATAGTCATCCCCTCAAAGTAATCACTATATTTTGTGAGATATATATATATACTTATTGACTCTTTTGTATGCATTGAAAATCTATGTATAGCTATTGAAGATATACAGTAGTACTTTGCAGTTTACATTTTTTACACAAATGGTATAGTATTATGTATATCATTTGCATGTATTTTTACTTAACAATAAACTTTGGAATTCTATCTCAATTGATTAAAAAAAGGTATATTTCTGGTATATTTCTTGCTCAAGCTACATGTCCATTAAGGACTGTTAGAGGGCTCTGTTCATTGGAATCACTTAGGCACCCAGGCTGCTGGAGCAGATACCACTTTAAACATTGACAATATCCATGAATGAAAGAAAGTTCTTCATAGTTTCCCACTTGTCACAGAAACAACAACTCATTGACCAAAACTAGACACATAGCCCCGACCAGCCATAAAGAATCACTGAGTACAGTCCTACTGTGTGCCCAGGAGAGGAGAACTGGATAACAGTGAATAACAATAATGAATCTAAATATGAGAAATAAAACCGAAGTGTCATAGGGTATAAATATTTCCCACTTTAATAGACACTATCAAATTATATTCCCAAGTAGCTATACCAATTGGCATTTCCACTATCAGTTTATGTGTATATGTATCTACTCATATTCTTCTCAACACTTATTATCATGTCTTTAAAAATTTTTTAGTCTGATGAGAAAAAAATGGAAATAATACAATTTGTATTTTCCGATTGCTATTGGAGTTGAGCATCTCAACACTTATTATCATGTCTTTAAAAATTTTTTAGTCTGATGAGAAAAAAATGGAAATAATACAATTTGTATTTTCCGATTGCTATTGGAGTTGAGCATCTTTTTGTTTGTATTGGCTATTTTTATTTCCTCTTCTGTCATTTGCATGATCACCTCCTTGGCCATTTTTCAATTAAGTAGTTTGTTGTATTGTTATCAATTTGTAGAAGTTCTTTAAATATTCTGGATATAAATTCCTATCTGATATATATTGCATTTTTTCCAGATTGACACTACATTTTATGTCGCTTCATTAAATTAAGTCTGTTTATTTTTATTATTCTCCTTGGGCACAGAAAACAATTGCTTTTAATTTCTCACATAAAGTCCCCTGAAACATTTGAATGTAGTCATCAAGTCATCCCCTAGCTCTTTCTTCTTTGGACTAAATAGCCTCAATTCCTTTACCTTATCCTCGTAAAACTGATATTTCAATTTCTTTAATCACATTTCCTCTTTGTCTACACCTTATTAAAATAGTGGCCTACTATAAACACCATTAACTTCTAAACTGTATACCTTGCCTGCTTTCTTTCTTTCTTCTCTTTCAAATTGGTAGCTAAAAAGCTTAAAGCTAAATCTACTTTCCACCAACAGAAAGGACATATGTCTTTATAGTTTGCATTATTTGAGTCCCAATTCTAGTCTTTTCATGTTCTCACACTTGTTTCTTTTTGGCCATCTATTTTTAATTGGCATTATATTTTATTTTATGTGTAATTCTAAGATGCCTAATTATATTTCTGAGAAAAGGCACAGTGTTATATAAACAAATGGGTAAGGAGGTTTGAGAGGCATGGAGAGAGAGAGAGATCTAACAATTTTACAATATACAGGATCATCGCCCAGAATATTTTTACCTTAAATTTACCCCAATATTTGGTTAGATACTTTTCCTGCAATAGCTTTATGCTATAGATTATGCCAAGTTTTTATTTTCTCCATCCTTGCCAGTCTTTTCCTTCTACACAGGTGTCTAATCATCAGTCCATTCTAAAAGTAACAATTTGTATTTTTCCCTTTTAAGTTTCATTATGTGTCTGTAGGGGCATTTCCCCCAATTGGTCAAGGTCTTTTTGAAGTGAATTCTGCTTTTGAGAATATGCAGTAGCCCCTGTGTAATTCAGCATCATCTGCAAACTTCATGAGATTTTTCCTCAAACATACATCTCAGACAAAGTTGTATACTTAAAGACAATTTTCATCTTGGTAGTTTGATTAGAACTTCATTGTTTTCTGATTGCTGAGGATTTCTAGTGGCACAGCTATTTATTTCAGTCCTGGTTTGCAACATCAAGTAGTGTTCCTGCTAAGCAGAATCACCAGAATGGCAGTGTCGCTTATAAGATAATGCACCCAGGCCTGCTGAAAACAACTGAGGACCCCAGAAAGCTTGCAAATGAATACTATGACTGTCACCTCTCACTCTAGGTAGCTCCTGTGTCAAATCTCTTAGCAGTTACTGTGTCTTCATTTCAAAAACTCTTGTTACAACCATCATTATTGCTCCTTCTTGTCTATGTCCATCACCCACACCTTGTGCAGGTTAGTTGCCTCAGTTACTTTTATACTGAAATCACTATGCATTAGAATGTCATCTTGTTTAGTATTGTTCTAGTAAGAAAAAAATTGAGGCCAGCAGATTTCAGTTTTCCATAAGCAAAAACATTCTTACAATTGGAGCTTATTCCAACAAAGGAACAGACTGTCTCTTGAAATAGGTAGCTCCTGATTTCCAGAGGTATACAAGCAGAGATTTGGAAAGCTCCTATTTTCCCTCTAAATTATACCTTCTGTCATCATTAAAACCAATTTATTAAATTTTTAATGGTGATATCTATTATGGTTTTTTTTCTGAATATACAAGAGTATTGTAAGAGAAAATTAAAACCTCCAATATTATCAAAAACCCCAGGGATCACCAGTGTTAACAATTTCATGTATGTTCTTCCAGCTATTTAATTTGACTATATAAACATATTTGCTTTATTTTTTTATTATTTTATTTTTATTTTACTTTAAGTTCCAGGATACATGTGCAGAACATGTGGGTTTGTTACATAGGTATACGCAAATGAGATCATAGTATATATATGACTTTTTGTAAGTTGTTTTGTTCATTGAGAAGATTGGATATCTTTCCATGTGAATTCAAAATATTTTATATTGTAACTTTGTATTAATTCTGTTAACTTACAGAGTATATGCCAAACTCAAAATCATGGAGAATCAGAAAAAGTTGAGTTACAATGAAAACATACTATGCATAATACTTTTCAAAATTTTATTATGATAATTTTCATTCAGAAAAATTGAATGAAGTGCACAATGAATCTCTATATTCATGCTACCTTGATTCTGTAACTGTTAACATTCTCTTTGCTTTATCACATATCAGTCCACCTTAATTTTTGATACCTTTCAAACTAAATTGCTGACATTAGTACAATTTACCCCTACATACCCCTAAATCATTTTTCAACAAAAATGACTTCCAGCAGCAGCATATCTTTAACTTGAGCCCAGTGTTTGCTTATGACCCTTTAATTAGATAAAATTACATACATTAAAATGCATATATTTAATTATTTAACCATTTAATGAGCTTTTAATAAATGCATGCACCTACGCAACTCAGGCCACTGTCAAGATAGACATCACACCCAAAAGTTCTTGCTGCATGGCATTTTGTTTATATTTTCTGTTTTTCATGCTGCCATGAGAAAGTAGATGCAATGCTATCATGTAGTGTGCTTTTTTTAAGTTAAAAACATATTATGATAATGATTTGTTGCAAATAAATATAGATCTCATTTATCTTTTTTTATAAACAAAAAACATGTTTATGCTGAAAATTCAAATGGTAGTTTTTTCTCTCAAGTGGTGACATCATGTAAACAATACTGATCTACAGTGTGATTTTGTGGTTTCATTTTACCATATCTTGAGCATCTTTTCATGCCATTAGTACATACTGAGCTACTAATCTTTTCCACATATATAAAACTGTATCAGTCCATTTTCACATTGCTATAAAGATACTATCTGAGACTGGATAATTCATAAACAAAAGAGGTTTAATTAACTCACAGATCCACATGGCTGGGGAGGCCTCAGGAAACTTACAATCATGGCAGAAGCAAAGGGGAAGCAGACACCTTCTTCACAAGGTGGGAAGAGAGACAGAGAATGGGCAGGGGACACTGCCACTTTTAAAACCATCAGATCTCATGAGAACTCACTCACTATCATGAGATCAGCATGGGGGAACAACCCTCATGATCCAATCCCCTCCCACCAGGTCTCCCCCTCAACATGTGGGGATTAAAATTTGAGATGAGATTTGGGTGGGGACACAGAGCCAAACCATATCATTCTGCCCCTTGTCCCTCCCAAATCTCATGTCCTTTTCACATTTCAAAACCAATCATGCCTTCCCAAAAGTCCCCCAAAGTCTTAACCCATTCCAGCATTAACCCAAAAGTCTAAGTCCAAAGTCTCATCTGAGACAATGCAAGACCTTTCCACCCATGAGCCAATAAAATCAAAAGCAAGTTAGTTACTTTCAAGATCCAATGGGGTTACAGGTATTGGATAAATGTAACCATTCCAAGTGGGAGAAATTAGCTAAAATAAAGGAGCCACAGGCCCCATGCAAGTCTACAACCTGGCAGGGCAGTTATTAAATCTTAAAGCTCCAAAACCTCCTTTGACTCCATGTCTCACATCCAGGGCAAGCTGATGTAAGGAGTGGGCACATACGACCTTGGGCAGCTCTGCCCCTGTGGTTCTGCAGGATGCAACCCCCACAGCTGCTTTCACGGGCTGGTATTGAGTGCCCGTGGCTTTTCCAGGTGCAAGGTGCAAGCTCTTGGTGTACCTACCATTCTGGGATCTGGAGGACAGTGGCCCTCTTCTCACAGCTCCACCAGACAGTGCCCCAGTGGAGACTGTGGGGGCTCCTACCCCACATGTCCCCTCTGCATTGCCCTAGTAGAGGTTCTCCATGAGGGCTATGACCCCACAACAGACTAACTGCCTGGACATCTAGGCATTTCCATATATCCTCTGAAATTTAGGAAGAGGCTCCCAAACTCTTGTCTTCTGTGAACCTGCAGGCCCAACACCACGTGGAAGCTGCCAAGGCTTGGGGCTTGCACCCTCTGAAGCAACAGTTCAAGCTATACCTTGGCCCCTTTTAGCCACAGCTGGAGCTGGACCAGCTGGCACGCAGGTTGCCATGTCCTGAGGCTGCACAGAGCAGCAGGGCCCTGGGCTCAGCCCATGAAACCATTTTTCCCTCCTAGGTCTCTGGGCCTTGGATAGGAGGGGCTGCCATGAAGACCTCTGGCATGACCTGAAGATAATTCCCCCAAATTAGCATTCAGGTCCTCATTACTTATGCAAATTTCTGCAGCCAGCTTGAATTTCTCCCAAGAAAATGGGTTTTTCTTTTCTACCACATGGTCAGGCTGCAAATTTTCCAAACCTTTATGTCCTGCTTCCCTTTTAAACATAAGTTTCAAACCATCTCTTTATGAATGCATATAATTGTATGCTTTCAGGAAGACAGGTCACATCTTGAATGCTTTGCTACTTAGAAATATCTTCTGCCAGATACCCTGACTCATCTCTCTAAAGTTCAAAGTTCCACAGATCTCTAGGATAGGGGCAAAATGCTGCAGTCTCTTTGCTAAAACATAGCAAGAGTCACCTTTTCTCCAGTTCCCAACAAGTTCCTCATCTCCATCTGAGACCACCTCAGTCTGGACCTTATTGTCATATCACTAACAACATCTTGGTCAAAACTATTCAACAAGTCTCTGGGAATTTCCAAAATTTTCCACATCTTCCTGCCTTCTTCTGAGCCCTCCAAACTGTTTCAACCTCTGCTCATTAACAAGTTCCAAAGTGGCTTCCACATTTTCAGTTTATCTTTATAGCAGTACCCCAAACTCCTGATACCAATTCTCTGTATCAGTCTGTTTTCACACTGCTATAAAGATACTACCTGAGACTGTGTAATTCATCAACAAAAGAGGTTTAATTAACTCACAATTCTGCATGGCTGGCGAGACCTCAGGAAACTTATAATCACGGTGGAAGGTGAAGGGGAAACAGGCACCTTCTTCACAGGAGAGAGAGCATGCAGGAGAAACTGCCACTTTTAAAACCATCAACTGTCATGAGAACTCCCTCACTATCATGAGAACAGCACAGGGGAAACCACCCCCCACAATTCAGTCACTTCCCTGAGGTCCCTTCCTTGACTCGTGTGGACTACAAATTGAGATAAACTTTGGGTAGGAACACAGAGACAAACTGTATCAAAAATATTCAATAATAGGTATGTAACATAATTTTTTTATGTTTTACTTTTTGGAACTTTTATTTTAAGTTCAGGGGTACATATGTAGGATTTGCAGGTTTGTTACATAGGTAAAAGTATGTAATGGGGGTTTGTTATACAGATTATTTCATCACCCAGGTATTAAGCCTAGTATCCATTAGCTATTTTTCCTGATCCTCTCCCTCCTCTCACCTTCCACCCTCCAATAAAACCTAGTGTGTGTTGTTTCCTTCTATGTGTCCATGTGTTCTCATAATTTAGTTCCCACTTATAAGTGAGAACATGCAGTATTTGGTTTTCTGTTCCTGCATTAGTTTGCTAAGGATAATGGCCTCCAGCTCCACCCCTGTCCCTGCAAAGGACATAATCTTGTTGTTTTTTATGGTTGTATAGTATTCCATGATGTACATGTATCACATTTTCTTTATCCAGTCTATCATTGATAGGCATTTAGGTTGAGTCCATGTCTTTTCTATTGTAAATAGTCCTGCAATGAATATATGCATGCATATGTCTTTATAATAGAATGATTTATATTCTTTGGGTATATACACAGTAATCAGATTGCTAGGTCAAATGGTATTTCTGCCTCTAGGTCTTTGAGGGATCACCACACTGCTTTTCACAATGGTTAAATTAATTTACACTCCCATCAACAGTGTAAAAGCATACCTTTTTCTCCACAACCTCACCAGCATCTGTTATTTTTTGACTTTCTAATAATAGCCATTCTGACTGGTGTGAGATGGTATCTTTTTGTGGTTTTGATCTGCATTTCTGTAATGATTGGTGATGTTGAGCTTTTTTTCATATGATTTTTGGCTACATGTATGTCTTCTTTTGAGAAATGTCTATTCATGCCCTGTATCCACTTTTTAATGGGGTTATTTTCATTTTTCTTGTAAATTTGTTTAAGTTTCTTATAGATGCTGTATATTAGACCTTTGTCAGATGCATAGTTTGCAAAAATTTTCTCCCATTCTGTAAATTATCTGTTTACTCTGTTGATAGTTTCTTTTGCTGTGCAGAAGCTCTTTAGTTTAATTAGATCCCCTTTGTCAATTTTTGCTTTTATTGCAATTGCTTTTGGTGTCTTTGTCATGAAATCTTTACCCATGCCTATATAACATAATTTTTATAACCAACTCTCATTGATGAACATTTGAACTTTTCAGTTTTTCAACATTGCAAACAAGTTTACAATAAAAAGCTGTATAGATATTTATCTCCACACTTGTTTTATTGTATCTTTAGGAAACCACCCAGAGATGGAATAACAGGATTTTAGGCAAAGTACACTCCCATACACATTCTGCACACCCCCCAAAAAAAGTGTATGTGATTTCTATTATCTGATCTTAATTTGTGCTTTACGGATTTCTACAACTGGCAAGATAAAGCTTATATTATAAGGCTGGGGAATAAAATTAGAGATTCAAGGATGAAAAAAAAAAAAAAGCCCTGGGGCTTCTAAGTTAGGAATCCAAGCACAAAGCCCAAGTACAAAAGGAGCTGAGACAATTTTAACAATATTAATAATAGCTAACACCTGAAAACAATTTATCATCAGCCCCAAACAGGAACAAAATAAGGAATAAAGATGTGTAATTATCCAGGGAATTCATAAAGCACAAAAATCTAGAGCAGTAGTTCTCAAACTTGAATTTATATCAGGATCACCCACAGGGTGTGTTAAAAAAAAACCATTGTTGAGCCATACTCCAAGAGTCTGATTCAGTGGGTCTTTAACAGGATCTGATAATCTCAATTTCTAATAATTTCTCAGGTGGTGCTGATGCTGCTGGTAAAGGGACCACATTGAGACGCCCTGATCTGGATAACATAGACTAGAAAGGTAACTCTCTTATGTTTCAGCTGATATTGGTCAAAATATTGTTCCAACTTTTCACTTAGCCCATGTGAACAAATCTCTGTAGATAAAGATCTAGTGATAACTAATTTCTTCCAACTTTTGTTTGAATCTCCTTTTTTTCTATGTGTTTCTGAAACCAAGCCAATTTTCCTTTAATCTCTGCTCCCTTAATGTTCTATATCTCCCCATCTCCATTACAGGACTGATATTAGAAATTTAAAATTTAATGAAAAACATCTTCAATAACTGAATTTGTCAAGTGTCTATATCTGAAAAGTAGGTACGGATCTTTGTCACATATGCCTGCATAGAGCCAAGCTAGAGAAAATGCACAGATTTAATATGTATAGTGGAAAGTGGAATTAACTACCTTTCTCTAGATATAATGCATATTAATTCTGTTAATTTACAAGGCTACATGCCAAAGTCAAAATCATGCTGAATCAGAAAGAACAAATTACCAGTATAAACGCTTTTGTATGCACAATCACACTATTCCCCAGGGCTATTTAACTGCCATTTAACTTTTGAGACATCAAATGTACCAGCCCTAACCTTTTAGCCTTTTAGTAACAAACCGCATCCATATGTCACAAAATTTCTTGTAAACAATATATATATGCAAATTATATATGTATGTATATATATATATAAAATGCAAGTTTATATGCTGAATTCTGCTATTTCTTATTTTGTCACTACTAATATTTCAAATAAATTAAACGTCACTTACAAGTTTAAAAGAGTAGCCAAAATTATGTCAGATTGTGCAACTCAAAAGACATATGTTTCCAACATTTACTGGATGCCCACTATGTACTGTTTCCTAGGTGCTAGGAGTACAAATCGTAATGAGACAAGGGTTCCTGCCTTTGAGGAATTTAGTCTAGTGAGGGAAACAGATATAAAAAATAACTACAAGCCTATGAGAGAAGAGCTATCATAGAAGCATGAAGAAAATGCTGTGGAATTACAAAGAAATGAACCAGTGGGTTTTTTGGTAGGAATCAGGAAAGGTCTTCATAAAAATTGTGACATGTTAAATGGGTCTTAAAGAAATTGCCTTGTCAAAAAGATAAAAGACCATTTTAGGCAAAGGGACTTGTGCACATGCAGAAGTTTGGAGTTATCAAAGAGCTTAGTGTGTTTAGGGGAGAGCAAGGAATTTGGTGGCTAGGTTCTGAGAGAGACAGAAGCAGTGGAAGATGAAGCAAGCAAAGTAAGTATGGACTATGTTATGAAGAACTTTGAAATCCATGCCAAAGAGTTGGCACAATACAGTGAGTGGTGAAACTTGGAAAGAGACAGATGGTATTTCTCTGTTAGAGCTAAAACATTTTATTCCACCTGTGTAAGTGCTTATTCATTTATTCATTCATTCAACAAACATATAGTAGGAATCTATTATGTGAAAAAGCACTATACCAAATCAGTTTGAGAGATGAATCAAATACAACCAAGCAACATGCTCCCTAAACTTGTGTCCTATTTAATTACTCTTATACAAAAACAGCTTGAGCAAGGACAGGGAGAGTGCTTTGGGCTGAATTATGTCCTTTTACCAAATTAACATATTGAAGTACAAAACCCTAGTGTTACTGTATTTGTAGATAGTGCTTGTATAAAGTAAGTAAGATAAAATGAGGTCATAAAGGTGGGATCCTAATTTGATAGGATTGGTAACCTTATAAGAAAAGAAAAAAAATCTCCCTGTCCCAATATATGAATGTGTATAGAAGAAAGGCCATGTGGCACACATCAAGGAAGCTGCCTGTAAGTCAGGAAGAGAACCCTCACCAGAGTCCAATCAAAGTGGAACCTTGACCTCAGACTTCTAGCCTCAAGAAAAAAAATTATGTTGTTTAAACTACCTAGTCTATGGTATGTGGCTATGGCAGCCTGAGCAGCCTAAGACAGAGAGGGAATGTATTGCAAAGTAGATTTTGCCCAAGAGTAAAACAGGACTTCTCTAGGCCAAATGGCCACCAAGTGTAAGTATCAATTCTTCAGGATCCCTTAGCTTGAAGCTATCCAGTGATAAAGGACTCACTACATAATGAAGCAGCCCATTCTATAATGGATAACTTTGGTGGTTAGAAAAGTCTTATACTAAGATGTGTAAGACTTATTCAACATGTGTACTTGTAAAGGCATGTATAAGACTTTTATAAGACATATACAAGATGTCTGCCTCTAATTGCCATTGGTCCTTTATTTTGCCTTGTAAAGTCACCCAGCACAGATTGGCAACTACTAGCTCTAAAAAGCAGCAAGTGTTTCTTTAAAAAGCTGAGACCTTTCCCAATAACGTTACATTTCTAAATTGACCTGAGGTTGAAGATTTGTGCTTCTCCTAGGAGCCATCTTTGGAAAATGTAAACTGACTGAGAATCCCAGAGAATTTACATTAACTCACTTACCTGGTGTCTGCCAATGTGGGTCCCTAAAACAGCTGCTGCTCCACCTGGGGTATGTCCTATCTGATTATAACTTATAAATTGTGGCTCCCTATCTGCTGAAGTTCCTCCGGCTCTGTAAGAACTCTCAGTGTTGATACAACATGCTGTAGCATGAATGCATTTTATTATTACAACAAAGTCCTTTCCTTGCACATAAAATACTGGGTGCTTATTTGTATTACAAAGGATGGTCTAATAGAAATACTGTGAGTTATTTGTCAGAAAATCTGGGCTTTCTATTTATATTCAATTAGAAATCACTACATGACTTGGGGGAAATATCCTAACACCTCAGTGCCTCAATTTCTTCATCTCTAATATGTGAATATTATTTGCTTTTCAATTACAAATATGTGGTGAGAATAGAACGAAAAAGTCTTAAGAAATAGTCTACACAGTTCTAAAACCTCTTAGGAACTTCTGTTTCTGGTGAGGTATAGTAGACGTTCTTTCCTCTATTCCTTCCACAAGTCTAACTTTATATATGAACATTATATATAATACGAACAAAAGAGAGGAGAGGGCAGACTGACTTAAAACCTCAGGATCCAAAAGACAACATGGTGGTGAGTTCCTTAGGTTTTCTTTCTGCTTCATGCTGAAAGAACCAGAAACCCCAACATGCCAATGCACCCAGACAAAAAGAAAACCCGGCAATATCCTGCTTCCTCTAGCCAAAGGACCAGAAAAGGGGCAGCTTAGCCAGATGAAATACTTTTAGACTAATAAACACTATATTCCAGCCAAACACCATGGAAAACACTGTGGACACACACACATACACACACACACACACACACACACACACCCTCCAGCAAAGGCCATGCTAGCCAGAGTATAATAAGTTGCCCCAAACTCCCTGCTGGGGTGCTATCAGAGAAGGCCAACTACAGAGAAGTACCAAGCATAGACTTCATCCCTTCTGGGAAGTAGTATGATTCTCACTTCTGACTCTTGCCACCTCAGTATCAGTGGAGACCATGTGGGGAACCTGGACTTCTACTTGGCGTCTGGCAATAATAAGCCACCATGCCCTCCCTGCATTGGGATGGTGTCAGAAAAGGCCTAGAAGAGTGTCAAGAATTTCCCCACCACAGAGTTGTAGTGAGAGCACAATATGGTGGTGTCAGTGGAGGCCATATTGGGAGCAGTAGTGAGGAGGACCTAATCTTCCCATCCAGGGAGGTATCACCGTAGGCCTATTGGGGAACAGGATCTCCCACCCTCACTCAGCAGTCATGAAGAGCACCGCCCCCTACCTCAGGTATTAGTGGAAGCTGAGTAGGGAAACTGGATTTCTACTTCCACCTGGAATTAATGAGGTAGCACTCCTGTTTCCTCTGCTGGAGCAGTATTAGAGGAGTCCAGCAGAAGCAGGTTTAAATAGGAACCAGAGTCTCATGACATAATATCCCAAATCCAGATTTCAATCAAAAATCACTGACAACAAGAATCAAGAAGATATCTAACTGAATGGAAAATAACAATGAATAGATGTCAACAGTGTGATAGGAAAGATATTAGAATAATGTAACAAGGGATTCATAAAATTATGCATCAAAAGGTATTTATGGACATGCTTGAAACAAATGACAAAATAGAAAGCCTCAACACATTAAAAAAAAGATGTCAGCAACTAAACAGATTTTTTTAAAAAACACAAATGGAATGCATTGAAGTTATATGGTACAAGAGCAACACATAAAAATTAGTTATATTTTCATACACTAAAAATGAACAATCTGAAAAGAAAATTAATAAAATAATTCAACTTACCATAGCATCAAAATAATAAAATGCATAGAAATAAATTTAACTAAGGAGACAGAAGGTTTGTACATTAAACATTACAAAATATTGCTGAAGGAAATTAAGGATAAACTAAATAAATAAGTCATTCTTTGCTCACAGATTAGAAGATTTAATATTGTTAAGACAGTAATACTCCCCAAAGTAACCTACAAATTTAATGCAATAGCTATAAATATCTCAACAACTTTTTTTGTAGAAATGGAAAGGTTGACACCAAAATTCATAATGGTATTTCCAGGGACCCAAATAACCAAACAACCTTGAGAAAAAGAAAATTGGAAAACTCACACTTCCCCATTTCAAAACTCATTACAAGCTATAGTAATCAAAACAGTGTATTACTGGCATAAATATACACATATATATTAATAGAATAAAATAGAGATTATAGAAATAAACCCTCAAATGTATGGTTGATTGATCTTCAGTAAGGGAGACAAGATCATTCAATGAAGAAAGAATTGTCTCTGCAACAAATTATGTTGAGACAAATTGATGGCCATAGGCAAAAGGATGAAAATGGACTCTTACCTCACACTATATACAAAAATTTATTCATCATAGAAAAAAGACCTGAATATAAGAGCTAAAAACACCAAACTGTTAGAAGAAATCATAGGGGTAAATCTTGGGTCCTGGATTTGGCAATGGTTTCTTAGGAATGACACTAAAAGCACAAGCAATTTAAAATACAGATAACTTAGACTTCACCAAAATTAACAAACATTTGTGTATCAAATGATATAACCAAGAGAATAAAAAGACAGCCCATACAATGGAAGAAAATATTTACAAATCATGTATTTGATAAGGATCTAGTATCCAGACTATATAAAAGACACTTACAACTCAACAACAGAATGACAAACAACCCAATATAAACATGTCAACAGACTTGAATAGACATTTCTCCAAAGAAGATTTACAAATGGCCCACAAGCACACAAGAGGTTTCTCAGCATCACTGGTTATTAAAGAAATGCAAAAAAAAAGCACAATGAGATACCACTTTACCCACACTAAGATGACAATAATAATAATAACATCAGCAATAAAAAGAAGAAGAGGAAGAGGGGAAGGAGGGAGGGGAGGAGAAGGAGGAGGAGAAGATGTTAGTGTTTATGACTATGTAGGACATTGGACCCCTCATACATTGCTGGTAAAAATGTAAAAAGGTGCAGCTACTATGAAAAACCATTTGGTGATTTCTCAAAAAGTTAAACATACAAATACTACATGACCCAGCAGTTCCACTCCTAGATATATACTCAAAAGAACTAAAAACAAATGTTCAAACATTTGTAAACAAATTTATACAGCACCATTATGCACAATAACCAAAAGGTGTAAACAACACACGTTCATAAAGTGATGAATGAATTAAAACGATGTCCGTATCCATACAATGGCATATTACTCAGCTATTAAGAAATGGAGTACTGAGAGAGTGTAGCAAGATGGCGCAATAGAAGATTCCACTAATTTGACCTCCCCCACAAGTACACTAATTCAACAACTATCTACACACAAAAAGCACCTTCATAAGAATCAAAAATTGGTTGAGCACTCACAGTACCTGCTTTTAACTTTATATTGCTAAAAGAGGCACTAAAGAGGTAGGAAAACAGTCTTGTATTACCAATGCCACCCCTCCCCCATCTTCCAGCAGCTGCAGCATGATGCAGAGAGTGTTACTGTGTGCTGGGTAGATGTAGAGCACAGCAATTGTGAGACACTGAACTCAGTGCTGCCCTATTATGGCCAAAAGTAAAATTAGACCAAACTCAGCTGACATCCAGCCACAAGGGAGCATTTACAATAGCCATAGCCAGAGGGGAATGGCCGAGCACAGCGGTTGGAACTTGAGTTCTTACAAGCCTTGCCACCATGGGATAAAATGCTCTGGGGCCCAAAATAAACTTGAAAGGCAGTCTAGGGCACAGGGACTGAAATTTTTAGGTGAGCCCTAGTGCTGAACTGGGCCCAGAGACAGTGGACTAGAAAGCATGAGGCCTACTGAGACACCAGCTGAGACAGCTGAGGGAGTACAGGCAACACCCTTCACATCACACCAGGCTTCACAGCTCATGGCTTCAAAAGAGACCTCTTCCTTCTGTTTGAAGAGAGGAAAGGAAAAAGTGGGGAGAACTTTGTCTTGCATTTTGGATACAAGCTCAGCCACAGCAGGATAGGGCATGGATTAGAGTTGTGAAGCCTCTTTCCTGGCCCTAGCTCCTGGTCGACCTTTCTAGATACACTCTTGGACAGAAGGGAGCCCAGTGCCTTGGAGGAAAGGACCAAGTCCTGGCAGGATTCATCACCTGTTACTTAAAGAGCCCTTGGACCCCAAATAACCATCAGTGATACCCAGGTACTATGACAAAGGGCCTTGGGCCAGGTGCTATGTCAAGGACTTTGTCTTGTGGTTTGAGACACTGAGACATGCTGGTTCAACGTAAGACTCAGCACATTCCCAGCTGTGGTGGCTATGGGGCAAGAGTGCTGCTTGAGAAAAGTGGAAGGAAATGTAAAAGGGACTTTGTCTTGTGCCTTAGATACCAGCTCGGCCACAGAGGGATGGAGAACCCAGTGGGCTCTTGGGTTCTCCAATTCCGGGACTTGACTCTTCGATAGTATTTTTGAACCTGCCCTGAGCAAGAGGGGAGCCAACCACCCTAATGGGTAAAGTCTTAGGCCAGGCACTATTTGCTACAGCTGACTGAGGAGCCTTGGGCCTTAAAGAAACATCAGCAGTAGTCTGGCAGTACTTCTCATGGGCCTGTGGGGGCAGTGCCCATGGGGAGAGGCTCCTCTGCTTTTGAAAAGGTGAGAAAAGAGTGGAGAGGACTGTGTCTCATGGTTTGAGTGGCAGCTCCGCTGCAGTACAATAGAACACCCAGTAGACTTCTATGGTATTTGACTCTAGTCCCTGACTCTCAGATGGTACCTCTGGACCCACCCAGAGTTCGGGGGAACTCACCACCCTGAAAGGAAGGACATACACTTGGGTGGCTTTGCCACCTGCTGATCGTAGAGTCTTAGGGCCTTGAGTGAACATAGGCAGGAGCCAGGCAGTGGTTACAGCAACTCTTGGGTGAGACCAGTGCTGTGCTGGCTTCAGGTCTGACTCAGTGCAGTCCTAGTGGTGGTGGCAACAGGGATGCTTATGTCACTCCACCACCAGGTGACTCAGAATAGTCACCTGGTGGTGGAGTGACTCAGAATAGAGAGACTTTTGTTTCTTTGGGAGAAAGTAGAGAAAGAAAAAAAGAGTCTCTGCTTGGTAACCCAGATAATTCTCCTGGATATTGTCAAAGATCATTGAGATGTTACCTCTATGTGTCTGCAAGAACCACAGCATTACTGGGGTTGGGGTGTACCCTAAAGCAGATACAGCTTAGATCACATTACCTAAGTCCTTTTGAATATCTTGAAAGTCTTCCAAGAAGGATGAATACAAACAAGCACAGATTGAGAAGAATACAATAAATAAATAATTATTCAATGCCCAGACACAGACAAACATTTTAAAGTATCACAACCATCCAGGAAAACATGAACTCACTAAATTAACTAAAAGAGCCTGCAGGGACCAGTCCTGGAGAAACACAGATATGTGAACTTTCAGACAGAATTTTAAACAACTGTGTTGAGGAAACTCAAAGAAATTCAAGATAACACAGAGAAGGAATTCAGAATTCTAGCATACAAAGTTAACAAAGAGATTGAAATAATTTTTAAAATTATTTAAAATTTTTTAAATTTTAAAAATCGAGCAGATATTCTGGAGCTGAAATCTGCAACTGGTATACTAAAAAATGAATCAGAGTCTTTTAATAGAAGAATTGATCAAGCAGAAAAAAATTATTAGTGAGCTTTAAAACAGGCTATTTGACAATACACAGTCAGAGGAGATGAAAGAATAAAGAATAAAATACAGTGAAGCACGCTTATAGAATCAAGAAAAAATAGTCTCAAAAAAGCAAATCTAAGAGTTACTGGCCTTAAAAACAAGGTAGACAAAGAGATGTGGATAGAAAGTTTATTCAAAGGGGTAATAACAGATAACTTCCCAAACCTAGAGAGATATATCAATATCCAAATAAAGGAAGGTTATAGAACACCAAGCAGATTTAACCCAAAGAAGATGTGTTATTCCGTTCTCATGCTGCTATGAAGAACTACCCATAACTGGGTAATTTATAAAGAAAAGAGGTTTAATTGGCTCACAGTTTCACATCACTGGGGAAATCTCAGGAAACTTACAATGATGGCAGAAGGCACCTCTTCACAGGGCAGCAGGAGGGAGAATAAGTGCCAAGCAAAGAGGGAAGCCCCTTAAAAAACCATCATACTGAGAGGGGCCAAGATGGCCGAATAGCAACAGCTCTGTTCTCCAGCTCCCAGTGAGACCAACCGAGAAGGAGGGTGATTTCTGCATTTCCAACTGAGATACCCAGTTTATCTCATTGGGACTGGTTATGCAGTGGGTCCAACCCACAGAGGGCAAGCAGAAGCAGGGTGGGGTGCTGCTTCACTAGAGAAGTACAAGAAGCTGGGGGACCTTCCTCCCCCAGCCAAGTGAAGCCCTGAGGGACTGTGCTACCCAGCCGGGTTACTGTACTTTCCCCACAGTTTTTGCAACTGCAGATCAGGAGATTTCCTCGTGTGCCTACACCACCAGGGGCCTGGGTTTTGAGCACAAAACTGGGCAGCTGTTTGGACAGACACCAAGCTAGCTGCAGGATTTTTTTTTCATACCCCAGTGGCACCTGGAACCCGAGTGAGACAGAACCGTTCAGTCCCATGGAAAGGGGGCTGAAGCCAGGGAGCCAAGTGGTATAGCTCAGCGGATCCCATCCCCATGGAGCCCAGCAAGCTAAGATCCATTGGCTTGAAATTCTTGCTGCCAGCGCAGCAGTCTGAAGTCAACCTGGGACACTGGAGCTTGGTGAGGGGAGGGGCGTCCACCATTACTGAGGCTTGAGTAGGCGGCTTTCCTCTGGCAGTGCTAAGGAGGCTGGGAGGTGTGGACTGGGCAAATTCAGCACAGTGTGGCAAAGCGGCTGTGGCCAGACTGCTTCTCTGGATTCCTCCTCACTAAGCAGGGCATCTCTGAAGGAAACGTAACAGCCCCAGTCAGGGGCTCACAGACAAAACCCCCATCTCCCTGAAACAGAGCACCTGGGGGAAGGGGTAGCTATGGGAGCAGCTTTAGTGCATTTTATTGTTTCTGCCTGTCAGCTCTGAAGAGAGCAGCTGATCCTGTCCAGAGGGATTCTCCCAGCATAGTGCTCAAGGTCTGTTAAGGGCAGACTGCCTCCTCAAGTGGGTCCCTGACCCCCGTGCCTCACCCTTCATACAGTAGAGCTCTGGCTAGCATCAGGCTGGTGCCCCTCTGGGATGAAGCTTCCAGAGGAAGGAGCAGGCAGCAATCTTTGCTGTTCTACAGCCTCCACCGGTGATACCCAGGTGAACATGGTTTGGTGTGGTCCTCCAGCAAATTGTAGCAGACCTGCAGAAGAGGGGCCTGACTGTTAAAAGAAAAACTAACAAACAGAAAGCAATAACATTAACATCAACATAAAGGACTTCCATCCAAAAACCCCATCCAAAGGTCATCTGCCTCAAAGATCAAAGGTAGATAAATCCACAAAGATGAGGAAAAACCAGTGCAAAAACGCTGAAAATTCCAAAAACCAGAATACCTCTTTTCCTCCAAATGATTGCAACTTCTCTCCAGCAAGGGCACAAAACTGGGTGGAGAATGAGATTGATGAATTGACAGAAGTAGGCTTCAGAAGCTGAGTAATAATCTCCTCCGACCTTAAGGAGCATATTCTAACCTAATGCAAGGAAGCTAAGAACCTTGATAAAAGGTTACAGGAACTGCTAACTAGAATAACCAGCTTAGAGAGGAACATAAATGAACTGATGGAGCTGAAAAACACAGCATGAGAACTTCGTGAAGCATACGCAAGTATTAATAGCTGAATCGATCAAGCAGAAGAAAGGATATCAGAGATTGAAGATCAACTTACTGAAATAAGACAAGATTAGAGAAAAAAGAATGTAAAGGAATGAACAAAGCCAACAAGAAATATGGGACGATGTGAAAAGACCAAACATATGATTGCCTGGCGTACCTGAAAGTGACAGGGAGAATGGAACCAAGTTGGAAAACACACTTCAATATATTACCCAGGAGAACTTCCTCAACCTAGCAAGTCAGATCGACATTCAAATTCAGGAAGTACAGAGAACACCAGTAAGATACTCCTAGATAAGAGCAACCCCAAAACACATAATTGTCAGATTCTCCAAGGTTGAAATGAAGGAAAAAAGTTCAGGGCAGCCAGAGAGAAAGGTCTGGTTACCTACAAAGGGAAGTCCATCAGACTAACAGCGGATCTCTCTGCAGAAACCCTACAAGCCAGAAGAGAATGGGGGTCAATATGCAGCATTCTTAAAGAAAAAAATTTTCAACCCAGAATTTCATATCCAGCCAAACTAAGCTTCATAAGCAAAGGAGAAATAAAATCCTTTACAGACAACCAAATGCTGACAGATTTTGTCACCAACAGGCCTGCCTTACAAGAACTCCTGAAGGAAGCACTAAATATGGAAAGGAAAAACCAGTACTAGCCACTGCAAAAACACACCAAAATACAAAGACCAATGACACTATGAAGAAACTGCATCAACTCTGTGCAAAATAACCAGCTAGCATCATGATGACAGGATCAAAATGACACATAACAATATTAACCTTAAATGTAAATTGGCTAAATGTCCCAGTTAGAAGCACACGCTAGCAAATTGAGTAAAGAGTCAAGAACCATCTGTGTGCTATATTTGGGAGACCCATCTCATGTGCAAAGACACACACAGGATAAAGACAAATGGATGGAGGAGTATTTACCACACAAATGGAAAGCAAAAATGGCAGGGATTGCAATCCTAGTCTCTGATAAAACAGACTTTAAGCCATAAAAAACATCAAAAAAGACAAAGAAAGTCGTTACATAATGGTAAAGGAATCAATGCAACAAGAAGAGCTAACTATCCTAAATATATATGCACTCAATACAGGAGCACCCAGATTCATGAAACAAGTTCTTAGAGATGTACAAAGAGACATAGACTCCCACAAAATAAAAGTAGGAGATTGTAACACCCCACTGTCAATAATAGAAGATCAACAAGACAGAAATTTAACAAGGATATTCAGGACTTGAACTCAGCCCTGGACCAAGCAGACCTAATAGACATCTACAGAACTCTCCAGCCCAAATCAACAGAATATAATTCTTCTCAGGACCACATGGCACGTATTCTAAAATCGACCACATAATTGGAAGGAAAACACTCATTAGCAAATACAAAAAAAAAAAACAGAAATCAAAACAAACAGTCTCTCAGACCACATTGCAATCTAAATAGAACTCAGGATTAAGAAACTCACTCAAAACCACACAACTACATGGAAATTGAACAATCTGCTCCAGAAACACTTTTGGGTAAATAACGAAATTAAAGCAGAAATAAATAAGTTATTTGAAACCAATGAGAGAAAAGACACAATGTATCAGAATCTATGGGACATAGCTAAGGCAGTGTTTAGAGGGAAATTTATAGCACTAAATGCCCACATCAGAAAGATGGAAAGATCTTAAGTCAGCACCCAAACATCACAATTAAAAGAACTAGAGAAGCAAGAACAAACAAACTCAAAAGAAGACAAGAAATAACTAAAATTACAGCAGAACTGAAGGACAAAGAGACACGAAAAACCCTTCAAAAAATCAATGAATCCAGAAGGTGGTTTCTTGAAAAGATGAAAAAAATAGATAGACTACTAGCTAAACTAATAAAGAAGAAAAGAGAGAAGACTCAAATAGACACAATAAAAAATGATAAGCGGGATATCACCACTGATCTCACAGAAATACCAACTATCATCAGAGAACACTATAAACACCTCTATGCAAATAAGCTAGAAAATCTAGAAGAAATGGAGAAATTCCTGGACACAGACACCCTCCCAAGACTAAACCAGGAAGAAGTCGAACCCTAAATAGACCAATAACAAGTTCTGAAATTAAGGCAGTAATTAATAGCCTGCCAACCAAAAAAAAAAAAGTCCAGGACCAGACAGATTCACAGCCGAATCCCACCAGAGGTCCAAAGAAAAGCTGGTACCATTCCTTCTGAAACTACTCCAAACAATTGAAAAGAAGGGACTCCTCCCTAACTCATTCATGAGGCCAGCATCATCCTGATACCAAAACCTGGCAGAGACACAACAAGAAAAGAAAATTTCAAGCCAATATCCCTTATAAACACCAATGTGAAAATCCTGAATAAAATATTGGTAAATTGAATCCAGCAGCACATCAAAAAGCTTATCCACCACGATCAAGTTGGCTTTATCCCTGGGATGCAAGGCTGGTTCAACATATGCAAATTAATAAACATAATCCATCACAGAAACAGAACCAATGACAAAAAACACATGATTATCTCAATAGATGCAGAAAAGGCCTTCAATAAAATTCAACATTTCTTCATTCAATAACTCTCAATAAACTAGGTATTGATGGAACATATCTCAAAATAATAAGAACCATTTTTGACAAACCCATAAGCCAATATCATACTGAATGGGCAAAAGCTGAAAGGATTCCCTTTGAAAACTGGCACAAGAAAAGGTTGCCCTCTCTTACCACTCCTATTCAACATAGTATTGGAAGTTCTTGCCAGGGCAATCAAGCCAGAGAAAGAAATAAAGTGTATTCAAATAGGAAGACAGGAAGTCAAATTGTCCCTGTTTGCAGATGACATGATTTTATATTTAGAAAACCCCATCGTCTCAGCCCCAAAACTCCTTAAGCTAATAAGCAACTTCAGCAAAGTCTCAGGATACAAAATCAATGGGCAAAAATGACAAGCAATTCTATACACAAACAATAGACAAGCAGAGAGCAAAATCATGAGTGAACTCCCATTCACAATTGTTACAAAGAGAATAAAATACCTGAGAATACGACTTACAAGGGAGGTGAAAACCCTCTTCAAGAGAAAATATAAGCCACTGCTCAAGGAAATAAGAGAGGACACAAACAAATGGAAAAAAAAATTCCATGCTCATGGGTAGGAAGAATCAGTATTGTGAAAGTGGCCACACTGCCCAAAGTAATTTATAGATTCAATGCTATTCTCATTAATCTACCATTGATTTTCTTCACAGAATTAGAAAAAATGACTTTAAATTTCATGTGGAACCAATAAAGAGAAAAAAGAGCTCGTATAGCCAAGACAATCCTAAGCAATAGAACAAAGCTGAAGGCATCACACTATCTGACTTGAAGCTATATTACAAGGCTACAGTAACCAAAACAGCATGGTACTGGTACCAAAACAGATATATAGACCAATGAAACAGAAGACCAACCTCAGAAGTAACACCACACATCTATAACCATCTGGTCTTCAACAAACCTGACAAAAACAAGCAATTGTGAAAGTATTCCTTATTTAATAAATGGTGCTAGGAAAACTGGCTAGTCATATGCAGAAAATGGAAACTGGACCCCTTCCTTACACCTTATACAAAAATTAACTCGAGGTGGATTAAAGACTTAAATGTAAAACCCCAAACCCAAAAACACTAGAAGAAAACCTAGGCCATACCATTCAGGACATAGGCATTGGCAAACACTTAATGACTAAAACACCAAAAACAATTGCAACAAAAGGCAAAATTGACAAATGGGATCTAAGTAAACTAAAGAGCTTCTCCACAGCAAAAGAAATTATCATCAGAGTGAACAGGCAACCTACAGAATGGGAGAAAATTTTTGCAATCTACCCATCTGACAAAGGTCTAATATCCAGAATCTACAAGGAAATTTAACAAATGTACATTTAAAAAAACCAGACAACCGCATCAACAAGTGGGTGAAGGATATGAACAGACACTTCTCAAAAGAAGACATTTATGTGGCCAACAAACCAGTTACCGCATGTTCTTGCTCATAAGTGGGAGTTAAACACTGAGGACACATGGACACAGGGAGGGGAACATCACACACCAGAGCCTGTCGGGGGTTGGGGGACAAGGGGAGGGAGACCATTAGGACAAATGCCTAATGCATGCAGGGCTTAAAACCTAGATGACAGGTTGATAAGTGCAGCAAACCACCATGGCACATGGATACCTAAGTAACAAACCTGCACGTTTTGCAGATGTATCCCAGAACTTGAATTAAATAAAATAATTTAAAAAAAATTCAAAGATTCTGGATAATTGTGATGCTCCTTGGAATGTCATAATTCTATCCATAGTTACTGGATAATGTCTATACTTTTTAAAATGTCAAAAAGAACCTTTGTGATCCATCCTCTGACTACTTCATCCACCTTTTCTCTTCATTCCACTCCACACTCAACCTATGTTTGTACAATATTGTCAGAAGTTATTACATTCTCTTTGGCCCTTTGTGCTGTTGTGCATGCTGTGCTATCTTTCTGAAATGCCCTTCTTCCCTTGGATAACCGCTACTCTGCTTTCAGGACTCATCTTTCCCTGACTACCCTCCTGCTACTTCCGTGACCTATTATGACACCATCCTACATGCACTGTAGCAGCTTGTATTGATATTTCAGTATTTCATCACACTTTATTACAATTATCTATTTACTTGTCTTTTCTCTACTGGACTGTGGGTTCCTTGAAGATGGGGATACAATATATATTGAACAATCAAACTCCAGAATAATGACTTTGATATATGTAAGGCATCCATGAGAACCAATCAAATTGCTTTGGAGTCACAAGCTTATATCTTGTTTTATTACATATGCATACATTACAAATTCTTTGAAATAAAAAAATCAGATCACTTAAAAATTCACTCACTATCACAAAAACAGCATGGGGGAAACTACCCCCATAATTTAGTTATCTCCACCTGGTCCTGCCCTTGACACGTGAGGATTATTACAATTCAAGGTGATATTTGGGTGGAAACACAGCACCAAACCATATCAGAAGACTACCTCAATACATTTAATAATCAAATTTACAAAGATCAAGGACAAAGAAAGGATCCTAAAAGCAGCAAGAGAAAAGAAACAAATAACATACAATGGAGCACCAATACATCTGGCAGCAAACTTTTCAGTGGAAGCCTTACAGGCCAGGAGAGAATGAGGTGACATATTTAAAATGCTGAAGGAAAAAAACTTCTACACTAGAATAGTATATCTTGTGAAAATATACTTCAAATATGACAAAGAAATAAAAACTTCCCCAGACAAATAAATAAATAAATAATTAGCTCAGGGATTTCATCAAAACCAGACCTGCCATGCAAGAAATGCTAAAGGGAGTTCTTCCACCTGAAAGGAAAAGACATTTTTGAGCAATGAGAAATCACCTCAAGATACAAAACTCATGGGTAAGTATACATAAAAACACAGAATATTACAACAATGTAACTGTACAACAACTTTTTAAGGCATAGATAGTACAATGTGATAAAAATTAGAAACAACAAAAAGTTGAGAAGAAGAGAGATGAAGACAAGGTGTAGAGTCTTTATTAGTTTTCTTCCTGCTTGCTAGTTTGTTTATGGAAAAGTTTTAAGTTGTTATCAGCTTAAAACAATGGATTATAAGATACAATTTTCAAGCCCCATGGTAACCTCGAATCAAAAAACATTCAATGAAGGCATAAAAAATAAAGATCAGGAAATTAAAATCTAAAAGAGAAAATCACCTTCCCTAAAAGGAAGGCAGGAAAAAAGGAAACAAAAAGGAGAAGATAACAAACGACCAGAAAACAAATAACAAAATGGTGGGAGTAAGCCCATACTTATTAATAACATTGAATGTAAATGGACTAAAATCTCTAATCAAAAGCCTTGAAGTGGCGGAATGGATTAAAAAACCAAGACCCAATAATTTGCTACATACAAGAAACACACTTAGCCTATGAAGAAACATGCAGACTGAAAACAAAAGAATAGAAAAAGATGTTCCATGCCAATGGACACCAAAAAAGCACAGGAGTAGCTATACCTGTATAAGATAAAATATAGTTCAAAATCAAAACTATGAGAAGAGACAAAGAGGGTCACTATATAATGATAAAGTGGTCAATTCAGTAAGAGTATATATTAATAATGAATTTAAATATATGTACACCCAGCATTGGAGCACTCAAATATATAAAGTGAATATTAGAGCTGAAGAAAGAGATAGGCCCCAATACAATAATAGCTGGAAATGCAAACAGCCCACTTTCAGCATTGGACAAATCATCCATACAGACAATCAAAAAGGAAATATTGGACTCAATCTGCACTATAGACCAAATGGACCTAACAGATATTGACAGAACATTTCATCCAACAGCTGCAAAATACATATTCCTTTTTCTTTCTTTTCTTTCTTCTTCTTATTATTTTTTGAGATAGGGTCTCACTTCCATTGCTCAGGCTGTATTGCAGTGGTGTTATCTTGGCTTACTGCAGCCTTGACTTCCTGGGTTCAAGTGATGCCCCCACCTCAGCTTCCTGAGTAATTGGGACTACAGGTGTGCACCACAACATCCAGCTTTTTTTTTTTTTATTTTTTAATAGAGATGGGGTTTCACCATGTTGCCCAGGCTGGTCTCAAACTCCTGGGCTCAAGCAAGTTGCCTTGGCCTCACAAAGTGCGGGGATTACAGGTGTTAACCACCCTGCCCAGCCAAAATACACATTCTTTTCCTCAGCACATGGATCATTCTCAAGGATAGACCATATATTACATCACAAAACAAGTCTTAAAACATTCCAAAACATCGAGATAATATTAAGCATCCTCTCTGATCACAATGGAATAAAACTAGAAATCAAACCAGAGGAATTTTAAAAACTATAAAAATACATAGAAATTAAATATGCTCCTGAATCACCAGTGGGTTAATAAAAAAATTAAGAAGAAAATTGAAAAATTTCTTGAAACAAATGATAATGCAAATACAATATATTGAAACCTATGGGATACAGCAAAAGCAATACTAAGAGGAAAGTTTATGGCTATAAGTGTCTACACCAGGAAAGAAGGAAATCTTCCAATAAACAATTAACAATGCATCTTAAAGAACTAAATCAGCAAGAGCAAACCAAACCCAAAATTAGTAGAAAAAATAATACAGATTAGAGCAGAAATAAATAAATTGAAATGAAGAAAACAATACAAAAGATCAATGAAACAAAAAGTTGGTTTTTTTGAAAAGTTAAACAAAATTGGCAAACCTTTAGTCAGACTAAGAACAAAAAGAAAAGACCAAAATAAATAAAATCAGAGATGGAAAAGTAGACATTACAATGGATACTGCAGAAATCAAAGATTATTAGTGGCTACTGTAGGCAACTATATGCCAATTAATTCAAAAATCTAGAAGAAATGGACAAATTCCTAGACATATACAAGCTACCAATCTTGAACTATGAAGAAATCCAGAACCTAAGCAGATCAATAACAAATAACTAGATCAAAGCCTAAATAAAAAGTCTCCCAGTAAAGAAAAGCCTAGGACCTAAAGACTTCACTGCTGAATTCGGCCAAACATTTTAAAAAAGTCTTAATACCAATCCTACTCAAACTATTCTGAAAAATAGAGGAGGGATGAATACTTCCAGACTCATACTACAAGGCTAGTATTTTGCTTCAAAAAGAATAAAATACCTAGGAATCTAACTTACAAGGGACCTGAAGGACCTCTTCAAGGAGAACTACAAACCATTGCTCAAGGAAATAAAAGAGGATACAAACAAATGGAAGAACATTCCCTGCTCATGGGTAGGAAGAATCAATATCGTGAAAATGGCCATGCTGCCCAAGGTAATTTATAGATTCAATGCCATCCCCATCAAGCTACCAATGACTTTCTTCACAGAATTGGAAAAAACTACTTTAAAGTTCATATGGAATCAAAAAAGAGCCTGCATCACCAAGTCAATCCTAAGCCAAAAGAACAAAGCTGGAGGCTTCACGCTACCTGACTTCAAACTATACTACAAGGCTGCAGTAACCAAAACAGCGTGGTACTGGTACCAAAACAGAGATATAGATCAATGGAACAGAACAGAGCCCTCAGAAGTAACGCCGCATATCTACAACTATCTGATCTTTGACAAACCTGAGAAAAACAAGCAATGGGGAAAGGATTCCCTATTTAATAAATGGTGCTGGGAAAACTGGCTAGGCATATGTAGAAAGCTGAAACTGGATCCCTTCCTTATACCTTATACAAAAATTAATTCAAGATTGATTAAAGCCTTAAACGATAGACCTAAAACCATAAAAACCCTAGAAGAAAACCTAGGCAATACCATTCAGAACATAGGTGTGGGCAAGGACTTCATGTCTAAAACACCAAAAGCAATGGCAACAAAAGCCAAAATTGACAAATGGGATCTAGTTAAACTAAAGAGCTTCTGCACAGCAAAAGAAACTACCATCAGAGTGAACAGGCAACCTACAAAATGGGAGAAAATTTTCGCAACCTACTCATCTGACAAAGGGCTAATATCCAGAATCTACAATGAACTCAAACAAATTTACAAGAAAAAAACACACAACCTCATCAAAAAGTGGGCAAAGGACATGAGCAGACACTTCTCAAAAGAAGACATTTATGCAGCCAAAAAACACATGAAAAAATGCTCACCATCACTGGCCATCAGAGAAATGCAAATCAAAACCACAATGAGATACCATCTCACACCAGTTAGAATGGCGATCATTAAAAAGTCAGGAAACAACAGGTGCTGGAGAGGATGTGGAGAAATAGGAACAATTTTACACTGTTGGTGGGACTGTAAACTAGTTCAACCATTGTGGAAGTCAGTGTGGCGATTCCTCAGGGATCTAGAACTAGAAATACCGTTTGACCCAGCCATCCTATTACTGGGTATATACCCAAAGGACTATAAATCATGCTGCTATAAAGACACATGCACACGTATATTTATTGTGGCACTATTCACAATAGCAAAGACTTGCAACCAACACAAATGTCCAACAATGATAGACTGGATTAAGAAAATATGGCACATATACACCATGGAATACTATGCAGCCATAAAAAATTATGAGTTCATGTCCTTTTTAGGGACATGGATGAAATTGGAAATCATCATTCTCAGTAAACTATCACAAGGACAAAAAACCAAACACCGCATATTCTCACTCATAGGTGGGAATTGAACAATGAGAACACATGGACACAGGAAGGGGAGCATCACACTCTGGGGACTGTTATGGGATGGGGGAGGGGGGAGGGATAGCATTAGGAGATATACCTAATGCTAAATGATGAGTTAATGGGTGCAGCACATCAACATGACACATGTATACATATGTACCTATCCTGCACATTGTGCACATGTACCCTAAAACTTAAAGTATAATAATAAAATTAAACAAACAAACAAACAAAAAAACAGACAAAGACACATCAAAAAAAGAAAAACTACAGGCCAATATCTCCAATGAATACTGATGCAAAAATCCTCAATAAAATACTAGCCAATTAAATCCTACAATACTTTAAAAAATCATTTATCATGATCAAGTGCAATTTATTCCTGGGATACAGGGATGGTTCGAAATATATAAATCAGTCAGTGTGATACATCATACCAACAGAATAAAGGACAAAAAGCATGTAATCATTTCAATTGATACTGAAAAAGCATTTGATAAAATTTAACATCCTTTCAAGATAAAAATATCAAATGACTGGGTACACAAGGAATGGACTTCAACATAGTAAAGTCATATATGACAGATCCACAGCAAGTATCATACTGAATGGGTAAAATCTGAAAGTCTTTTCTATAAGATTTGGAACATGGCAAAAATACCCATGTTCACCACTGTTATTCAACATAGTACTGGAATTCCTAGACAGAGCAATCAGACAAGAGAAAGAAACAAAGGACATCCAAATTGGAAAGTAAGAAGTCAAATTAGACTTCTTTGCAGATGACATGGTCTTATATTTTCAGAAACCTGAAGACTCCATCCAAAAATTATTAAGACTGATAAATTCAGTAACGTTGTAGGATACAAAATCAACATACACAAATCAGTAGCATTTCTATATGAGAGCAGTGAACAATCTGAAAAAGAAATTTAGAAAATAATGGCATTTACAGTAGCTGCATATGAAATAAAATACCTAAGAATAAACTTAACCAAAAGAGTGAAATATTTCTATGGCAGAATCTATAAAACATTGATGCAAGAAATGGAAGAGGATGCAAAAAATAGAAAAATATCCCATGCTCATAGATTGGAAGAATTAATATTGTTAAAATGTTCATACTACCCAAAGTAATCTGCAGATTCAATGCAATCTCTGTCAAAATGCAAACAACATTCTTCTCAGAAATTGAAAACACAATCCTAAAATTTACATGGAACTTCCAAAGACCAAGAATAGCCAAAGCCATCCTAAGCAAAAAAGAATAAAACTGGAAGAAATGCATTGCCTGACTTCAAATTACACTACAGAGATACAGTAAACAAAACTGCATGGTACTGACATAAAAACAGACACATAGACTAATGCAACACAATAGAGAACCCAAGAACAAATCCACACAGCTACAGTGAACTCATTTTCAGCACAGGAACCAAGAACATAAACTGGGGAAAAGACAGTCTCTTCAACAAATGGTGCTGGGAAACCGAATATCCATATGCAGAAGAATGAAATGAGACTCCATCTATCACCATATAAAAAAAGCAAATCAAAATGAATTAAAAACATAAATCTAAGACCACAAACTATGGTACTACAAGAAAACTTTAGGGAAACTCGGCAGGACATTGATTTGGGCAAAAATTTATTGAGCAATATGCCACAAGTACAGGCAACCAAAGCAAGAATTGAAAAATGGGATCACTTCAAGTTAAAAAGCTTCTGCACAGCAAAGGAAACTATCAATGAAGTAAAGGGACAACCCACAGAATGGGAGAAAATATTTGCAAAATACTAATCTGGCAGGGAATCAATAACTAGAGAATATATAAGGAGTTCAAACAACTGTATAGGGAAAAAATCTAAAAATTTGATTTTAAAAATGGGCAAATAATTTGAATAGGCATTTCTCAAAAGAAGACTTGCAAATGGCAAACAGGCATATGAAAAGATACTCAACATCATTGATCCTCAGATAAATGCAAATCAAAATTACAAAGAGGTATTATCTCACCACAGTTATCATTGCTTGTATCCAAAAGACCGTTAATAACAAATGCTGGCAAGAATGTTGAGAAAAGGGAACCCTCATACATTCTCACTAGAAATGTAAATTTGTACATCCACTGTGGAGAACAGGTTGGAGGTTCCTCAAAAAACTAAACATAGAGCTACCCTATGACCCAGCAATCCCACTTCTGGTTACATACCCCAAGAAAAGGAAATCAGTATATCAAAGAGATATCTGCACTCCTATGTTTGTTGCAGCACTGTTCACAATAGCCAAAATTTGAAAGCAACTTAAGTGTCCAT
This sequence comes from Homo sapiens, assembly GCF_000001405.40. Lineage (NCBI taxonomy): Eukaryota > Metazoa > Chordata > Mammalia > Primates > Hominidae > Homo > Homo sapiens. The sequence goes on along the minus strand of NC_000023.11, from coordinate 108,931,606 downwards.
CAACAGATGAATGGATAAAGAAAATGTGGTACTTATACACAATGGAGTACTATTTAGCCATAAAAACAGTGAGATCTTGTCATTTGCAACAATATGAATGAAATTGGAGGTCATTATGTTAGGCGAAATAAGCCAGGCACAGAAAGACAAACATCACATGTTCTCACTTATTTTTGGCATCTAAAAATCAAAACAATTGAACTCATGGAGACAGAGAGTAGAAGGAAGATTACCAGAGGTTGGGAAGGGTAAGGGGAGTGAGGGGTTGCAAGGGGAGGTGGCAATGGTTAATGGCTAAAAAAAATATATAAAGAACAATAAGACCTACTGTTTGGTAGCACAACAAGGTGAATATAGTCAATACTAATTTATTTGTACATTCTAAAATAACAAGAATTGTATAATTGGATTGTTTGTAAGACAAAGGATAAATGCTTGATGGTATGGATACCCCATTTTTCATGATGTGAGTATTACTCATTACCTGCCCCTTTTAGCCATAGCTGGAGCAGCTGGGACACAGGGCACCAAGGCCCAATGCTTCACACAGTAGGGGGGCCTTGGACTTGGCCCAGGAAACCATTTTTCCCTCCTAGGCATCCAGGCCTGTGATGGGAGGGGCTGCTATGAAGGTCTCTGACATGCCCTGGAGACATTTTCCCTGTCATCTTGGTGATTAATGTTTAGCAAACATCACATGTTCTCACTTATTTTTGGCATCTAAAAATCAAAACAATTGAACTCATGGACATAGAGATTAAAGGAAGATTACCAGAGGCTGGGAAGGGTAAGGGTAGTGACAGGTTGGAAGGGGAGGCAGGGATGGCTAATGGTTACACAAATAAGACCTACTATTTGGTAGTGCAACAAGGTGAATATAGTCAATACAAATTTATTTGTACATTCTAAAATAACAAGAATTATATAATTGGATTGTTTGTAAGGCAAAGGGTAAATGCTTGATGGTATGGATACCCCATTTTTCATGATGTCAGTATTACTCATTACCTGCCTGTAAAAGGGGCCAGTGTACAGCTCAGGCTGTTGCTTCAGAGGGTGAAAGCCCCTAGCCTTGGCAGCTTCCATGTGGTGTTGGGCCTGCATGTGTGCAGGAGTCAAGAATTGAGATTTGGGAACCTTGGCCTAGATTTCAGAAGATGTATGAAAACGCCTGGCTGTCCAGGAAGAAGTTTGCTGCAGGGGCAGAGCCCTCATGGAGAACCTCTGCTAGAGCAGTGCCAAAGGGAAATGTGGGGTTGGAGCCCTAACACAGTGTCCCCACTGGGTCACTGTCTAGTGGAGCTGTGAGAAGAGGGCCACCATCCTCCAGACCCCAGAATGATAGATCCACTAACAGCTTGCACCATGCACCTGGAAAAGCCACAGACATTCAAGGCCAGCCCATAATAGAAGCCAGGAAGGGGGCTGTACCCTGCAAAGCCATAGGGGTGGTACTGCCAAAGGCCATGGGAGGCTACCTCTTGCATCAGTGTGACCTGGATGTGAGACATGGAGTCACAGGAGATCATTTTGGAGCTTTAAGATATGCCTACATTGCTGGATTTTGGGTTTGCTTGTGGCCTGTAGCCCCTTTGTTTTTGTCAATTTCTCCCATTTGGAATGGGTTTATTTACCCAATGACTGTACCCCCGTTGTATCTAGGAAGCAACTAACTTGCTTTTGATTTTACAGGCTCATAGGTGGAAGGGACTTGCCTTGTCTCAGATAAGACTTGGGACTTGGACTTTTGAGTTAATACCAGAATGAGTTAAAACTTTGGGGGACTGTTGGAAGGGCATGACTGTGTTTGGAAGTGTGATGACATGAGATTTGCATGTGGCCAGGTGCAGAATTACATGGTTTGGCTGTGTACCCACCCAAATCTCATTTTGAATTGCTGTACCCATAATCCCAACATGTTGTGGGGGAGGGTCCTGGTGGGAGGTAATTGAATCATGGGGGCAGTTACCTCCATGCTGTTCTTGTGATACTGTGTGAGTTCTCATGAGATCTGCTGGTTTTATAAGGGGTTTTTGCCCCTTTTGCTCGGCATTTCTCCTTGCTACTGCCATGTGAAGAAGGATGTGTTTGCTTCCCCTTCCACCATGATTGTAAGTTTCCTGAGGCCTTTCCAGCCAAGTTGAACTGTGAGTCAATTAAACCTCTTTCCTTTATAAATTACCCAGGCAGTCTTGGGTACATCTTTATTAGCAACATGAGAATGGATGAATACAAATGGCATCAATTAGAAAATGGATTGGAAAGTTGGACTGGAAAACATGACCAAATTCTGCTGTCCAAGAAAATTGGGATCAAATATAAAGATATAGGCAGGTAGAAAGTAAAATAATGAGAAAGATATATAAAAATTAATCAAAGAAAATCAGGAGTGAATGTTTCAGAAAAAGTAAACTTCAAAGCAAAGAAAATTACCAACAGCAGAAAGGGATATTATATAATAAATAAAGTATCAATCCACCAAGAAGACAGCAATTCTTAATGCATCTGTAGCAGACACCATAGCTGAAAAATATGTGAAATAAAGACTGACAGAACTAAAGGAAATACTTAATTTCACAATTATTGTTGGAAATTTAAACATTAATCTCTGCAAAATTGATAGAATGACTAGACAGAAAATCAGAAAACATAGAGAATTCAAAAACATCATCAAACAAGATCTAATCAACATTTAAGAAACACTCCACCCAACACCTGAATACATGCTCTTCAACTGCTCACAGAACGTATACTAAAGTAGAATACATCCTAGGGCATAAAAATCTCCTCAACAAATTTAAAAAATTGAGGTGATACAAAGTATCTTCACTGACATAATGGAATCACACTGCAAATCAGTAACAGAAAAGATAACAGGAAAATATCCAAATACTTATAAATTACACAACACACTTTTAAATAACCCATGGGTCAACAAGTAAGTTTTGACTCAAGTGAAATAGAAAAAAATTATTGAATAATCTGTTATGTGATTAGAGAAAAAAACCAAAAGTACATAAGAAAATGAAAATGATATATCAAATTTTGTGAGCTACAGCTTAAGTAGTGCTAAAAGGAATATTATAGTACTAAGTAATAACATTAGAAAAAAAGGAAAAATCTCAAATCAATAATTTAAGCTCTCATCTGAAGAAACTAGGAAAAGAAGAGACAATAAATCCAAAGGAAGCAGAAGCACACATAATAAAGACAAAAGCAAGAATCAATGAAATTGACAACAAAATATCACTTAAACAAAGATCTGGTTCTTTGAAAAAACTGAATAAATTTGACAAACCACCAACAAGACCAACAAAAGAAAGAAAGAAGACACAATTGCAATATAGGAATAAATCAAAGGATATTACTACAGACCCTGCAGACATCAAAAGGAAAATAGAATGCTACAAACAACTCTACACATATAAATTTAACAACTTCAATGAGACCAATTCATAAAACAACAGAAATTTCCAGCACTCACTGGAAATACAGTCATCCCTCCCTATATATGAGGCATTGGTTCCAGGATTCCTTGTGTATACCAAAATCCATACATGCTCAAGCTTTGTGGAATATGCATACAGAAAAAGCTGTCCCTTTGTGTATGAGGTTTTGTATCCCATGAATACTGCATTTTCAATCTGTGTTTGCTTGAAAAATATTCTCATGTAAGTGGACCTATGCAGTTCAAACTAGTGTTTTTTTAAGGGTCAACAGTAGATAATTTTAATAGCCCTATATCTAGGGAAATTAAATTCTTTATTTAAAATTCCCCATCCAAGTTTCCAGGCCCATGTGATTTCACTGGAGAATTCTATTAAACATTTAAAGAAGAATTATTGCCAATTTTATATAATCTTTTCCAGGAAATATAAAAGAAGAGGAGAGAATTAATTTTATGAAGCTAGTATTACCTTAATATCAAAATGAGAAAAAGTCAATACAAAATGAGAAAATTACAGGTCAATATTTCTTATGAATATAGACCATTTGTTGAAGATATCTTTTCTCTGTCAAATTGCAAAAAAAAAAAATAAATTGCAAAATGTTAGTGGTAAAACTCAGCAATACATAAAATGATTATACACCATGATCAAATGGAGTTTATCACAGGGATCTAAGTTTAGTTCAATATTTGAAAAACAGTCAGTGTAATCCATCTTATTACCAGTCTAAAACAGAAAAATCTCATGATTATATCAATCAATCAATACAGAAAAATCATTAGACCAAATTTAACACTCATTCATGATGAAAGCAATAACTCTCAGAAAAAAATAGAAATAGAAAGAAATTTTCTCCACTTCATAAAGAGCATCCATATTAAAACTAAAGCTAAACTTACTTAACGGTGAAAGACTGAATGCTTTCTATTTAAGGTGGGAACAAAGCATGAATGTCTACTCTCACCACTCTTATTTGACATATTACTGAATATTCTAGCCAGAGCAATAAGGAAAGAAAATGAAATTTAAAAGTACAGATTGGAAATGAAGAAATAAAACTATCTTTATTTGTGCATCTCTTGATGATTTCAGTAGAAAATTCTAAGGAATCTATAAAAATCTCTTAGAACTAATAAATGAGTTCAGCATGGGCAAAGTATATAAAATAAACATATAAAAGTCAATCATATTTCTATATTCTCAAAATGGATACATATGTGGCCATTGAAATTTTAAATACAGTACAATTAAGCATTCAAAAATAAATTACTTAAGTATAAATGTGAAATACATGTACAGTATTGACAACTAACAAAATAAATTTTAAAAGATCTGAAAAAACGTGGATAAATGTTGTGTTATTGGATTGGAAGACTCAGAAAAATAAAGATACCTACTTTTCCCAAACTGATGTGTATAATAAATTTCTATCAATTCTCAGCAAGTTTGTTTTCAGTTATAGACAAGACTGTTCTAAATATATATGGTGTCTTAGTTCTTTCAAACTGCTGTAACAAAATACTTTAGACTGGGGAATTTATAAATAACAGAAATTTACTTCTCACAGTTTTGGAAGTGGGGAGTCTAAGTTCAAGGCTCCAGTACATTCAGTGTCTGGTGAGGCCTTGCTCTCTGCTTTAAAAATGGTGCCTTCTTGCTGTGTCCCCACATGCTGGAGGAGCAAATAAGATCCTTTGGGCCTCTTTTATTAGGGCAATAATCTCATTCATAAGGGCTCTGCCGTCATTACCTAATCACCTCCCAAAGGCCTTACTTGCCTATTAATACCTTGGGCGTTAGGTTTTAACATATGAATCACACATTCAGACCATAGCATGTGAAAAAGCAAAGACACTGGAAGAGATAAAACCATTTTGAAAAACAAGAATAAAGTGGAAAAATCACTCTATCTGATTTCAACGCTTATATAGTCATGTTACCCGGTGTAATGTCTATTTGACATAGCTGAATTTCTACCCCGCCCTAACTCTGCTTATCTTTAAGAAAGAGAATGCTTGTGTTAAAAAGTTCCCTCTGTAACTGGACCAGCTGAGACTGGTTAGAACCAAGATAGCCAACTGAATTACTTCAAAAAGACCTCAGGCTTCATGATAATCTCATTTCCATGCTAAATTACACTGCCACTAGTGCCATGACAGGTGACAATTTCTATGACAATGAATGGAATAAGCCATAAAAGAACAAAATGGAAAGCAGCCTTCTCATTCTGGGAAGTTCACAGCCCACTTCCAGAAAAGACATGAATATTCCTCCCCTTGCTTTCAATGTCCAACCCCTTCATTAAAGAAACCCTGTTTTCTAAACCCCTAAGCCCCACACTAGTGGAGAAGTTGACTTGTTAGTCATGCTCCCACTTCTCAATTCCATGGTCTTCAAATGAAGCCTATACTACTTGACACTCACTTTTGGTTTCGTGCATTGGCTCTGTGACACTGAACAGGAAAAAATCCCGTCTTTGGGGACCAGCTTTGTTGGTAACAGTCATACTAATCAAGGCTATATGGTATTGGTTTAGGGAAAGACACAAAGATCAATAGGATAGAATAGAGAACCCAGAAGTAAACCCACACATGTACACCCAACTGACTTTTGACAAAGATGCAAAAAGAAAAAAAGCAATTCAATAGAGGAAAGACATCTTCATCAAACAGTGTTAGAGAAAATAGACATTCATAGCAAAAATCAATTGACCTAAGTGTCACATGTTGTACAAATGGTATCTCAAAATAGATTACAGAATTAAATGTGAACTGTAAAATATAAAAATTTTAAGAAAAACCTTCAGGGTCTAGGTCTAGGCCAAGAGTTCTTAGACAAAATATCAAAAGTACAATACACAAAAGCAAAAATTGATAAATTGGACCTCATCCAATTAAGAAGCTTTTGCCCTGTGAAAGAGCCTAGTTAAGATTTTTAGAGGGTTAAAAGGCAAGGTATAGACTTGGAGGAAATATCTGTAAGCCAGAAACCTGACAAATTACTTGTTTTCAGAACATAAGAATTATTAAAACCCAGCAGTAGGGGAAAATCCGATTAGAAAATAGACAAAGGACATGAATAGACATTTCACCAAAGACTATATACAGATAGAAAATAAGCACCTTAAAAGATAATAGTCAAAATCACTTAACCATTGTGGAAATCCAAATGAAAACCACAATGAGGTATCAGTGCTTCTACGAAAATGGCTAAAATAAAACAAAAAAAATATAATAATGATAGCACCAAATGCTAGTAGGGATGCAGAGAAGTGGATCACCCATATATTGCTGGTGAGAATGTGAAATGATAAAGCTACTTTGAAAAACAATTTGACAGCTTCTTTAAAAACTAGGCATGCAATTACCATACAACTCAGCAATTGCATTTTTGGACATTTATCCTGGAGAAGTGAAAACTTACATCCCCACAAAACCTGTACATGAATGTTCATAGTAGCTTTACTTGTAATAGCTAAAAGCTGGAAACAACCTAGATGTCCTTCAATGGGTGCATGGTTAAACAAACTGTGGCACATCAACCCCATGGAATACTGGCCATAAATAGAAAGAAATTAACAGTTGATACATGTAACAACTTGGATTAATCTTTATAGAATTATGCTAAATGAAAAAAAGACAATTATGAAAGGTTACATACTACAATAATTTATTTACTTTATTGAAACAACAACAGGGTTGAAATGGAAAACAGATTAGTGGTTTCAAATGTTTAAGGGAAGGGTGCAGGCAGAAGAAATGTGGGTGTGATTATTAAAAGGCAATATGATGTATCCTTATGGTGACAGAACTATTGTGTACCTTTACTGTATTGATATTCATATCCTGGTTGTGGTATTGTACTATACTTCAGAAGATACTGCCATTGAGGTAAACTAGGGAAAAGGCACAGGCATACCTCAGAGATATTGCAGGTTCAGTTCCAGACCACCACAGTGCAGCAAGTCACACTTTTTTTTTTTTTGGTTTCCCAGTGCATATAAAAGTTATGTTTACACTAACTGTGGTCTATTAAATATGCAATAGCATAATGTCTACAGAACAATGTAATAACTTAATTAAAAATACTTTATGCTAAAAAGGCTAATGATCATCTGAACCTTCAGTGAGTTGTAATCATTTTGCTGATGAACAGTCTTGCTTTGATGTTGATGGCTGCTGACTGATCAGGGTAGTAGTTGTTGCTGAAGGTAGGTTTATGTGGCTGTGCCTATTTCTTTTTCTTTCTTTCTTTCTTTCTTTCTTTCTATTTTTTAGAGATGAGCTTCCCCTATATTGTCCAGGCTGAGATTACAGGCTGCACCTATGCACCTGGGCACCCAGCTGTAATTTCTTAAAATAACAGAAAAATGAAGTTTGCCACATTGGTGTACTCTTCCTTTCACAAAAGATTTTTATGTAGCATGCAATGGTGTTTGATTGCATTTTACCCACAACAGAATTTCTTTCAAAATTAGAGCCCATCCTCTCAAACCCTGCCACTGCTTTATCAACTAAGTTTACATGATATTCTGAATTATTCATTGTCAGCCAGGTGTGGTGGCTCACACTTGTAACCTCAGCACTTTGGGAAGCTGAGGTGGGCAGATCACCTGAGCTCAGGAGTTCAAGATCAGCCTGGCCAAAATGGTGAAACCCTGTCTCTACTAAAACTACAAAAATTAACCAGGCATGGTGGTGTGTGCCTGTAGTCCCAGCTACCTGGGAGGCTGAGGAAAGAGAATCGCTTGAATCTGGAAGATGGAGGTTGCAGTGAGCTAAGATCACACCACTGAATTCCAGCCTGGGTAACACAGTGAGACCCTGTCTAAATAAATAAATAAATAAATAATTGTTATTTCAACAATGTTCACAGCATCTTCACCAGGAGTAGAATCCATCTCAAATAATCACTTTATTTGTTCAACAGTAAGAAGCAACTCCTCATTCATTAAATTTTTATCATGAGATTGTAACAATTCAGTCACATTTTCAGGGCCTACTTCTAATTCTATTCCTCTTGATATTTCCACATCTGCAGTTAGTTTCTCTACCAAAGTCTTGAACCCCTCAAAGTCATTCATGAGGGTTAGAATCGACCTATTCCAAACCCCTGTTGATGTTGATATTTTTAATTCCTCCCATGAATCACCAATATTCTTAACGGCACTGGAATGGTCCATCTTTTTCAGAAAGTTTTCAATTTACTTTGCCCAGATCCATGACAGGAATCACTATCTATAGGAGCTACAGCTTTATGAAATGTATCTCTTAAATAATAAGGTTTGAAAGTCAAAATTACTCCTTGATCCATGGGCTGCCGAATGGATATTGTGTTAGCAGGCATGAAAACAACATTAATCTCCTTGTATGTCTCCATCAGAGCTCTTGGGTGAGTAGGCGTATTGTTAATGAACTGTAATATTTTGAAAGGAATCTTTTTATCTAAGCAGTAGGTCTCACAAGTAGACTTAAAATATTCAGTAAACCATGCTGTAAACAGATGTGCTGTCATCCAGGCTTTGTTGTTCCATGTATAGAGCACAGGAAGAATAGGTTTAGCATAATTCTTAAGGACTCTAGAATATTTGGAACGGTAAATGAGCATTGGTTTCAACTTAAAACCAAAGGCTGCATTAGCTCCTAACAAGAAAGTCAGCTTGTTTTTTGAAGCTTTGAAGCAAGGCATTGATTTCTCCTCTCTAGCTATAACAGTCCTAGATGGCATCTACTTCCAATAGAAGCCTGCTTCATCAACATTGAAAACCTGTTGTTTAAGTGTAGCCATCTTCATAAGTTACTTTAACTAGATCTTCTGAATAACTTGCTACAACTTTTACGTTTAACACTTGCTACTTCACCTTGCACTTCAATGTAATGGAGATGATGTCTTTCCTTAAAACTCATGAACCAACCTCTGCTAGCTTCAAACTTTTCTTCTGTAGCTTCTTCACCTCTCTTAAACTTCATACAACTGAAGAGAGTTAGGCCCTTGCTCTGGATTTGGCTTTGGCCTAAGGGGATGCTGTAGCTGGCTTGATCCTCTCTTTAGACCACTAAAACTTTCTCCCTCTCAGCAGTAACGCTGTTTTGCTTTCTTATCATTTGTGTGTTCACAGGAGTAATACTTCTAATTTCCTTTGAGAACTTTTCCTTTGCATTCACCACTTGGCTAAGTGGTGCAAGAGGCCTAGCTTTCAGTTTATCTCAGCTTTCAACACGCCTTCCTCCCTAAGCTCAATCATTTCTGTCTTTTGATTTAAAATGAGAGACAGATGACTCTTACTTTCACTTGAATGTTTAGAGGACATTGTAGTGTTATCAGTTAGCGTAATTTCAATACTGTTGTGTCTCAGAAAATAGGGAGGCCCAAGAAGAGGGAGAGAGATGGAGAAGGCCTGAACAGTGAGGCACTCAGAACATACACATTTATGCATTAAGTTTGCCATCTTATATGGGTATGGTTTGTGGTGCTCCAGTACAATTACCATAGTTTGACACCAAATGTGATCACAGATCACATATCACCATAACAGATACAATAATAGTGAAAAAATCTAAAATATTGTGAAAATTACCAAAATGTGACACAGAGATATGAAGTGAGCACATGCTGTTGGAAAAATGGCACTGGATGCAGGGTTGCCACAAAACTTCAATTTGTAAAAAGTGCAATATCTGTGAACCATAAAAAAAGAAGATATGTCTGTACCTGACATACTTCTGTATTTTTTATAACTGCATGTGAAGCTACAATTATCTCAAAATTAAAAATTTAACTTAAAAAAGATAGGCTACACAAATGATGCAAATTATAACATTTTTGATATTTTATGATATTTTTAAAAGAGCTCTTTTCTTTCCTCCATAATTTTCTGACTTTTTAAAAAACCACTAAAGAAATATGAAAGATTTTTCTAGAGCCACAATTTTAAACTTTCCAATCAAAACACAGGAAGAACCAATCAACCAAGTAATATATATATTTAGATCCTAGCATGTGACATATATTGCAAAGGGTTATAGAAAAGTCTAAGACACAGACTCTGATTTTGAGCAGTTTACAATCTAGGCATGCACATAAGAAATGATGCAATTTACATAAAACCATATTTCATCAATTCTATTATGTACATTTTTCTCATGTTAACTTTTCTGAAATCAGAATGGCATCTTGGAGTCAATGAAATGCAGTAGACAAAAGGCAAGATGTGACATATCACAAAGGAGTAGGATAGGAAAACTGTCCTCATAATAGTTCAGAGGATAATTCATTGTAATTTGAAGTGGCAAGGGAAGACTATATAGAGGAGGTGAGAATTAATCAGGCCTAATGTGTAGGTAATATTACAATAGACAAATGATATGCAGGTGAGTGGTTTAAATGGAAAAGCAAAGAGAATGGAGCTAATTATAAGATATAGCATAAGAAAAGACTGGTACTTGGGAATATGCAGATCACATTTTAGGTAACAGGGCATGAATCATTTTGGCTTTAGTAGAGCATACATTGAAAAGAAAAACAGAGCAACCTCTGCTTCTGATAATTATGTAGTTCCTACTGATGGCTCCCAGTTGAGAAATATTTAAAAATCATCTTGAAAGTAGCAAAATTGGAATTACTTATCAAAATCAAAGAGAAAGCAATATCTCAAAGAGATAAGCCTAGTATTGAAAGCTACTTTTGCCCTGAAGTCTTTGACAGTCATAAAGAGATAGCAGTGAAATTGAGTAGTAGTTTTGCCAGTATTACAGGGTGAGAGGGACAGAAGTCAAAGCCCAATATCTTATCAATATGGAGATTCTTATGAACTCCAATAAGCTTGGACCCAAAAGGGCGACATCCTCAAGTGTAAAGGGGAACTGGGCTTTCCCTTCCACAGACTTGCAATCAAGTTTATGAGTGGTCCAGGGAATGTCATGCCATGAACTTAGGTTAACATGGTCCCGAATTGTTAAGCCCCCCTGGTGCCTGGCAGAAGCATCTCTGGTGAGGGTACCTTCTACCTCAACCTTGAATTATTCCTATTAAGAAGTATTAAGATGCAATTGTTAGCCTACATTAAAAGACAACCAGGCATACATAAAAACAATATATTATTTGAATGAACCAGCAGAAAAACAGCAGAAACAGGTCTACAAAACTTCAGATTTTGTACTTATCAGCCACGGACTATAAAATATATATTTACTCTGCTTAAAGAAATAAAGGACAAGTATGAATATTTCTGTACAGAATATGAAAATATGAAAGTGACATAGCAGATATAAGAAAGAACAAAACATAACTTCAGAACTGAAACATTTAATATCAAACTAGAGGCTCTTTGGCAGATATAACAGCAGATTACACATAGCAGAAGAGAGATTGATGAACTTAAAATAAGTCAAAACATAGTATTAGAATACAGCACATAGAGTAAAATAATGGAATATACAGAATAGAGGGTAAGAGACAAAAAAGAAAATTGACATATGTTTAATTGGAATACAAAAGAGAGAAGAGAAAAACATGGGGCAGAGGCATTATGTGAGGAGATAATGATTGACAATTTTTTAGACTAATAAAAAAACCCAATCTATAATATTTAAATTCCTAGAAATATAAAGCAAAATAAATATAAACAAAGTCACACCTGGAAGCATTGTAGTAAAATTACAGTAAACAGATAGAGAGAAAATTTTAAAACGCCTGATTTTAGAATGGCAGATTACCAACAAAGGAGTGAAAAGACTGACAACTGACTCTCAAAAGCAACAACAACAACAAGAAAAACAGAAGACAAGGGAATGATAACTTCAATTAGCTTAAAGGTAACTGCCAACTTAGAAATCTGCAGTCAACAAAATATCACTTAAAAATAAAGAGAACATAAAGACTTTTTCAAACAAACAAAAACTAAGAGGTCCATTGGTAGATCTGAAGTATAACTAAAGCTATTCTTTTTTTTTTTTTTTTTTTTTTTTGAGACGGAGTCTCGCTCTGTCGCCCAGGCTGGAGTGTAGTGGCGCGATCTCGGCTCACTGCAAGCTCCGCCTCCCGGGTTCACGCCATTCTCCTGCCTCAGCCTCCCGAGTAGCTGGGACTACAGGCGCCCGCTACCACGCCCGGCTAATTTTTTGTATTTTTAGTAGAGACGGGGTTTCACCGTGTTAGCCAGGATGGTCTCGATCTCCTGACCTCGTGATCCGCCCGCCTCGGCCTCCCAAAGTGCTGGGATTACAGGCGTGAGCCACCGCTCCCGGCCAACTAAAGCTATTCTAAAAGATATACTCCAGGAAAAAAAAAGAAGAAATGAAGAACAAGGAAAGTAGTAAACATATGAGTAAATCTAAGTAAACATTGCTTGTCTGATACAATAATAACTGCATGTAGGATTTTAACAATATAAGATTAAAACACAACATCACACTCTGGGGACTGTTGTGGGGTGGGGGGAGGGGGGAGGGATAGCATTAGGAGATATACCCAATACTAAATGACGAGTTAATGGGTGCAGCACACCAGCATGGCACATGTATGCATATGTAACTAACCTGAACATTGTGCACATGTACCCTAAAACTTAAAAGTATAATAATAATAAAAATAAATTAAAAAACTAAAAAATAAAAAAAAAACCGCTCTTAAAAAAAAAAACACAGCAACAGGAGCATAGAAAACTGCACGTAGGGAAACTGAGTTAAATTCTTCTAACAGATGATGAAAGATAAGTTTGGAAAGACTATTGGGGCCATATTATTAGGAAGATTAAATACCAAAATAAGGAATTAAGACTTCAATGAAGAGACAATAGATTAGGCATTTAATGACACAATGAGAATAGTATATTAAGAGGATGAGCTTAATCTTTTGTTCAAGTGGTTTAGAGGAAAGAAATACAAGAGACAGAGAGGTTAGCACAGTAAACCAGGTGTGAAATAATAAGGACCATAACTATGGGTTGGGGACAGTGGAAACAAAAACACACAGGGATAACATAAGAGTAATTGGGAAAGAAGAATAGATGGAACTTTGTGACTGACTGGGTGTACAAAAAACTGACAAAAAGAAGCAAAGGTTTCAGGTTTCACAGCTAGGAAAATAGTCTGCTAACAGAAATAGTTAAGTCAGAAAAAAATTATTTTTGCAGAAAGAGTAGCAAACTAGTGAACTTATTTCAAGATCTTTTAAGTTTAGGTGAAACAACCAACTGGGACTATCCAGTAAGGAGTTTAATATGAAAGGACCTGGAGAAAGAATTGGGATTCAGGCACATTTTGGCATTTTAAGCAGTGTGAGAGAGTACATGCAAAGAGAAAAGCAGATAGCCAAAGACTGAGCCAAAGACTGAACCAAAGCACACATGCTTGGGAAATAAGATTATGAAAGTGATCCAAAAAAGAAGATAGAAGAAGAAGAAGAAAGTGGTGGTGAGAGAGGTAGGATAAGACCAGGGCAGTGTAGTGTCATGGAAACCAAAAGAATAAAATTTCAAAAAGGAGAAGATGATCTAAATTAAGAGTTATAGGCAATTAGAGATGCAGAAGAATGAAGTCCAAGGACAGGCCCTTGAAGCATCATCTATTCTCTTCTTACTTTCTCATCAGCTTTAACTTATTGAAGTGGGGCAAGTCCCTTTTGAAAGCCAAAGAAAACAAAAAATGAATTAAATATAATTTGCAGGTCATTTTTATTTACAATCTAAATCCAGCTTTCTCCAAGATTTTTGTGGTGAGACACTATTACGCTCCTCCACCAAACCAGCATGAACAGCTACTACTGAAATCAGAAGATGCAGAAGCCTCCAAGAGTTCCTCCATAATCTACTAGGAGAGGCAAAGGGAGAGAAGAATTACATCAGCATTTCAGGCAGTGAGTTAAATTATGGGACCTTCCTTCCTTCCTTCCTCCCCTCCTCTCCCCTCCCTTCCTCCCTTCCTCCCTTCCTTCCTTCCTACTGTCTTTTCTTTCAGTTGACAAAAATAATTGCATATACTTATTGGGCATAAAATGATGCTTTGAAATATGTATATATTGTGAAATGGCTAAATTAAATAACATATGCATTACCTCACATACTTATCATTTTTGTGGTGATAACATTCAAATTTACTCCCTTAGTGATTTTCAACTGTACAATATATTATTATTAACTAGAGTCACAATGTTGTACAATAGACCTCTTGAACTTATTTCTCCTATTTAGCTGAAATGAGACCATGCAATATTTGTCTTCTGTGCCTGGTTTATTTCACTTAACACAATATCTTCCAAGTTTATCCATGTTGTCACAACTGACAGGGTTTCCTTATTTTTATAAGGCTGAATAGTACTCCATTTTATAGATATAACACATTTTCTTTACCCATTCATTTGTTGGTATACACTCAGGTAGATTCCATATCTTGGCTATTATGAATAATGGTGCAATGAACATGGGAGTGCAGATATTTCCTTGACATATTGATAACTTTTATAGATATACTCAGTAGTGGGATTGCTGGGTCATATCAAAGTTTCATTTTTAATATTTTTGAGAACCTACATAGTGCTTTCCATAATGACTGCACCAATCTACATTCCCACCAACAGTGTAAAAGGGTCTCTTCCCATTTCTCCATACCTTTGCCAACATTTATTTCTTGTCCTTTTGGCAACATCTAATCTCACTGTAGTTTTAATAGTCATTTCCCTGATGATTAGTGATGTTGAACATGGTTTTATATATCTGCTGACCATTAGCATATCTTCCTTTGAAAAAGGCTATGCAGAGCCTTTGCCCATTTTATTCTTTTTTTTTTTTAATTTCAATAGTTTTGGGGGAATAGGTGGTGTTTGCTTGCAAGAAAAAGTTCTTTGGTGATTTCTGAGATTTTGGTGAACTTGTCACCCAAGCAGTGTATACTGTACCCAATGTGTAGCCTTTATCCTGCAGACCACTCCCACCCTTCTGCTACAAGTCCCCAAAATCCATTATAAAATTCTTATGCCTTTCCATCCTCATAGCCTAGCTTCCACTTTTGAGTGAGAACATATGATATTTGATTTTCCATTCCTGAGTTACTTCACTTAGAATAGTGGTCTCCAACATCTTCCAGGTTGCTGCAAAGGCCATTATTTAATTCCTTTTTTATGGCTGAGTAGTACTCCATGATATGTATGTACGTGCATATATTATTTCATTATTATATAATATTTTATTTATCTATTCATTGATTGATGGGCTTTTGGGCTGATTCCATATTTTTGCAATTGCAATTTATGCTGCTATAAACATGTGTGTGCAAGTATCTTTTTCATATAATGACTTTTTTCCTCTGGGTAGATACCCAGTAGTGAGATTGTTGGATCAAATGATAGCTCTACTTTTAGTTCTTTAAGGAATCTCCATATGGTTTTCCATAGTGGTTGTACTAGTTTACATTTCCACAAGCAGTGTAAAAGTATTCTCTTTTCACCACATCCACACCAACATCTATTATTTGTTAACTTTTAAATTATGGCCATTCTTGCAGGAGTAAGTTATATCTCACCATGATTTTGATTTGCATTTCCCTGATAATTAGTGATGTTGAGCATTTTTTCATGTTTGTTGGCCATTTATATGTCTTCTTTTGTGAGTTGTCTATTCATGTTCTTAGCTAACTTAAAAAAAAAAAGAAAACTAGAAATTTATTTGCTCACAGTTCTGGAGGCTGGAAAGTCCAAGATCCAGATGACAGCATGGTGGTTTTTGGTGATGGCTCTCTTTCTGGCTTGTAGACAGCCACCTTCTTGCTATGTCCTCACATGTTGAAAATAGATCTCTCTTTCTCTTTTTTATTTTATTTTATTTTATTTTATTTTAAGTTCCAGGGTACAAGTGCAGTATATGCAAGTTTGTTACATAGGTAAATGTGTGTCATGGTGATTTGCTGCACCTTTCAACCTATCACCTAGGTATCAAGCCAAGCATGCATTATCTATTTTTCCTGACGTTCTCCTTCTCCCCACCCCACTCCCTTAGCAGGCCCAGTGTGGGTTGTTCCCCTCTCTGTGTCTATGTGTTCACATTTTTCAGTTCTCAATTATAAGTGAGAACATATAGTGTTTGATTTTCTGTTCCTGCATTAGTTTGCTGAGGATAATGGCTTCCAGCTCCATCCATGTCCCTGCAAAGGATATACTCTCATTCCTTTTCATGACTGCATAGTATTCCATGGTGCATATGTACCACATTTTCTTTATTCAGCCTCTCATTGATGGGCATTTAGGTTGATTTCATGTATTTGCTATTGTTAATAGTGCTGTAATAAACATACTCATTGTAGCTGACTTTTTGATGAGCTTATTTTTTTCTTGCTAATTTGAGTTCCTTGTAGATTCTGGATATTATTCCTTTTTTGGATGTATAGTTTGCAAAGATTTTCTCCCAGTCTGTGGGATTGTCTGTTTGCTCTGTTGACTATTTCTTTTGCTGTGCAGAAGCTTTTTAGTTTGATTAGATCCCATCAATTTATCTTTGTTTTTGTTGCATTTGCTTTTGGGCTCTCAGTCATGAACTCTTTGTCTAAGCAAATGTCTAAAAGAGTTTCTCCAATGTTATCTTCTAGAATTTTTATGGTTTCAGGCCTTAGATTTAAGTCCTTGATCCATCATCAGTTGATTTTCGTATAAGATAAGAGATGAGGATCCAGTTTCATTCTCCTATATGTGGCTTGCCAATTATCCCAGCACCACTTGTTGAATAGGGTGTCCTTTCCCCACTTTATGTTTTTCTTTGCTTTGTCGAAGATCAGATGGCTGTAAGTATTTGGCTTTATTTCTGGCTTCTCTATTCTGTTCCATTGGTCTATTTGCCTATTTTTATACCAATACTGTGCTATTTTGGTGACTATGGCCATATAGTATAGTTTGAAGTCGAGTAATGTGATGCATCCAGATTTGTTCTTTTTGCTTAATCTTGGTTTGGCTGTGTGGGCTCTTTTTTGATTCCATATGAAGTTTAGGATTGTTTTTCTAGTTCTGTGAAGAATGATGTTGGTATTTTGATGAGAATTGCATTAAATTTGTAGATTGCTTTTGGCAGTATGGTCATTTTTACACTATTGATTCTACACATTCATGAGCACGGGATGTGTTTCAATTTGTTTGTGTCATCTATAATTTATTTTAACAGTATTTTGTTGTTTTCCTTGTAGATGTCTTTTGCCTTTCTGCTTAGGTATATTCCTAAGTGTTTTATTTTTTGCAGCTATTTTGTTAAGTATTTTTTTCAAGTTATTGTAAAAGGAGTTGAGTTGTTGATTTGATTCCCAGGTTGGTCACTGTTGGTGTGTAGCAGTGCCACTGATTTGTGTACATTAATTTTGTATCCTGAAACTTTACTGAATTTGTTTATCAGTTCTAGGTGCTTTTTGGATGAGTCTTTTGGGTTTTCTAGGTATACAATCATGTCATCCACAAACAGCAACCATTTAACTTCCTTTTAACCAACTTGAATGCCCATTATTTCTTTCTCTTGCCTGATAGCTCTGGCTAGGACTTCCAGTACTATGTTGTATGGAAGTGATGAAAGTTGACATCCTTGTCTTTTTCCAGTTCTCATGGGGAATACTTTTAACTTTTCCTCATTCAGCATAATGTTGGCTGTGCATTTATCATAGATGGCTTTAATCACCTTAAGGTATATCCTTTCTATGCTGATTTTTCTGAAGGTTTTAATCATAAAGGAATGCTGGATTTATCAAACGCTTTTTCTGCATCTGTTGAGATGATCATGTAATTTTTGTCTTTAATTCTGTTTATGTGAGGTATTACACTTATTGACTTCCATATGTTAAACTATCCCTGCATCCCTGGTATTAAACCTACTTGATCATGGTATATTATCTTCTTGATTTGCTGTTTGATTGAGTTAGCTAGTATTTTGTTCAGGATCTTTGCATCTATGTTCATCAAAGATGTTGGACTGTAGTTTTCTTTTTTTTGTTATGTTCTTTCTTAGTTTTGATAGTAGGGTGACATTGGCTTCATAGAACGATTTAGGGAGGATTCCCTCTTTATCTTTTGGAATAATTTCAGTAAGATTGATACCAATTCTTCTTTGAATGTCTGATAGAATTAAGCTGTGAATGCATATGGTCCTGGAATTTATTTTCTTGGCAATATTTTTTATTACTGTTTCAATCTCACTACTTCTTATTTGTCTGTTCAGAGTTTCTGTTTCTTCCTGATTTAATCTAGGAAGGTTGTATATTTCCACGAATTTCTCCACCTACTCTAGATTTTCAAGTTTGTGCACATAATGGTATTCATAGTAGCCTTGAATGATCTTTTGTATTTTTGTGGTATTGGTTTTTTCTCTCATTTCCTTTCTAATTGAGCTTATTTTGATCTCCTCTCATCTTCTATTGGTTAATCTTGCTAATGGTCTATCAATTTTTATTTTATTTTCAAAGAACCAGCTTTTTGTTTCAGTTATCTTTTGTATTTTTTTGTTTCAAATTCATTTAGTTCTGCTCTGATCTTTGTTGTTTCTTTTCTTCTGCTGAATTTGGGTTTGGTTTGTTCTTGTTTTTCTAGTTCCTTGATGTGTGACCTTAGATTGTTTATATGGGCCCTTTAAGACTTTTGGATGTAGGCATTTAACTTTCTTCTTAGCACTCCTCTTGCTGTATCCCAATGGTTTTAATAAGCTGTGTCACTATTATCATTTAGTTCAAATATTTTTAAAATTTTTATCTTAATTTTATTGTTAAACCAAAGATCATTCAGGATCAGATTATTTAATTTCCATGTATTTGTATAGTTTTGGAGATTTCTTTTGGAGTTAATTTCCAGTTTTATTCCATTGTGGTCTGACAGGGTACTTGATATTATTTCAATTTTTAAAAAATTTATTGAGACTTTTTTTGTGGCCTATCATGTGGTCTATCTTGGATAATGTTCCATGTGATGATGAGAAGAATATATATTCTGCAGTTGTTGGATAGAATGTTCTATAAATATCTGTTGTCTATTTGTTCCAGGGTATAGTTTAAGAGTGTTGCTTCTTTGTTGACTTTCTGTTTTGATGACCTGTCTCGTGCTGTCAGTGGAGTATGAAAGTCCCCCACTATTATTGTGTTGCCATATATCTCATTTTGTAGATCTAGTAATAATTGTTTTATACATTTGGGAGCTCACACACATATTTAGGATTGTGATCTTTTCCTATTGGACTACTTCTTTAATCATATAATGTTCCTCTTTGTCTTTTTTAGGTGGTGTTGTTTACAGTCTGTTTTGTCTGATATAAGAATAGTTATTGTTGCTCAGTTTTGGTTTCCATTTGCATAGAACATCTATTCTTCCACCCTTTTACCGTAAGTTTATGTGAGTCCTTATGTGTTAGGTGAGTCTCGTGAAGATAGATACTTTGTTCGTAAATGTTTTATCCATTCTGTCATTCTGTATCTTTTAAGTGGAGGTTTTAGGCCTTTTACATTCAACATTAGTATTGAGATGTGAGGTACTATTTTACTCATCATGCTAGTCGTTGCCTAAATACTTTGGTTTTTAAAATTGTGTTATTGATTTATAGGTCCTTTGAGATTTATGCCTTAAGGGGGTTCTATTTTGGTGTATTTCAAAGTTTTGATTCAAAATTTAGAACTTCTTTTAGCATTTCTTGCAGTGCTGGCTTTGTAGTAGTAAATTGTCTCAGCATTTGTTTGTCTGAAAAATACTTTATCTCTGCTTCATTTATGAAGCTTGGTTTTGTTGGCAAAATTCTCAGGAGGAAATTATTTTGTTTAAGGAGGCTAAAGATGGGCCCCCAATCCTTTCTGGCTTGCAAGGTTTCTGCTGAAAAATCTGCTGTTAATATGATAGGTTTTCCTTCATAGGTTAGCTGATGCTTTTGCCTCACAGTTCTTGAGATTCTTTCCTTCATCTTGATTATAGATAACCTGACAATTATACACCTAGGGGAAGATCCATTTGTAATGAATTTCCCAGTTAGTCTTTCAGCTACTTGTATTTGGATGTCTAGATCTCTAGAGGGGCCAGGGAAATTTTCCTTATTATTTCCTCAAATACGTTTTCCAAACTTAGATTTCTCTTCTTCCTTGGGAACACCAATTATACTTGGGTTTGTCCATTTAACATAATCTCAAATTTCTTGGAGGCTTTGTTCATTTCTAAAAAAAAAAAAAAAAAAATTTTTTTTGGTCTTTGTTCAATTGGGTTAATTTGGAAGACTTGTCTTTGATCTCCAAATTTCTTTCTTCTACTTGTTCCAGTCTATTGTTGACACTTTCTAGTGCATTTTGTATTTCTCTAAGTGTGTCTTTCATTTCCAGAAGTTGCAACTGTTTTTTCTTTATGACATCTATTTCTTTTTTATTATTTTTTTAATTATACTTTAAGTTCTAGGCTACATGTGCACAATGTGCAGTTTTGTTACATACGTATACATGTGCCATGTTGGTGTGCTGCACCCATTAACTCATCATTTACATTAGGTATATCTCCTAATGCTTTCCATCCTCCTTCCACCCACCCCACAACAGGCCCCAGTGTGTGATATTCCCCTTCCTGTGTCCAAGTGTTCTCATTGTTCAATTCCCACCTATGAGTGAGAACATGCAGTGTTTGGTATTTTGTTCCTGTGATAGTTTGATGAGAATGATGGTTTCCAGCTTCATCCATGTCCCTACAAAGGACATGAACTCATCCTTTTTTATGGCTGCATAGTATTCCATGGTGTATATGTGCCACATTTTCTTTTCTTTTCTTTTCTTTTTTTTGTGTGCAACAAGGTTGCTTATTTCACCTGGGTGCAAGTGGGCTGAGTCCGAAAAGAGAGTCAGTGAAGGGAGATAGGGGTGGGGCTGTTTTATAAGATTTGGGTAGGTAAAGGAAAAAGGGGGTTGTTTTCTGGCAGGCAGGAGGGGGGGTCACAAGGTGCTCAGTGAGAGAGACTTTGAGCCAGGATGAGCCAGGAGAAGGAATTTCACAAAGTAATGTCATCAGTTAAGGCAAGGACCAGCCATTTTCACTTCTTTTGTGGTGGAATGTCATCAGTTAAGGCAGGAACAGGCCATTTAAATATCACTTCTTTTGTGATTCTTCAGTTACTTCAGGCCATCTGGATGTAAATGTGCAGGTCACAGGGGATATGATGGCTTAGCTTGGGCTCAGAGGCCTGACATTCCTGTCTTCTTATATTAATAAGAAAAATAAAACATAATAGTGTTGAAGTGTTGGGGCAGCGAAAATTTTGGGGGGTGGTATGGAGAGAGAATGGGCGATGTTTCTCGGGGCTACTTCGAGCAGGATTAGGGGTGGCATGGAAACCTAGAGTGGGGGAGATTAAGCTGAAGGAAGATTTTGTGGTAAGGGGTGATATTTTCTGGTTGTTAGAAGAAACATTTGTCATATAGAATTATTGGTGATGGCCTGGATACGGTTTTGTATGAATTGAAAAAAGAACGGAATAAGACAAGGAGAAAAACAGGTATTAAAGGACTAAGAATTGGGAGGACCTAGGACATCTAACTAGGGAGTGCCTAAGGAGGTTCAGCATACCCTGCCAGCAAAGATTATTTATTTACTTTAAGAGGGAGTTAAGAGTGGCAGTTTGGGGATAGCACCAGGACATATCAGCTGTGATGGCTTGGAGAAACAGTGCAAACTGGCAGTGTAAACAAGACCAGGGCATTTATGAGTAGTTGAGAATGGTGAATAGGAGTATGACTAGATGGAAGATAGTAGGGATGATTGTGCCACATTTTCCTAATCCAGTCTATCATTGATGGACTTTGGGTTGGTTCCAAGTCTTTGCTATTGTGAATAGTGCCGCAGTAAACATACATGTGCATATGCCTTTATAGCAGCATGATTTATAATCCTTTGGGTATATACCCAGTAATGGGATGGCTGGGTCACATGGTATTTCTACTTCTAGATCCTTGAGGAATCATCACACTGTCTTTCACAATGGTTGAACTCTACTTTACAGTCCCACCAACAGTGTAAAAGTGTTCCTATTTCTCCACATCCTCTCCAGCACCTGTTTTTTCCTGACTTTTTAATGATCGCCATTCTAACTGGTGTGAGATGGTATCTCATTGTGGTTTTGATTTGCATTTCTCTGATGGCCAGTGATGATGAGCACTTTTTCATGTGTCTGTCGGCTGCATAAATGTCTTCTTTTGAGAAGTGTCTGTTCATATCCTTTGCCCACTTTGTGATGGGGTTGTTTGGTTTTTTCTTGTAAGTTTGTTTGAGTTCTTTGTAGATTCTGGATATTAGCCTTTTGTCAGATGAGTAGATTGCAAAAATTTTCTCCCATTCTGTAGGTTGCCTGTTCACTCTGATGGTAGTTTCTTTTGCTGTGCAGAAGCTCTTTAGTTTAATTAGATCCCACTTATCAATTTTGGCTTTTGTTGCCATTGCTTTTGGTGTTTTAGACATGAATTCCTTGCACATGCCTATATCCTGAATGGTATTGCCTAGGTTTTCTTCTAGAGTTTTTATGGTTTTAGGTCTAACATTTAAGTCTTTAAACCATCTTTAAATAATTTTTGTGTAAGGTGTAAGGAAGGGATCCAGTTTCAGCTTTCTACATATGGCTAGCCAGTTTTCCCAGGACAATTTATTAAATAGGGAATCCTTTCCCCATTTCTTGTTATTGTCAGGTTTGTCAAAGATCAGATGGTTGTAGATGTGTGGTATTATTTCTGAGGGCTCTGTTGTGTTCCATTGGTCTATAGCTCTGTTTTGGTACCAGTACCATGCTGTTTTGGTTACTGTAGCCTTGTAGTATAGTTTGAAGTCAGGTAGCATGATGCCTCCAGCTTTGTTCTTTTGACTTAGGATTGTCTTGACAATGCAGGCTATTTTTTGGTTCCATATGAACTTTAAAGTAGTTTTTTCCAATTCTGTGAAGAAAGTCATTGGTAGCTTGATGGGGATGGCATTGAATCTATAAATTACCTTGGGCACTATGGCCATTTTCACAATATTGATTCTTCCTATCCATGAGCATGGAATGTTCTTCCATTTGTTTGTATCCTCTTTTATTTCATTGAGCAGTGGTTTGTAGTTCTCCTTGAAGAGGTCCTTCACATCCCTTGTAAGGTGGATTCCTAGGTGTTTTAGTCTCTTTGAAGCAATTGTGAATGGGAGTTCACTCATTATTTGGCTCTCTGTTTGTCTGTTAATGGTGTATAAGAAGGCTTGTGATTTTTGCACGTTGATTTTGTATCCTGAGACTTTGCTGAACTTGCTTAAGGAGATTTTGGGCTGAGACGATGGGGTTTTGTAAGTATACAATCATGTCATCTGCAAACAGGGACAATTTGACTTCCTCTTTTCCTAATTGAATACCCTTTATTTCTTTCTCCTGCCTGATTGCCCTGGCCAGAACTTCCAACACTATGTTGAATAGGAGTGGTGAGAGAGGGCATCCCTGTCTTGTGCCAGTTTTCAAAGGGAATGCTTCCAGCTTTTGCCCATTCAGTATGACATTGACTGTGGGTTTCTCATAAATAGCTTTTATTATTTTGAAATACGTCCCATCAATACCTAATTTATTGAGAGTTTTTAGCATGAAGGGCTTTTGAATTTTGTGAAAGGCCTTTTCTGCATCTATTGAGATAATCATGTGGTTTTTGTCATTTGTTCTGTTTATATGCTGGATTAAGTTTATTGATTTGTGTATGTTGAACCAGCCTTGCATCCCAGGGATGAAGCCCACTTGATCATGGTGGATAAGCTTTTTGATGTGCTGCTGGATTTGATTTGCCAGTATTTTATTGAGGATTTTTGCATCAATGTTCATCAGGGATATTGGTTTAAAATTCTCTTTTTTTGTTTTGTCTCTGCCAGGCTTTGGTATCAGGATGATGCTGGTCTCATAAAATGAGTTAGGGAGGATTCCCTCTTTTTCTATTGATTGGAATAGTTTCAGAAGGAATAGTACCAGCTCCTCCTTGTACCTCTGGTAGAATTCGGCTGTGAATCAATCTGGTCCTGGACTTTTTTTGGTTGGTAGGCTATGAATTATTGCCTCAATTTCAGAGCCTGTTATTGGTCTATTCAGGAATTCAACTTCTTCCTGGGTTAAGTCTTGGGACGGTGTGTATATCAAGGAATTTCTCCATTTCTTCTAGATTTTCTAGTTTATTTGTGTAGAGGTGTTTATAGTATTCTCTAATGGTAGTTTATATTTCTGAGGGATCAGTGGTGATATCCCCTTTATCATTTTTTATTGCCTCTATGATTCTTCTCTTTTCTTCTTTATTAGTCTTGCTAGCGGTCTATCTATTTTGTTGATCTTTTCAAAAAACCAGCTCCTGGATTCATTGATTTTTTGAAGGTTTTTTTGTGTCTCTATCTCCTTCAGTTCTGCTCTGATCTTAGTTATTTCTTGCCTTCTGCTAGCTTTTGAATTCATTTGCTCTTGCTTCTCTAGTTCTTCTAATTGTGATATTAGGGTGTCAATTTTAGATCTTTCCTGCTTTCTCTTGTGGGCATTTAGTGCTATAAATTTCCCTCTACACACTGCTTTAAATGTGTCCCAGAGATTCTGGTATGTTTTGTCTTTGTTCTCATTGGTTTCAAAGAACATCTTCATTTCTGCCTTCATTTTGTTATGTACCCAGTAGTCAGTCATTCAGAAGCAGGTTGTTTAGTTTCCATGTAGTTGAGCAGTTTTGAGTGAGTTTCTTAATCCTGAGTTCTAGTTTGATTGCACTGTGGTCTGAGAGACAGTTTGTTATAATTTCTGTTCTTTTACATTTGCTGAGGAGTTCTTTACTTCCAATTATGTGGTCAATTTTGGAATAAGTGGGATGTGGTGCTGAGAAGAATGTATATTCTGTTGATAGGGGTTGGAAAGTTCTGTAGATGTCTATTAGGTCTGCTTGGTGCAGAGCTGAGTTCAATTCCTGGGTATCCTTGTTAACTTTCTGTCTCGTCGATCTGTGTAATGTTGACAGTGGGGTGTTAAAGTCTCCCATTATTATTGTGTGGGAGTCTAGGTCTCTTTGTAGATCCCTAAGGACTTGCTTTATGAATCTGGGTGCTCCTGTATTGGGTGCATATATATTTAAGATAGTTAGCTCTTCTTGTTGAATTGATCCCTTTACCATTATTTAATGGCCTTCTTTGTCTCTTTCAATCTTTGTTGGCTTAAAGCCTGTTTTATCAGAGACTAGGATTGCAACCCCTGCCTTTTTTTGTTTTCCATTGGCTTGGTAGATCTTCCTCCATCCCTTTATTTTGAGCCTATGTGTGTCTCTGCACGTGAGATGGGTCTCTTGAATACAGCACGCTGATGGGTCTTGACTCTTTATCCAATTTTCCAGTCTGTGTCTTTTAATTGGAGCATTTAGCCCATTTACATTTAAGGTTAATATTGTTATGTGTGAATTTGATCCTGTCATTATGATGTTAGCTGATTATTTTGCTCATTAGTTGATGCAATTTCTTCCTAGCATCGATGGTCTTTACAATTTGGCATGTTTTTGCAGTGGCTGGTACCGGTTGTTCCTTTCCATATTTAGTGCTTCCTTCGGGGTCTCTTGTAGGGCAGGCCTGGTGGTGACAAAATCTCTCAGCATTTGCTTGTCTGTAAAGGATTTTATTCCTCCTTCACTTATGAAGTTTATTTTGGCTGGATATGAAATTCTGGGTTGAAAATTATTTTCTTTAAGAGTGTTGAATATTGGCCCCCACTCTCTTCTGGCTTGTAGGGTTTCTGCTGAGAGATCCACTCTTAGTCTGATGGGCTTCCCTTTGTGGGTAACCCGACCTTTCTCTCTGGCTGCCCTTAACATTTTTTCCTTAATTTCAACTTTAGTGAATCTGACAATTATGTGTCTTGGAGTTGCTCTTCTCGAGGAGTATCTTTGTGGCATTCCCTGTATTTCTTGAATTTGAATGTTGGCCTGCCTTGCTAGGTTGGGGAAGTTCTCCTGGATAATATGCTGAAGAGTGTTTTTCAACTTGTTTCCATTCTCCCCATCACTTCGAGGTACACCAATCAGATGTAGATTTGGTCTTTTCACGTAGTCCCATATTTCTTGGAGGCTCTGTTCGTTTCTTTTTATTCTTTTTTCTCTAAACTTCTCTTCTCGCTTCATTTCATTCATTTGATCTTCAATCACTGATATTCTTTCTTCCAGTTGATTGAATCGGCTACTGAAGGTTGTGCATTCATCACGTAGTTCTTATGCCATGGTTTTCAGCTCCATCAGGTCATTTAAGGACTTCTCTTCACTGGTTATTCTAGTTAGCCCTTCATCTAATCTTTTTTCAAGGTTTTTAGCTTCTTTGTGTTGAGTTCGAACTTCCTCCTTTAGCTTGGAGAAGTTTGATCATCTGAAGCCTTCTTCTCTCAACTCATCAAAGTCATTCTCTGTCCAGCTTTGTTCCATTGCTGGTGAGGAGCTGCATTCCTTTGGAAGGGGAGAGGTGCTTTGATTTTTATAATTTTCAGCTTTTCTGCTCTGTTTTTTCCCCATCTTAGTGGTCTTATCTACCTTTGGTCTTTGATGATGGTGACTTACAGATGGGGTTTTGGTGTGGATGTCCTGTCTGTTTGTTAGTTTTCCTTCTGACAGTCAGGACCCTCAGCTGCAGGTCTGTTGGAGTTTGCTGGAGGTCCATTTCAGACCCTGTTTGACTGGGTATCAGCTGTGGGGGCTGCAGAACAGCAAATATTGCTGAATATCAAATGTTGCTGCCTGATTGTTCCTCTGGAAGCTTTGTCTCAGAGGGGTACCTGGCCATGTGAAGTGTCAGTCTGCCCCTACTGGGGGTGCCTCCCAGTTATGGTACTCAGGGGTCAGGGACCCACTTGACAAGGCAGTCTGTCCATTCTCAGATCTCAAACACTGTGCTGGGGAACCACTACTCTCTTCAAAGCTGTCAGACAGGGACATTTAAGTCTGCAGAAGTTTCTGCTGCCTTTTGTTCGGCTATGCCCTGCTGAACATATTACTATATGCCTAATACTGCCGAGCGCAGTATTAGGGTGGGAGTGACCCGATTTTTCAGGTGCCATCTTTCACCCCTTGCCTTGGCTAGGAAAGGGAATTCCCTGACCCCTTGTGCTTCCAGGGTGAGGTGATGCCTCACCCTGCTTAGGCTCACACTCGGTGGGCTGCACCCACTGTTCTGCCCCCACTGTCCAATGAGCCCCAGTGAGATGAACCCAGTACCTCAGTTGGAAATGTGGAAATCACCCATCTTCTGCATTGCTCACACTGGGAGCTGTAGACTGGAGCTGTTCCTATTCAGCCATCTTGGAACCCTCTGTATGATATTTATTTCTCTGGAGAATTATTTATCCACATCTTGTATTTTTAAAATTTGTTTAAGTGGGTTTTTATTTTTCTCTGGTATCTCCTTGAGTAGCTTAATAATCAACATTCTGAATTCTTTATCTGGCATTTCATAGACTTCTTTTTCATTTGGATCCATTGCTGGGTAGCTAGTATGGTCTTTTGGAGGTGTTATAGAACCTTGTTTTGTCATATTTCCAGAATTAATTTTCTGGTTCCTTCTCATTTGTTTAGGCTATTTCAATGGAAAGATCTGGAACTCAAGGGCTGCTATTCAGATTCCTTTGTCCCACAGGGTGATCCCTTGATATGTGGCACTCCCCCTTCTCCTTGGGATGGGGCTTCCTGAGAGCCAAACTGCAGTAATTTTTATTGCTTTCTGGGTCTAGCCACTCAGTGGGTCTACCAGGCTCCAGACTGGTGCTGGGGAGTATTTGCAAATAAATTCCTGTGATATGGTCTATCTTCAGACTTCCCAGCTGTGAAAGAAGTGGCAAGCTGCCTTGCCACCAGCACCTTCTCTGCTAGATGTAGAAGGGGAGTGAAGTAGACTCTGTGAGAATCCTTGGTGGTGATATGTTTATTGTTCTGGCTTTCTCCAAGACTGGGTTTGCTAGCAGTGAAGTTGTCACATGGACAGACTCAGGATCTCTGGTTACCCAGGATGTAGAAGGCAGTGGAATTAGCTGTTCTTTTCTCTGTCCTTGTAGCAGGGTTATTCTGTCATGAGTTGCT
The DNA here is from genome assembly GCF_000001405.40 of Homo sapiens. Lineage (NCBI taxonomy): Eukaryota > Metazoa > Chordata > Mammalia > Primates > Hominidae > Homo > Homo sapiens. Next base: position 108,903,123 of record NC_000023.11, on the reverse strand, counting down.
GTAATGTCCTGAGTTGGTTGGCCTCCAGCCAGAAGGTGGCACTTTCAAGAAAGCACTAGCTATGATAGTAGAAGTGGGGATACAAGCTTGCCCTAAGTTGGCCAGGATAAGTATTTGGGTTTCTTAGGCTATGACCAGAGCCATAAAGCTCCCAAGAGTTTATGTATTTTGTGATCAGCTACCAAAGGTGGGTAGAGAAATACCATCAGGTAGAGGCAGGGTTAGGTGGGTCTGAGCTCAGATTCTCCTTGGGGATGTCTAGCTAAGTGGGGGGTGGATGAGGCCGTGGTACTCAGGCCAATGGGTTATGTTTCAGAAGGAATTATGGCTGCCCCTGTCACCAGGAAAGTGGGGCAAAGCTGGCAGAGATAGACTCACCCAGCTTCCATGCAGTTGACTAGACCTGTCTCACTCCCACTGTGCCCCACTAACAGCTCTGAGTTTATCTCCAGGCAGCCTGTGCACAAGACTCAGACATTGCCCTAGGCTACAAACTTTTCTCCTGAGAAAGCAAGCAGGGCTTTCAGGCCTTGCCACCACACCCCCACCACCACGACCCAAAATCTGCCTACACTGTCATCCATGGCCCCTGTGCTCTTTTCTGCAGCAGTTCCTGTTTGCCCCCAGGTTCTGCTCAAAAGAGTTTGTGCCCAGTCAAAATTATTACAAAGCTCAATTGGAAACTTCTTTCACCCTGTGACCCCTTCCAAATTCTGCCAGCTGCCTTCTCCAAGGACCCCTGTGAGATATAGTCAGGGATGGCTTCCCTAGGCTCCAGCTGGAGAATGGGAGTGCCTACAAGGCTCTCCCCGCTGCTAAGCCTACTTTTGTATTTCATGCTAAATCTGTTTCAGCCCTAGGTATAGTTAAATTCTTTTTCTATAATCTGGATTTTCAGGCTCCCCAGTGGACAGGTTTTTCCCTTTCACACTTTGGGAACTCACAGTTTTTCATGTCTCACAGAATTTGCAGCAGCTTGCCACTTCTTTCAAAGGATCTGTGAATTCTTTCAGTTTTCTTGGTACATTTCTGCAGTGGTTCTTGGAACAAAAGTCCATGGTGTGAGTCTCCAAATGCTAGTCTGTCTGTCTAAGTGGGAGCTGCACATTAGCCCTGTCTCCTATGCACCATCTATTGCCCATTTTTAAATTGAGTTGTTTTCTTGCTATTGAGTTGTCTGAGTTCTTTATATATTTCGGAGATTAACTCCTTATTACATGTATGTTTGGCAAATATTTTCTCCTATTTTGTAGTTCATTACCTCACCCTGTTGATTGTTTCCCTTGCTTTATAGAAGCTTTTTAGTTAGATATGATTCCATTTGTCTATTTTCACTTTTTTTGGCTGTGCTTTTGGGATCTTATCCAAAAATCATTGTCCATACCAATATCATGGAGCTTTTCCACTATGTTTTCGTCTAGTGGTTTTAGTTTCAAGTCTCTAAGTTTTTATCAGTTTTGAACTGATTTTTGGATATGGTGTGAGGAATTGATCTAATTTCATTCATGTGCATGTGGATATCCATATTTCCCTATACTACCTATTGAAGAGATTTTTTTTCCCCATTCTGTGCTCCTGGAAACTTTGTCAAAAATCAATTGACCATAAATGCATAATTTATTTCTTAACTTTATATTTATTTCACTGCTCTGTGTCTACTTTTATGCCAGTATTATTCTATTTTTATTATTATGCCCTTCTATTTTATTTGTAGTCAGGTAGAGAGATGCCTCCAGTTTTGCTCTTCTTGCTCAAGATTGCTTTGGCTATTCAGTCTTTTGTGGTTCCATATGAATTTTAGAACTTTTTTTTCTATTTCTGTGAAAAATGTCATTGGAATTTTGCTAGAGATTAGATTTAATCTGTAGATCACTTTGGGTAGTATGGATATTTTAACAATACTAATTCCTCCAATCTATGAACATAGAATATATTTCCAGTTATTTGTGTCTTCTTCAATTTCTTTCATCAATATATTAGAATTTTCAGTGTACAAGTCTTTCCTTTCTTGGTTAAATTTATTTCTCAGTAGTTTGTAATTGTTTTTGTAAGTGGAATTGTTTTCTTGTTTTCATTTTAAGATAATTTTTGTTAGTATATAGAAATGCTAGTGATTTTTAATTTTTTTTTATTTCCATAGGTTACTGGGGAACAAGTGTTATTTGGTTACATGAGTAAGTTATTTAGTGGTGATTTGTGAGATTTTGGTGCACCCATCACTGGAGCAGAATACACTACACACTCTTTATAGTCTTTTATCACTCCTCCCTTCCCACCCTTCCCCCCAAGTCCCCAAAGTCCATTGTGGCATTCTTATGCCTTTGCATCTCCATAGCTTAGGAAAGAGTGGTGTGTGTATATATATATATATATATACTATTTCCATAGCTTAGGAATATATATATATATATAATCTCAGCCATAAAAGGGAATGAATTAATGACATTTGCAGCTACCTGAATGAGATTGAAGAAATGCTACTGATTTTTGTATGTGGATTTTGTACGTTGTACCCTCACTGAATTTGTTGTAGTTTTAACAGGTTTTTAAGGGTTTTCCATATATGTGATGATGTCATCACCAAACAGGGAAAATTTCACTTCTTTCCAATTTAAACTTATTTCTTCCTCTTGCCTAATTTCACTGGCCAAGACTTTCAGTACTATGTTGGATAGAAGTAGTGAGAGTGAATATCCTTGTCTTGTTTCTGATCTTAGAGGAAAACTTTCCATGTATTCACCATTGAGTATGATGGTAGCCATGGGCTTGTTTCATATGGTCTTTATTGTGTTGAGGAACATTTCTTCTAAACCTAATTTGTTAGAGGTTTTTATCATGAAAGGATGTTGAATTTTGTCAATTTTTTTTTCTGCATCTTGTGAGATGATCATATAGTTTTTATCTTTCATTCTGTTAATGTGGTTGGTGCATCACATTTATTGATCTGCATATGTCAAGCCATCCTTGCATCCCAGACATAAATCTCACTTGATCATAGTGAATGAACTTTAATGTGCTGTTGAACTCAATTTGCTAGTAATTTGTTTTCAAGGATTTTTGCATCTATGCCCATCACGGATATTGGCTCATACTTTTTTTTTTCATGTAGCATTCTTATCTGGCTTTGAGTAAGGGTAATGCCGGCCTTGTAAAGTTAGTTTGGAAGTGTTCCTTCTTCAATTTTTTCAAAGACTGAGAAGGATTGGTGTTAGTTCAGGACTAACTTATGTTTGGTAGAATTCAAAAGTAAAGCTATTAAGTCATAGGCTTTTCTTTCATGCGACTTATTATTAGTGATTTAATTTCCTTACTCATTATTGGTGTGTTCAGATTTTTATTTCTTTGTGATTCAATCTTTGCAAGTTGTATGTGTGTCATAATTTATCCATTTCTTCTAAGTTTTCCAATTTGTTGGCATATAATTGTTCATAGCAGTTCTATATAACCCTTTGTATTTCTGTGGAAACAATTATAATGCCTCCTCTCTCATTTCTGATTTTATTTGAGTTTTTACTCTTTTTTCTTTTTCAGACTAGCTAAAGGTTTATCAATTTTGTTTATATTTCCAAAAACCAACTCTGGCTTTCGTTGATCTTTTCTATTGTTTTTCCAGTCTCTACTTCATTTATTCCTGCTATAATCTTTATTATTCCCTTCTATCTGCTAATTTTTGGCTTAGTTATTTCTTGTATTTTTCAGTTTCCAGAGGTGTAATGTTAGAGTTTTTTTAATGTTAGCTTGTTTATTTGGCATATTTTTTATTTTTGGATGTGGGAATTTATTGCAATAAACTTTCCTCTTACAACTGCTTTGGCTACATCCAGTTTGTTTTGGTATTTTGCACATCCATTTTTGCTTGTATCAAGATGTTATTTTAATTTCATTTTCAATTTATTTTTAGACCCATTGGTTGTTCTGAAGGATGTTGCTTAATTTTCAGGTATTTATATATTTTCTGAAACTTCTCCCATTATTGACTTCTACTTTCAGACTGCTATGGTTGGAAAAGATACTTGATTAAATTTGTTGAGTTATTTTGTGGCCTAACATATTTTCCATGTGCACGTGCAAAGAATGTGCATTCTGCTGCTGTTGAAAGGAATGTCCTGTATATATCTGTTATGTCCATTTAGTCTAAAGTGTGGTTTAAGTCCAATATTTCCTTATTGATTTTCTGTCTTAATAATCTGTCCATTTCTGAAAGTACTGTAGTGAAGCCCTGGTATTATTGTATTATCATTTCTCTCTCTCTTTGGAAGTACTAATTTTTGCTTAGTATATTTAGGTGCTCCAATATTGGGTGCATATATATTTACAATTTTTATATCCTCTTGATGCACTGATCTTTATATGATTATATAAACATTTTCTGTCTCATTTTATACTTTTAGAGGTATTCTGCTCTTTTTTGATTTTCATTTGCATGGAATACCTTTTTCTATTACTTCACCTTAAGTCTATGTGTGACCTTACAGAAGAGTGAGTCTCCTGCAAGCAGCATATATTTGTTTCTAGTTTTTCATTAATCCAATCTGCCATTTAGTGTCTTTAGTTAGAGATTTTAATCCATTTAAATTAAAGGTAATTATTGGCAGGTAAGAACTTACTCATACCAGTTTGCTAATTATTTTCTCATTATTTCTTTAGATACTTTGGGGTTTTTTTCCTTTCTCTCTTGCTGTCTTTCTTTGTGGCTAAGTAATTTTTCTCTAGTGGTGTGATTTGACTCATTGATTTTTATCTTTTATGTCTCTACTATAGGTTATGACTTTGTGAGTACCATGAGGCTTATGTGGAACATATTATAACACAGTATTGTAAATATTTTAATAGCTTTATCTTCAACCTTTATACTGAATATATAAGTGATTTATACACCATTACAGTATTCAAGTATTCTGAATTTGACTGTGTATCTACTTGTTCTAGTGAGTTTTATACTTTTGGATGTTTTCATGATACTCATTAGTATCCTTTGCTTTCAGTTTGAAGATTTCCTTTTAGCATTTCATGCAAGACAAGTCTGGTTGTGATGAATTCTCTCAGCTTTTCTTTGTGAGGGAAAGTCTTTATCTGTCCTTCATTTCTGAAGGACAGTGTTGCCGGCTAAAGTGTTCTTGTTTGGCAGTTTTTTACCCCTTTATATCCTATAAATATATAACACCACTCTTTTGGCCTAAAAATTTTTGCTGAGAAGACTGCTGCTAGCCTACTAGAACTCTTTTATATGTCATGTGCTTTATTACTCTTGATGCTTTCAGGATCCTCTCCTTGTCTTTGATTTTTGACAGCTTGATTAACGTGTCTTGATGTATTAGTCTGTTCTCATGCTGCTAATAAGAAAATACCTGGGAATGGGTAATTTATATAGTAAAGAGGTTTAATTGACTCACAGTTCCACATGCTGGGGAGGCCTCAAAATCATAGTGGAAGGTGAATGAGAAGCAAAGTCACGTCTTACGTGGTGGCAGGTAAGAGAGTATGTGCAGGGGAACTCCCCTTTATAAAACCATCAGATTTCATGAGACTTATTCACTATCATGAGAACAGCATGGGAAAGACCCACCCCCATGATTTAATTACCTCTCACTGGGTCCCTCCCATGGCATGTGGGAATTATGGGAGCTACAATTCAAGATGAGATTTAGGTGGGGACACCACCAAAGCATATCATTCCACCTCTGGCACCTCCCAAATATCATGTCCTCACATTTAAAAACCAATCATGCCTTTCAACAGTCCCCCAAAGTATTAACTCATTTCAGCATTAACTCAAAACTCTACAGTCCAAAGTCTCATCTGAGACAAGGCAATTCCCTTCCACCTATGAGCCTGTAAAATCAAAAGCAAGTTAGTTACTTCCTAGATACAATGAAGGTACAGGCATTGGGTAAATACACCCATTCCAAATGGGAGAAATTGTCCAAAATAAAAGGGCTACAGGCCCCATGCAAGTCCAAAATCTAATAGGGGAATTATTAAACCTTAAAGTTCCAAAATTATCATCTCCTTTGACTCCATGTCTGTCACACCTAGGTCACACTGATGCAAGAGGTGGTTTCCCATGGCCTTATTCAGCACCACCTATAGCTCCCCTCCTGGCTGCTTTCATGGGCTGGCATTATCTATGGCTTTTCCAGGCACATGGTGAAAGCTGTTAGTGGATCTGCTGTTCTGGGGTCTGTAGGATGATGGCCTTTTTCTCACAGCTCCACTAGGCAGTGCCCCAGTGAGGACTCTCCAACCCCACATTTCCCTTAAGCACTGTCCTAGCAGGGTTCTCCATGAGGGCTCCCCTCCTTCCCCAACAGCAAACTTCTGTCTGGAAATCCATGCATTTCCATACATCCTCTGAAATGTAGGCAGAGGCTCTCAAACCTCAGTTCTTGACTTCTGTGCACCTGCAGGCTTAACACTATGTGGAAACTGCCAAGGCTAAGAACTTGCACCTCCTGAAGCCATGGCTGAAGCTGTACCTTGGCCCCTTTTAGCCATGGCTGGAGCTGAAGTTGGGATGCAGGGTACAAAGTCCCAAGGCTGCTCACAGCAAGGTGGCCCTGGACCAGGCCCAGGAAACCATTTTTCCCTCCTAGGCCTCCAGGCCTGTAATGGGGGGGGGCTGATGTGAAGACCTCTGACATGCCCTGGAGACATTTTCCCCATTGTCTTGGCAATTAGCATTTGGCTCCTTGTTACTTATGCAAATTTCTGCAGCTGGCTTGAACTTCTCCCAGAAAATGGTTTTTTTCTTTTTTATTGCATCATCAGCCTGCAAATTTTCCAAACTTTTATGCTCTGCTTCCTCTTGAATGCTTCACCACTTAGAAACTTCTTCCCCCAGATACCCTAAATCATCTCTCTCAAGTTCAAAGTTCCACGGATCTCTGGAGCAGGGGCAAAATTCTGCCACTCTCTTTGCATAGCAAGAGTGACATTTACTCCAGTTCCCAACAAATTCCAAATCTCCATTTGAGACCACCTCAGCCTGGACCTTGTTGTTCATGTCACTGTAAGCATTTTGGTCAAAGCCATTCAACAAGTCTCTAGGAATTTTCAAACTTTCCCACATTTTCCTGTCTTCTTCTGAGCCCTCCATACTGTTCCAATCTCTGCCCGTTACCCAGTTCCAAAGTCACTTCCACATTTTTGGATATCTTTATGGCAGTACCCCACTCTATGTGTACCAATTTACCATATTAGTCTGTTCTCATGATACTAATAAAGACATACCCAAGGTTGGGTAATTTATCAAGGAAAAAGGTTTAATTGACTCACAGCTCCACATGGCTGGGGAGGCCTCACAATCATGGCAGAAGGTGAATGAGGAGCAAAGTTACATCTTACACGGTGCCAGGCAAGAGACTGTGTCCAGGGAAACTCCCCTTTATAAAACCAGCAGATTTCATGAGAGTTATTCACTATCACTAGAGCACCAGTGAAAAGACTCATCCCCATGATTCAATTACCTCCCACCAGGTCCTTCCCACAACATGTGGGAATTATGGGAACTACAATTCAAGATGATATTTGAGTGGGGACACAGCCAAACCATATCACTTTTTGTAGTATTATTTGGAATGAATATGCATGTAAACCTTTGACCTTTCTGTGCCTGGATATTTACATCCAAATTCCAGATTTCTGCTATTATTTCTTTAAATAAACTTTCTACCTCCTTGTTTCTCTCTTCTCTTTCTTTACATTCTATACCTTAAATATTTGCTTTTTCAATGCTGTCCAATAAATCCCATATGGTTTATTCATTCTTTTTTCTTTGTTTTCTCTAACTGAATATTTTCAAATAACCTGTCTCTAAAATCACCGATTCATTATTCTGCTTGATCAATTCTGCTGTTGATGTTTTCCATTGCATTTTTCATTTTGTTCATTAAATTTTTAGCTCAAGAATTTCTGGGGATGGCTTTACAGTTTCAATCTGTGTTAAATTTCTAGTTTTAGTCACATACCGTTGTCCTAATTTTCTCAAATTTTTTTTTGTATTTTCTGGAGGTTTGCTGAGCTTCCTTAAAACAATTATTTTGAATACTTTGTCAGGAAGTTTATAAATTTCCACTTCTTTAGCATTGGTTATATATGCGTTCTTTTGTTCCTTTTGTGTTTTTCTTTTTCCTTGATTGTTCTTGGTCCTTATGGTCATGTGTTGGTGTCTGTGCTTTGAAGAAGTAGGAACTTATTTCAGTCTTGGCCGACTGGCTTTGTCTGGGAAGTCCATTCACTAGTCAGCCTTTCCAGAGATTCTGGGAAAGACATCTGGTCTGTGGGCAGCCTTGCTACCAGAGTCCTTAAACAAGCTGGCCTGGTGCTGGGATCAGCAAATGGACAGACATGGGTCCTGGGTTTGTGGCTTGAGCTAGGAGCCCTTATCCACTGGAATGGAACTGTTGATTGAGTCCATGGGTGTGAGCTTAGAGTCTAGGTCTATAAGGGTGGACCTGGAACCTGCATTGTGTTCATGAGAGCCAAACCGAACACTAGGTCCACAGGAGCTGATCTGGTACTGGGGTAAGCCATGAGCCTGAGTCTGCAGGGGTCAGCCAGGCACTGGGATGGGTCTGGAGCCTTCATCTGCAAGGTTGGGCATGGATTCTGAGTTCACAAGGGCTAGTCTGGAGTTTGGGTGTGCAGGGGTCATCCTGGAACCTCAGTTTATGGAGCTTAGCCTTGTGCTTTGGTCTACTGAGACAGACCTGGACCGTATGTCTGATAAAGCATGGGGCCACAGGAGTTGGTACAAAGTGTGGAGCCGCCTGGACCAGGATGGTACAGAATAGGCCTGGAGCCTGTGTCTATGTGTGCTGTTGCGGTACCTGAGGCTAGGCATGCTGAACCCTGGGGCTGTGTGAGTCTACCTAGCTATGAGCTGGTCTGGTGCTTAAGGTGCACCTAGAGTCTTGGGGCTGCAGGGATTGGCTGGCAATGAGTGTACCTGGAGCCTGTATCTATAGGGGTCAGGCTGGAGACCGGGTTCTTACATGCCAGCTTGATGACTAGGACTGCAGAGGCCAACCTGGTATTGGGACAGGCCTAAAGCCTGAGGCCTTCGGGACCATCCCTGTGCTGGAGGAAGACCTGGGGTGGGTCTACAGACTGAATCGGCAGATTACTCTGCCACCTGCAGCCTGAGTATTTGGGAACAGGGTTGTCACTGGGGCCAGTCAAATGCCTGTGGCTGCTGTAGCTGAGCCTGAGACTGCTGGGTTTGGCCTGGTGGTGGGTCAAGTTTGGAGACTGAGTCTACAGGGCAGATCTGCAGCCTGGAGCTGTGGTATCTTGCCTGGCATCAGGACAGGTCTGGAATCTCAGTCTATGAATACCTACCTGGAGTCTGGGGCCCTGGGTGCCTGCCTGATGCTGGGCTTTCCCGGGGTGGGCCCAATGGTGCGGGTCTGGGGGGAAATATGATGCTCACTTCTCTTTCCTTCCCACAAGTGGATGGTACCCTTCTTCATACTGTGCTGCTTTGGGTTGAGGGAGCGATGATGTGGGTAAGGTAAAAGTGTCCTTCCTACCCACTTCAATGCATCTTTTGTCTTTTATTTCTGTGGTACACCCAGGTAATCTTTCATGTGGTTTCCTAGGTATTGTGGTGATATTTTTGCTTGTGTCAAGTTATTCAAATGGATATTTCTGCATGGAGATAAGCACTGGAAAGTCCTATTATGCCATGTTTTTTACATCAGGACTGAGGCTATGGGGGCATTCTGACCCACCATCAGCCAGGTTAGATTCTGCAATAAACCATAGGGGCAACATTACCAATAGACGGTAGTTTCAAAAAAATTATTATGTGATTTTTTTCTGTTGTAATTAAAAGCCTACATTTGTACAACCCACTAAAAGCATCAATATTATAAGCAATAAAGTACATGCCTCAATTTTCATGCAAAATTTATTAGTCTTTGATGAATTCCTTTAAAGTTTCTTCTCGTTGATCCAGGTAAGAGATAGCTTGTGATTATAATTAAAAGCTGCAACACCATATTAAGTTCAGACATCAATTTTCAGTGTTACTTTTACCTAAATCTCATTCATAAAACCAATGAATTGACTGTTAATATGCTATATTTATTATACAACACTCCAAACTCATATACTCTAGGTGCTTTAAACATCTGTATATAATTTGGCTGAGGTACAAATATGACCATGATAAAGACCCATCTCTACCTATCATTTGTCCTCCTAGAGAGAGATGGCCAATTGCATCTATTTTATCTTCAACTGGGTCCATTTCTCACCTACTTTAATCACATGCTACTATTCCTGAGCTGAGACAATTTCCCTTTACCTGGCATCAGTCTGTTCTTGGATTCCTTCAGCTGCTTGGCAACCACTGCAGGTTCCTGTTGATGGCATCATTACCATCTCTGTTTATTTTCATTCAGTATGATGCCTGCAGCTATAGGAGCTGGAAATACAGGATGTTTGAAAGTTTTCTCATCACACTCAGGCTCAACTATTAAGACATTTTATTAGCAAAACATTTCCTTTAAATTATCATATTTACAGGCAGATTCAGATTAGGTTTGTAAGCAAGAAGAAGGACAATTAGACTTGATTCAGATTAGGTTTGTAAGCAAGAAGAAGGACAACTAGACTTGAGGAATAATTTATATCAGCCCTCAAAGATCAAGCTACTCATTCTTCCTGTAAAATATTCAAAAAGGAGTCAATGGTTGATGTTTGGATGAGGTAAACTTTATATTTCTTTCAGGCCAAAGGCCACATAATGAAGGCTATTGTACTTGATGTGACTATCCCATTTCCCAGGTCATCAGACTCACTTTTTAATTTAATAATTTTGCTAGTCAGGATTTTCTATAGAAACATAACCAATAGGCTATCTATATATATCCCTATATCTACACACATACACACACACAGATATATATATATATATATATATATATAGAGAGAGAGAGAGAGAGAGAGAGAGAGAGATAAAGAGAGAGAGAGAGACAGAGAGCGATTATGGGAATTGGCTCACGTGATGTTGGAGCCCAAGAAGTCCCATGATCTGCTGTCTGCAAACTGGAGAACCAGGGTAGCTGATAAGTGTAATTCTTAGTCCAATGCCAAAGCCTTGAGAAACTGGGGCAGGGGGTTGTAAGTCCTGGAGTCCTAAGGCTCAATAACCAAGATCTCCAGTGTCCAAAGACAGGAGAAAAAAATATGTCCCACCTCAAGAAGAGAGAGAGATAATTCATCCTTCCTCTGCCTTTTGTTTCATTCACGCTCTCAACAGATTGGATGATGCTAGCCCATATTGGTGGAGGAGGATCTTCTTTACTCAGTCCAAAAATGTTATTCTAATCCCCTGCAGAAATATCCTCACAGACATGGCCAGAAATAATGTTTTATCAGCTATCTGGGCATTCCCAACCATCACAATAATGATAACAATAATAACAGTAACTAAAATTTATTGAGCACTTCGGATATGACAGGCACTGTTTTTAGTGCTCAACTTTTATAGTGTCAGGCACTCTTACATTTTATAAGTGTCAAATGAATGCACCACAAAGTATTGTGAAAAAGACAAGATAAAACCTGGCCCCTGTTTGCCATACAAAATTTAACATCTACAATATAATATAAAATTATAATAGAACATATTATATAGAAAATAATGTAAACTATAATAGAAATTAGAAAATAGAAATTAGAAATAGAACAAAATTATAAATAGAACAAAATTTAACATCTACAATATAAATTATAAGTAGAACATAAAATTAAAAGCTTCCATATGACAAAAGACAAGAGACAAGATAAACAACTAATTAGGAAAAATATTTGAAATATGCATGACACAAAAAGGGTTAATGATTTTAATATAAAAATAGTTATTTTGTATAAAAATATAAACTTTTGTTTCTCAGGCATTCAAACAAGGATGGGAATCTATTCCATTGTCTGTTCACCTCTCAGGCCTTTAAACACTGCAACGTCAGTTTTCCTGGGTCTCCAGCTTGCAGATAGTAGATTACAAGACTTCTCAGCCTCCATAATTGCATGAGGCAATTTATTACCTTATAATAGATTTTTTCATATATATATAAAATAGATTTTTTCATATATATATATTCTGTTTCTCTGGATGAAACTGACTAATATTTATCCTCACTATTCAAACAAATATAATTTAAAATAACTATAAGAAAACCACTTCTCACACATCAGTTTAGCCATGAAAAATATAGAAATACTCAAGGATGATTGAATATGTAGAAATGGGCACATTCATATATTTCTTATGAGAATATAAGTTGGTATAACGCTTTCTGGAAGGATATTTCACAATATGCATCAAAAGCCCTATGTAAAAGGACAGGATTTTACCTAGAAATAATTTACAATAATATATTATGAGAAAATAATAAAATAACGTTGCAAGGATACATGCACAAGGATTATCATCCCAGTTTTGTATATAATATTGAAATATTGTGAACAAATGTCAGCCATAGGTGATCCACTGAATACAATGTAGTGTATATGTACAATGGAATATTATATAACCATTAAAAAGATTGTGTCAATTTATATTATTTGGAGTACACAGATATATTTCATTAATTAAGTGAAAAATCAAATTTAAAATAGCAGGTATAGTCCTATGCTTTTAAAATACATATATATCTTTATGCATGTGCATAGTAAACAGGCCAATATGTATACATCTAAATGCCAATGGTGGATTTTGCTTTTTTTTCTGTTTTTCTTTTTATTAAATAAACTTGATTGAAGTATAATTTGCCTAAGATAAAATACACAAATTTTTAACATAAATTTTACTGTGTACATTTAAAGTATACAACATGATGTTATTAGACAAATAACAAAATTGTTATAATAGTGAATCAAATTAACATATCCGTCATCTTTCTGTTACCCATTTTTGTGTGCATCAAGGGCAGCTGCACAATCTACTCATTTAGTAAAAATCCTGAATTCAATTCACTATTATTAAATATAGCCCTCATGTTGTACATGAGATTTCTAGAGTGTTCATCCTACATATCTGTTATTTGTATACTTTGATCTACATCTTCCATTTTCTCCCCAATATTGACCCTGCTCTTGGTAATCATTGTTCTATTCTCTATCTCTGTATATTTGCATTTTTAAAAGACTTCATATATAAGTCACATCATGCAGTAATTTTATTTCTGTATCTGGCATACTTCATTTACCATAATGTCCTCCAGGTCTATTCTACATTGTGGCAAATGACATGATCCCCTTCTTTTATAAGGCTGAATAATATTCCATTGTATATAAACACCCCAGTTTCCTTAACCATTCATCTGTCAATGGACACTTAGGTTGTTTCTATATCTTGGCTATTGTGAATAATGCTGCAATGAGCATGGGAGTGCAGCTATCTCCATGAGGTCAGAATTTCATTTCCCTTGGGTATATACACACAAGAGGGATTGCTGGATCATCCAGTAGTTTTATTTTTAATTTTTTAAGGAATCCCCATACTGTTTTCCATAATGACTGCACCAATCTACATTCCTACCACATTGTATAAGGGTTCTCTTTTCTCCATAGGATCTTCAACACTTGTTTTATTTTGCCTTTTGGTAGTAACTATCCTAATGGGTGTGAGGTAATATCTCATAGTGATTTTGATTTCCACTTCCCTGATGACTAATGATGTTTAACAACTTTTCAGATACTTGTTTTTCATTTGTGTGTCTTTGTTTGAGAAATGTCTATTTGGGTCTTTTGCCCATTTTTCACTTGGATTATATGTTTTCTTTATATTGTGATTTATGAGTTCCTTATACATTGGATATTGACTCCTTATCATGTATACAGGTTGCAAATATTTTTCCCCAATCCACAGGTTGCATTTTCATTTTGTTAATTGTTTCCTTTGCTATGCAGAAGCTTTTTAGTCTGATGTAGTTCTATTTATTTGTTTTTTTATTTGGTATACTAAGCTTTTGGTGTCATATCCAAAAAAAGTTGTATATCTGCACCTATGTTTTCTTCTAGGAGTTTTATGGTTTCAGGTATTATATTTAGGTCTTTTGTCCATTTTGAGTTAAACTTTGGTATGGAGTAAGGGTTCAATTTTATTCTTTTGCATGCGGAAATCCAGTTTTCTAACACCACTTATTTAAGAGATTATCCTTTCACCATTGTGTATTCTTAGTTCCTTTGTCAAAAATTAGTTGACAATATAAGTTTGGATTTATTACTGGGCTCTGTATTCTGTTCCTCTGGTCTATGTGTCTATTTTATGCCAGTTTCACTGTTTTTATTATTGTAGCATTGTAAATAAAATTGGAAATCAGGAAGTGTTATGACTCTAACTTTTTTTTCTATCTCAGAATTACTTTCGCTATTTGGGGTCTTTTGAGTTTCCATTTGAATTTTAGGATTTGTTTTTCTATTTCTGTGAAGAATGCCACCAGGATATTGATTGAGATTGCACTGAATATGTGTATTGCTTTGGGTAGTATGGGCACTTTAACAGTATTAATTCTTCTAATCCATGAGCATGAGATATTTTTCTATTTATTTATGAGTTCCTAAATTTCTTTCATCAATGTTTTACAGTTTTCAGTGTACAGGCCTTTCATTTTCTTGGTTAAATTTGTTTCTACCATTTTTTGATACTTTCATAAATGGGATTGTTTTCTTGTTTTTTGTTTTGGTTAGGTTGTTATTTGTGTATAGAAATGCTACCAACTTGTGTATAGAAATGCTACCAATTTGTGTGTGTTGATTTTGTATCTTGCAACCTTACTGAATTCATTTATTAGTTCTAACAGGTTCTTTGGTGGAGTCTTTGGAATTTTGTATATGTAGACTCATGTCATCTGCAAATGTAGATAATTTTACTTCTTCCTTTTGGATTTGGATATCTCTTTTTCTTGTTTGATTGCTCTCGTTAGTACTTCCAATTCTAACAAGAATAGAAATGGTGAGAGTGGGAATCCTTGCCTTGTCCTGGATCTTAGTGGAAAAGCTTTCAGTTTTCCCCATTGATTTTAATGTTAGCTGTGAATTTTTCATAAGTGGTTTTTCCTATGTTGAGGAATTTTCCTTCCATACCTAAACAGTTGAGAGTGCTTATTAAGAAATGATGTTGAACTTTGTTGAATGCTTTTTCTGCATCAGTTGAAATCATGTGGTTTTTATCTTTCAGTTTGTTAATGTGATGCATCACATTGATTGAACTGTGTATGTTAAACAAGACTTGCATGCCAGGAATAAATCTCACTTGGTCATGATGCATAATCTTTTTGATCTGTTGTTGAATTTTGTTTCTTAGTATTTTACTGGAGATTTTTGCATCAAAGTTCTTCAGAGATGTTGGCTTATAGTTTCCATTTCTTGCAGTATTTTCATCTGGCTTAGGTATCAAAGTGATGCTGGCCTCCTAAAATGTGTTAGGAAATATAACCTCTAGCTCTATTTGTAAAGGGTTTATGAAGTATTTCTATTAATTGTTCTTTGAATGTTTGGTAGTATTCAGCCATGAAACCATCTGGTCCTGGGCTTTTCTTTGTAGATAAGTTTTTAATTTCTTTCAATTTATTTATTATTAGTCTGTTTATGCTTCCTATTTGTTCTTGATTCAATCTACACAGATTGTACTTTTAAAGGAATTTATCCATTTCATCTAGGTTATCCAATTTGTTGGCATATAATAGTCCCTTTAGAATCTTATTTCTGAAGCATCTGTTGTAACGTTTCCATTTTTATTCCTCATTGTATTTGATTATTAGTCTTGCTAAGGGTTGGTTTATTTTGTTTACTTTTTAAAGTAAAAGAAATCTAGTTTTATTGACTTTTCCTGTGGTTTTTCTATTCTCCATTTGATTTATTTCTGTTTTGATATTTATTATTGTTTTCCCTCTGCTAACTTTTGGTTTAGTTTGTTCTTCTTTTTCCTCTTCCAAAAAGCACAGATATTAAGTAAATAGTTCTAAGAACATTTCAAAAATTCTACTTTAAAAATCTTTATCAGGTCAGGAATGGTGACTTATGCCTATAATTTCAGAACTTTGGGAGGCCAAGACAAGAGGATCCCTTGAGCCCAGGAACTCAAGGCTGCAGTGAGTGAGAATCATGACACTGCACTCCCGCCTGGGTCACAGAGCAAGACCCTGCCTCTAAAAAAACCCACAAAGCTTTATCAAGGAATAATTAACAAACAATAAACTTTATAGATTTTTATTATGCAATTTGATATATTTTGACATATTTATACACCCATGAAACCATTACCACCATCAAGGTAATGAGCATATCCATTAGCCCAAAAAGTTTCCTTGTGCATCTTTATAGTAATACTTTCCCTCCCTCTGTCCAACCCCTGTTCCAGTTACCACAGCCTTGCCTTCTATCACTATAGATTAGATTTTCTAGAATTATATATAGGTGAAATATGCCTTTTTCCTGCTTTCTTTCACTAATAATAATGCTTTGAGATTCATTTATGCTGGTTAGTTATCAATAGTTCTCATTTTTAAAATTCTCATCTCACACCATATGAAAAAATCAACTCGATTGGATTAAAGACTTAAAGGTAAGACCTGAAACTGCAAAAGTGTTAAAAAAATCATAGGGAAAAAGCTTATTGACATTTGTCTGGGTAATGATTTTTTTATATGACCTCAAAAGCACATGCAACAAAAGTGAAAATAGACAAATGGTATTACATAAAACTAAAAAGGTTCTGCACAGTAAAAAAAAAAATAATAACAGAGTGAAGAGACAACCAATGGAATGGGAGAATATATTTGCAAGGCATATAGCTGATAAGGGGTTAATATTAAAAATATATAAAGAACTTAATTCAATAGTAAGGGAAAATAGCCCATTTTTAAATAAGCAAAGGAACTGAATAGGCAATTCTCAAAAGAAGACATATAAAAGGCCAACAGGTGCATAATAAAGTGCTCAACATCATTAATCATTAGGGGAATACAAATTAAGCCCACAATGAGATGTCACTTCCCACCTGTTAAAATGTTATTATCAAAAAGACCAAAGATAAAGTATTGGGCCATTTTTGTATTGCTGTAAAAAAAAATTGAGACTGGGTAATTTATAAAGAAAAGAGATCTAATTGCTCATAGTTCTGCAGGCTCTACAAGGATGGTGCCTGCATCTGTTAGGCTTCTTGGAGGCCTCAAGGAGTTTTTACTCATGGCAGAAGGCAAAATGGGAGCAGGCCCTTCACATGACAAAAACAGGAGTTAGAGGTTGGGGGAGAGGTGACACGTACTTTTAAACAACCAGATCTCATGAAAACTCACTCACTATCATAAGGACAGCACCAAGCCAAGAGAGATCTACTCCATGATCTGATCACCTCCCACTAGGCCCCATCTCCAAAATTGAGGATTACAATTCGACATGAAATTTGAATGGAGACAAATATTCAAACTATTAAGTGTTGACAAGGATGTGGAGAAATGGGAACCCTTACACACCATTAGTGAAAATGTAAATTAGTGCAGCCACTATGAAAAACAGTATGGGGAGTCCTCAAAAACTTAAAAATAGAACTATCAATATGATCTACCAATTCCACTACTGGTATATCTTAAAGAAAATAAAATCAGTATGTCAAAGAGATATCCACATGCTCTCATGTTTATTGCAGCATTAGTCACAATTGCCAGATATGAAAGCAACCTAGGTGTCCATTAAAGGATCAATGGACAAAGAAAATGTTGTATATATATACAATGGAATGCTGTTCAATCTTCTGAAAAAAAAAGACTATTCTGTCATATGTAACAACATGGATGAACCTGGAGACCATTATATTAACTGAAATAAGCCACACACCATATCATCTCACTTACATGTGGAGTATAAAACAGTTGAATTAAAAAAAACAGAGAGTAAAATGGTGGTTACCAGAGTCTGGGAGGTTGAAGGAATTAGGGAAAAGTAGGTTAAAGTACATAAATTTTCAGTTAGACAGGAGAAATAAGTTCAAGAGTTCTATTTTACATCATGGTTACTACAATTAACAATATATTGCACACTTACAAATTTCTAAGAAAGTAGATTTTAAGTGTTCTCCGTATTTAAAAAAATATAAGTATCTGAGCTAATGTGTACGTTAAATAGCTTAATTTATCCAATCACAGTGTATACACATATCAAAAAATCATGCTATATACCATAAATATGTACAATTTGTACTTGTCTATTAAAAAAATTAAAGTATCCTTTATCTAGTCCATGGCTGCAAAGTTTCTCTCTGATGTTTTTTATTAAGCTTTTATATTTTACATTTCTGTTTTTGGACATTTTTAGTTAATATTTATACAAGGTATGAGGTTTAGGTTGAGGTTTTGTTTGCTTTTTTTCTATGGATGTTTAATTGCTCTAGCACCATTTGTTGAAAAGGCTATCCTTCCATATTGAATTGATTTTGCACTTTTGTAAAAAATGAGTTGACCATCATGTGTGAATTTATGTCTGGAGTCTATTCTCTTCCAATATTTCACCAATACTGCTAATATAAATTGCTGTAGAGATAACCCTTGAAATCAGGGAGAGCAATACCTCCCAATTTATTAGGCTTTTTCAAAATTGTTTTAGCTATTCTAGTTCCTTTGACTTTCCACATAAGTTTTAGTATAAGTTTGTCTATTTCTACAAAATACCTTGGTGGGATTTTTTAAATTGTGTCAAACCCTGGGGAGAATTAACAACTTTACTATGTTAAATATTTCAATCCCTGAACATGGTATGACTCTCCATCTATTTAGATCTTCTTTTATATCTTTCATTCATGTTGTGTAGTTTTAAATATCTAAGTCTTGTACATGTTTTGTTAGATTTACACATCAATATTTCATTTACTTTGGCTGATTATAAGATATAAATTTTGGTTTCCACAAGTTTACAGCTAGAATATGAGAATACAATTGATTGTTGTATGTTGATCTTATATCCTGTGACCTTTCTAAACTCAGTTCTTAGCCCTAGAATATTTTTGTAGATTCATTAATATTTTCCACTAAAAACCACCAGGTTATCTGCAAATAGACACAGTTATATCTTCCTTTCTGATCCGTATATCTTTTATTTTATTTTCCTGTCTTATTATACTGACTAAAACTTCCAATATGATGTTGAATAGTGGTGGCAAAAGCAGCAGACATCCTTACCTTGTTCTGAATAGCAGTGAGAAAGCATTCAGTTTTTCACCATTCAGTATGATGCTAGCTGTAGTTCTTTTGTAGATATACCTTATCAAAATGAGAAAGCTGCTTTCTATTCTAAGTTTGCAGAGAAATTTTTTGATGAATGGACACTGAGTTTTGTCAAATGATAGAATTGGGTGATTGTTTTTTAGCCTATTCATATGTTGCATTGAATTGATTAATTTTTAAATGTTGAACCAGACTTACATATCTGGAATAAACCTTGCTTTTTCATGGTGTATAATTTTTTATACATTGTTGAATTCTATTTGATAATATTTTGTTAAGAATGTTTGTATCTGTATTCATAAGGGATATTGGTGTATGGTTTTGATAGACAGAATTATGCCCATCCCAAAGACATGAACATATTATTATCCCATCCCTGTGAATATATTACTTTACATATTCACAGAATATGTAAATAGACCCTGCAGGTATAATTAAGGACCTTGTGATGAAGAGATTATTCTGGATAATCTAGGTGGGCTCAATCTAATCACGTGGGTCCTTAAAAGCACAGAACATTTCCCAGATGTGGTCAGAGGGAGATGTGACTATGCAAGAAATAACCAGAGAAATGACAGCATGAGAACTTGGGCTGCAGTTGCTAGCTTTGAAGATAGAGGAGGGGGATCATATGCCAAGGAATGAAGGTAGCCTCTAGAAGCAGGAAAACTCAAGGAAACCGATTCTCCCCTGGAGCCCCCAGGAAGAAATGCAACCCTGCTGAAACCTTTATTTTGCTGAATGAGACCCATTTTGAATGTTCTGAACTATAGAACTGTATGATAATAAATTTGTGTTGTTTTAGGCCATTACATTTGTGGTAATTTGTTACAGTAGCAATAGAAAGCTAATACACAAGTTTTCTTTTTTGGGCTATCTTTTTCTGGGTTTTGAATCAGACTAATACTAGCTTCATAAAATGAACTAGGAAATATTCCTCTTCTTCTATTTTCTGAAAGAGATAGTGTAGGATTCTTCTTTAAAGATTTAGTGGAATTCTCCAATAAAACCATCTGTGCCAGGAAATTTCTTTTCAGGAGCTTTTAAAATACAATTTCAATGTTTTTATAGCTATAGGACAATTCAAATTATCTGTTTAATATTGGATGAATTGTGGTAATTGGTATTCTTCAAGTAGTTGATCCATTTTATTTAAGTTGTATTAATAAAAGTTGTGTGTCTACAGTTGTTCATGGTATTTTTTCTTATGTTTTTGATGTCTGTGAAGTCTGTAGTAATGTCCTCTGTTTTATTTCTGATATTGGCAATTTATATCTTCTCCTTTTTCTTTGTCTTTGTAGGGAAACAGTTCTTTGTTGTATTGATTTTCTGTTTTCAGTTTCATTGATTTATGCCCTTATCTTTAGTATTTTCTTTCTTCTGCTGGTTTGGGCATTTTTGCTCTTTTTTCATAGTTTCTTCTTGTGAAACCTTATATTACTGATCTAAGACTTTAGCTCTTTTCCAATAGAAGCACTTAGTGCTATAAATACCCATCTCAGCACAGCTTTCAGTGCATCTCACACATTTTCATATGTTGTATATTAATTTCCATTTAGTTCCATGCATTTTTGTTTCCTTTAGACTTACTATTTGATCCACAGATTATTGAGAGTTATTTTCTTAAATGTTCAATTGTTTTGAAATTTTCCTGTTACCTTTTAATTACTGATTTGTAGTTTGATTTCACTGTGGTCAGAAAACACACTCTGAATGATTTCAATTCTTTTACCTTGGTTAATGTTTGTTTTATGATCCAAGATTTGGTCTACTTTGGTATATGTCCCATGTACACTTGAAAAGGAATGCATTCTGCTGTTGTTGGATGGAATTTTCTACAAATGTTGATTAGATCCTGTTTGTTGATGGTGTTGTTTAGTTCTTATATATCCCTGCTGATTTTTTCTCTGTTCTATAAGTTCTTCATAAGGTGTGTTAAACTCTTCAACTATAATTGTAAATTTGTCTATTTTTCCTTTCAATTCTATCTGCATTGGCTTTGCATATATTGCAGCTCTGTTGTTTGGTGGATATGCATTAAGGATTGCTATGCCTTCTTGTTGGATTTACACTTTTAAAATTTTGCAGTAATATACCCACTTCTCTTCTATTGATTGTATTTACATGGCATATTTTTTGCATCCTTTTACCCTCAGTCAACCTATATTTTTACATTGAAGTGGCTTTCTTGTAGGTAGCATGTAGTAGGGCCATTTTTTGTTGTTGTTGTTATCCACTCTGCCAATTTCTGTCTTTTGATTGGTGTATTTAGACCTTCTACATTTATTGTAACCATTGATGTATTAGGCTCAAGTCTGCCAATTTATTTTTTGTTTTCTCTTTGGATTCTATTTTTTATTTCTCTATCTTCTCTTCCCTGCCTTAATATGAGTTACTTGGCCACTTTATAGAATTCCATTTTGATTCATTTATAGCATTTTTGAGTGCATTTCTTGTTTTGTTCCTTTAGCATTTGCATTATGTATTATATATACTTAATTTATCACTATTTATTCCTGTTGACATTTTACCAGCTAAAGTGAAGTGCAGAAATCTAACTTCTTTTACATTTCTTTACCCTACCTTATTTATGAGTCATAAATAATTCTCCCTACACATTAAGAACCAAAGCAATAGTATAATTTTTTTCTTTAACTATCAAGCATAATTAAGAAAACTCACAAGGAGAAAGAAAATCTATTATATTTATTCATATTTCTCCCTTACACTTATTCTTTCTTCCTTCCTGAGGATCAAAGATTCTTTTATTGTTTCCTCTCTATTTAAAAAACTTCCACTAGCCATTTTTTTAAAGACAGATTTGGTGGTGGCAAATTTTCTTAGTTTTTTTCATATAAGAATGTCTTGACTAATCTTATTATAGCTACACCAGTTGTCATATGCTTATCATTTGCATAAGATATTTTTTCACATCCTTTTTATTTCAACTTAATTGTGTCCTTAAAATTTGTCTCTGCTGTGCAGCATGTAGTAGGTCTTCATTTTTTATAAAATCTGACAATCTTTGCCTTTTACTTTGAAATTTTTTGTCCATTTATATTTAAAGTAATTATTGACACATTTCACTTTAAATATCTTTCTATTTGTTTTCTGTTTGTCTCACTCACTTATTTCTCTCCATTCTCTGTCTTCTTTTTCACTAAATGAATATTTTTCAATATTTCACTTAATTTTGCTATTAACTTCTTAGTTCTATCTCTGTTTATTTTTAATGGTTGCTCCTGATATTGGAATATACATCTTAAATTATCATAATTTGCTTAGAATTAATACTGTATTTTTTCACAATTCATACATTTCAAAAGTAAATAATGTGACAGCAGTATAATTCAATTCCACACTCCCATCCTTTGTGTTATTGTTTTTATGTTTTTCTCTATAATACGTCATAAACTTTACAATGATATTATTTTTGTTTAGTAATTTTTTCTTTAAGAAAATAAGAATAAACACAGCTCAGTCTCATACTTTATCAATATTTCATTCATTACAATCTTTGGTGCTCACTTTTCCTTCCTGTACATATATATTTCTACATTTCCTTTCTGCCAAAAAACTATATTTTAGTATTCCTTACAGTGAAGATCTATTAAAAATTGCTTCTGCTTTCATTTATCCAAAACATCTTTTTTTCACCCTGATGTTTGAAGATTATTTCTCACTAGATACCAAATTCTGTTACAGTTTTTTAAATGATGAGAATATTTATGATCACTCTCTTAACAAATTTTAAGTGTACAATATAACATTATTATAATCACCATGCTGTACTTTAAATCTCCAGGATTTACTCATCTTATAACTGAAAGTTAGTACTCTTTGACCAACATCTCATTTCCCCCACACCTCAGCTCCTGGCAACCATCATTCTATTCTCTGTTTCTATGAATTAGATTTTCCTTTTTAGATTCCACACTAAGTCATACTAAGTCATATAATATTTGTCTTTCTCTGTCTACTTTCTTTCACTTAGCATAATGCCCTCAAAATTCATTCATGTTGTTTCAAATGATAGTATTTCTTTCTTATTTTGGCTGAATATTCCTTGTATGTATATATGTATGCATGTGTGTAGATGTGTGTGTATGTATGTATATATACACATACACTTATACACGTATGCATATATGTGTATATATACACATACATACACACATACAAACACATATATTACATTTTCTTTATCCATTCATCTGTCATTGGACATGTAGGGGTTGTTTCTATGTCTTGCTATTTTGAATAATTACACAATAAGCATGGGGTGCAGATATCTCTTCAAGATACTGATTTTGTTTCCTTTGGTTATATACCCACTATATGGTTTGGCTCTGTCCCCACCCAAATCTCATCTCAAATTTTAATACCCACATGTTGGAGGAGGAGCCTGGTGGGACATGATTGAACCATGGGGATTTAATTCTCCCTGGCTGTTCTCATGATAGTGAGTAAGTTCACACAAGAACTGATGCTTTTAAAATGTGGCACTTCCCCCCTGGCTCACTCACTCTCTCCTGCCACCAAGTAAGACATGCCTAGCTTCCCCTTCCCCTTCTGCCATGACTGTAAGTTTTCTGAGGCCTCCTCAGCCATGCATAACTGTAAGTCAACTTAACATCTTTTCTTTATAAATTACTCAGTCTCGGGTAGTTCTTTATAGCGGTGTGAAAAAGGACTTATAACGAAAATTGGTACTAGGGGTTTGGGACACTGCTATAAAGATAACCTGAAAATGTGGAAGTAACTTTGGAACTGGGTAACAGGCTGAGGTTGGAACAGTCTGGAGCAATCAGAGAAAGACAGGAAGATGTGGCAAAGTTTTAGAACTTCCTAGAGACTTGTTGCATGGTTGTGACCAAAATGCTGATAGTAATATAGACAATAAAGACCAGGCTGAGTTGGTCTTAGATGGAGATGAGAAACTTATTGGGAACTGGAGTAAAGGTCACTCTTGTTATGCTTTAACAAAGAGACTGGCAGCATTTTATCCCTACTGTAGAGATCTATGGAACTTTGAACTTGAGACAGATGATTTAGGGTATCTGGCAGGAGAAATTTCTAAGCAGCAAAGCATTCAAGAGGTGACCTGGCTTTTTCTGAAAATGTACAGTCATATGCATTCAGAAAGAGAAGGCTTGAAATTGGAACTTATGTTTAAAAGGGAAGCAAAGCATAAAAGTTTGGAAAATTTGCAGTCTGACCATGTAGTAGAAAAGAAAAATACATTTTCTAGGGAGGATTTCAAGCCCAAGCTGGCTACAGAATTTTGCGTATGTAATGATGAGCCAAATTCTAATAACCAAGATAATGGGGAAAATATATCCAGGGCATTTCAGAGATCTTCATGGAAACCCCTCCAATTACAAGCCCAGAAGCCTAGGGGGAAAAATGGTTTTGTGGCCAGGTCCAGGGCCCAGCTGCTCTGTACACCCTCAGGACATGGTGCCCTACATCCCAGCCACTACAGCTCCAGCCAGGTCTATAAGGGGCCAAGGTACAGCTTGGGCCATGGCTTCAGAATGTGCAAGCCCCAAGCCTTGGCAGCTTCCATGTGGTGTTGGGCCTGCAGGTGCATAGAAGACAAGAGTTCAGGTTTGGGAACCTCCACCTAGATTTCAGAGGATGTATGGAAACACCTTGATGTCCAGGCTGAAGTCTACTGCAGGGGTGGAGCCCCATGGAGAACCTCTACTAGGACAGTGTGGAGGGTAAATGTGGGGGTTGCTATTTATCACCAATTTTGAGGAATTTTCAACCGTTACTGCTTGAAATATTCTTTTCTCCCTCATTCTAGCTTTCTCTCTTCATCTGGTATTCCAACAGGCCATTGAGACTCTGTTCTTTATTGTCTTCAATCTTTTTTTACCTCCCTTCTTCAGAGTGGATCACTTAATTACTCTGTTTTCAGATTCACTCCCCCTTTCTTCTGCTTTCTTCAATCTGCTGTTAGGTTCATCCACCTTATTTTTTATGATATACTTATACTTTTCATTTCTAGAATTTCCAATTGTCTGTGATTCCCCATGTTTTCACTCATTAAGACCATATTTTCCTCTAAATGGTTGAACATGTTTAACATTATTGATTTAAGGTCCTCAGCTGATAATTCCAAAATATGGGCCATTTCAAAGTTGTTGTCCATTGACAGTACATATTTTTTCTTGATTTTGTCTAAATTTTTCTCCTTCTTCATATGTCTAGTATTTTTATTGTATGCAGATTATTGTGAATGACACATTTTAAGGTGTCTGAATTTATCTTCCTTTAAAGAATGATAAGGTTTGTTGTGAGTGGTAGTTTATTTTCTAGTGGTTCTCCTTGAATGTGGGGATGCTTAACTTTAAGCTTTCTTTCGATGTGTCTAAAGTAGCCCCAGTACTAGGGAATGGACTTTACTCTTGTTGTGGCCTTCCTGGTGCCTCTTCTTTGGCCCTAGGTTTTTATCAAGCTCTCTTACTTCTGTCTGGACCAAAATTCCAACATCTCCATACACTGTGTTATCTCTAGTATCTCCATTTTGTTCACAACCTGTAGCAGCCATTCTCCGCTAGGCTTCCCGGCATCTTGCTCTACCCTTTTGCAGCTCAGACCTCAGCCAAATATTTGCAGTAAATGCTCTCACTGAATACTGGTCTCTGTGTCATTGCCTCCAAACAGTTAGATGGAGAGAATGTGAGACTCACCTCATTTGTCTCCCTTCTCTCAGGGTTCATATTTCTGTGCTGCTGCTTGTTCAATCCCTGATAAGGGTTTCCTCAAATATTTTTTTCCAGTTTTACAGTTATTTACATCAGAAGGGCAAGTCTATTGCCAGTTGCTTTGTCATGATGGCATAAGATGTCTGGTTTTTTGTTGTTGTTGCTGTTGTTTTGTTTTTTGTTTTGAGACAGAGTCTCGCTCTGTCACCCAGGCCAGAGTGCAGTGACACGATCTCGGCTCACTGAAATCTCCGCCTCCTGAATTTAAGCAATTGTCCCACCTCAGACTCCTGAGTAGCTAGGATTACAGGTGTGTGCCACCACAGGCAACTAATTTTTTTTTTTTTTGTTTGTTTGTTTTTTTAGTACAGATAGGGTTTCATCACGTTGGCCATGCTGGTCTCGAACTCCTGACCTCGTGATCTGCCCACCTTGACCTCCCAAAGTGCTGGGATTATAGGTGTGAGCCACCACTCCCAGCCCAGGATGTCTGGTTTTTATCCATTACACTTTTCTAAATTTTTAATATGTTTACTATGAATTTATATTGCTTGAGTAATAAGAAGAAAGAATAAAGGCATTTTATTATGTAAAATCATAATTAAGTCAAATGTAAACCAATGAGAAAAGGTCTATTTATGAATCAAAGGCAGTATTAGATCCCCATGTTGCACCCTCTGTTAGCAATATGTTACTAGAGTTACAAAGATGGAAAAATATAAATGATTTAATTATTATATTGGAGTACTATAACAATTCTTTATTCTATTTTGAGTTTCCCTTGAATAGTCAAGCTTGAGAAAAGCATCGAAACACGTGAGCAGGAGGTTTCGTGTGCAAGTTAGTATATAAAAGATTTCTGAGTGAGAGTATTTATGGATGTGTGTACAATCTGAGTATCTGAAAGGAAAGAGATGTGATTGAAGGTAACAAAAGAAAAGGGGAAGAAGTAGAAGGAGGCATGATGTATGTTGGCAAACAGAACACTCAAAATAGGAAAAGAATGCACATAAATTTAGAAGATGTCACTCTCATTATTCATATTATATATTAAATTTACTCACAGTATTTATTAATTTGGGAGTAGCTGAATGCACAGTAGGACTTAATAAGAATGTGTTGGTGTAGTGCTTCATTCATTGCTTCTGAATAAATAAATGCAGATTGTATCAGCTTGATTTTTTCTTGCAGACCACCCTATTGGGACGGAAAGACCATCTACTATTGAATCCCAGTTCTTCATCATCACTTACCAAATTAGCAAAGATAGCACTTTATATATATTTGCAAATGAGTATGCTTGATGGGTGCAGGGAAGCATGAATTGAGAGTGGTTTAGACAGCATGAATAATAATTAGATTGTGAAGCCCAGGAGGCCCAGCTAAACAATGAATAGAAAGAAAAGCTTGGGACCCAGGTGTGGGAGTGAAAGAGAGCAGGCACATAACTGAAGAGTCAGTCAGGGACCAATGAATTAGTCCAAAAGTCAGTAGGCTTCTGTCACATTGCTTCTCCTTTTGTGTGTGTGTTTTTTTAAATGTCTCTGTCTTTGGCTGTTCCAGCTCTCCTTCCTCCCACTTATTCCCTCTGACTGTCTCCCAAAGTTCAGTTCTTGCCCCCTGTCTATTCCCTTTTGTCCTCACTCCTTCAGGGGAGTTCATGTATTCTTTTGATTTTGGCTACTCCTTGTGTACAAATGACTCTAATATGTCCAGCACCAGCACTGACTTAATTCGAACTTCTTATTTTCATTGCTGTATTCTCGTTTCAGTTGCCTGCAAGATATTTTTCCCTTGGGTTTCCTACTATCCCCTGAAAATTAATATGTCAAAATCTTAATTATTCTCCCTTCTCACTTGTCTGACCCTTTTCAAAACAAGAATTCCTCCTAACCACACCATTACCACCAATAGCACCATTAGTTTTCCAATGTCTATCCTTGGAGCTGTGGAATGATTTTAATCCCTGTTAAATCTTTATACTACATCCAATATGCTGCCAAATCTTTCTATTCATTTCTCTGCAAGCTCCTTGAATTTTAACTTATTGTTTTCTTTCTAAAATCACATTAATATGTAGGTTATTACAATATGTTCTTAAATGGCTTCCCTGCCTTAGCTTCTCTGCTCTACTGCATCCCTCATACAGATGGTAAATTCAAATCACGTGAATACACTTCTCTGAACCCCTTTAGTTTGCTGATTTAGTCAACTCACTCTTTAGCCCAGAATTCAGTACCATGCCTCAGTTGTCTCTCTTTCCATGCCCATCTCAAATTCTGCTTTCATTTATCCTGAATGTAGAATCCCAGAAAATACATATTGGAATGGAACTTTAAGCTGGAAATTCACATCAGGCATTTAGAAGAGATTTCTAGATATCTCGAACTAGGTGTGAAAGACATCTAGACATACATATTAGTTGAAGAGGTGGTAGTACATAAGACACTGGGGAGGTACAATATGATGAAAGGATGGGTCCAAGGGCAAAATCTCAAGGTATGGAAATCTTTCTAAGGAGACAGGAGGAGGAAGTCCCGCTTAAGAGATTTTAAAAAGCAATTACAAAACGTGGGTAGAAATAACTTAATTTGTACCAACTATATACTGGGTGTTTTACATCCTTTTCTCTAATCTTGACAACTCCTGGCAAAGTAGACATAATCAACCCCTTTTCAAAGATTAAAAAAAAAAACCTATGGCTCAAAAAGTGACATAAAGGTAGGGCCAGAATTTGAATTCAAATCCACATCAGTTTTGAGCTGAAGTCTATGCTCTTTTCATCAAAGCACACTACAAAGGGATTAAGAAAAGGAAAACTAAAAATATGTTTTTGAATTTGATGAGAAAGAGGACATTAGTTACCATCCAGAGTTCAGCTTCTGTACAGAAATTAAAGTGGAAGTCAAATTGCACATTGATTGAGACAGGAAAAGCAACATAACTCTTTTAAGAAATTTGAAAAGGAAGAGAGATGAAGCTGTAGCTTGAGTATGTGGTAGGGTTAATGGAAAGTATTTTATGGTATGGTGTTTTATTTAAGAGACCGAAACCATGTATACTTGTATCCAGAAGGAAAGGAGCCAGTTGAAAGAGAGGGTTTGAAAATACAGGCAAGAAAGTGGATAAACAGTGGGAAGAGATGGAGATACAAAAATACAGGTACAGAGGAGTCAGCTTTTAGCAAGAATGAGGTGTCTTAGTCTGATTCCTGTTGCTATAACAGAATATGAAAAACTGGGTAATTTATAAAGAAAAGAAATTTATTTCTCACAGTTCTGGAGATTGGGAAGTACAAAAGCATGGTACTCACATCTGGTGAGGGCTTTCCTATTACATTATCACAAGGAGGAGGGTGAAGGAGCAACCAAGTGCATGAAAAATGAGAAAAAAGGAAGGGCTAGGCTTGCTTTATGGCAATCCACTCTCAAGATAACTAATCTATCCCTACAGTAATGCATTAATCCATTCAGGAAAGAGGAGCCCCCATGACCTAACCCTTCTTAAGATTCCATCTTGGCCAGGAGCGGTGGCTTAGGCCTGTAATCCCAGCACTTTTGGAAGCTGAGAAGGGCAGATCATGAGGTCAGGAGATCGAGACCATCCTGGCTAATGCGGTGAAACCCCGTCTCTACTAAAAATACAAAAAAAAAATTAGCCGGGCATGGTGGCAGGCACCTGTAGTCCCAGTTACTTGGGAGGCTGAGGCAGGAGAATGGCGTGAACCCGGGAGGCAGGGCTTGCAGTGAGCCGAGATCGTGCCACTGCACTCCAGCCTGGATGACAGAGTGAGACTCCATCTCAAAAAAAAAAAAAAAAAAAAAAAAAAAAAAAAAAAAATTTCCATCTCTTAATAACTGTTACAATGGCAAATAAATTTCAGCATGAATTTCAAAAAGGACAAACACTCAAACTATAGCAGGGGGGAACAATTATTTCTTAAAGACAGAATATATCAAGAAAGAGAACAGAGGAAATTAAAGATTTTGAGATAGAAACCATGAGAGTTCTCACTGAATCTCCCTATACTCTTGGTGAGTTGGCCAGTCAGGGGGTACTTAAGGAAAGTGGGAAGGAGTTAAGGAAATTAACATTCCATAAGGGCCTGCAATATTCCAAGCTCCTTAAATGTGTTTTCTCTCCCCCAGCCCCATCCTTCAACATTTCCTTTCTGGATCACTTTTCCTGCTAATGGCTCACTTTGTTCTACCCACTATGCATCTTCCCTATGCCTTAATAAATTCCAGGCATGCTCCCATTGCAGGACCTTTGCACTAGCTAGTCCCTCTGCTGCAAAGCTCTTCCCCCAGAAATCTGCATAATTCACTCTCCCAGCTCCTTCAATTTTCAGCTTAAATGTCACCTTCTTTGTGAGGGCAATTCAGACTACTCTTATTAAAATTGCAATTTGTGATACCCATCCCCACATGTACACTCCCAATCTCTATTATTTTGTTCTACTTTGTTCGATAGCACTCATCACTGTCTAACATATTGTATCCTTTACATATTTTTCATGTTCACTGCTAGTTGTCTGTCTCTCCATATTAGAATATGAACTCACTGGCAGGGATTTTTGTCTCTTTTGTTGACTGATATATTGCACATACCTGGAACAGTATCTGACACATGAATATCTGTCACTGAATGTTTGTTGAATAAATGAATGAATTATGGTTTCATTATAGTTATAGTAAGAGAGACCAAAATTCAGAGTTTGGGTAAAGCCATGGAGGTAGAAGAGCTGTGAGTGGCAACAAAGTCTAAAGTTATAGCCTCCCATGAGAGGGCTGAGGAAGTGGTGAAAAAGATCACTGGTACTAAGAAAGTCAAAGTCACCTTGGTACCTGGCTGGTCGCAGAGGCATTGAGGAGACACTATGAGTATTATCTGAGGAGTCTTGTAGCCTAAAATTGCTGGATGCAACAAAGAGGGATACTCTCCTCACTTACTGTCACACTTACAGGGCTTTTTCTGCAAGTTCCCCCCACCTGCTCTTCAGCATCTAGTTATGTGTTGAGCACACTTCAGAATGGCATTTGAGTTAATCATCGAGAGGAAAATAAAGGAGAAATAGTAAAAGAGAGCTCAAAGGATCTGCATTAGTAGAGGAGTAGGACTTAAGGAGATTCTCACAACCATTTTTGAGAAGTACTGGTACAGAGCACTTTTTAAAATCACACACATATAAATTATGCTCAGCTACTCACAGGGCTAAACTACAATTTTCACAAACTTTACCCTTTACACAAATGTTTATACAAGTTTGCTCACATGTGCTCCTATCTCTCTAAACACTCAGATCTTGGACACATATTCCCCTATACAAACACGTTTATTTGAGATACTTAAACACACATCTAGGTATCTACCATGTCCTCATGTAGGGACATACATCCAGACTTCTTTATATCTGCTACTATACACACAATTCCTTAACTCCTTCTCCTCCCTTCTTTATGTGCTCACAGACAACCATAGTTTTGTGCACAGATAGGCAAATACATCAACCATATGAGTCAGTTCCAGAATAACTCATCTCCACTCGCCTCTCCTGTTTACCATCTGCAATGGAAAAGAGCTCACCACCTCTATAGAGAATAACTATTAAATAGATACGAACCAGGAAAAATATTTGTTCTGCATTATTGTCAGCTATTTGAGTAACCACATCAACAAAGCACTGTTATAACAGACCACCTGCAGTGACAGGTAAATCGCTGTTGTAAAGATCCTTTATAACAGGAGTTTACCTTTGGCTAAGAAAAGGGGTCTGCTCATAGATTTAAGTGTAAATAAGGGAAATGTCAGCCTATTTAAGTGAGAGTGAGGGCCTTAACCAACCTTCATTTATATTTAAATAATTATAAATAATCCTTATCTCTTTGTTAAAGCACTTATAGGAGTCTCCTAGATTCTCTTTCAGTTAGCAATATGACTGGATACATTTGAAAGTAATACAATCACATTTCTTTCAAACTGTTCTACTACTTAGATTTTTCATTAATTCAGACTGATTTCAACTCCTCCCTTTCTCCCACTCCCAACCCTTACCCTGCAATCAGAATGAATTAGGGCAGTTGCATTTTGTGTAAAGACTTAAAAGTTTTTTTCTCCTTTTCTGCTGTGTACTAGGAGGAAGTAAAGGAAAGAGCAGAATGTCAACACTGAGGCCCCTGAGGGGAGAAATCTGGGAGGTCTGAGCAGATGGATCAGAAGGAAGAAAAACAAGAGGGGGATTACGAGGGAAGTGAGGAGAGAGTGGGAGAGAGGGGTACAGAGAAGGGAGTGCAGAGAAACATGACTCAAGAAGAAAGAAGCAGGGAGAAAGAAGGTGAGAGAGAAAAGGGCCAGGCACCTAAGTTGGAGGAGGCAGGAGAATCTACAAGGCGTAAAGGAAGGGGAAACAGGAAACCCAATTTGGGTGGTGATGAGCAGGAACTGAGGGAGGAGAGTCCTGGGAAGTCAGCAAGATCTGACATCCAGAACCAATCTATGTGCTAAATACTACAAGCCACACACACACACACACACACACACACACACACACACTTTTTCTCAAGTTTGTTTAGTTCAGTTAAAATATGAGTAGACCAAAGTATCAAACATGCTTCCCTCACCATTTTGTCCAAGATCAATTATGTACATAAATATAGCCCATAAATACTGACTCATGTCTTCTTTAGAAGGTGAGAAATCATTCTGCTACTTTGAAGAGATTTACAACCATCCCGGCATTGTTGCCTATGACTATACATACTCACTTTCAATTTCCCAACATCATTGTGATTACGTAGGCACTATGTCACTGATTCATTTCTCTTCATTTCTCACCCACAATACCCCCCTGCAACCTTCCTTCCAAATTCTTTCCAGCCACTCACCCCTCTGAAACAGCCAAATGATATTCCACACCTACTCTGGTCTCACAACATAAGTGGCTGCTGTATAGGCAGCTTGTGGGTGTCTCACGGACCAGCTGTGAAACTGCTCTAAAATGTGGCATATCCTTGTGGTCTCTGTGGAAGCAGCTGAGGAAAATGGCCACTGGCTAAACATATTGTCTCTGCTCCCGGCTGAGTTGGGGCAGCTACTCCCCTCAGTAACATTTGCAATTTTTCCTGAGGCTCTCAAAGGGTCATCTGGCTCCTCAGTTCACATTCCCCTCTGCTGAAGACCTTGGGGGCAAACTGTCAGGACCTAGGTTAGACAACATTTTACCTACTTATTTATTCTATGTCTTACTCAAAAGTACTCTTTCGAAAAATGAGCCAGTGAGTCAAGATATAGTCCAGAGCACTCAATTCTCATCTACTTCTGGGTAAAATCCTTTATCATTCTTGATACCGTGACTCCCTTCCCCAGAAGTTGGGGAGTAGTGTGACAGTAAGCTTTGTATCTTCTCTTTGATCAGGAGTGTTAGTGTTATTGTCCTGTAGCCTGACCACTGGTCATCAAATTCTCTTCATCACTAACCCCAAAAGGTCTTGTAGTCCTGATGCAAGTAGGCCCATTGGCAATAGTTGCTCATAAAGTAAGGTAGGAATGGGGGTATGTGATAAGTACCTCCATCTCTAGATGCCAACTGAAACCCAAAATTATGTTCCTCTTTAGAATCCCTGTAAATCCTCCAGATGGACAAAAGGAGTAATAAGGAAGTGAATACTATTCTACCTAAAGTAACCCAATAAACCCAAGACTTGGTTCCCAGGATGGAGCAGGCTTCCACATGTCAAGCACTCTAGGCTGTGTGGGTGGCACCTTCTCCTGTCTGGCACCACAGAGATGTAGAGACGAGATAAGCTACATGCAAAAGGAGTTTCCAGCATACACCTCCACCGGCCCCCATCTCTCCCTGCCAACTCCAACCTCCAATACCTTCTATTCACAGGACATTTTTTTTTATAAGAAAATTCCTCACCTAGCCCTCTTGTTTCTTTGAGTCCTGGTAAACATAGCACTTTCAGAGCCTGGGTGCTCCCATCCCAGCTTCCAGGCAGCTAAAAAGGGAGGCAAAGAATTCAGTACTGCATCTTCAGCTGCAGGTTAAGGGAAATGGGTAGTGCAGAAAAGATTCTTCGTTTTTTTTTTTTTTTTTCTGAGACAGAGTTTCACTCTTGTTGCCCAGGCTGGAGTGCTATGGCTCCATCTCGGAGCCTCACCGCAACCTCCGCTTCCCAGATTCAAGTGATTCTCCTGCCTCAGCCTCCTGAGTAGCTGGGATTATAGGCATGTGCCACCACACCAGGCTAATTTTTTGTATTTTTAGTAGAGATGGGGTTTCACCATGTTGGTCAGGCTAATTTTGTATTTTTAGTAGAGATAGGGTTTCTCCTGCCCTCCTTTTGTTATTCCCATTTTCCCTCACCTGATCATCCAAAGACATTCATTCAAGTCTCTTAATCCTAAGGACCCTCTTCAAACATATTTATACTTATTTTAATAATTATTGTCTTTATACTGTCTTATACTGTCTTTATTCATTAGTGTCAAACATTTGTGGACACAAATATTGTGACTAGCCCTCTCCCAAATTTCTTGTGTTAATCACAAGATGAGTCTTAAACTTTGATTTTTCTTCTCTTTCTGTTATTCCTGTTATAGTAACTAGATTTTTAAGTTTAGGCAGAGGCTGAAAGAGTTTGGAGGACTCAAAGAAGACAGGAAGATGAGAGAAAATTTGGGATTTCCTAGAAACTGGTTGACTGGTTAAATTGTTACCAAAATGTTGATAGTTATATGGACAATGAAGTCCAGACTGAGGTCTCAGATGCAAATGAAGAATTTATTGGAAACAGAAGTAAAGGTCACTTTTGCTATGCTATGCTTTAGCAAAGATCCTAGCTGCATTGTGCCCCTGTTCTAAGGATCTGTGGAATTTTTAACTTAAGAGTGATGATTTAGCATGTCTGGTGGAAGAAGTTTCTAAGCAGCAAAGCATTCAAATGTGGCCTGGCTGCTTCTACCAGTCTATGCACTATGAATGAACAAATAAATGACTGGAACTTATATTTGAAAGGGAAGCAGAGCGTAAAAGTTTGGAAAATTAGCAGCCTGGCCATGTGGTAAAAAAGAAAAGCCAATTTTTCAGGGGAAAAATTCAAGCAGGTTGCAGAAATTTGCATAACTAAAAGAAAGGCATGTGTTGATGGCCAAAACAATGGGGAGAAGGCCTTGAAGGCATTTCAGAGACCTTCACAGCAGCCCCTCCCATCACAGACCTGGAGGTCTAGGAGAATGGAATGGATTCCTGGCCCAGGCACTGGGCCCTGCTGCCCTGCACAGACTTGGGACACTGCTCCTTGCATCCTGGCCACTCCAGCACCAACTATGGCTCAAAGAGTCTCAGGTACAGCTCAGGATGCTGCTTCAGAGGGTGCAAGCCTTAAGCCTTGGCAGCTTCCATATGGTGTTAAACCTGCAGGTGTGCAGACTGTAAGAGGTGAGGCTTGGGAGCCTCTGCCTAGATTTCAGAGGAAATATGAAAAAACCTGGCTGTCCAGGCAGAAGCCAGTTGCAGGGGCAGAGCCCTCATGGAGAACCTCTACTAGGGAAGTGCAGAGGGTAAATGTGGGGTTGGAGCTCCCACATAGAGTCCCCATGGGGGCACTGTCTAGTGAAGCTGTGAGAAGAGAGCCAACCTCCAGAACTTGGAATGGTAGATCCACTGAAAGCTTGCACCATGTGTCTGGAAAAGCCACAAGCACTCAATGCCAGACCTTGAAAGCAGCCATGGGGGCTGAACCATGCAAAGCCACAGGGACAGAGCTGCCCAAGGCCTTGGGAGCCCATCCCTTTTATAAGTGTGCCCTGGATGTGGGACATGGAGTCAAAGAAGATTATTTTGAAGCTTTAAGATTTAATGACTACCCTGCTGGGTTTTGGACTTGCATGGGGGGCATGTAGCCCCTTTCTCTTGGCCAATTTCTTTCTTTTGAAATGAGAGTATTTACCTAATGCCTATACCCTCATTTTATCTTGGAAGTAACTAACTTGTTTTTTTTTTTTTTATTATTTTGCAGATTCATAGGCAGAAGGGACTAGCTTTGTGTTAGATGAGACTTTAGACTGTGGACTTTTGAGTTAATGCTGGAATGAGTTAAGACTTTGGAGGACTATTGGGAGGACATGACTGTATTTTGAATGTGAGAATGGCATGAGATTTTGGAAGGTCCAAGGGCAAAATGATATAATTTTGATCGTTGTCCCTAACCAAATCTTAAATTGAAATGTAATCTCCAGTGCTGGAGGTGGGGCCTGGTGGGAAGTGATTGGATTGTGGGGACAGTTTCTCATGGTTTAACACTATCCCTGCCTGTTTGGTGCTGTTGTTGATAGTGAGTTCTCATGAGATCTGGTTGCAAAAGTGTGTGGCACCTCCCCCTCACCTCTTGCTCCTGTTCTGGTCATATAAGACATGCCTGCTTTCCCTTTGCCTTACAATATGATTGTAAGTTCTCTGAGGCCTCCCCAGAAGCTGAGCACATGCCAGCATCATTGTTTCTGTACAGCCTATAGAACTGTGAGCCAATTAAATCTCTTTTCTTTATCAATTACCCAGTCTGAGGCATTTATTTATGACAGTGTGAGAACGGGCTGATTCTTATGGTGGCAAAAGAATCAGCAGGATTTGGTAGTAATCAACAGCTTTGGTATATCTCTGCAGGCTTTATGGCACATCCTCAACATTGTTCCCAGGAGATGGGGCACACTTTCACGTTGGCCTCATTGAGTTATTCTCAACATCCTCTACACTTCTATGGGCAATACTAGTGAACAAGGCTTGGCTCCTCTGAGAGTCTGTAGCACAATCCCTTACTTCTAATAATGTGCAAGCATTCTTAGCTTTTTAAGATGGTCTGGTTCACTCCATTGTGGTTAGGGTGGTGGACCTATTATTATCTATTTCATATATTTATATCTACATATTTACAGTGGTACAGTGATTCCTCTGCTTCACTTCTTTTTCTATGAAACTTTCTCTCACTCCCCTCATAACTACCTTTTATAAGCCATGACATCTTTGTCCCATGGTTTCTAGGATGCTGCTGCTTCTTCAAGAGGTCAAGCATCACCCTCTGGTTAAAAGATCAGACACCTAATAGATATGTTACATAACTCACTGGGTCAGAGTTTTTCAATTTCTCCCTTTTTCTAATCTGTGACACATTCAGCTAAAATTTAACTACTCACAAAAGAATCAGAGTAGTCAAAGCAATCTTGAGCAGAAAGAACAAAACTGGAGCCATCTCAGTACTTGATTTCAAATTATATTACAAAGCTATAGTAACCAAAAAAGCATGGCACTGGCATAAAAACAGACACATAGACAATGGAACAGAAGAGAGAACTCAGAAATAAGTCCATACATCTACAGTGAACTCATTTTTGATAAAGTTTCCAAGAACATACACTGTGGAAAGGACAGTCTCTTCAATAAATGGTGCTGGGAAAACTGGATATCCATATGCAGAAGAAGAAACTAGACCATTAATTCTCACCATGTACAAAAATCAAATCAAAATGGATTAAATACTTATATCTGAGGCCTCAGACTATGAAACTGCTAAAGGAAACATTGAGGAAACTCTCCAGGACATTGGGCTGGGCAAAGATTTCTTGAGTAATACCCTAAAAGCACAGGCAACTAAAGACAAAATGGAAAATGGGATCACATCAAATTTTTTTAAAAAAAACTTCTGCATAGCAAAGGAAACAATCAACAAAGTGAAGAAATAATCCACAGAAAAGGAGAAAATATTTGCAAACTATCCATCTGACATGGGATTAATAACCAGAGTATATAAAGAGTTCAAAAACTCAACAGCAAAACACCAAATAATCCAATGTAAAATGGCCAAAAGATCTGAATAGGCATTTCTCAGAAGAAGACATACAAATGGCCCACAGTTATATGAAAAAGTGCCCAACATCATTAATCATCAGAGAAATGCAAAACTAAATCACAATGAGATTATCATCTCCCCCAGTTTATTAGGCTATTATCAAAAAGACAAAAAATATGAACTGCTGAGGAGGATTTGAAGAAAGGGGAACTCTCATACACTGTTGATGAGAATGTAAATTAATTCAGCCATTATGGAAAGCAGTATGGAGGTTCCTCAAAAAAACAAAAATAGAATTACCACATCATCCAGCATTCCCACTGCTGGGTATATATTTAAAAGAAAGGAAATTGGTATATTGAATATATATCTGCACTCCCATGTTTATTGTAGTAGTATTCATAATAGCCAAGATATAAAATCAACCTAAATGTCCATCAATGGATGAATGGATACATAAAGTGTTGTATATGTACACAATGAAATATTATTTAGCCACAAAATAATGAAGTTCTGTAATTTACAACAACATGTATTGAACTGGAGGACACTATACGAAGTGAAATAAACCAGGCACCAAAAGGTAAATACCACATATTCTCACTCATATGTGGGAGTTAAGAAAAATTGATCTCATAGAGGCAGAGAGTAAATGGTAGTTACCAGAGTCTGGGAAGGGTAGAAGGAGGGGGTCAATAAAAAGGGGTTAATAGGTAATGGGTACAAACATACAGTTAGAAGGAATGAGATCCAGTATTCAGTAGCACAATAGCAACTATAGTTAACAATAATTATTTTATATTTCAAAATAACTAGAAGAGTAGAATTGGAATATTCCTAACACAAAGACATGATAAATATTTCAGGTGACAGATATCCGAATTACTCTGATTTGGTCATTACACATTGTATGCATGTATCAAAATTTCACCTGTACCCCATAAATATGTACAACTACTATATACCCCAAAAATAGTAATTTAAAAATTAAACTAAATTAACTGGAAATAAATAAAAATAAAATTCAACTACTAGCAAGGTATTTTTTTAGGGGCAGTGGATACAATTCCATATTCTCTAAAATAGAAGGGCTGGCAGTCTTGTTTTAGCTTTGAGTTCTTTCTATGTTATTAGAGACTAAAACTTCTTTATTTTTTAAAAATAATATTGCCTCAATTTTTGTGGATGCTTTTTATCTTCCCTGATAATGTAGAATCCAGAGAGATGGTTTTACAACCTGCACTTTCTCCTCAAGAACAGCAGCTAGATGGTTTTTGGTAGCCACACAGTCAGTGCTTAACTCTAACTGGAAGTACACTCACTTCAAGATACTAGAAAATTCCCTTAAAATTTTCTTCTCTTATTTTGGTTTGAGATTCCATATATATCCTCATCTTTTATGGGCCCTCTTGGTAACCAACTGATTGAACGACCTTAATTTACCACATTTTCTGTTGCCCTAATAATATGAGCTTCTGTTTAGTACTTTGCCAAAAAAAAAAACCCAATGTCTTCAGAAATAAATATTTAAATTACATCTATAAGCACACAAATAGCATGCAATTTTACATAAAAGTTTTATAAACACATAGCAAGATGCCTTTTTGAAGTAATTGGCTTACCATCACTAGGGATATTGAAAAAAACTGTATGACCACTTGTAAGAGTGTAGTGGAGATTCCTATGTTGAGTTGGAGGCTAGTCTAGGTAATCTCTAAAGTTTTTTCCAACTCTAAGACTTCATACTTAAAAACTAACCCTCAGAGCATATACCCTATGCTATATGACCCAGAGCTAAAGTCTTAAGCCCTAGGAGCCCTCCACATATGTTGTGGATATCTGGCATTTTTGGCATCCCTGGTGTATACTCTGAACTCTGGGATAGTTGTCATACCATATGAGGACTATGTGACTGAATACACTGCCCGAGGTAGGTAGCATCTTCATATTCTTCACTACATTTAGTAAAGTCATGCACATGTTAAGAACAAAATAAATATTTGCTGTATTTGAATTTTCAGATCCAAAGCTATCATGGAGTACATGCTTTCTGCCATTCCTGAAATTAATGGTGGCATGGTGATAACACTCTTTGCCAGGTTGTATCCACTGGCTTGGGCAATTTATATATATGTTCCCCTCTATCAAGACTTTCCTTGGGGTGGCATGAATCTAGGGTCTTCCAGAGGAGGAATTCATGGAGGAAACCACACCATGTACTTTTATCCACTCTCTATACATATTCCTAAACCTACTTATAGTAAAATAAGATTCAAATATACGTTAAATGTAGCATTAAATGAGGAAAATAAAGTTATAAAATAGATATATTGGAAGTGAGAAGAAGTAGCCTGATTATTTTACTTTGTAGATAATTGGAGATTTTATTAGGCAATTGTTTGTATAATGGTCTCAATTTTAGTAGTCACAAAAGGAGTCACTTTTCCCTCACTACCAATCCCCTTGGGCAAAGAAGACAGGGAAATTTTCAATTCACAGTGCCCTAGGAAAAACTCTGCCTCAAATTTGTAATGATTTTTGGTTTAATTCCTATAATGTTGAGTTCCTTTTAGGTAAGATCCAAGGTTACACCATATATTAGTAAACATAGTGATAACTGTAGTTCTTTTAGATGCTATATGGGTTGGTAGGCAGGTAGAAAGTAAACGGAACAGATGAATGAACAGGTAAATGAGAGAATGGTTTACATTGGGAAGAATGGCGGAGTAGGTTGATGATGGAGACTGGTGTTGGCATTATTAAAAGGTCACCCTTTTCCTATGTGAATTCTGAATCATATGTGACATAAGACAAGACAGTGAACTTTTATTACTGATAAAGTCTGGATTGAAGGATGTAACTATTGTTACTGGTCAGGAGTATTTCTTGACACTGAATCTTAGCATTAACAATTATCTCTATCTAGTTAAAGGTGATGCTGTATGAGAGCGTAGGTTGCATGGGGAGTCCTTTTCTTAGAAGAGCAAAAGAGGATGTAGATCGTATCCAGTAAGAAAGAGGGGGCTGTATTAAAATCCAGTTTTTGTTCCCAAACTTATTAACCATGTCACTCTACCTCTCATGGTGGAGGAATAGTAAAGAGTGAAGAGAGACCGAGTGCATTACGCATATGGTGATGCCTCCATAGAGTAGAAAACATTAGCAGTAGTGAAGTATTTCACTCCCAAAGGGGGCTTTTAGGGAAGAAAAGAAGTTATTAAAAAGTGACTATAAAATATTAGCCATTTTTATTTGCTGAATGAGAAACACTTATAGCAAGATCCACAGTGTAGTGTTACTTCAGTCTGCTTATCCGAATCCAATTAGATCAGGAAAATCTTCAGCGTTATCTACTACAGTGATGAAAAAATAAAGTTCTTGTCACATTTCAATATTCTGTATGACATAGAAGTGCCCTTACCTAGGGTAATTTTAGCACATAAATGATTCCTTTTGACCATCTTGATAAGACATCTAAAGCCCAGAGTAGAAATAAGACTTCAGTATGAATAGAAAGAGACTGCCAGTAGTATTGTATTGCAACTATCTAAGAACTTACATAATTAATAGTTGAATTCCTCTGATACTGAGCTTTTACTGACAAACACATGGGTAGAGCAAGTTGTTCCTTGGATTTTATAACAATTGCCATCTCTCCTAGAGGTTGATGGCAAGTTAATATTTTTTATTTTTCTAGAAGGCAGCCATACCAACAAGGCAAAACTTAATAACCTTGTCTATCAATCATTATTTATACATGGGCAAACTCGGTATTGGGCTTAGAATTACAAAGAGTTAATTCTGAGCCAATATACATCAGCATTTTTAAAATGAATTCTGACTGGAAGCTATTACATTTAACATGGTTATTTTCAAATTTAAAATTAAAAACACATTTTTAAAAACTACCACACACAATTATCATTTGCATTATTCCTCTGCAGATTTAAAAAACTGCATTCAATGTAAACACAATTTGGTTAGAGACAGAAATGATATTGATATCAGGGAAAGACTAGTTTACAGTTTGAGCATACCTATCATGTACCATGCCCCAGTTTTGATCCTCTACGCAATGATTAGGTCTCTTCCTTCTTAGATTAGTGCAAACTTCCAAATGCAATGAATGAAAAAGATAACTAGGAACTTTCTT
The DNA here is from genome assembly GCF_000001405.40 of Homo sapiens. NCBI lineage: Eukaryota > Metazoa > Chordata > Mammalia > Primates > Hominidae > Homo > Homo sapiens. The sequence goes on along the minus strand of NC_000023.11, from coordinate 108,861,179 downwards.
TTAATTGCTGCACAAGCTACAATAGAGACAAACCATTGATGAGAGAAGTAATTAACAACATCACTGTCAGTTGAAGTTACACTCTCTGGATCTCTCCAATGCATGTGAGAAAACCAACAGCATAAAAATAATGTAGCCAAAAATATTAGTTTTAATAATGATATTTAACATTTTAACATTTTAGAAGGTTAACTACTGTCAAATCAACAATATCTACTTTCCAGAGTTTCTAGAACAGTCAAATCAAAACTGAACATAAAGGACATTTACATTAAAGCAAATATTTTCGTTGTCCTTCCATGCAGTTAGATATGTAGTTTTATGTATGTTGTGATTTATTGGGTCCAATAAATATATTTCCCCCACTGATAACTGAAATTTCATTCTTTCTTTGGTTTCAAAAACTCCCTCTTTGGCCTTTTACTTCCCATTAAAGGCAACCAATATTTATTGGACACTGACAGTTCCAGTGTGCAGGTTGCTAGGGTTACAAAGATGAATAAGAGCCATTCCCCACCCTCAGGTAGTAAAAATACTCTTCAGAGGAGTATCATTAAATCCCTAACACCTAAGTGAGAATTGGTTTTATCGATCCCTTCCTGCAAGAGATACTGAGGAATAAAAAGGTAGTTGGAGGATGATTGTGCTCTGGATTTGAAAATGCAGGGAAAGGAAGGATTTTGAAAGGGAAATTTGGAAATAACTTCTACTAGCACGAAGGCCTGCCTTCTGTCAGTCATTAATCCCTTTCAATTTTATGAGGAATAAATTCCAAATGCATGGAATAAAGCTAATTATGCAAAATCCTTAGTTGTTCCAGCAATGTAAAGTCCTATTTCTTTCAACTACAGGATAGAAACAGGTTCCATGGCCACACATCAATTATTGGTAAAATTGGAGTTGGGGTATGGTGAAGAAAGGCCTTGCTTTACAGGCGGACAGGCCTAGGTTTCAATCCTAACTTTACCATTTACTACCAGTGGGATCTGAACCACTTAATGGCCCAAAACCTCTGTTTTCTCATCTATAAAATGAGGAAAATAATATGTAATGTATACAAAGTATTAAGCACAGTGCCTAACTTATAGTAAGTATTTTATAAATATTGCATCATTTTCCCTACACTAATAGTGTAGAACAACTATTCTAACTATGTAGTCCGGGAACCCTTGCAGGTCTCTAATCCCTTCTCAGGGTGTTCATAAAATCAAAACAATTTTTATAATAATACTAAAATAATATTTTCCTTTTTTACCCTCATCCTCTTACAAGTTTACAGTCGAGTGGTGTATCACAATGGGCTGAATGCAGAAGTAGATATGAGAATCCAGCTGTCTTCGCTTAAGCCAGACACTTGGAAAAATGTAAAATTATGGCACTCCTCTTGCTATCATTTTTTAAAATTTTATTTTATTTTAAGTCGGGATACATGTACAGGACATGAAGGTTTGTTACATAGGTAAACATGTGCCATGGTGGTCTGCTGCACCTGTCAACCCATCACTTAGGCATTAAGCCCTGCATGCATTAGCTCTTTATCCTGATGCTCTTTCTCCCCCCACCCCCACCACAGGCCCCAGTGGGTGGTGTTCTCCTCCCTGTGTCTATGTGTTCTTATTGTTCAGCTCCAACCTGTAAGTGAGAAGGCGCCATGTTTGGTTTTCTGTTTCTGTGTTAGTTTGCTAAGGATAATGACTTCCTGCTCCATCCATGTCCCTGCAAAGGACATGATTTCATTCTTTATTATGGCTGAATAGTATTCCATGTTGTATGTGTACTGTATTTTCTTTATCCAGTCTATCACTGATGGGCATTTGGGTTGATTCTATGTCTTGGCTACTGTAAATAGTGCTGCAATGAACATACATGTGTATGTATCCTTATAATAGAATTATTTATATTCCTTTGGGTATATACCCAGTAATGGGATTGCTGGGTCAAATGGCATTTCTGGTTCTAGGTCTTTGGGGAATTGTCACACTGTCTTCCACAATGGTTGAACTAATTTACATTCCCAACAAAAGTGTAAAAGTGTTTCTATTTCTCCACAGCCTTGCCAGCATCTGTTGTTTCTTGACTTTTTAATAATCACCATTCTTTACCTACTCAAGCCTTGGCAATGGCGGGCGCCCCTTCCCCAGCCTCGCTGCCACCTTGCAGTTTGATCTCAGACTGCTGTGCTAGCAATGAGCGAGGCTCCGTGGGTGTAGGACCCTCCGAGCCGGGCGTCGGATATAATCTCCTAGTGTGCCGTTTGCTAAGACCATTGGAAAAGCGCAGTATTAGGGTGGGAGTGACCAAATTTTCCAGGTGCCATCTGTCACCCCTTTCTTTGACTAGGAAAGGAAATTCCCAGACCCCTTGTGCTTCCTGGGTGAGGCGATGCCTCGCCCTGCTTCAGCTCAGGCTCAATGCATTGCACCCACTGTCCTGCACCCACTTTCTGACACTCCCCAGTGAGATGAACCTGGTACCTCAGTTGGAAATGCAGAAATCATCCCTTTGACCCAGCCATCCCATTACTGGGTATATACCCAAAGGATTATAAATCATGCTGCTATAAAGACACATGCACACATATGTTTATTGTGGCACTATTCACAATAGCAAAGACTTGGAACCAACCCAAATGTCCAACAATGATAGACTGGATTAAGAAAATGTGGCACATATACACCATGGAATACTATGCAGCCATAAAAAAGGATGAGTTCATGTCCTTTGTAGGGACATGGATGAAGCTGGAAACCATCATTCTCAGCAAACTATCACAAGGACAGAAAACCAAACACCGCATGTTCTCACTCATAGGTGGGAATTGAACAATGAGAACACATGGACACAGGAAGGGGAACATCACATACCGGGGCCTGTTGTGGGATGGGGGAGGGGGGAGGGATAGTATTAGGAGATATACCTAATGTTAAATGACGAGTTAATGGGTGCAGCACACCAACATGGCACATGTATACATATGTAACTAACCTGCACGTTGCACACATGTACCCTAAAACTTAAAGTATAATAAAAAAAAATAATCACCATTCTAGCTGCAGCCAGTAAGGTGCATGCCCCACACGGCTGCACACCCCTTCATCAGCTGGGCCTGCTCCAGCACAAAGAAAAGGCCACCACAGGCACAGCACACCCCATCAATCTCCTTCCAGTCCCTATCAGGCCCTGCCAGCAACTTCCACCAAGAGCCATGGCTCAACACCAGATTGGAAATTAGACATCATGATCCCTCCAGTTAGCCTTAATTACAGACCCCAACAGTACAGCTTGACAGCTCCCAGGACCATCACTTTCTTCATCTGACTTTATTGAACTTTTACAAACTAACAGTCACCAGCACCAAAGAATTAAGTCAACTAACCTGCCTTGAATATTAGACCAGCAATCCATATGGCTTTATCTGGTATAAAGCTGCCTTTGATCACTTCTAGACCATAGGAAAAAGGAATAGCAATCATTAAAATCTTGGGCCAGAGAACACTATTTTTACATAACAGTTTCTTAACCTAAAATCAAGGCCTTGGACCCTTCCTTGAGGGTTGCCTGAGATTCCTTCATGCTTTCCATTCAGGGCTAAGTCCTTTATTGCAGAGGTGTTAGCTCTAATATCTCCCACAAGCTAGAGGAACTTGAGAGTATATTAAGGACGCATCTGACATCCAGTGTTTGGTTAGAATATACAGTACATTTTGATAACACAAAAAGTGGATTCATCTTGTATGATTATAGGCAGAAGGTATTTTGCACATTTTTATGTATTGTTTATGTACTGTACAAGTAACTTATTCTTGAATAATGCAATTTTTGCTATAGTGTACAAATTGCTATATGTACATTAAAAGTTTTCAGAATCTTGAAAAAAACACCATTCTGACTGACTTGAGATGATATCTCATTGTGGTTTTGATTTGCATTTCTCTAATGATCAGTGATGTTGAGCTTTTTTTCATGTTTGTTGGCTGAATAAAAGTCTTCTTTTGAGAAGCGGCTTGTTCATATTCTTTGCCCACTTTTTGATAGGGTTGTTTATTTTTTTTCTTGTAAATTTCTTTAAGTTCCTTATAGATTCTGGATATTAGACCTTTCTCAGATGGATATACTGCAAAAACTTTCTTCCATTCTGTAGGTTGTCTGTTCACTCTGATAATAATTTCTTTTGCTGTGCAGAAGCTCCTTAGTTTAATTAGATCCCATTTGTCAATGTTTGCATTTGTTGCAATTGCTTTTGATATTTTCATCATGAAATCTTTGCCCATGCTTATGTCCTGAATAATATTGCCTAGATTTTCTTCTAGGATTTTCACAGTTTAAGGTTTTACGTTTAAGTCTTTAACCCATCTTTAGTTTATTTTTGTTTAAGGTGTAAGGAAGGGATTCAGTTTCTATGTTCTGCATGCATACAGTTAGCCAGTTTTTCCAGCACCTTTTATTAAATAGAGAATCTTTTCCCCATTGCTTGTTTTTGTCAGGTTTGTTGAAGATGAGATGTTTTTAGATGTGTGGTCTCATTTCTGTGATCTCTATTCTCTTCCATTGGTCTGTGTGTCCTTTTTTGTACCAGGACCATGCTGTTTTAGTGACCGTAGCCTTGTAGTACAGTTTGAAGTTGGGTGGCATGATGCTTCCAGCTTTGTTCTTTTTCCTTAGGATTGTCTTCGTTATATAGGCTATTTTTTGGTTCCATATAAATTTTAAAGTATTTTTTCTAATTCTGTGAAGAATGTCAATGGTAGTTTAATGGAAATCACATTAAATCTATAAATTATTTGTGGCAGTATGGCCATTTTCACAATATTGATTCTTCTTATCCATTAGTATGGAATGTTTTTCCCATTTGTTTGTGTCCTCTCTTATTTCCTTGAGCAGTGGTTTGTAGTTCTCCTTGAAGAGGTCCTTCCCTTCCCTTGTTACTGTATTCCTAGGTATTTTATTCTCTTTGTAGCAATTGTGAATGGGAGTTCATTCATGATTTGGCTCTCTGCTTGTCTGTTGCTGGTGTATAGAAATGCTTGTAATTTTTGCACATTCATTTTTTATCCTGAGACTTTGCTAAAGTTGCTTATCAGCTTAAGAAGCTTTTGGGCTTAGAGGATGGGGTTTTCTAAATATAGGATCATGTCATCTGCAAACAGAGACAGTTTGCCTTTCTCTTTTCCTATTTGAATGTGCTTTATTTCTTTCTCTTGCCTGATTGCCCTGGCCAGAACTTCCAATACTATGTTCAATAAGAGTGGTGAGAGAGGGCATCCCTGTCTTGTGGAGGTTTTCCAGGGGAATGCTTCCAGCTTTTGCTCATTCAGTATGATATTGGCTGTGGGTCTGTCATAAATGGCTCTGATTATTTTATGGTATGTTCCATCAATACCTAGTCTATTGAGAGTTTTTAACATGAGGGGATGTTGAATTTTATCGAAGGCCTTTTCTGCATCTATTGAGATGATCATGTGGTTTTTGTCATTGGTTTTGTTTATGTGATGGATTACGTTTATTGATTTGCATATGTTGAACCAGTATTGCATCCTGGGGATGAATCTGGCTTGTTCGTGTTGAATATGCTTTTTGTTGTGCCACTGGATTTGGTTTGCCTGTATGTTCTTGAGGATTTTTGCATTGATATTCATCAGAAATACTGGCTTGAAATTTTTTTGTTGTTGTATCTCTGCCAGGTTTTGGTATCAGGATGATGCTGGCCTCATAAAATGAGTTAGAGAGAAGTCCCTCTTTTTCAATTGTTTTGAATAGTTTCAGAAGAAATGGTACCAATGGTACCAGTTTCTCTTTGTACTTCTGGTAGAATTAAGCTGTAAAACTGTCTGGTCGGCCGGGTGCGGTGGCTCACGCCTGTAATCCCAGCACTTTGGGAGGCCGAGGCGGGCGGATCACGAGGTCAGGAGATCAAGACCATCCCGGCTAAAACGGTGAAACCCCGTCTCTACTAAAGATACAAAAAGTTAGCCGGGCGTGGTGGCGGGCGCCTGTAGTCCCAGCTGCTTGGGAGGCTGAGGCAGGAGAATGGCGTGAACCCGGGAGGCGGAGCTTGCAGTGAGCCGAGATCCCGCCACTGCACTCCAGCCTGGGCGACAGAGCGAGACTCCGTCTCAAAAAAAAAAAAAAAAAAAAAAAAAAAAAAAAAAAAAACTGTCTGGTCCTGGCTTTTTTGGGGTTATTTATTACTACTTCAATTTCAGAACTTGTTATTGGTTTAAGCAAGGATTTAACTTCTTCCCAGTTTAATCTCAGGAGGGTGTATGTGTTCAGGCATTTATCTATTTCTTCTAGATTTTCTACTTTATTTGAATAAAGGTGTTTATATTATTCTCTGATAATTGTTTGTATTTCTGTGGGGTAAGTGGTAATATCCCCTTTATCATTTTTTATTGTGTCTATTTGATTCTTTTCTCTTTTCTTCTTCATAAATCTAGCTAGCTTTCTATTTTATTATTTTTTTCAAAAAACAGCCCCTGGATTTATTGATTTCTGAAGGTTTTTCTATCTCTATTTCTTTAAGTTCCACTCTGATCTTGGTTATTTCTTGTCTTCTAGCTTTGGGGTTTGTTTGCTCTTGGTTCTCTAGTTATTTTAGTTGTCATGCTAGGGTATTGATTTGAGATCTTCCTAGCTTTTTGATGTGGGCATTTAGTGCTATAAATTTCCCTCTTAACGCTGGTATAGCTGCATCCCAGAGGTTCTGGTATGTTGTCTCTTTGTTCTCATTGGTTTCAAAGAACTTCTTGATCTCTGTTTTAATTTCATTATTTACCCAGGAGTTATTCAGGAGCTGGTTGTTCAATTTCCATGAGTTGTGTGGTTTTGAGTGAGTTTCTTTATCTTAAGTTCTAATTTGACTGTGCTGTGATGTGAGAAACTGTTTGTTATGATTTCAGTTGTTTTGCATTTGCCAAAGAGTATTTTACTCCAAATTATGTGATTGATTTCAGAGTAAGTGCCATGTGGCACCAAGAAGAATGTATATTCCTTTGATTTGAGGTGTAGAATTCTGTAGATATCTATCAGATTTACTTGATCCAGAGCTGAGTTCAAGTCCTTGTTCATATCCTTGTTGTATTAGTCTGTTCTCACGCTGCTAATAAAGATATGCCAAAGACTGGGTAATTTAAAAAGGAAAGAGATTTAATGGACTCACAGTTTCACATGGCTGTGGAGGCCTCACAATCATGGTGGAAGGTGAAGGAGAAGCAAAGGTATCTTACATTTTAGCAGGCATGAAAGCTTGTGCAGGGGAACTCCCCTGTATAAAACCATCAGATCCCATGAGACTTATTCACTACCACGAGAACAGTATGGGGAAAACCACCTCACTGATTCAATTATCTCTACCTGGACCTGCCCTTCACACATGGAGATTATTTAAATTCCAGGTGAGATTTGGGTGGGGACACAGCCAAACCATATCACTTGTTAATTTTCTGTCTCAATGACCTGTCTAATATTGACAGTGGGGTGTTAAAGTTTCCCACTATTGTTCTGTGGGAATCTAAGCCTCTTTGTAGGCCTCTAAGAACTTGTTTTATGAATCTGGGTGCATATATATTTAAGATAGTTAGCTCTTCTTTTTGAATTGATTCCTCTATTATTATTTAATGCCCTTCTTTGTCTTGGGTGACCTTTGTTGGTTTAAAATCTGTTTTGTCAGAAATTAGGATTGCAATTCCTGCTTTTTTCTGCTTTCCATTTGCTTGGTAAATATTCCTCCATCCCTATATTTTGAGCCTATGTGTGTCTTTGTACGTGAGATGGGTCTTGACTCTTTATCCAGCTGGCAATTTTGTGTCTTTGAATTGGGACATTTTTCAGCCCATTTACATTTAAGGTTAAGATTGTTATGTGTTAATTTGATTCTGTCATCATGATGCTATCTGGTTATTTTGCAGACTTGTTAATGTAGTTCGTCATTGATTTTTGTACTTCAGTGGGTTTTTGAAGTGGCTTGTAATGGTTTTTCCTTTCCATATTTAGTGCTTCCCTCAGGAGCTCTTGCAAAGCAGGCCTGGTGGTGATAAAAACCCTCAGCATTTGCTTGTCTGTAAAGGGTTTTATTTCTCCTTCATTTATGAAGCTTAGTTTGGCCAGATATGAAATTCTGAGTTGGAAATTCTTTTCTTTAAGAATGTTGAACATTCACTTCCAATATTTTCTGGCTTATAGACTTTCTGCTGAAATGTTCACTGTTATTCTGATGATCTTCCCTTTGTAGGTGACCTGACCTTTCTCTCTGGCTGCCCTTAACATTTTTTCCTTCAATTTGACCTTGGAGAATCTGATGATTATGTGCTTGTAGTTTGTCTTCTCATGGAGTATCTTATTGGAGCTCTTTGGATTTCCTGAATTTGAATGTTGGCCTGTCTTGTTAGATTGGGGAAGTTCTCCTGGATGATATCCTGATGTTTTTCAACTTGGTTCTGTTCTCCCTGGCTCTTTCAGGTACCCCAATCATTTGTAGGTTCAGTCTTTTTACATAATTTCATAGTTCTTGGAGGTGTTGTTCCTTTTCTTTTGTTTTTCTCTAATCTTGTCTGCCTGTCTTATTTCAGCAAGAGAGTCTTCGGGCTCTGAATTTTTTTGCTCTGCTTGGTCAATTTGGCTCTTGATACTGTGATTGCATTGTAAAGTTCTCGTGTTGTGTTTTTCAGCTCCATCAGGTCGTTTATGTTTCTCTCTAAACTGTTTATTCTAGTTAACAGCTCCTGTAGTGTTTCATCATGATTTTTAGCTTCTTTGCCTTGGGTTAGAAAATGCTCCTTTAGTTCAGCAAAGTTTGTTATTACCCACCTTCTGAAGCCTACTTCTGTCAATTCATCCATCTCAGCCTCTGCCCAGTTCTGTGCCCTTGCTCCAGAGGTGTTGCAATCATTTGGAGGAGAAGAGGCACTCTGGGTTTTTGTTTTCAGCATTATTTCACTCATTCTTTCTCATCTTCACGAGTTGTCTTTGATATTTGAGGCTCCTGACCTTTGAATGGGGTTTTTGTGGGGACTATTTTGTTGATGCTGTTGTAGTTATTGTTGCTTTCTGTTTGTTTTTCTTTTAACAGTCAAGCCCCTCTTCTGTAGGGCTGCTGTGGTTTTCTGGGGATCCACTCCAGACCCTATTCACTGGGATCCCTCTCACACCTGGAGGTGTCATCTGTGGATGCTGCAGAACAGCAAAGATGGCTGCCTGTTCTTTCCTCTAGGATCTCTGTCCCAGAGAGGAACAGACCTAATGCAGGCAGGAACGCTCCTGTATAAAGTGTCTGGAAACCCCTGTTGGGGGGGTCTCACCCAGTCAGGAGTCATGGGATCTGGGACCTGCTTAAGAAAGCACTCTGGCTGCCCCTTGTCAGAGGGGCTGTGCCACAATGGGGGGAATCAACCTCATCTGGACTGCCCGGATTCCTCAGAGCCAGCAGGGGGAAAGATTAAGTCTGCTGATCTGTGGAGACTGCAGCCACCGTTCCCCACAGAGGCTCAGTTTCAGGGAGTTCAGAGTTTTGCCCCTAAACCCTTGGCTGGAGTTGCTGAAATTCCTGCAAGGATGCTTCATCCAGTGAAGAGGGATGAGTCAGGGTCCGGCCTAAAGAGGCAGTCTGGCCATGATCTGCCATAGCTGCTGTGCTGCACGGTGGGGAAATCCTCCTGGGTTCAAACTGCCCAGTCTCCTTGCGACAGCCAGGAAAAGATGGCTGACTGGATCTGCAGTGATTTTTGCTGCCTCTCCCCCAGGGAGTTCAGACATCTTAGACTGCAGGCAGCTGTAGTGATGGCTGCCACCCATTCCCCCAGGGACTTCAGTCATCTTAGGCTGCAGGGAGCCACAGTGATGGTGGCCACCTCTCCTCCCAGAAACTAAGTAGTCTTAGTCTGCAGCCAAGTGGCCATTGACAATCTGCACAGCTCTGTGCTTGGGAGCCAAGGCCTTGGAGGCAGGGGCTCACGAGGGGAATCTCCTGATGCATGGGTTGCACAGATCCATGGAAAAAGTGTGGTTTCTTGGGCAGGGTAGCACTATCACTCACTACCTCCCTTGGCTGGGGGTGGGAGCTCCCCTTGCCCCATGTGGCTTCCAGGTGGGCCATTGCACCACCCTGCTTTTCCTTGCTCTCCTTGGGTTGCACCAACCATCTGGTCAGACTCATTGAGACAACCTGGATACCTCAGTTGCCAGTGCAGGATTCACTTGCCGTTTTCTTTCTTGTCTGTGAGAGCTTCTGAATGCAGCTATTTCTAGTCGACTATCCTGGCCCCTCCCCCCATACTATGGTTATCTTTTTTGTTTCTGAAAATGTAGGGGTTTTTCATACTTATATTATTATGTTAACATATAATAGATATATTATTGTTCATCTTAAATGAATTAATAAAAAATATTTTTAACATTTCTCAGTTTTAATTATTGATATGGTAAATATTGGAGGATATAATTTACATAAACAAAAGCTCTTTAAGCTTTTATGTTTCAGAATCACTGGAGATAAATCATTGTAATTCTTAACATGCTCACCCCCAAAACTAATTTGAGACCTTGGCTTTCCTATACTTACATCTATATTTTTTGTAATTAATAAATATCAACTGATTTAAGGTTTATCCCATTCTCATTTTAGCATCTATCACTTTCTGGTAGAAGTGTGAATATGCCAGAAACCAGCCAAAATGTCAACAAGAGAAGAAGAAATGGGCTTGGAAATTTCACCGAATAGTTAATCAGTTGTGAGTAATTGTTAATGGAAATAGTTAAATAATATCTTACAATGTGTTTTATTAATGTGAGATTAATTTAGATACATTAAAATCCCCCCTTTTGGTGTACAGTTCTGTGAATTTTGAAAAATGCATACAGCTGTATAATCACAATCATGATTCAAAAATTTCCCTTGTGTCCCTTTGTAGTTAGAACTTCCCAGCTCCCCTCCCACCAGCCACTGGTCTGATTTATGTCCTTGTGGTTTTTTATTTTCTAGAATATCTTATAAATGGATTCAAACAGTATATAACCTTTTGAGTCTGATTTCTTTCGCTTAGCAATACACATTTGAGATTCATCCATGTTGTTTCATGTATCAATAGTTTGCTTTTTTTAATTGATAAATTGTGTTCCATTGTGTGGATGGATGAATCAGAGTGTTCATTCATTCACTAGCTGATGGACATTTGGATTGTTTCTGCTTTGGGGAGATTATGAATAGAGCTGCTATAAACAATTGCATATAGGTTTTTATATGGACATACGTTTCCCTTTCCCTTGAGTAAATGCCTACTAAAAAATATCCAAACTGTTTTTCACAGTGGTTATAACAATGACTTTTCATCAGTCATGACGTTGATAAAGATTTTACAACTATCATAATAAGAAAATTGATTTCCTGTTGGAGAGTTTTCTTTTTAAACAGTAAAGGACAAATACTGGGGAGTACAAATGCATTCTGTGTCTCATCTTAAATTTAATCCTGAGAAACTGGGTTTAAAAACCCACAAAACAGCTCTGATTTTCAAGGGTTTTTTAATTACAGAAATGTTATCTGAATTTTATTGTCATTAGAAAATATAAGTTTATGCATGTTGAGTGGTGCTGTCACAACAAAAATTGACAAACATTTGATGTTTGTTTTTCATCTGCCATCCACCATAAAATATAAAACAAAACCAGAGGGAATGTGTTCACTTTCCTCTCCAAAAGGGGGAGTGAACGCAGGAGAGTTATTTCTTTTTTAAAACAATTTTTTTTTATTTCCATAGGTTTTTAAGGAACCAATGGTATTTGGTTACATGGGTAAGTTACTTAGCGGTGATTTGTGAGATTTTGGTGCACCCATCACCTGAGCAGTATACGCTGAACCCAATTTGTAGTCTTTTATCTCTTACCCCCTCACCTTTTTCCTCAAGTCGCCAAAGTCCATTGTATCATTCCTATGCCTTTGTAGCCTCATAGCTTAGCTCCCACTTAAGAGTAAGAACATACGATGTTTGGTTTTCCATTCCTGAGTTACTTCACTTTGAATAATAATCTCTAGTTCCATCCAGGTTGCTGTGAATGCCATTAATTCGTTCCTTTTTATGGTTGAGTAGTATTCCATCACATATATATACCACAAATTCTTTATCCACCCATTGATTGATGGACATTTGGGCTTGTTTTATTTTCTTGCAATTGCAAATTGTGCTCCTATAAAGGTGTGCACCAGTATCTTTTTCGTATAATGACTTCCTTTCCTGGGATTGCTGCATCAAATGGTAGCTCTATTTTAGTTGTTTAGGGACTCTCCACACTGTTTTCCATAATTCGTTGTACTAGTTTACATTCCCACCAGAAATGTAGAAGTGTTCCCAACATCTATTTTTTTTTTTTGACTTTTTGATTATGGGCATTCTTGCAGGAGTAAGGTGGTATCACATTGTGGTTTTGATTTGTATTTTCCTGACCATTAGTGATGTTGAGCATTCTTTCATATATTTGTTGGATATTTGTGTATCTTCCTTTGGAAATTGTCTGTTCATGTCCTTAGCCCACTTTTGATGGGATTCTTTGTTTCTTTCTTGCTAATTTGTTTGAGTTCCTTGTAGATTCTGGATATTAGTCCTTTGTCAGATGTATAGGTTGTGAAGATTTTCTCCCACTCTGTGGGTTGTCTGCTTATTCTTTTGATTATTCTTTTTGTTGTGCAGAAGCACTTTAGTTTAATTCACTCCCATTTATTTATCTTTGTTTTTATTGCATTTGCTTTTGGGATCTTGGTCATGAAGTCTTTGCCTCAACCAATGTCTAGAAGGGCTTTTCCAATGTTATGTTTTAGAATTTTTGTAATTTCAGGTCTTAGATTTAAGTCCTTGATCCATCTTGAGTTGATTTTTGTATAAGGTAAGAGAAGAGGCTGCAGTTTTTTTTTTTTGTTTTTGTTATTGTTTTTTTGAGACAGAGTCTTGCTGTCGCCCAGGCTGGAGTGCAGTGGCACGATCTCGGCTCACTGCAAGCTCCACCTCCCAGGCTCATGCCATTCTCCTGCCTCAGGCTCCCGAGTAGCTGGGACTACAGGCGCCCGCCACCATGCCCAGCTAATTTTTTTGTATTTTTAGTAGAGATGGGGTTTCACCGTGTTAGCCAGGATGGTCTCGATCTTCTGACCTCGTGATCCGCCCGCCTTGGCCTCCCAAACTGCTGGGATTACAGGTGTGAGCCACCTCGCCTGGCTGAGGATGTAGTTTTATTCTCCTCCATGTGGCTTGTCAATTATCCCAGCACCATTTGTTGAATAGGGTGTCCTTTCTCCACTTTATGTTTTTGTTCACTTTGTAGAAGATCAGTTGGCTGTAAGCATTTGGCTTTGTTTCTGGGTTTTCTATTCTGTTCCATAGGTCTATGTGCCTATTTTTATACCAATACCATGCTGTTTTTGTGACTATTGCCTTATAGTTTAATTTGAAGTCAGGTAATGTGATCCCTCCAGATTTGTTCTTTTCATTTAGTCTTGCTATGGCTATGTGAGCTCTTTTTTGGTTTCATATGAATTTTAAGGGTGTTTATTCTAGTTCTGTGAAGAATGGTGGTAGTATTTTTATGGGAATTGCATTGAACTTGTAGATTGCTTTTGGCAGTATGGTCATTTTCACACTATTGAGTCTACCCATCCATGACCATGGGATGTGCTTCCATTTGTTTGTTTCATCTATGATTTCTTTCAGCAATGTTTTTTCATTTTTCTTATAGAGGTCTTTCACGTCCTTGGTTAGGTATATTTCTAAGTTTTTTTGCAGCTATTGAGAAAGGAGTTGAGTTCTTTATTTGATTCTCAGCTTGGTCACTATTGGTGTATAGCAGGGCTACTGATTTTTGTACATTAATTTTGTATCCTGAAATTTTGCTGAATTCATTTATCAGTTTTATGAGCTTTTTGGATGAGTCTTTAGGGTATTCTAGGTATAAGATCATATCATCAGCAAACAGCAACAGTTTGATTTCCTCTTTACAGATTTGGATGCCTTTTATTTCTTTCTCTTGTCTTATTGCTCTGGCTAAGATTTCCAGTACTATGTTGAATAGAAGCAGTGGGAGTGGGCATTCTTGTTTTGTTCCAGTTCTCAGGGAGAATGCTTTCAACTTTTCCCTAGTCAGTATTATGATTGCTGTGGGTTTGTCATAGATGGCTTTTATTACATTGTGGTATGTCCCTTGTATGCCAATTTTGCTGAGGGTTTTAATCATAAAGGATGCTGGATTTTGTCAAATGTTTTTTCTGCATCTATTAACATGATCATGTGATTTTTGTTTTTAATTATGTTTATATACTGTATCACATTTATTGACATGTGTATGTTAAACCATTCCTGAATCCCTGGTATGAAACCCACTTGATCACGGTGGATAATCTTTTTGATATGCTGTTGGATTCAGTTAGCTAGTATTTTGTTAAGGATTTTTGCATCTATGTTCATCAGGGATACTGGCCTGGAGTTTTCTTTTTTGGTTACATCCTTTCCTGGTTTTGGTATTAGGGTGATAATGGCTTCATAGAATAATTTAGGGAGGATTCCCTTTTTCTCAATTCTGTGAAATAGTGTCGATAGGATTGGTACCAATTTTGCTTTGAAAGTCTGATAGAATTCAGCTGTGAATCCTTCTGGTCTTGGACTACTTTTTATTGGTGATTTTTTATTACCATTTTAATTTTCCTACTTGTTATTGGTTGGCTCAGGAGTTCTAATGCTTTCTGATTTAAGCTAGGAGGGCTGTATATTTCCAGGAATTTACCCATCTTTTCTAGGTTTTCTAGTTTATGTGGATAAAGGTGTTTATAGTAGCCTTGAATTATCTTTTATATTTCTGTGGTATCAGTTGTAATATCTCCCATTTCATTTCTAATTGAGCTTATTTAAAACTTCTCTCCTCTTTTCTTAGTTAATCTTGCTAATGGTCTATAAATTTTATTTATTTTTTCAAAGAAGCATCTTTTTGTTTCATTTATCTTTTGTATTTTTGTTTTAATTTCATTTAGTTTTGTTCTGATCTTTGTTCTTTTATTCTGCTGGATTTCGGTTTCATTTATTTTTGTTTCTCTAGCTCCTTGAGGTGTGACCTTAGATTGTCTATTTGTGCTCTTTCAGAGGTTTTCTTTTATTATTATGATTATACTTCAAGTTCTAGGGTACATGTGCAGAACGTGCAGATTTGTTACATAGGTATACATGTGCCATGGTGGTTTGCTGCACCCATGAACCCGTCATCTACATTAGGTATTTCTCTTGATGCTATCCCTCCCCCAGCCCCCAACTTCCAGACATGCCCCTGTGTGTGATGTTCCCCTCCCTGTATCCATGTATTCTTATTGTTCAACTCCCACTTATGAGTGAGAACATGCAGTGTTTGGTTTTCTGTTCTTGTGTTAGTTTGCTGAGAATGATGGTTTCCAGCTTCATCCAGGTCCCAGCAAAGGACATGAACTCATCCTTTCTTATGGCTGCATAGTATTCCATGGTGTATATGTGCCACATTTTCTTTATCCAATCTATCATTAATGGATATTTGGGTTGGTTTCAAGTCTTTGCTAATGTGAATAGTGTCACAATAAACATAAGTGTGCATGTGTCTTTATAGTAGAATGATCTAAACTAGAAGAAATGGATAATTTCCTGAACACATACACTCCCCCAAGACTAAACCAAGAAGAAGTAAAATTGCTGAATAGACCAATAACAAGTTCTGGAATTGAGGTAGTAATTAATAGCTTACCAACCAAAAAAAGGCAGGACCCAACAGATTCGCAGTGGAATTCCACCAGAGACACAAAGAGGAGCTGGTACCATTTCTTCTGAAACTATTCCAAACAACTGAAAAGGAGGGACTCCTCCATAACTCATTTTATGAGGTCAGCATCATCCTACTACCAAAACCAGGCAGAGACACAACGAAAAAAGAAAACTTCAAGCCAATATCCCTGCAGAACAATGTGGCATAAATCCTCAATAAAATACTGGCAAACCGAATCCCAAAGCACATCAAAAAGCATGTCCAATATGATCAACTTGGCTTTATCCCTGGGATGCAAGGCTGGTTCAACATATGCAAATCAATAAACTTAATCCATCACACAAACAGAACTGAAGACAAATAATAAATGGTCATTTCAATAGATGCAGGAAAGGCCTTATATAAAATTCAACATCCCTTCATGTTAAAAACTTTCAATAAACTAGGTATTGATGGAACATATCTCAAAATAACAAGAGCTATTTAAGACAAACCCACAGCTGATATACTGAATGGGCAAAACCCAGAAACATTCCATTTGAAAACGTGCACAAGACAAGGATGCCCTCTCTCACCACTCCTACTCAACATAGTATTAGAAGTTCTGGCCGGGGTAATCAGGCAAGATAAAAAAGTAAAGGTATTCAAATAGGAAGAGAGGAAGTCAAATTGTCTCTGTTTGCAGATGACATGATTTTATATTTAGAAAACCCCATCGTCTCAACCCCAAAACTCCTTAAGCTGGTAAGCAACTTCAGCAGAGTCTCAGGATACAAAATTAATGTGCAAAAATCAAAATTATTCCTATACACCAACAATAGACAAGCAGAGAACCAAATCATGAATGAACTCCCATTTGCAATCACTACAAAGATAATAAAATACCTAGGAATACAGCTAACAAGGGATGTTAAGGACCTCTTCAAGGAAAACTACAAACCACTCCTCAAGAAAATAAGGGAGGACACAAACAAATGGAAAAGCATTCCATGCTCATGGATAGGAAAAATCAGCATCGTGAAAATGGCCATACTACCCAAAGTAATTTATAGATTCGATGCTATTCCCATCAAACTACCATTGACATATTCCCCATAATTAGAATAAACTACTTTATTTCATATGGAACCAAAAAAGAGCCCATACAGCCCAGAAATCCTAAGCAAAAAGAACAAAGCTGGAGTCATCATGCTGCCTGACTTCAAACTATACTGCAAGGCCACAGTAACCAAAAGAGCATGGTACTGGTACCAAGACAGATATATTGACCAATGGAATAGAGCAGAGACCTCAGAAATAACAACACACATGTATAACCATCTGATCTTTGACAAACCAGATAAAAACAAGCAATGCGGAAATGATTCCCTGTTCAATAAATGGTGCTGGGAAAACAGGCTAGTCATATGCAGAAAACTGAAACTGGACTACTTCTTTACACCTTATACAAAAACTAACTCAAGATGGATTAAAGACTTAAATGTAAAACCCCAAACCATAAAAACCCTAGAAGAGGAAGGAGGGATAGCATTAGGAGATATACCTAATGTAAATGACAAGTTAATGGGTGCAGCACACCAACATGGCACAGGTATACATATGTAACAAACCTGCACATCGTGCACATGTACCCTAGAACTTAAAGTATTATATATATATATATATATATATATATATATATATATAAAACAAAAGTGAGCAAAGGATATGAACAGACACTTCTCAAAAGAACACATGTATGTGGCCAAAAAATTTGTGGAAAAAGCTCAACATCACTGATCATTAGAGAAATGCAAATCAAAACCATGAGATACCATCTCATGCCAGTTAGAATGGAGATTATTAAAAGGTCAAGAAAGAATAGATCTTGATGAGGCTGTGGAGAAATAGTAATGCTTTTACACTGTTGGTGGGAATGTAAATTAGTTCAACCATTGTGGAAGACAGTGTGGCAATTCCTCAAGGTTTTAGAACCAAAAATACTATTTGACCCAGGAATCACACTACTGGGTATATATCCAAAGGAATATAAATCATTCTACTATAAAGACACATGCACAAGTATGTTTATTGCAGCACTATTTACAATAGCAAAGAAATGGAACCAACCCAAATGCCCATCAATGACAGACTGGATAAAGAAAATGTAGTACATATACGCCATGGAATACTATGCAGCCATCAAAAGGAATGAGATCATGTCATTTGCAGGGACATAGATGAAGCTGGAAGCCATTATCTTCAACAAACTAATACAGGAACAGGAAACCAAACACCACATATTCTCACTCCTTATGGGATACAGCAAAACCAGTTCTAAGAAAGAATTTTATTGCAATAAATGCCTACATTAAAAGAGAAGCTCTCATATAAACCACCTAACTGTACACCTTAAAGAACTATAATAGCAATCTAAGCCCAAAGTTAGTAGAAGAGAGGAAATAATATAGATCAAAGCAAAAATAAAAGTAATAGAGGCTACAGAAACAATAGAAAATGTTAACAAATTAGGGGTTGGTTTTTTGAGATGACTAACACAATTGATAAGAACTTAGTCTAGGAAAAAAAGAAAGTATATGCAAATAAATGAAATCAACAATGAAATAGGAGACAGTATGACTAACATCAGATTCATAAGAAGGATCACAAAAGACCACCATGATCAATTCTACAGCAACAATTTGGATAAGAGAAAAAATTGGATAAATTCCAAGACACATACAACCTACCAAGACTGAATAATAAATATATATATAAAATCTGAACAGACTAATAATGAGTAAGGAAATTGAGTCAGTAATAAAGAGTCTCCCATTAAACAGACTCTCATTAAAGAGTCCAAGCCAAGGACTTGATGGCTTTGCTCCTGAATTCTATCTTCTGCACAGCAAAGGAAACAATAAGCATAGTAAAAAGACAACATACAAATTGGGAGAAAATATTTGTAAGCCATACATCTGATAAGGGGTTAATATCCAAAATATACAGGGAACTCAAACAACTGAATAGCAAGAAAACAAATAACACAGTTTAAAAATGGTAAAGGATTCAACACAGAAATCCCGCTACAAAGTTTATGCCCAAAGAAATATAAATCTTTCTATTATAAATACACATGGACATGTATGTTCATTGCAGCACTACTCACAATAGCAAAGAGATGGAATCAACCTAAATGCCCATCAGTCATAGATTGGATAAAAAAAATGTGGTACATATACACCATGGAATACAATACAGTGATAAGAAGAATGAGATCATGTCCTTTGCAGGGACATGGATGGAGCTGAAGGTCATTATCCTAAGCCAACTAACGCAGGAACAGAAAACCAAATGTCACATCTTCTCACTTATAAGTGAGAGCTAAATAATGAGAATGCATAGACACAAAGAGGGGAACAACACAAGCTGGGGCCTTTTGGAGGGTGGGGCATGGGAGAAGAGCGAGGATCAGGAAAAATAACTAATGGGTACTAGGCTTCATAACTGGGTGATAAAATAATCTGTACAGCAAGCCCCCTGTGACACAAGTTTACCTATGTAACAAACCTGCACATGTACCCCTGGACATAAAAGTTAAAAAAATGTTAAATTAATAGAAATGGTAAAGGCCTAAATAGATATTTTTTCAAAAGGAGACATATAAATGACCAAGTATTTGAGATACATGAAAAAATACTCAACATCACTAATAATTAGGGAAATGCAAATTAAAACCATAATGAGATATTTCCTCACACCAGTTAGAATAGATGTTACTAAAAAGATGAAAGAGCAAAAGTGTAGGAAAGGATGTGGAGAAAAGAAAATCCTTGTACGCTGTTGGTGGGAATGTACATTAGTATAGCCATTATGGAAAACTATATGCAGTTTCCACAAAAAACTAAAAATGGAATTACCATATGATCCAGCAATCCCAGTACTGTGTTTATATCTAAAGGAAATAAAATCAGTATGTTAGAGTTAACTGCACTTTCATGTTCATTGCAACATTATTCACAATAGCTAAGTTATAGAATCAACTTAAGTGACAAAGGATGAATGGATAAAGAAAATGTTTTATATATGCGCAACTGAATACTATTCAGCATCTCAAAAGAAGAAAATTCTCTCATTTGAGACAACGTGGATGAGCCTGGAGGACACTTTGTTAAACAAAATAAGCTAGGCACAGAAATAGAAATACCTCATTATCTCACTTATATGTAGAATCTGAAATAATTGAACTCAGAAGCAGAGAGTAGAATGGTGGTTACCAGGTCTAGGGGGCAGATATAAATGGGGAGATGTTGGCCAAAGAATACAAAGTTTCAGTTAGATAGGAGGAATAATTTTTTGAGATATATTGCACAGCACAGTGACTATAGTTGATAATAATGTGTATTTCAAAATTGCTAATAAGACAGCAAACTTCCAATGTTTTCACTACAAAAAATAAGTATTTGAGGTGGTTAATGTGTTAATGAGTTGATTTACCCATTTCTCATTGTACACATACATCCTCACGTAAATTTGTATCCCATAAATCATGAATATATACAACTACAACTTGTCAATTTATAATAAAATAATAATTTTAAAAGATAAACTAAATATTTGTGTTGAGAACCTCTGCTAAGAAAACCACAAAACTTTACTAAGAAACAGAAAAGACATAAAAGAAGGCTTAAATAAATGCAGAGACCTTTCATGTTTCTCAAGAGGAAGACAATAGTGTAAAGATGTGATGATTCCTTCTCTCTTGAAAACACATCCTTCTCTTGGAATTTGTGCTACAACCTTTTCCTGTTTGTGTTTCCACCTTACTGTCTGCTCCTTTCAGCTTCTTACCTGGATTTTCCCTTTCCTGAAAACTTCTGAAGGTTTTGGTCCTTAACCATCTTCTCTTCTCTATTTGCATTCTTCCTAGATGAACTCACCTTTTCTTATGGTTTTAAATATTAACTATATGTTGATGACTCCAACCCTGATCTCTCCCCTGACTGCCAGTCATGTACCCAATTATCTACTTGGCAAGTCACACTGATAAGTCTTAGCATGTCAAACTTTGAAGGTACAAAACAGAACTCTTGGCTTCTAACTTCAGTTTGGGACACTTTTGCTTCAGATCTTCACAAGGCTTCTTCTCATAATTCAGTTCTCAGATCAAGTGTCACCTTTTGAAGCCACCTGATCTAAGCAAACCCTCACCATTCGCTGAGATGGTCATATTACATTATGCTGTTTAAATGTTGCCATGACCTTCATTACTGTGTGAAATTATCCTGTTTGTGTACCTATTTGCTTGTTTATAATTTATCTCCATATCATCGCATCCAACTAAAATGTAAGCTCCTCAAAATTAGTGATATTGCTTGACTTGTTCACTGACATGTTCACCTATCACTAGTATGTATACTAGTGTCTGACAAATAGTAGGTGCTCAGTAAATACTTACACATTAGTCTTCTCCTAAAGGATAAATTCCAAGACTGCAGTGGACAACTGAAGCCACAGATAGTACCCAACCCTATAAGTACTGTGTTTATTGTATGTATGCATATATATATGATAAATTTTAATTGATAAATTAGCATAGTAAGATACTAACAACAATAGCTAATAATAAATAGAACATATATAGGAATATGCCAGTATCACTATTCTTGTGCTTCGAGGCTGTTATTAAGTAAAATAAGGGTCACTTGAACACAAGCACCATGACAGTCAATCTGATAACCTACATGACCACTAAGTGACTAATGGGCGGGTAGCATAGACAACATGGTTACACTGAGCAAAAGGAGGATTCCTGTCCCAGCACTGCAATAGCACAAGATATCATCATGCTACTCACAATGGTGCACAATTTTAAACATGATTTGTTTAATTCTAGAATTTTCCATTTCATATTTTTTGGGCTTCAGTTGACCTCAGGTAACAGACACTGTGGAAAGTGAATGGCAGATAGAATAAATGAATAAAAGAAAAACAATGTTTAAGTTTTAACTCATTTCAATCAAATCCCAGCAAATCCCAGTAGTTTTTGGGGTAAGCGGATCTGCAACAAAGAGATTATTAAGTTGTTTGGAAAAAATAAACAAAATAAGATAGTGAAGAAATTTTTGTAAAAAATAGTTAAAAGAATTTGCCCAGCCAGGGATTTTTCAATGTCAAAAATTAAATAATGAATCATTAAAATTGTGTGGTACTGTTGAGGAAGGAGTGGTAGGTCCATAGAATAGAGCAGAATGTCCAGACAAGATCTAAATACATATAAGCCTTTAATATATGATAAAAGCAACGTTTTAGATCAGCCACTGACAGTAGTGAAAGGTAGACTATTCAATAAACAATGTAGTGATAACTGGCTAAGTCATTCTTTCTTCTGTGTACTACAGTATCTCTGGAGTTTTGCCAGTTTCTTGTGTATCCTGCCAGAGATAATATCTGCACTTTCAAAGATTTTATATTTACGGATTCCATTCTCCCCTAAATAAATGGTACGACGTTACACTGCTCTGCATCTTGCATTTTTCACTTAAAAATATATCTTGGATACCCTTCAACATAACTACATATTGAGCTGCCACATTCTTTTCAATAACTACATAGAGTATTCCATTAGATAGATTTACCATAATTTAACTAGCCCTCTGTTATGGCTGTTTCCAATATTTTGCTGATAAAAACTATGCTGCAATTATTATTTCACACAAATGTAACTATTTTTACAGGACAAATACTCAGGAGTGGAATTTCTAAGTCAAACTACTTGTTCCTCTTTATTTTTGTTGTATTATTTCCAAAATGCCCTCCATAGAGAGTGTGCCAATTTAAACTGACACTAGCAATGTATTGTCTTCACTGATTCCCTTCACTGTTCCCAATACAGATTGTTATAAGTTTTCTGATCTTTACCAATCTGATAGGTGAAAAATGTTATCTGAAAGTTGTTTAATTTACATTTCTTTTATTTGCTTCTTTTTCTGCAAACTGTCTAGTCATAATTTTTACATATTTTTCCTGGTATATTATTGATCTGTTTGCTTATTGACTCGTAGGAATTATTTATATAGTATGAAAAGTTGGCTCACCATTTGGAAAAAAAAATTCAGCCCAATACCATAAGTTAAAATGAATTCTATGTGGATTGAAAATATTAAGAGAAAAGAAGAAATAATAAGATGATGGTAAATATATATAATCTTGTGGTGAGGAAAGACTTCCAAATATGAATTTAAAGGCAGAAGACATAAAGGAATATATTAAACTATATCCAAATTTCAAATTTATGTAGGGAAAAAACCAACTATAAGCAAACTTAAGAAGCAAACTATAGCTAAATATGTGCACATGTTGAGGTGAGAGACAGGGAGAGAGAAACTGAAATAGAGAAAACAAACCTCGTGGAAGTAGTGAAGAATACAGACAAGTGGTCATTATACATCTTGAGCATCCTGCATTTGAAAATCCAAAATCTGAAATGCTCCAAAATCGGAAACATTTTTAACTCCAAAATGACATTTTAAAAAATGCTCCTTAAAGCATTTTGGATTTTGAATTTTCGGGTTTGGGATCCTCAACTGGTGTAATGCAAATATTCTGGAATTAGAAAAAAAATGCTTCTGGTACCAAGCATTTTGGGTAAGGGATACTCAACCTGTACTACTCTTGCAACTTTTCTGTAGCCTTAAAATTTTTCAAAATAAAATGTTGAGAAAAAGTAATATTAAAAATAAGCAATAGAAAAGGTCAAATAATAAAAATTTAGAATTAGAAAAATTAAGCAATTACTACAGTGTAATAGAGATTCTTAGAAAAAATTCTTATAAAGTTATATGCAATAAATTGGAAAATCTTGAAATAAAAATGGCAAACAGCAAAATATAATGTTTGAAATATAGATGACAGCCAGATGAATAATATCCTTAATATAGAATGTGTTCTTATAAATTAATAAGAAAAAGTGCATACTCCAGTATGTGACAATAATGGGCAGAGAATAAGATCAAGCAATTTACAAAACAAGAAATACAAATGACCAACAAACGATAAGAAAAAGTTCAAACAAATTCAACTTTGTTAGCAGTTAAAAATGAAAATTTAATGACATACCATTTTCTGTGCATACGGTTAGCAAAATTCAGAAAAAAATAAAAATGCTTAATGTTGAGTAGATGGAGGAAAATGGGTGCTGTTTTAAAGTGTTGGATGGTGGAAAGGTAAATTGTCGTAACTTTTCTGGAGAGCTACTTAGCAACTTGTATCAAAAGTCTTAAAAGTTCATGCCATTTTACTTTGCAATCCTTTTTCTAGGAATTTATCTAAGGAAATAATTGGAAAAATGTTAAGATATTTGTGCACAAGGATGTCCTTCATATCATTATTTTTAATTCAAAAATTAGAAACAACTTACATTATAAATAAGAATTTGGTTAAATATTTTAATTAATGCAGTGGACTATTATGAACCATTAAAACGCATATGTACATGTATACATAGAAGGATGGATAGATAAATAGATATGAAAAAATTCACAGTAAACTAAGTGAAAAAAGTTATGCATATTATGATCTCCCTCTTTCATGCCCCAGATAAGCTTTGTTTTATGTCTCTAAGAACTTGCTTATTCTAGGCACTTCATATAAATGGAATCATTCAGTATTCATTTTTTCATATATGGCTTATTTCACTTAGCATAATGTTTTCAATTTATCCATGTTGTAGCGTACATGTGATCTACTTTTTTTTTTCTACTTAGAAATATATTTTGACTCTCTGTGCCAGTTATGTAAAGATAAGAATTTTAATGGTTGCAAAGCATTTCTTTAAAATGTGGATTTATCATAATTTAACCAACTGAGATCGAGATTATCTAAAATATCTTACTCTTATAAATAACAATTTGCTGGATATTCTTTTTTATTATTTTATTTTATTAACTTTTATTTTAAATTTGAGGGTACACATGCAGGTTTGTTACATAGATGAACTTGTGTCATGGGTGTTTGTTGTATAGATTATTTCATCAACCAGATATTAATCCTAGTACCCAAATAGTTACTTTTCCTGATCCTCTCCCTCCTCTCTCTCCACCCTATGATAGGCCCCAGTGTATGTTCCCCTCTGTGTGTCCATGTGTTCTCATCATTTAGCTATCATTTATAAGTGAGAACATGCAATATTTGGTTTTCTGTTCCTGCGTTAGTTTGCTAAGGGTAATGGCCTCCAGCTCCATCCATGTCCCTGCAAAGGACATGATCTCATTCTTCTTATCACTGTATTGTATTCCATGGTGTATATGTTCCACATTTTCTTTATCCAATCTATCACTGATGGGCATTTAGGTTGATTCCATGTCTTTACTATTGTGAGTAGTGCTGCAGTGAACATACATGTGCATGTGTATTTATAATAGAAAGATTTATATTTCTTTGGGCATAAACCCAGTAATGGGATTTCTGGGTTGAATCCTTTACCATTTTTAAATTGGGTTACTTGTTGTAAAAGTTCTGGAAATGGAGATAGTGGATGGTTGCACAGCTTTGTGAATGTACCTAATGCCACTGAATTATACATTTAAAAATGGTACATTTATATATGGTAAATTTTATACATATATATATTACTACAATGATACAGCAGATCACAAATAATTATGTAAAGCATGATCTTATTTTGTACCTACCCATATGTGTGTATATAGTCACTCAAAATTTCATTTGACTAAGCACCACATGTAAATAGTTTTATGTCAGGTGGCAGCTTTGTAGGTGATTTTATTTTATTTATCCATATTTGTCTGTATTCTCTTCTTTCATGAACATGCAATACATGTGTAAGAATATTTTACAAAATTAGAAGTGCTAAATATCTGATAAACACAGAATTAGAAAGAAATCTTTAAAAATTTAGGAAAAATACAAAACAAATATAACTCTTAGTTAACTTTCATTTCTCAAATAACAAAAATGACTCTGTATTAGACTTTGGAAGCAGGTTCTTCAGTTTATGTTTACAGGCCCTTTATCAACTTATATAAATCTTTCCAAGTTAAGCCTTAAAGTTTTATTTCATTAAGTCTAAAATCTTCAAAATGGAACTTATTAGTGTAGATCTTTATTGTCACTTTAACTTACTTTCATTTAACTCAAGGATTTCTGTGCTTTGCTTTAAAATGAATATCTCTAAAATCTTAACATTATTGGACAGATAAATATTTATGATCCTCTTGGCTTCTAATTTAGATATTGCATTGATTTGAAAATTATGCTTATATTAATGAACTTCAAATTAAAATTTAGTGAAAATGAGAGTAAATAATGTGTCATTCGGTCAGTCAATAATATTTATTGAATGCCTAATACAGCAGTGAACAAATCAGGCTTAACTTCTACCTTCATGATAAAGTAAAATTTCAGTTGAAATCTTAAGAATGAGCAAAAGTAATCAAAGTTACATGAAGAAGTAGGAAAAACATGACTCCAGGAGAACAAACTAGGTTGTGTAAATTTTCAGAAGCAGGAAAAACTTGAAATGCTTTGAGATCTGGTCTAGAAACTTTCATGTCACTGGTATCCAATGATCCGCATCATCTTTTCATTAGCTTTTGAAACTTTCATCTTAAAAAAAAACAGAACAGAACAACTCTTTGGGATTCACTTAAGCTTTTAATAGAAAAATAAAAATGCCATGGATCTGGGGAAAAAGTTGAGTGTTCCATTTAGGGGAAAAATCAGGCTAGCAGTGGATTATTTGTACAAGATGAACCGCATTCAATGTGGCTAATGCTGTTTTCCAGAAGTTTGATTATGGAACATAAAAATAAAATGAAATAGAAAAAGGTTAAGGCAGATGCACATCAAATGGGATACAATACTTAATACAAGTAAACACTACAAAATGGAAAGCACTTACCAGTAACTCAAATGTAACCCATTATTAGAGAATGCATTCCATAGAAATGGTTTTAATAGTAGTCATATCCAAACAAAAAGATACATCTTCAAAAACATACACAAAACTATGGAACCTGATTTGGGTACAGACAGACAAGTACTATTCATCGGCAAGGCTATATCTATAAGCGCACAGTGAATGAACTGGAGCCTAACCAATCCATTTACTGTGTTATCCTCATGATTGATGTGGAGAGCCAAATGATTGAGTGAACCAGAGCAATCAGCATCAATCTTGATGATGACCGAAATGAACAAAGTGGCTGTACCTAACCGAACAAGTCATCAAGTCAAGTGAACAAGTGCTTTTATAGCACTGGCTGTATGCCCAGAAATGTTCTAGATGCTGTGAGGGCTACACAAAGTTAGAATACATAGCCTGTGCCATAAATTAACATGATTTTGTTGGAATCACAAGTTCTAAATACATAAACTATCAAAACATATAAAGCCAAATATAGAGTACACTGTATTATACATGCTGTATGACTTCAGAGATTGGTGTGAACTAGATTGAATAAAATTAAATTGGCCATAAAAGAGAAGATACAATTTGAGTTGTCAAAGAGAAAGAGAGGAGAACTGTAGTACACATTTGCTGAGTGCTTTCCAGGAATCCCATTTCTCTCTTCTTCTGGCAAACTTCAATCTTGTTTGGAAAACCATTCCATCCACAATTTGTAGCCAAGTGGTTCAGACAGAGTTGACTTTAACTCCAAGTGTGCATCATAATTGTCTTAAGTCAATCAGAATATTCTGTCCTCCTGGCACTAGTGACTGACTTAGGGAAAGGTATATAACTCAAGCCTAAACTAATTCATGCATCTTATTCCTCTGGGCCCAGTAATTAAATTGAAGCAGACACTGAAAGGTTCTCATCAGGGTAAACTTCTGTACATTTTTTGGAAATGCTAGGACACAGATTCTCTCTTCTACCAGATGGTATTTTATGGGGATACAAAGCTTATAGCCATTAAAAACCAAATCACATGTGTGTGGTGAAAGGAGACTATGTGGTCTTTGACAGTTGGTATGGACACCATTGAAAACAAAGTGGAAGAGATTTAATCTGGATCCTTGGCAACATCACTCAGACGCTAGATCAATCCTTGCCTAAAGCCATTTTCTCTGGATTTTTAGTTAAATGAGCTAGTAAATTCCCTTTATTATTAGAGACAGTTTAACTTGATTTTTCATCATGTGCAATAGAGAATCCTAACTGATACAAGAACATTTCAAGTAATAACACTAATATAGAGGTAAGGATGAAGTCAAGTTTTGTCCAACAATTCACCTGGCAAAAGTAAAGGATTCGTGTTGATGAATACTGAACAATCATATCAGAAAATGAAGAAAGTTCATATTCTAGAGAAACTTGAGTAACAGGGACAGGATTTTTGACTTGATTTGTGAGGCAATTTGAAATTATGACTTGTTCCTGAAAAAGATAATGATTTGAATGAAGTGGTGGCCTAGGAATATTGATCAGACTGAGACGAGAAGAATGGGTTGCAGGAAAAAGAACAAGAAGGGAGGGAAATCCTTCAGGAGGAATTGAGGCCTAGGTTTATGGTGGTGATGATAGAATAGAGAAAACATAGATGAGAGGCAATAAACTATTGGTTAATAACATGGGTTCTGGAGACAGATGGCCTAAGTTTGAATCTGGATTCTGCTATTGTTATTTACTCTCTCCATTACCCTGCTTTGGACACCAGTCATATCACTTCTATCCAACTA
The DNA here is from genome assembly GCF_000001405.40 of Homo sapiens. Taxonomy (NCBI): domain Eukaryota; kingdom Metazoa; phylum Chordata; class Mammalia; order Primates; family Hominidae; genus Homo; species Homo sapiens. The sequence goes on along the minus strand of NC_000023.11, from coordinate 108,832,745 downwards.
TTCACATCATCTTTCAATTGGCTTTTGAAAGTTTAATCTTGTAAAGATTATGCATCCTTGGATAAATTAAACTTTCTGACTCTCAATTATCTCATCTGCAAAATGGAGATAAAATAGCACCTACTCCCTGAGGTTATTATTATGATTAAATGTGGAAATACATGTAAAATGCTTAGAAGAGTGTCTAGGACATTGTAATATTCAATAAACGTTAGCTATTATATAAACACTTTTCCAAGGCAGAATCTAAAGTACCTGGTGATTGACTGAAGGAAACAAAAAGAGGCAAAGAGAACTAGATTAGGATACATGTGCTCTAACTCCAGGTTTGCCACACTAGCTGTAGTGAACTTGAGCAAATTTCTTGGCCTTGTTTGGGACTTTGATTAGTCATCTGTTAAAATATGTATTTGTATTAGATGATCCCTAGGGCTGTCTTCAGGCCCAATATATTATGAGTTTATAAAATCTAAGTATTGTTATATCATAAAAATTTATAAAACAATTTGAATGCATTAATTTAAACTTTTTAACAACCCTGCGAGATAGACCATTTTACAGATAAGGAAACTGAGGCTCAAACGATTTTAATGACTTCTTCAAGCATGTATAGCTGAAGCTAAGACTTAAAGTCAGAGGTTCACATTTTGAGCAACATACCATTTATTATGACCCGTTATCTTCAATTTAAAATGCCAGGATTAGTGTGGGAGCTGTAGTGTTCCTGAACTCTCGGCTATCATAGAACAGGTCTGTTTTCTGTTGGTAAATATAGCAGATGTGGCAGATACAAACAGCATCGAAGGGCCTCTAGATTATTGTAAAATATTCTCATTTCCATGAGGGCAGTAATTGTGGTTCTAAGGAGGAAAAGGGCCTTAAAGAAGGTTGGCTTCAACAAGAAATGACCCTTTGATGAGATCCAGGCATCATTATTATGCCACCGTGTACTATATACAGAGAATATGTCTCTGAGATAGGCTAGTAAGAAATGGCATGCGTAGGTTAGATTGTAGAGTGTGTAGACAGCCATGTGTATGATAATAATGAAGGTTATGTGTTAGAACAAAGCTGTGCTAGCTACATGGTAACCTTTTAATATTTGCTAGGCCAGCCTCGGGTGATGGCAGGGGAGGAAAAGCCAGTGGTCACTGCACATTTAAATATGAAGACTTAAGAAAATATAGTACTGTAGGCCAAATTTAATGCCCTAGAAATGAATTCAAGGCCAAGATCTCTAGGGTGATGCTTTCTCAAATAGCTTCTGTTCCATACAGAGAAAAAAGAGTGGGCACTCCAAATTCTCCAGAATCCACAAGAACTCTTTTTAATAGTTATAGGATACACAGGAAGGCTGGGCTACACTTTAACAAAATGTCATCATGAATCTTGTATTAAAAAGGAAAAACTACGAGGCAAGATAGGAGAAAAGGCAAACTGTTGCAGATTCCACTAGAGTAAAAGAATATAAGAAAAGTTTGACAAATGGGCCAGGGCTATGACAGTGAAACAAAGAAAATTGGAGGCAACTTATAATGCCAACTTTAAAATAATTTACTGATACATAATTTTTGTACATATTTAAAAGAACATGTGATATTTTGTTACATGCATAGAAGGTGTAATGATTAAGTCAGGTTATTTAGGATATTAATCACCTCCAGTATTATCATTCTTATGTGTTTGGAACATTTCAGGTACTCTCTTCTAACTATTTTGAAGTATATAATATATTGTTGTTATCTATAGTCACCCTACTCTGCATTAGAACATTAGAACTTATTCCTTCTATCTAACTATATATTTGTACCCATTAACCAACTTCTTTTTATCCCCTTCCCCGCGACACATCTTTTCCAGCCTCCAGTAGATACCATTCTACTCTCTATCTATGTAAGATCCACCTTTTTTAGCTCCCACATGTGAGTGAGAACATATGACATTTGTGTTTCTGTGACTGGCTTATTTCACTTAATATGATGCCCTCCAGTTCCATCCATGTTGCTGCAAATGACAGAATTTAATTCTTTTTATGGCCAACTAGTATTTAATTGTGTGTATGTACCACATTTTCATTATCCACTCATTTGTTAATGGACAGAGGTTGATTCCATGCCTTTGCTATTGCGAATAGTGCAGCAATAAACATGGGGTGCATTGTTCCCTTTGATATACCAATTTTTTCTTTGAAATATATACCCAGTAGTGGAATTGCTAGACTGTATGGTAGTTCTAGTTTTTTATTTTGGAGAAATCTCCATACTGTTTTCCGTTATGGCTGTACTAATTTATATCCCTACCAAAAGTGTATAAGACTTCCCGTTTCTCTGCATCCTCAACAGCATCTGTTATTTTTAGTCTTTTTAATAATAGCTATTCTAGCTAGGGTAAGATGCTATCTCATTATGGTTTTGAAAGAACAGCTGACATATATAGGGAGGGGTAAAAAGTAACTAAAATATGATATACACATATATACTATTTCTAGAAGCTTTAAAAGGAAAATAGCTGAATTAGAATATAGGCCAGGATGCAAGGATATATAACTAGACTTTAAGCAATTTGGTAGAAGGAGAAAAACCAACCACTTGCAATGCCAAGGTACATACAGACTACAGGAAGGCCCAACCTGGACAGATAAGTAAGCATGTTGCTATGTGTATGAAGGCAAACATATATAGTATAAACATAGAATATTAGATAAGGAAAGGGTAATAAAAATTCTGTGAGTGGAAAAATGAAATTTTTTAAATATAAAATGTGTTGATAAAGTTACAGGCCTATAGTCATTACAAAAGACTTGACAGGAATAATACAATTTTGGCCACATTATAGAAATTAGGTGATGTACTTTTGGGAGGTCTTCAGTTATCCACAAACTGATCAAATATTTTGTCAGAATGAAATGTAAAATTGAGGTTTGCATAAAAAGTATGGCTACTTACTATAATGAGATTTGTAGGATTCAAAAGAATATGGTTTTGAAAAGATATAAATATCTATAGGAGATACTATATAATAGTAATTTAATTTTACATACTAGCTTAAGCAAGTAAACCAGAATTATCCATCACTTGGTTATCCACCTTTAGGAGAAAGAGTGACAATACAATGTAGGTATTGCTATTTCAAAAATATATTTTCACGGATTGAAATCCCATAGGAGTACTTTTCAAAATCACTTCAAAAAGACCAAATATACATGCAGTGTATCAAAAATAATTTAGCAGTCAAACAAAATCTAATTTATCCATGGCTATATGACAAAGTAAAGAGGCTTGGGGAGGTAGGAGGACAAGAGGAGCATATTTTTTTAATGAAAAAAAAAAAGCTGCCTACATGCAGACAAGAAATCTGTAAATGGCCAATAAAGTAAAAAATAATAATAATAATTCCAAGGATCACCTTATAAGACACTCCTAAATGAATACTAAATTTTTTAAGGACAACAAAATCAGGAAGTGAGCTACAGAATCAGTGGGGCCACTTTATGATATAATCAGGTGTGAAAGAATGGTAACAGAGAGACTCAGTGAGGTATTGTGGTTATTTTCTTTACAGAGGAAGCCATTAAGGAGAATCTTTAATCCATATGAAATTTGAAGTACCAGAAGCATTCAATCATAAACAGTTAAACAGGTAAGTTCTAGACCTGATGGTAAATAATATACACATCAGGTGCCACTTACTCAGATATTCTGAAGAAACTCAAAGGTGAAATGGTGGTATAACAGCTTCAAGTCATGAACTGTTCCCGGAAACAGAACTAGAAGATTTTCAAGATGACTAAAATCCACCAACAAAAACCTGGACCAGAAAAACCTCCTTTGGGGATTCTCTTACATAATTAGCCACCTGATAAAATAAATAGCATAAACATAATATGTTTAGGAGCAAGAAGCAACCTGGCATCGATGTTTTAGATGCTACAGAAGTCAAACATGTCGCCCTTCTATTCCCAAAGTCCTCTACCCTTGCCTTAAACACAGTGATACCTCTATCAGAATATATTCCTCTAAGAGAACTGACACTCTCTGATAAGCTTTTAAGGATTTTCAAAATATTTTCAAAAATTAAAATAACCTTTACCAGGATGAAAAACTTGTCCAGCTTTTTGATCTTTGCAATTTTTTTTGGGGGGTGGGGTGTCAGGATTTCTCTAAAGAGCAAAAACTTCCTACCCCTAGAAAAGAGTTTCTAATAAAACAAAAATCATGGCCCCAAAAAAAGAGTGATCTTGCCAACACAGGCTCTGAAATACCTCACAGATTTTGAAATTCACGTCTTTCTGATAGTTCATTCCAGTATTAATTCATCAGAGAAATAAAGCAGCAAACTATCAGTATAATTACTTATTATAAATTTATGAAATAAACTCAACACTACTTCCAAGGAAGATAAGAGCATGTCATTCACATTGATGTTTACATTTTTTCCCTTTTTTGCACAGTTGACCTTTAGAGGCATTTTCCATGAAACTGTTTATCATTCTGCTTCCCATTTTGGCTATCAAAAATGCAGCTTTATTAGACAGCATCCTTCTTATGAATTTTAAAAATCATTTATTATAGATTTAACCATCTTCTAACTCTTCATGCACCAACATTATACTTTTTTACATTGAACTTTTATTTTGAGATCATTGTAGATTCACATGCAGTTGTAAGAAAAATACAGAAATATTCCATATACACTTTACCTGCTTTCCTTCAATATTAACGTCATGCAAAACTATAGTACTATCACACTAGGATATTGACATTGATACAATCCACCTACCCGTTCAAATTTCACCAATTTTACTTGTACTGTTTTGTCACCATAAAGATCACACATGTTGCCATTTTATAACCACATCCACTTCTCTCACACGCCCTTAACCTGCAGCAACCATAATATGCCCTCAACATTTATAATTTTGTCATTTCAAGCATGCTATATAAATGGAATCATACAGTATATAACATTTTGGATTGGACTTTTTCATCCAGCATAATTCCCTGGAGTTTAATCCACATTGTCATGTGTATCAATAGTTTATTTTTATTGCTGAGTACTATTCCATGGTATGGATGTACCACAGTTCTTTTAACCATTCACTTGTTAACAGACATCTGAGTTGTTTCTAGTTTGGGGCTATTAGGATAAAGTTGCTATGAACATTTGTATGCAGGTTTTTGTGTGAAAAAAATAATTCATTTTTCTGGGATAACTGCCCGGACTGAAATTTCTGATTTGTATATAGATAAATGTTTGGTTTTCTAAGAAATTGCCAAATCATTTTTTGAATGGGTGTACCATTTTATATTCCCACCAGCAATTTATCAATAATCAAGTTTCTCTGTGTCTTTGCCAGCAACTGATGCTTTACAACTTTTTATTCCAGGCATTCTGTTAAGTATGTAGTAATAGCTCATTTTTGTTTCAATTCACATTTTCATAATAGCTAGTGATGTTGAATTTTTTATATGCTTATTTGACATTCATATATCCTCTTAGGTGAAATATCTATTAATGTCTTTTGCTCGTTTTCTAATTGAATTGTTTGTCTTTCACTGTTGAATTTTGAGAACTCTTCATATATTCTAGACACTAGTCATTTGTCAGATGTAGAGTTTGTGAATATTTCTTCCAAGTCTATGTAGCTTGTCTTTCTATCCTCTACAGTGTATTTCACAGAGCAAAGTTTTTTTAAATGAATGAGGTCTAATGATCAATTTTTGATTTTCTAGATTGTGCTTTTAGTCTTAATTCAAGAACCCTTTTCCTACCCCTTGATCTTGAAGATTTTCTACTATGTTTTTCCCTAAAAATTTAATAGTTTTATGTTTTTCATTTAAGACCATAATCCATTTTCAGGTAATTATTTTCTTTTTTCAAATACAAAATGTTTTACAAATTTGCATGTCATCCTTGTGCAGGTGCCATGCTAATTTTCTCTGTATCATTCCAAATCTAGCATATGTACTGCAAACTGAGCCCCACTTTGAGGCATTTTTTTTTAATAAGATGTGAGTTTAAGTCAAATTTTTTGTTGTTGTCTGTGGGAGCCAACTGCTCCACCATCATTTATTGAAAAGTATATTCTTCTTCCGTTGAACTGCTTTTACACCTTTGTCAGGAATATGTTGGGCATATTTTTGTGGGTCTATTTTTAGATTCCATATTCTCTTCCATTAATCCACACATCTGTTACTCCACCAATATGACACTCTTGATTACTGTACCTATTATATAATAATTCCTACTGTAAGATATAATGATTTCTCCCACTTTACTCTTCTTTTCAAGATTGTTTTAGCTATTCTAGGGCTAGGGCCTGTGTCTTTCTATATAATTTTTAGAATAAGTTTTTCTATATTTTAAAATCTTCGCTACAATTTGAATAGAGATTGCATTAAATCTACAGATCAATTGTAGAGGACTGACATTTTTATTATATTGAGTCTTCCAATTCATTAATATACCATACTCCACAACACGGTAGGTTGTGTCTCTTTCTTCTGGTCTCCATGGTTTCAGATGAGAAATCCTCTGCCATTCCAGTAAGTGTTCCCCTATAAAGGCATCACTTCCCTGTGGATGATTTGAACGTGCTTTTGGCCTTTAGTTTTTAGATGTTTAATTGTGATGTGCCTTAGCATGGATTTTGGTGGGCGGTTATACTATTTGTGGTTTGCTCAGATTCTGTAGATGTATGCCTTTTTTCAAGTTTGAGACATTTGGGTCATTATTTTTTTCATGTGTTTTTATTTTTTTTTCTCCTTCTGGAACTCATAGAGCCACTGTATTTATAAGTGGTATGTTTTCCATAATTGCCACACAGGTCCATGTGCCTCTAATCAGTTTTTCTCACCTTCTCTCTTTTGCTCAGAATGTGTAAATTTTATTTCTTTGTCCTCTAGTACATTGTTTCTATATTCTTTCATATCCACTGTTACTATTCATCCCATCCAGTGATTTTAAAATTTTAGCTATTGTATTTTTAGTTCTGTAATTTACATTTGATTCTTTTTTAAAACTTCTCTTTTATCAATAATGTTTTTCCTTTTAAAAATGTGACCAAAAAAAAATCAGGCTGGCAAGATGGCCGAATAGGAAGAGTTCCAGTCTGCAGCTCCCAGCAAGATAGATGCAGAAGGTGGGTGATTTATGCATTTCCAACTGAGGTACCCAGTTCATTTCATTGGGACTGGTTGGACAGTGGGTGCAGCCCATGGAGGGCAAGCAGAAGCAGGGTGGGCAGTCACCTCACCCAGGAAGCACAAGGGGTCGAGGGATTTTCCTCCCCTAGCCAAAGGAAGCCGTGAAGGACTGTGCCATGATGAATGGTGCACAGATACAGCACTTTTCCCCCAGTCTTCACAACCCACAGACCAGGAGATTCCCTCCAGTGTCTATGCCACCAGGGCTCTGGGTTTCAAGCACAAAACTGGGCAGCCATGTGGGCAGACACTGAGCTAACTGTAGGAGTTTTTCTTTATAACCCAGTGGCACCTGGAACACCTGTGAGACAAAACTCTTCACTCCCCTGTAAAGGGGACTGAAGCCAGGGAGCCAATTGGTCTGGCTCAGCTTGTCCCAACCCCATGGAGCCCAGCAAGCTAAGATCCACTGGCTTGAAATTTTTGCTGCCAGCACAGCAGTCTGAGGTTGACCTGGGATGCTTGAGTTTGGTGGGGAGAAGGGCATCGACCATTGTTGAGACTTGAGTGGTGGTTTTACCTTCACAGTGTAAACAAAGCCACCCACCCAGGAGTTTGAACTGGGTGGAGCCCACCACAGCTCAGCAAGGCTGCTGTGGCAAGACTGCCTTTCTAGATTCCTCCTCTCTGGGCAGGGCATTTCTGAAAAGAAGGCAGCAGCCCCAGTCAGGGAATTACAGATAAAACCCCCATCTCCCTGGGACAGATCACCTGGGGGAAAGGGCGGCTGTCAGCGCAGCTTCAGCAGACTTAAACATCCCGCTTGATGGCTCTGGAGAGAGCAGTGGATTTCCCAGCACAGTGTTTGAGCTCTGATAAGGGTCAGACTGCCTCCTCAAGTGAGTCCCTGACCCCTGTGTATCCTGACTGGGAGACGCCTCCCAATAGGGGACAACAAACACCTCATACAGGAGAGCTCCAGCTAGCATCTGGTGGGTGCCCTTCTGGGACAAAGCTTCCAGAGGAAGGAAAAAGGAGCAATCTTTGCTGTTCTGCAGCTTCTGCTGGTGATACCCAGGCAAATAGGGTCTAGAGTGGGCCTCCAGCAGACCTGCAGCAGAGGGCCTGACTGTTAGAAGGAAAAATTACAAACAGAAAGGAATAGCATCAACATCAACAAAAAGCATGTCCACTCACAGACCCCATCTGAAGGTCACCACCATCAAAGACCCAAGGTAGATAAACCCACGAAGATGGGGAGAAACCAGCATAAAAAGGGTGAAAATTCCAAAAACCAGAATGCTTCTTCTCCTCCAAAGGATCACAACTCCTCACCAGCAAGGGAACAAAACTGGATGGAGAATGAGTTTGAAGAATTGACAGAAGTAGGCTTCAGAAGGTAGGTAATAACAAACTCCTCTGAGCTAAAGGATCATGTTCTCACTCAATGCAAGGAAGCTAAGAATGTTGAAAAACGGTTAGACGAATTGATAACTAGAATAACCACTTTAGAGAAGAACAAATATGACCTGAAGGAGCTGAAAAACACAGCACAAACACTCTGTGAAGCATACACAAGTATCAATAGCTAAATTGAACAAGCGGAAGAAAAGATATCAGAGATTGAAGATCAACTTAATGAAATAAAGTGAAAAGACAAGATTAGATAAAAATAAAAAGAGTGAAAAGCAATGAACAAAGCCACCAAGAAATGTGGGACTATGTGAAAAGACCAAATCTATGTTTGATTGGTGTACCTGAAAGTGATGGGGAGAATGGAACCAAGTTGGAAAACACCCATAAGGATATTATCCAGGAGAACTTGCCCAACCTAGCAAGACAGGCCAACATTCAACCTCAGGAAATACGGAGAAAACCACTAAGATACTCCTCGAGAAGAGCAACCCCAAGACACATAATCGTCAGAGTCACCAAGGTTGAAATGAAGGAAAAAATGTTAAGGGCAACCAAAGAGAAAGGTCAGTTTACCCACAAAGAGAAGCCCATCAGATTAATGGCAGATCTCTTGGCAGAAACCCTAACAGCCAGAAGAGAGTGGGGGCCAATATTCAACATTCTAAAAGAAATGAATTTTCAGCCCAGAATTTCATATCCAGCCAAATTAAGCTTAATAAGCTAAGGAGAAATACAGTTATTTACAGACAAGTAAATGCTGAGAGATTTCATCACCACTAGGCCTACCTTATAAGAGCTGCTGAAGGAAGCACTAAACATGGAAAGGAACAACCAGTACCAGCCACTGCAAAAACATACCAAATTGTAAAAACCATTGACACTATGAAGAAACTGCATCAATTAACAGACAAAATAAACAGCTGGCATCATAATGACAGGATCAAATTCATACATAAAAATATTAACCATAAATGTAAAAAGGCTAAATGCCCCAATTAAAAGACACAGACTGGCAAATTGGATAAAGAGTCAAGACTCATTGGTGTGCTGTATTCAGGAGACCATCTCATGTGCAAAGACACACATAAGCTCAAAATAAAGGGATGGAGAAATATTTACCAAGAAAATGGAAAGCAAAAAAATAGTAGGGGTTGCAATTCTAGTCTCTGGTAAAACAGACTTTAAACCAACAAAGATCAAAAGAGACAAAGAAGGGCATTACATAATGTAAAGGGACCAATGTAACAAGAAGAGCTAACTATCATAAATATATATGCACCCAATACAGGAGCACCTAGATTCATAAAACAAGTTCTTAGAGACCTACAAAGAGACTTAGACTCCCATACAATAATAGTGGGAGACTTTAACATCCCACTGTCAATATTAGACACATCAATGAGACAGGAAATTAACAAGGATATTCAAGACTTGAACTCAGCTCTGGACCAAGCGGACCTAATAGACACGTATAGAACTCTCACCCAAAATCATGAGAATATACATTCTTCTGAGCATGACTTCGCACTTATTCTAAAATTGACCACATAATTGGAAGTAAGACACTCTTCAGCAAATGCAAAATAACAGAAATCATAATAAACAGTCTCTCAGACCACAGTGCAATCAAATTAGAACTCAGGATTAAGAAACTCAATCAAAACTGCACAACTACATGGAAGCTCAACAACCCTGAAAATAACAAAATTGAGGCAGAAATGAAGATGTTCTTTGAAACCAATTGGAACAAAGACAAAATGTACCAGAATCTCTGGGACACACTTAAAGCAGTGTTTAGAGGGGAATTTATAGCACTAAACTCCCACAAGAGAAAACAGGAAAGATCTAAAATCAACACCCTAACATCACAATTAAAAGAACTAGAAAAGCAAGAGTTAACAAATTCAAAAGCTAGCAGAAGACAAGAAATAATTAAAATCACAGTGGAACTGAAGGAGATAGAGACACGAAAAACCCTTCAAAAAATCAATGAAGCCAGGAGCTGGTTTTTTTTTTTAAAGATCAACAAAATAGATAAACTGCTAGCCAGACTAATAAAGAAGAAAAGAGAAGAATCAGGTAGACACAATAAAAAATGATAAAGGGGATATCACCACTAATCCAACAGAAATACAAACAACCATCAGAGAATACTATAAACACCTCTATGCAAATAAACCAAAAAAACTAGAAGAAATTGATAAATTCCTGGACATATACACCCTTCCAAGACTAAACAAAGAAGAAGTCGAATTCCTGAATAGACCAATTACAAGTTCTGAAATTGAGGCAGTAATTAATAGCCTACCAACCAAAAAAGTCCAGTACCAGATGGATTCACAGCCAAATTCTACCAAAGGTACAAAGGGGAGCTGGTACCATACCTCCTGAAACTATTCCAAATAATAGAAAAAGAGGGAATCCTCCCTAACTCATTTCATGAGGCCAGCATCATCCTGATACGAAAACCTGGCAGAGACACAACAACAAAAAAGTAAAATTTCAGGCCAATATCCCTGATGAACATTCATGGAAAAATCCTCAATAAAATACTGGCAAACTGAATCCAGCAGCACATCAAAAACCTTATCCACCAGAATCAAGTTGGCTTCATCCCTGGATGCAAGGCTGTTTCAACATAGGCAAATCAATAAACGTAATCCATCACATAAACAGAACCAATGACAAAAACCACATGATTATCTCAATAGATGCAGAAAAGGCCTTTGACAAAACTCAACAGCACTTCATGTTAAAATCTCTCAATAAACTAGGTATTGATGGAATGTATCTCAAAGTAATAAGAGCTATTTATGACAAACCCACAGTCAATATCATACTGAATGGGCAAAAACTGGAAGCATTCCCTTTGAAAACCAGCACAAGACAAGGATTTCCTCTCTCACCACTCCAGTTCAACATAGTATTGGAAGTTCTGGCCAGGGTGGTCAAGCAAGAGAAAGAAATAAAGGGTATTCAAATAGGAAAAGAGGAAATCAAATTGTCTCTGTTTGCAGATGACATGACTGTATATTTAGAAAAACTCATCTTCTCAGACCAAATTCTCCTTAAGCTGATAAGCAACTTCATCAGTCTCAGGATACAAAATTAATGTGCAAAAATTACAAGCATTCCTATACACCAATAATAGACAAACAAAGCCAAATAATGAGTGAACTGCCATTCACAATTGCTACAAAGAGAATAAAGTAGCTAGGAATACAAAGTAGAAGGCATGTGAAGAACCTCTTCAAGAGAACTACAAACCACAGCTCAAGGAAATAAGAGAGGACACAAACAAATGGAAAAACATTTCATGCTCATGGATAAGAAGAATCAATATCGTGAAAATGGCCATACTGCCCAAAGTAATTTATAGATTCAATGCCATTCCCATCAAGCTACCATTGACTTTCTTCACAGAACTGGAAAAAACTACTTTGAATTTCATATGGTACCAAAAAAAGAGCCTGCACAGCCAAGACAATCCTAAGCAAAAAGAACAAAGCTGGAGCCATCATGCTACCTGACTTCAAACTATATTACAGGCTACAGTAGCCAAAATAGCATGGTACTGGTACCAAAACAGATGTATAGACCAATGGAACAGAACAGAGGTCTCAGAAATAACATCATATATCTAACCATCTGATCTTTGACCAATCTGACAATAACAAACGACGGGGAAAGGATTCTGTATTTAATAAATGGTATTGGGAAAACTGGCTAGCCATATGCAGAAAACTTAAACTGAATCCCTTCTTTACACCTTATACAAAAATTAACTCAAGATGCATTAAAGACTTAAATGTAAGACTGAAAACCATAAAAACCCTGGAATAAAACCTAGGCAATACCATTCAGGACATAGGCATGGGCAAAGACTTCATGACTAAAACACCGAAAGCAATAGCAACAAAATCCAAAACTGACAAATGGGATCTAATTAAACTAAAGAGCTTCTGCACAGCAAAGGAAACTATCATCAGAGTGAACAGGCAACCTACAGGATGGGAGAAAATTTTTGCAATCTACCCATCTGACAAAGGGCTAATATCCAGAATCTACAAATAACTTAAACAAATTTACAAGAAAAAAGATACAACCCCATCAAAAAGTGGGCAAAAGATATGAACAGACACTTCTCAAAAAAAGCCATTTGTGTGGCCAACAAATATATGAAAAAAAGCTTATCATCACTGGTCATTAGAGAAATGCAAATCAAAACAACAATGAGATACCATCTCACACCAGTTAGAATGGCAATTATTAAAAAGTCAGGAAACAATAGATGCTGGAGAAGATGTGGGGAAATAGGAATGCTTTTATGCTTTCAATGGGAGTGTAAGTTCAACCATTGTGGAAGACAATGTGGGAATTCCTTAAGGATCTAGAACTAGATATACAATTTGACCCAGCAATCCCATTACTGGGTATATACCCAAAGGGTTATAAATCATTATACTATAAAGACACATGCACACATATATTTATTGTGGCACTGTTCACAATAGCAAAGACTTGGAACCAACCCAATTGCCCATCAATGATAGACTGCATAAAGAAAATATGGCACATATACACCATGGAATACTATGCAGCCATTAAAAAAAGAATGAGTTCACGTCCTTTGCAGGGACATGGATGAAGCTGGAAACCATCATTCTCAGCAAACTAACACAGGAACAGAAAACCAAACACCGCATGTTCTCACTCATCAGTGGGGGTTGAACAATGAGAACACATGGACACAGGGAGGGGAACATCACACACTGGGGCCTGTCTGCGGGTGTGGGGCTAGAGGAGGGGATAGCATTAGGAGAAATGCTGATGTAGATGACAGGTTGATGCAGTGCAGCAACCTACCATGGCACGTGTATACCTATGTAACAAACCTGCACGTTCTGCACATGTATCCCGTAACTTAAAGTATAATAACAAAAAATTAACAAAATAATAAGAGCCATTTATGACAAATCCACCACCAATATAATACTGAATGGGCAAAAGCTGGAAGCATTCCCCTTGAAAATCTGCAAAGACAAGGATGCCCTCTCTAACCACTATTATTCAACATACTGTTGGAAGTTTTGGCCAGGGCAATCAGGAAAGAGTAAGATATAAAGGACATACAAATAGAAAGAGAAGAATTCAATCTGTCTGTGTTTTCAGATGACATAATCCTATATCTAGAAAACCGCATCGTCTCAGCCCAAAAGCTCCTTATGCTGATAAGAAGCTTCAGCAAAGTCTCAGGATAAAAAATCAATGTGCAAAAATCACGAGCTTTCCTATACACCAACAAGAGATAATTGACCATATGTGGAGAACCAAGGAACATAATGAAGCTGATTGGTTCCTCCTAAGTTCATTGGACCAAATGATGAAGAAAATGACGAACTCAGGGACTCTACTTCACAACTTCAAGAAGCAAATACTGAGCCTCAAATCTGCTAAGACTGCCCTGAGTGAGAACCTTATCTCCTGTAGAGAAAGAGCTGAAATTGTGGAAAAACATACACAAGCTCTTATCATGCAAGTGGCTGACCTGCAATGAAAGGTGCATGCACAGCCTCACCAGGTGTCTACTGTTAAAGTGAGGGCATTGATTGGAAAAGAATGGGACCCTGAAACTTGGAATGAGGACTTGTGGGAGGACCCTGATGAAGGTGGGTACACTGAGTTTGTAAACTCTGATGAACCTTTTTTTGCCAGAAGAAACAGCTCCCCCATCCCCAGTAGTGGCAACATCCCCTCTCCAGCCCATGCTGCCATCAACCTTGACACCTTTGTCTGAGGAGATAAACCCTGTGCTGCGTGAGGCAAGAGTGATGGCCTCCCCTGAGGCAGTAGTCAGCCAAGATAACGTTGATTCTCAGAAGCCACCCCCAACAACCCTGTTTGCTTCCAGACCTATAACTAAACTAAAGTCCTGGCGGGCCCCTGGAGGTGAGATTGAGAGTGTGACCTGTGAGGAGGTACACTACACTCAAAAATAACTGCTTGAGTTTTCTAATTTATGTAAACAGAAATCTGGAGAACAGGCATGGGAACGGATATTAAGGGTATGAGATAATGGTGGAAGGAACATAGAGTTGGATCAGGCTGAATTTATTGACTTGGACTCACTAAGTAGGGACTCTGCATTTAATCTTGCAGCTCAGGGAGTTAAAAAAGGTTCCAATAGCTTATTTGCTTGGTTAGCTGAAATGCGGATTAAAAGATGGCCCATTGTGAATGAGCTGGAAATGCCTGATCTCCCTTGGTTTCATGTAGAGGAAGGGATCCAAAGGCTTAGGGAGATTAGGATGGTGGAGTGGATTAGTCACTTTAGACCAACTCATTCCAGGTGGGAGGATCAAGAAGAGATACCCTTGACCAATGCCTTGTGCAATAGATTTGTGAGGGCAGCTCCTTTATCTTTGAAGAGCCCTGTAATTGCTCTTCCCTGCATGTCAGATCTAATGGTGGGAACCACAGTCACTCAACTACAAAATTTAAATACAATGGGAATAATTGCATCCTGAGGTAGCAGCAGCCAAGTGGCAGCACTCAACCATCGAAGGCATGGTGGGCTAGCTACGGTAATGGACAGCAGAGGCAAAGCAGCAATCAGAATAGTCTGATTCATGTGGAGTGCTGGCATTGGCTAATTAATCACGCATGGTGTTCCTAAAAGTGAAATTGATAGGAAGCCTACTGCATTCTACTTAATTTATATAAGCAGAAAACTTCTATGTTGAATGGACAAAAGACTAATTTGAATTAAAAAAAAACAGAGAATCATGGCCCATCAATCAATTTCTAGACTTGAGCCACTTTACAGACCCAGAACCCCTTGAATGAAGGGGAGACTGGGTTCCCTTGAGGAAGGACCCCACTATGTTACTGATAATTTATGCAGTGAATCTTTCTCCCATTCTTCCCCAAGAAGACCTCTAGCCTTTTACCGGGGTAATTGTGCACTGGGGAAAGGGAAATGATCAGACATTTCAAGGACTGCTGGACACTGGCTTTGAGCTGACATTGATTCCAGGGGACCCAAAACGTCATTGTGGTCCTCCAGTTAAAGTAGGGGCTGATGGAGGCCAGGTAATGAATGGAGTTTTAGCTCAGATCCGACTTACAGTGGGTCCAGTGGGTCCCTGGACTCATCCTGTGGTCATTTCCCCAGTGCCAGAATGCATAACTGACATAGACATACTCAGCAGCTGGCAGAACCCCCACATTGGCTCCCTGACTGGTAGGGTGAGGGCTACTATAGTAGGAAAGACCAAAAGAAAACCATTAGTACTGCCTCTACCTAGAAAAATCATAAATCAAAAACAATATCGTATCCCTGGAGGGATTGCAGAGATTAGTGCCACCATCAAGGACCTGAGAGACACAGGGGTGGTGAACTGCCTATAATGAAGTGGGTCCTTTCTGATCCATCTAGCCATAAAGTGGGTCATGCACAGCAGCATTCCATCATCAAATGTAAGTGGTATATACGTGATTGAGCTCAAGAAGTTTCTGAAGGCACAAGTAAGTTACATGAGGAAGTGGCTCAAATGCCATGGTCTCCACTCCTGCCACCCTGCCTTCTCTTCCCCAGCCTGCACCGATGGCCTCATGGGGAGTTCCCTATGATCAGTCGACAGAGGAAGAGAAGACTAGGGCCTAGTTCACAGATGGTTCTGCACGATATGCAGGCACCACCTGAAATTGGACAGCTGCAGCACTACAACCCCTTGCTAGGACATCCCTGAAGGATAGCAGTGAAGGGAAATCTTCCCAGAGGGCACAACTTCTAGCAGTACACCTGGTTGTGCACTTTGCATGGAAGAGAAATGGCCAGATGTGTGATTATATACTGATTCGTGGGCTGTGGACAATGGTTTGACTGGATGATCAGTGACTTGGAAGAAGCATGATTGGAAAATTGGTGACAAATAAATTTGGGGAAAAGGTATGTGGATGGACTTCTCTGAGTGGTCAAAAACCGTGATGATATTTGTATGCCATGTGAGTGCTCACCAACAGGTAAGCTCAGCAGAGGAGAATTTTAATAATCAAATAGATAGGATGACCCATTCTGTGGACACCACTCAGCCTCTTTCCCCAGTCACTCCTGTCATCACCCAATGGACCCATGAACAAAGTGGCCATGGTGGCAGGGATGGAGGTTACACATGGGCTCAGCAACATGGACTTCCACTCACCAAGGCTGACCTGTCTATGTCCACAGCTGAATATCCAATTTGCTAGCAGCAGAGACCAACACTGAGCCCTCAGTATGGCACCATTCCTTGGGGTGATCAGCCTGCTACCTGGTGGCAGGTTGATTACATTGGACCTCTTCCATCATGGAATGGGTAGACATTTGTCCTCACTGCAATAGACACTTACTCTGCATATAGGTTTGCCTATCCTGTATGCAATGCTTCTGCCAAGATTACCATCTGTGGACTCACGGAATGCCTTATCCACCATCATGGTATTCCACATAGCATTGCCTCTGACCAAGACACTTACTTTACGGATAAAGAAGTGTGGCCGTGGGCTCATGCTCATGGAATTCATTCATCTTACCATGTTCTCCATGAGCCTGAAGCAGCTGGATTGATAGAGTGGTGGAATGGTATTTTGAAGTCACAATTACAATGCCACCTAGGTGAGAATACTTTGCAGGACTGGGGCAAAGTTCTCCAGAAGACCTTGTATGCCCTGAATCAGCATCCAGTATATGGTACTGTTTCTCCCATAGCCAGGATTCATGGGTCCAGGAATCAAGGGGTGGAAGTGGAAGTGGCACCACTCACCATCATTCCTGATGATACCCTAGCAAAATTGTTGCTTCCTGTTTCCAGGACATTACATTCTGCTGACCTAATGGTCTTAGTTCCAGAGTGGGGAAAGCTGCCACTAGGATACACAACAACGACTCCATTAAACCAGAAGTTAAGATTGTCACCTGGACAATTTGGTTTCCTTCTACCTTTAAGTCAACAGGCTATGAAGGGAGTTGCAGTGTTGGCTGGGTTGATTGACCCAGACTATCAAGATGAAATCAGTCTACTACTCCACAACAGAGGCAAGGAAGAGCATGCATGGAATACAGGAGATCCATTAGGGCATCTCTTAGTATTACCATGCCCTGTGATTAAGGTCAATGGGAAACCACAACAGCCCAATCCAGGCAGGACTACAAATGGCCCAGACCCTTGGAATGAAAGTTTGGGTCACTCAATCAGGAAGAAAAAGAAAAAACAAACAAACAAACAAAAACAAAAAACACGACCTGCTGAGGTGCTTACTGAAAGCAAAGGGAATACAGAATGGGTAGTAGAAGAAGGTAGTCATCACTACCAGCTACTACCACATGACCAGCTACAGAAACGAGGACTGTAATTGTCATGAGTATTTCCTCCTTCTTTTGTTAAAAACATGTTTGTGCATGTATACACTTGTACTAAGAAAATAACTTCATTTTATTTTTTTCTCCTTTATCATGTGACATAAGATTTATTGAATTCACATCAGCATGTAAGTATTGTTAACTTTATGAAATACTATTTGGGTTGGGAATTGGTGCTTTTCCGGTTGTATGAAGGATAGTTGTATCATGTTAGGTGTAATTATGACCTTATTATTGTCTTTATCTGAAGATTATGTATGATCTCAGGAGATTTGCATGGGTTTAAGTTGACAAGAAGTGTACTTCTGATGGCTAATACTGAATGCCAACTTGATTGGATTGAAAGATACAAAATATTGATCCTGGGTGTGTCTGCGAGTGCGTTGCCAAAGGAGATTAACATTAGAGTCAGTGGACTGGGAAAGGCAGACCCACCCTTAATCTGGGCTGGCAAAATCTAATCAACTGCCAGGGAGGCAGGCCAAAAAATGTGAAAAAGAGAGACTAGCCTAGCCTCCCAGCCTACATCTTTCTCCCGTGCTGGGTGCTTCCTGCCCTCAAACATAGGACTCCAAGTTCTTCAGTTTTGGAACTCAGACTGGCTCTCATGGCTCTTCAGCATGCAGATGGCCTATTGTGGGACCTTGTGATCGTGTGAGTTAATACTTACTAAACTCCCCTTTATATATATATGTGTGTCCCTCTAGAGAACGCTGACTAATAAACCAACTTCAAAATATACTACAAAAACAACATGGTACTGATACCAAAACAGACACATAGACCAATGGAACAGAATAGAGAGCTCAGAAATAAATCCACACATCTACAACCATCTGATCTTCAACAAACTGGACAAAAACAAGCAATGGGGAAAGATTCCCTATTTAATTAATCGTGCTGGGAAAACTGGCTAGCCATATGCAGAAAATTGAAGCTGGACCCCTTCCTTGCACCTTATAAAAAATTAACTCAAGATGGGTTAAAAACTTAAAAGTAAAACTCCACACTATAAAAACTCTAGAAGAAAATCCAGGTGATACCATTCAGGACACAGGCACGGGCAAAGAATTCATGATGGAAACATCAAAAGGAATTGCAATGAAAGCAAAAATTGACAAATGGGATCCAAACCAAAGAGCTTCTGAATGGCAAAAGAAACTATCATCAGAGTGAACAGACAATCTATGGAATGGGAGAAAATTTTGCAATCTATCCATCTGACAAAGGTCTAATATCCAGAATCTACAAGGAATGTAAACAAATTTACAAGAGAAAAACAAACAACGCCATCAAAAATTGGGTAAAGGATATGAACAGATACTTCTCAGAAGAAGACATTCATGTGGCCAAAAAACATATGAAAAAAAGCCCAACATCACTGATCCTTAGAGAAATGCAAATCAAAAACCACAATGAGATACCATCTCATGCCAGTCAGAATGGCACTTATTAAAAAGTCAAGAAACAATAGATGCTGGCAAAGCTGTGGAGAAACAGGACCACTTTTACACTGTTGGTGGGAAGTAAATTAGTTCAACCATTGTGGAAAACAGTGTGGCGATTCCTCAAAGATCTAGAAGTGGAAATACCATTTGACCCAGCAATCTCATTACTGGGTATATACCCAAAGGAATATAAATCATTCTGTTATAAAGATACATGCACGAGTATGTTCGTTGCAGCACTATTCAAAATAGCAAAGACATGGAATCAGCCCAGATGCACATCAATGATAGACTGTATGGAGAAGGTGTGGTGCATATACACCATGGAGTGCTATGCAGCCATAGGAGGGAGTGAGATCATGTCCTTTGCAGGGACACGGATGGAGCTGGAAGCCACTATCCTCAGCAAACTAACACAGGAACAGAAAACCAAGCACTGCATGTTCTCACTTATAAGTGGGAGCTGAACAATGAGAATGCATGGACACAGGAAGGGGAACAACACACACTGGGGACTGTCAGGTGGGGGGCGGGGGCATGGAGAGCATCGGGAAAAATAGCTAATGCATCCTGGGCTTAATACCTAGGTGATGTGTTGATAGGTGCAGCAAACCACCATGGCCCACGTTTACCTATGTAACAAACCTGCATGTCCTGCACATGTATCCCAGAACTTAAAATAAAATCAAATAAAATATTTAAAAAATGAAGTAATCTCTAACTACTGTTGAAGCAATGTTATGGTGGCTACTTTAAAATATTCATCAGATATTTCCAACTTCTGATTAACTTCAGTATTGCCATTAATTAATTTTTTTAATTCCAGTTGTGATTTGCCTGGATCTTGGTATGATGGGTGAATTTCTATTATATTGTGTATATTTTGGATATTAGGAAACTCAATGCTATATAGATCTTCTATTTTAGCAAGCAGTCACCTTGTTTAGGTTTAGTACATAGGTTCTGGCCTACTTTTATGGTCTGTAGTCCCAATATCATTTGATTTTCTGAGCTCTTATGGTACTATTCTGGTCAGTTTCCTTCTAGCTCCACTCAAGTTCCTGCTGGATCCTTGCTGGTGCCATCTGGTATCATTAGGTGTGGAATGGAGATACCAGACCCACAAGATGAAAAGTTTTTCTCCTGACCTGTTCCCCCATCACTGGATGCCTGCCAGTGGGCTTCCCACTATTATTTCTGCTTTTGCCTCTAGGGGAGGAAAGTACCTGCATGGACCACCTTCTGACACTAGGTGGAGGGGCCAGAAGCTGCTGAGCCTGTGTGGCTTTCTGCCATTCAAAGGAGAGTCAGGATACAATATCCCTGGGTTATATTCTGCTGCTGGATAAAACCCAGGAGACATCAGGCATGCTAGTGCCTCTACTGTGGGCAAAGGGGCCCACTTGCTGCCTCTTATTATTGGATGTGAGGTGAGTTGTCCTGACCAAGTTCTGCTATTACTGCTGTAGGCAGATTGGGTCCACTTCAGCTGGCAGGTGAGGGATGTAAGGTGGGCTAGCACCACCAGGGTCAGTCCATTTTTGCCACTGCTTCTAATGGGTAGACCTGCTTCTACCAGCAAGTATATTTCTTCCTAGTAAGTCCCTGCTGGGTTTCCCATTTGGCCAGAGAGAGCAAATGTTTTTTGTTTTTACTTATTGGGTAGTTTGTCTACACTTGTTGGTTTTTCTACATTGCAGAGCGCTTCAGCACACAGTTCAGGCTACTTGGGATATAAAGATAAGACCCAAGGAGCTCACTGCAGTGTCCTTCTCCAAATTCTGAGTTAGCCAATCCACCATTTTTTCCATCTTTTGGATATTCTTTATGATTGTATTTAGTTATATTTAGATAGAAACAGAGAAAATGTAGTCTATGTCATCTTGTCCAACATCATTCTTTATAAGGGCTTTCCAAGTCATCATTAAAGCCAATTTGACATTATTTACACTTTTCTGGGTAATAAAAATATCCAGTGATTTCTACATTTCAGCGTATATTACACTATAACAGAAGTTGGCAAACTATGGTCTTCTGTGGGCCAAATCAGCCCATATATTCCAAAGTCTGAGTTGAATAGTTGCAACAGAGACTATATGTGTCTTGCAAGTCCTAAAATAATTTTTATATGTCTCTTTACCAAAAAATCGCTATTCCTTGCACTATAATATTTTAAGCTTAGTTAACTAATTAATTTGGAAGTATGGACACCACCACAGAAAAGAGTGTTATTACAGTGCTAAAATGAATTTTTTGTGGAAGGAAAGAAGGTATCAATTCAAGTGACAGGGTTAATTTTTTAACAAGAGAGGACCATAGCACTGCACCACTAAAACCCAATTATGGTAATATCAATATTCATTCACTAATTCATACAGGTATTTATTTTTTATTTATTTACTTATTTGTTTATTTAATAAGCATCCATTGAACATTATAATAGGTATGGTAGCAACAATAGAGCTCATATATAATAACACAGATACACTGGCACACAGAGGACATTTAATGAACATTAATTGATGGAATAAATTATGAATATTGACTAAAGTCCCAGTTCTCAAGAAACCCACAATTTAGTAATAGATCAATGAGGGAGATAGATACATAAAATGATAATCATATTACAAATGGAAATGTGCTTAAGTAGTATTATGAGAACCTCCTAGATGGGTATAGCAGAAATCACAGTTCTCCACCATTTTTCTCCCTTTCTTGGGCACACAACCATACTACATTCTAATCTCTAATGCAATTATATGTGGCCAGGTGAATAAGCTGTCTCCAGTGAAATGAGAACAGAAATGGTGTACCTCATTTCCAGATCTGGGTTTTAAAACCTCCCATGCATGCTCCTCTGTTCTCTTTTCCCCTTCTGTATGCCTGGGGTGCCAACATTCAAGGCAACTTAAAAGCCCTGTTTTAAAGATTGGAGTGCTTTCTCAGCTTAGGTCTTGAATGACTAGATAGAAGACAGCTATCTCACCATCTCACCAACCTGAAAAATCTTTCACAACTATTAAAAGACAAAGACAAAAATATTTATACAGTGCTAATGTGTGATAAAATTTGGGAGCCTATTTGTTAAAGCAGCCTGAATTTCCAATACTAACAGTGAAGTAATAACTTAACTATGCCTGGCGAAGTTAGGCAAGGCTTCACAGAGGAGATAATGCCTGAGTTGGGTGTTAAAAATTAATGAGTTGCCTTGGTGTCAATGAAAAGAAAGGTATGTATGGTTGCAGCATGGGAGAATGAGATAGAAATAGAGAAAATGATAGGAAAGGAGGCTGGAGAGCAGATTAGGACTGACTGTGAAGGGTCTTTTTTGTATGTAGGGAGTTTTACTTTATCATTTTGTTATTGAAGAGAAACTGAAGGTTTTTAAACTCGACAGTAAAACAATCAAGATAGTAGTTGAGAAGTGCTACTGAAAGCACCAACAGTGATAGATTAGCCTTTGGTTGCATCAAAAATAGAATTCTTTGTAACTACCCTGTCTCCAAGTTTTAATGCCATAATTGAGATCAGAAATTTGTTAGAATTAAAGCCACTACTGAAAAAAATGCATACTCAAAAATCTCAAAAAGACAGTTTTAGCATAGAGGTAGAAGAATTAGAACTCCAGTTTGTGGCCTAATTAAAATGATATTTGTATTTTGTTTTAGAGGTGAACAAATTCATCTCAATCAGACATTTTAACAATTCTTAATATTTTGCAAATTCTGTAATACTTGAATATTGTGCTTTTGACTTCTGGGAGTATTAAAAGCCTTATCTGTAAGTATGAGGTGGTTGACAGAAATGAATACAAGGTTGATTTCATCATTCGCATTATATAAATTATGGTATTATATAATGATGGTGTTTACTTCAGATTTGGAAATCTTAGCATTGATTTTGGATCTTTCAAAACATTAAATTATTTTTCTTTGAAATTTACTTCATTTATGTCTAAAATAACATTTAAATGAATATAACTTCATTTCTGAATAGTATCATAGCTATCCACAACTGTCAAAAAAAATTGTTAACTATTAATAGAAATTCCCTATGCTTAGTATAAATTAGCAGAAATTGTATATTGTAACAGTATATGAAATGCTTTTCTATAATGTAAAGGCATAATGAAAGTTTTTATTAAGATTTAGGGGAGTGAGGGGGAAGTGGGGATGTTTATTCAGTACAAGAAACAGAAAGAATGAATAAGACCTAGCATTTGACAGCACAACAGAGTGACTATAGTCAAAAATAATTTAATTGTACATTATTAAATGAATAAAAGAGTATAACTGGATTATTTGTAGCACAAAGGATAAACGCATGAGGTGATCGATAACCCCATTTACCCTGATGTGATTATTATGCATTGCATGCCTGTATCAAAATATCTCATGTAACCCATAAATATGTACACCTACTATATACCCACAAAAATTTTAAATAAATAAATAAATTTTAAAAATAAATAAAATATGTGGGGAACTCAATGTAAATAAAAAGCAAAAAATGTCATAAATTCAGAAATTGTAAAGATTAACTGAGAATTACTTTCTTTTACTTCAAATTATGGCATTGTTTGACAAGAATCTGACAACTTAACTTTTTGTAGAAAAAAAATTCAGGACTTTGAAAATTATTATATCACTAAAGAATATTATACCCTAAAAATAACAGTGCAGAATATAGGCCATTCCATATTTTCAAAGCATCACTGCCAAAAGAAGTTGATTCTCCCCTTATCACAAAGACAGACAAATCTTTAATCAGGTGATAGAGATAATTCACTCATCACAATACACCTTTGTGTATACACTTTGAAATACTGAGCCCTATAATCTATAGAAATTGCCAAAGTGTGTTCCATTTTATCTCAGCTCTGCAGAAAGATAACGCTGAAGGTTTTGATAACATTTCTTCAAGTACACTGGTAAGTAAAGATGTCTTTGAAGGCTTTCTTTTTAAAAATGAAGCAATGAACTCATCCTTTTTATGGCTGCATAGTATTCCATGGTGTATATGTGCCACATTTTCTTAATCCAGTCTATCATTGATGGGCATTTGGGTTGGTTCCAAGTCTTTGCTATTGTGAATAGTGCCGCAATAAACACACGTGTGCATGTCCTTTGTAGGGACATGGATGAAGCTGGAAACCATCATTCTCAGTAAACTATCACAAGGACAAAAAACCAAACACCGCATGTTTTCACTCACAGGTGGGAATTCAACAATGAGAACACTAGGACACAGGAAAGGGAACATCACACACAGGGGCCTGTCATAGGGTGAGGGGAGGGGGGAGGGATAGCATTAGGAGATATACCTAATGTAAATGACGAGTTAATGGGTGCAGCACACCAACATGGCACATGTATACATATGTAACAATTCTGCACGTTGGGCACATGTACCCTAGAACTTAAAGTATAATAAAAATAAAAATAAAAATGAAGCAATGAATAATGCCGAATGAATTCAGAGTTAACTCTTGTAATCTGATCTTCAAGGAGAGAAGAAAAAAAGTTGATAATAGCAATTATAATGGAATTTATTTGTTTTTCATTATTGATATATTGTTTCTAGTCCTTCTGTATCAACCGTATTGTCAACCATGACTACCACAAAATAAAAATATGTCTACCACCAAAAAAATAGTACAATATTTTTGGTGCACACAAAATATAGTAAAACATATAAACCACATTTTTCTTGTCCTCTTGAAAGCAGCATGACAGACTACATGCTCAGACTGATCTTCTATCTGAAAAACAACAAAAATAATAGGTCAAATATTTTTCAAAAGATTGTTAACACCTTTTATGAACTGACAAAAAGTGAGGAATTGTTAGGCCAGGGATTAAATGAAAAGGATAGCTACCCAGAAAGTTAAGTACAGCCCTGAAGCTTTTATGTTAATAACACTTGCCAAACTAGATGAAATTAAGCATTACTTTTTGAAGACTTAAAGGATTTGGGGAACAGAAGACAAAGTTGAGGAACCCCTAAAGTGAGAAATGAATTTAAAAATTCTTCCATAAATTTGGAATCTCTGATGTTTGAAGCTTATTTAATAGTAATCCACATATAAACTGGCTTCGGAAGGGGACCAAAAAGAAAATGGATTATCTTGAATCTTGGTGCTAAGTGATGATAGAAAAATAATTCCTGAGAACTCATAAACAGAAGAAAGCTTCAAGTAGGTTTACTTATACAACATTTTTTACCAAGAATATCCAAAAACTCAAACAGAAAATTAATTAAAGTGGTTTTAGACTATTGGTATCCCCACACATCTCAAATATATAACCCAAACATTTTCTGTAGGTACTCACCTAAGCATCATTTAATCTCCACTGATGAACATTCAAAGCAAGTAAGTGACTGATAGTCAAAAGTCTCTATGCTCAAATGGTTAAGAAGAAAGCACCATAAAAGACAGCAGAAAAGAAACAAGAGAATCAAACCAAAAAAAAAAAACAAAACTAAAGTTCAAATCTTGAAATTATAAGACAGAGAACATAAAGCAAGTATACTTAATATATTACAAAAATGAGAAATGTTTAAAAATAAGTAATGAACAAACTATAGAAATGATCCCACACATGTACCCTAAAACTTAAAGTATAATAATAATTTAAAAAATGAAAGAAACATGAAAAAAATAATAAGTAATGAACATGGCAATTTTTAAAAAAATAGAAATTCAAAACATTAACAATATAGTAAATGAGATTATAAACTCAACGGACAGATTTAACAGCAGGTCAAATAAAGCCAAAGACAGAATTAGATATCTGTAAAAAAAAAATTCAAGAAATTTTCTTTTTCTTATTATTATACTTTAAGTTCTAGGGTACATGTGCACCACGTGCAGGTTTGTTACATATGTATACATGTGCCATGTTGGTGTGCTGCACCCATCAACTCGTCATTTACATTAGGTGTTTCTCCTAATGCTATCACTCCCCCAGACCCCCATCCTCAACAGGCCCTGGTGTGTGATATTCCCTGCCCTGTGTCCAAGTGTTCTCATTGTTCAACTCCCACCTATGAGTGAGAACATGTGGTGTTTGCTTTTCTGTCTTTGTGATAGTTTGCTGAGAATGATGACGTCCAGCTTCATCAATGTCCCTGCAAATGACATGAAACTCATTCTTTTTTTCATGGTTGCATAGTATTCCATAGTGTATACGTGCCACATTTTCTTAATCCAGTGTATCATTGACGGAGATTTGGTTTGGTTCCAAGTCTTTGCTATTGTGAATAGTGCTGCAATAAACACACGTGTGCATGTGTCTTTATAGTAGCATGATTTATAATCTTCTGGGTATATACTCAGTAATGGGATTGCTGGGTCAAATGGTATTTCTAGTTCTAGATCCTTGAGGAATCGCCACACTGTCTGCCACAATGGTTGAACTAATTTGCATTCCCACTAACAGTGTAAAAGTGTTCCTATTTCTCCACATCCTCTCCAGCGTCTGTTTTTTCCTGACTTTTAATGATCGCCATTATAACTGACGTGAGACGGTATCTCATTGTGGTTTTGATTTGTATTTCTCTGATGACCAGTGATGATGAGCATTTTTCATGTGTCTATTGGGTGCATAAATGTCTTCTTTTGAGAAGTGTCTGTTCATATTCTTTGCCCACTTTTTGATGTGGTTGTTTTTTTTTCTTGTACATTTGTTTAAGTTGTAGATTCTGGATATTAGCCTTTTGTCAGATGGGTAGATAGTAAAAATTTTCTCCCATTCCGCAGGTTGCCTGTTCACTCTGATGATAGTTTATTTTGCTGTGCAGAAGCTCTTTAGTTTAATTAGATCACATTTGTCTATTTTGGCTTTTGTTGACATTGCTTTTGGTGTTTTAGTCATGAAGTGTTTGCCCATGCCTATGTCCTGAATGGTATTGCCTAGGTTTACTTCTAGCGTTTTTATGGTTTTAGGTCTAACATTTAAGTCTTTAATGCATCTTGAGTTAATTTTTGTATAAGGTGTAAGGAAGGAATTCAGTTTCAGCTTTCTACATATGGCTAGCCAGTTTTCCCAGCACAATTTATTAAATAGGGAATCCTTTCCCATTGCTGGTTTTTTTCAGGTTTGTCAAAGATCAGATGGTTGTAAATGTGTGGTGTTACTTCTGAGATTTGGCTCTCTGTCTGTTATTGGTGTACAGGAATGCTTGTGATTTTTGCACATTGATTTTGTATCCTGAGACTTTGATGAAGTTGCTTATCAGCTTAATGAGATTTGAGGCTGAGACAATGGGGCTTCCTAAATATACAGTAATGTCATCTGCAAACAGGGACAATTTGACTTCCTCTTTTCCTAATTGAATTCCCTTTATTTCTTTCTCTTGCCTGACTACCCTGGCAAGAACTTCCAACACTATGTTGAATGGGAGTGGTGAGAGAGGGCATCCTTGTCTTGTTCCGGTTTTCAAAGGGAATGCTTCCAGTTTTTGCCCATTCAGTATGATATTGGCTGTGGGTTTGTCATATATCACTCTTATTATTTTGATATATGTTCCATGAATACCTAGTTTTTTGAGAGTTTTTAGCAAGAAGCGCTGTTGAATTTTGTCAAAGACCTTTTCTGCATCTATTGACATAATCATGTGGTTTTTGTCATTGGTTCTGTTTATGTGATGGATTACATTTATTGATGTGCATATGTTGAACCAGCCTTGCATCCCAGGGATGAAGCCACCTTGATCCTGGATAAGCTTTTTGATATGCTGCTGGATTCGGTTTGCCAGTATTTTATTGGGGATTTTTGCATCGAAGTTCATCAGGGATATTGTTCTAAAATTTTCTTTTTCGTTGTGTCTCTGCCAGGATTTGGTATCAGGATGATGCTGGTCTCATAAAATGAGTTAGGGAGGATGCCCTCTTTTTCTTTTGATTGGAATAGTTTCAGAAGGAATGGTACCAGCTCCTCTTTGTGCCAATGGTAGAATTTGGCTGTGAATCTGTCTGGACCTGGACTTTTTTTGGTTAATAGGCTATTAATTATTGTCTCAATTTTAGAACCTATCGGTCTATTCAGAGATTCAACTTCTTCCAGGTTTAGTCTTGGAAGGGTGTTTGTGTCCAGGAATTCATCCATTTTTCTAGATTTTCTAGTTTATTTGTGTAGAGGTGTTTATAGTATTCTCTGATGGTAGTTTGTATTTCTGTGGGATTGGTGGTGATATCCCCTTTATCTTTTTTTTTTTTTTTTTTTTTGCATCTATTTGATTCCTCTGTCTTTTCTTCTTTATTAGTCTTGTGGTCTATTTTATTGATCTTTTCAAAAAACCAGCTCCTGGATTCATTGATTTTTTGAGGGTTTTTTCATGTCTCTATCTCCTTCAGTTCTGCCCTGATCTTAGTTATTTCTTGCCTTCTGCTAGCTTTTGAATTTGTTTGCTCTTGCTTCTCTAGTTCTTTTAATTGTGATGTTAGGGTGTTGATTTTGGATCTTTCCTGCTTTCTCCTGTGGGCATTTAGTGCTATAAATTTCACTCTACATGCTGTTTTAAATGTGTCCCAGAGATTCTGGTATGTTGTGTCTTTGTTCTCATTGGTTTCAAAGAACATCTTTATTTCTGCCTTAATTTTGTTACTTACCCAGTAGTCATTCAGGAGCAGGTTATTCAGTTTCCATGTAGTTGTGTGGTTTTGAGTGAATTTCTTACTCCTGAGTTCTAATTTGATTGCACTGTGGTCTGAGAGACAGTTTGTTGTGATTTCTCTTCTTTTACATTTGCTGAGGAGTGCTTTACTTCTAATTATATGGTCAAGTTTAGAATAAGTGCAATGTGTCCTGAGAAGAATGTATATTCTGTTGATTTGGGGTGGAGAGTTCTGTAGATGTCTATTAGGTCCACTCGGTGCAGAGCTGAGTTCAGGTCCTGGATATTCTTGTTAACTTTCTGTCTCATTGATCTGTCTAATATTGAGAGTGGAGTGTTAAAGCCTCCTATTATGATTGTGTGGGAGTCAAAGTCTCTTGGTAGTCTTTAAGAACTTGCTTTATGAATCTGAGTGCTCCTGTATTGGGTGAATATATATTTAGGATAGTTAGCTCTTTTTGTTGAATTGATCCCTTTACCATTATGTAATGGCCTTTGTCTCTTTTGATCTTTGTTGCTTTAAAGTGTGTTTTATCAGAGACTAGGATTGCAACTGCTGCTTTTTTTGCTTTCCATTTGCTTGGTAGATCTTCTTCCATCACTTTATTTTGAGCCTATGTGTGTCTCTGCATGTGAGATGGGTTTCCTGAATACAGCACACTGATGGGTGTGCTCTTTATCCAATTCGCCAGTCTGTGTCTTTTAATTGGGGCATTTAGTTCATTTACATTTAAGGTTAATATTGTTATGTGTGAATTTGATCCTGTCTTTATGATGTTTGCTGGTTATTTTGCCCATTAATTGATGCAGTTTCTTTCATAGCATCGATGATCTTTACAATTTGACATGTTTTTGCAGTGGCTGGTACCGTTTGTTAATTTCCATGTTTAGTGTTTCCTTCAGGAGCTCTTGTAGGGCAGGCCTGGTGGTGACAAAATCTCTCAGCATTTGCTTGTCTGTAAAGGATCTTATTTCTCCTTCACTTATGAAGCTTAGTTTGGCTGTATATGAAATTCTGTGTTGAAAATTCTTTTCTTTAAGAATGTTGAATATTGGCCCTCACTCTCTTCTGGCTTATAGGGTTTCTGCCAAGAGATCCGCTGTTAGTCTGATGGGCTTCCCTTTGTGGGTATCCCGACCTTTCTCTCTGGCTTCCCCTAACATTTTTTCCTTCATTTCAACCTTGGTAAATCTGACAATTATGTATCTCGGGGTTGCTCTTCTTAAGGAGTATCTTTGTGGTGTTCTCTGTATTTCCTGAATTTGAATGTTGGCCTGCCTTGCTAGGTTGGGGAAGTTCTCCTGGATAATATCCTGAAGAGTGTGTTCTAACTTGGTTCCATTCTCCCCGTCACTTTCAGGTACACCAATCAAATGTAGATTTGTTCTTTTCACATAGTCCCATGTTTTTTGGAGGCTTTTTTCATTTCTTTTTGCTCTTTTTTCTCTAATCTTGTCTTCTCACTTTATTTCATTAATTTTATCTTCAGTCACTGATATCCTTTCTTCTACCTGGTCAAATCAGGTATTGAAGCTTGTGCATGCATCACAAACTTCTCATGCTGTGGTTTTCAGGTCCATCAGGTCATTTAAGGTCTTCTCTACACTATTTCTTCTAGTTAGCCATTCGTCTAACCTATTTTCAAGGTTTTTAGCTTTCTTGCGGTGGGTTAGAATATCCTCCTTTAGCTCGGAGAAGTTTATTATTACTGACCTTCTGAAGCCTATTTCTGTCAACTCATCAAACTCATTCTCCATCCAGTTTTGTTCAGTTGCTGGTGAGGAGCTGTGATCCTTTGGAGGAGAAGAAGCACTCTGGTTTTTGGAATTTTCAGCTTTTCTGCTCTGGTCTCTCCCCATCTTTATGGTTTTATCTACCTTTGGTATTTGATGTTGGTGACCTACAGGTGGGGTTTTGTTGTGGATGTCCTTTTTGTTGATGTTGATGCTGCTCATTTCTGTTTGTTACTTTTCCTTCTAACAGTCAGTCCCCTCAACTGCAGGTCTGTTGGAGTTTGCTGGAGTTCCATTCCAGACCCTATTTGCCTGGGTATCACCAGCAGAGGCTGCAGAACAGTAAATATTGCAGAATAGCAAATATTGCTACCGATCCTTCCTTTGGAAGCTTTGTCCCAGAGGGGCTCCTGCCTGTATGAGGTGTCTGTCAGCCCCTACTGGGGGGAGTCTCCCAGTCAGGCTACACGGGGTTCAGGGACCCACTTGAGGAGGCAGTCTGTCCATTACTGGAGCTTGAATACTGTGCAGCGAGACCCACTGCTCTCTTCAGAGCTATCAGACAGGGATGTTTAAGTCCGCAGAGGTTGTCTGCTGCCTTTTATTCAGCTATGCCCTGCCCACAGTGGTATAATCTAGAGAGCAGGCTGTGCTGAGCTGCAGTGGGGTCCACCCAGTTTGAGCTTCCCAGCAGGTTTGTTTACCTACTCAAGCCTCAGCATTGGCAGATGCCCCTCCCCCCACCAGGCTGCAGCTTCACAGGTTGATCTCAGACTGCTGTGCTAGCAGTGAGCAAGGCTCCTTGGGTGTGGGACCCACCGAGCCAGGCATGGGATGGAATCCCCTGGTGCGCCAGTTGCTAAGACTGTGGGAAAACCACAATATTTGGCTGGAAGTGTACCGTTCCTCCACGTACAGTCTGTCACAGCTTCCCTTGGCTAGGAAAGGGAAATCCCCCAAGGCCTTGCACTTCCTGGGTAAGGCAAAGCCCCGCCCTGCTTTGGCTCACTGTCCATGGGCTGCACCCACTGTCCAACCAGTCCCAATGAGATGAACTTGGTACCTCAGTTGGAAATGCAGAAATCACCCATCTTCTGCATCGATCACACTGGGAGCTGCAGACCGGAGCTGTTCCTATTCAGCCATCTTGGAAGATCTCCCAAAAATTGAAGAAATTTTTTTAAATGCTATCCAAAAAACAATGTGGAAAATGTAAAAAAGAGAGTAAGAAAGCAGGAAGACAGAATAAGAATATATAACACATGTCCAATTGAAGTTGAATAGGAGAGGAGAGAAAAAGTAGGTTAGAAATAACTCATGAGATAATGGCAGAGAATTTCCAGAAGTTAGGTTTGGTGATCAAAGCCACCAATAAATAGATTCAAGAAACCTAATGATTCCCAAACAAGATGAATAAAACAGAAATCCACACCTTGATACAGCATGAACTTCAAAATGTCAAAGATAAAGAGAAGACTTTAAAAGTAATCAGAAATGTTTACTATGCTGATAAAAAGAAAAAATAAACTGTCAAAGTAGAATTTTACACATTAAAAATACCTTTAAAGAATGAGAAGAGAATAATGATTTTTAAACCAAAAAAAGATATGTAACCAGTAATTCCTCACTAAAACAAATTCAAACATACAATTTCAAGGATACAATTTAGATGGGGAAGAGAACAAGATAGAAGACCTGAGATGCAAGAAAGATAAAGAAAATGTTGAATACGTAGTTTACAATTTCTAGGGTAAAAACTATAAAAGTAAGAATAGAGTATTTTAAAGAAGATGTACAAATGGCTAACAAATATGTGAAAAGATGGTCAACATCAGCAGTCATAAGAGAAATACAAATTAAAACCTTAATGAGATATTACCTCATACATGTTAGGAAGATCACTATCAAAAGAACAGAAAACAACAAGTGTTGAGGATGTGGACAAATTGGAACCCTTGTGCATTGCTAGTGGGAATGTGAAATGGTGTAACCATTATAGAAAACAGAATATATGTTGCTCAAAAAATTAAAAATAATATAAATTACCATGTGATCCAGTAATGCCACTTTTGGATGTATATTCTGCCTTGGTAAATTTTGTAGTGTTGTAACAGAATATCAGAAACAGTGTATTTTATAATTAAGATAAATTTATTTCTCACAGTCCTGGAGGCTGTGGAGCCCGAAGTCAAGGTGTTTGCAGCTTTGATGTCTGGTGAGAATCTGATCTCTGCTGCCAGGATGACACTTGGAATTCTGCACGCTCCAAAGGTGAAGAATGCTATGTTCCTCACATGGCAGAAGGCAGAAGGGAAAAAAAAAGGGATAAAGTCCCTCCACCAAGCCCTTTTATAAGGGCATTAATCCATTCATGAGGGTAGAGCCTTGAGGACCTAAGCATCTCCCAAAGGCCACACCTCTCAACACTGTTGAATTGGGGATTAAGTTTCTAAAACATGAACGTTGGGGAACATGTTAAAATAATATATCCAAAGGCTTGGCATGGTGGCCCATGCCTGTAATCCCAGCACTTTGGGAGGTCAAGGCGGGTGGATCATGAGGTCAGGAGTTTGAGATCAGCCTGATCAACATGGTGAAACCCCGTCTATACTAAAAATAGAAAAATTAGTTAAGCGTGGTGGCACGTGCTTGTAATCCCATCTACTCAGGAGACTGAGGCAGGAGAATTGCTTGAACCCAGGAGGCGGAGGTTGCAGTAAGCAGAGGTCACGCCACTGCACTCCAGCCTGGGTGACAGAGTGAGACTCCATATACATATATATTCAAAATAATTCAAGGCAGGATCTTGAAGAAATAATTGAACACACATGTTTATTCTATAATTCTTCACAATAGCCAAGAGATGGAAGCAACACAAATGTCTGTTAGCAGATAAATGTATAAAGAAAATGTGGTATGCACATACAATGGAATATTATGTAGGCTTAGAAAATAAGGAAATCCTATCACATGCTACAACATGGATAAGCCTTGAAGACATTAGGCTAAGCAAAACAATGCAGTCACAAGGGTACACATACTGCATTATTCCATTCATAGGAGGTATCTAAAGTAATCAAATTATAGAAACAGAAGGTGGAAAGGTGTTTGCAAAGGGTTAGAGGGAGAGAGTAGAGAATATTAGAGTTTAATGGGTATAGAGATTCAGTTTTACAAGATAAAAAAGTTATAGAGATATGTTACACACCAATGTAGATATACTTAACACTACTGAACTGTACATTTGAAAAAGGTTAAGATGGCAAATTTAAGGTTTTTTTTTTACCACAATAAAAAAGAGAATAACTTCCATATAAACAAAAGAATGAATAAAATGGGGAAATAATTAATAAATCAAAAGATGTTAGCCAATAAAGCAAACAAATATAGAAATGGCAAGAAAAACAGAATATAATGCTGTAAAAAGAAATCTAAATACATCAGAATTACATTGTTTGTAATCGGAAAGTATTCAAAACAATACACATGACCATACATAGGCTAATCCTTGTATAAACTATATTATATTAATATAATGGAGTATATACACCTGTAACAAAAGAATGAGTGGACTTCTGTTTTCCAGCCTAGCATGTAAGGAGGTTGAAATATGTCTTTCTCATTCACAAAACAAGAAAAAAAACTGAACAAAATGAAAATCAATCTCTTTTTAGATTCATCAGGGAACTGATATCACAGGGCAAACCTCTGCCCCCAAACTGGAAGAGATGGACTGATAGAGATGGAGGATCACAACTTACCCTAATGGAAAGCAATGAGCAGAAACCTCCACAGAAACCAGTCTGGGGGAAAACAAAAACAAAAAACAAAAACAAAAAAACCTTATGATGACTACCTAGAAGCTTAGTGTGGACAAGTTTAAGAGTTTAAAATTCCAGACAGCCTAGTCTTAGTGGGGATTGAGGGAGCTTGGTTTTACCTCCAGGAGCTCTATTATATTCCCTTCATGCTTCTGGTAAGACAAGAGATAAAGTAACAATTTAAAAATATGCTCAGAGTATTTTTTTTTCTTAACAAGGGCCACCCTCAAGAGAAGCTATTTTACTGGAGTGTAACCTACTGGAGCTTTACAAAGTCTAACCAACTTGGGGAAAAGGAAAATATCCACCTCCAGCTTTTGCTACCTTCCACATGGAGGAAGCGAAATGTCCAACTCTAGTACCCTCTTAGCCTTCCTGACTGTCCTAAAAAGAAAAACAAACAAACAAACAAAAACCTCAGAAGCACTTGTAAATGTCACAGCCCAGTAGTACAGGATTGCTAAAAAGACTTTGATCTAATCATGGAAATATAGATTGTTGTCCCACTACCCACCCACCACCACAATAGAGCTCATGTATAATACAGAAATAGAACTGAAATAACCCTGTGCCTCAGATGATATTTAATAATTCTCCAAGGAAAACCCAAAGACAATAGGGGAGACAAAGCAAGGACGCTAGAGAAAAGTTTAACTTCTAAATGTACAATGATAGCAAATAGTTAACACAGCCTAAACCCTAACTAGATAAACAAAAAATCTCACATTAAAGGCCTATTTACTTCAGTTCTTTTTAAGCAGTATATTGTGCCTGGCTAAAAAAAATTTACCAAGCATACTAAAAGACAAAAATCAAGTTTGAAGAAACAGAGCAAGCATTAGTCAGACTCAGATATGACAAAGATGATAGAACTATCAAACCAGGAATTTAGAACAACTATAATTAATACGATAAGAACTCTAATAAAAAGTTGGACAACATTAAATAAGATATAGATAATATAAGTGGACAGACAAAAACTTTAAGAAAGAATAAAAAAGAAATGCTAGAAATTACAAATTACTATAACAGAAATGAAGAATTCCTTTGATAGTCTCATTAATAGATTGGACACAGCCAAGGAAAGAATTAGCAATTCTGAAATCCATAAAGAGAAAAGAATGCAAAACAGAACAGAATATTTACCTCAGAACTGAGAGTCAATAACAACAGGTGTAAACACACAGAACGGGAATACCAGAAGGAGAAGAAAGACCCCCCACACCCCCCCAAAAAAAACACAGAATAAATATTTGAAGCAACAATAACAGAAAATTTGCCAAAACTAACAATAAAAACTAACCCACAGATCCAGGAAAGTCAGAGAATACCAAGCAGGATAAATACCAAAAAATCCACACCTAGATATAACATTTTTAAACTTCACAAAATCCAAAGGAAAGAAAAAAAATTGAAAAAATCCTTTGAAGAAGCAAGGATAAAAATTATATTGAGAAGAAAAAGCATAGCAAGATGGCTGAATAGAAGGTTCCACTGATCGTCCCTCTTAAAAGGACACCAATTTAACAACTATCTAGATGGAAGAAACACCTTCATAAGAATCAAAAATGAGGTGAACCCTCACAGTACCTGGTTTTAACTTTGTATTACTGAAAGAGGCACTGAAGAGATAGAAAAAATAGTTTTGAATTGCCTATGCCACCCATCCACCACACCCCAGCAGTGACAGCATGGTGTGGAGAGCATCTGTGGATGCTGTGGGAGGGAGAACACAGCAGTCATAAGGCATTGAACTCAGTGCTGTCCTGTTAGAGCAGAAAGGAAAATCAGAAAAAATGTTGACCATGGAGCGAGCAATTACACCAGCCCTAGCCAGAGGGCTAAGCTAGTCACCACAAGATAAAGTGCTCTGGGTCTCTAAATAAACTTGAAAGGCAGTCTAGGCCATAAGGGCCACAACTCTTAGGTGAGTCCTAGTGCTGAACTGGGCCGAGAGACAATGGACTATGGAAGCATGTGACCTACTGAGACACGAGCTAGGGCAGCTAAGGGAGTGCTGGCATCACCCTCCTAAACCCAGGCTGCACAGCTCACAGCTCCAAAAGAGACTCCTTCATTCTGCTTGAGGAGAGTGAAGGGAAGAGTGGTAGGACTTTGTTGTATATCCTGGATACCAGATCAGCCACAGCAGGACAGGGCACTGGACAGTTGTGAGGCCCCAGTTCCAGGCCCTAGCTCACATGGGAGAAGGCAGACATTTCACCTGGACAGCATTTCTAGACACATTCTGGGCCAGAAGGGAACCCACTGACTTGAAGGGAAGGACTCAGTCCTGGAAGCACTCATCACTTGCTAACTGAAGAACCCTTGGGCCCTGAATAACCAGCAGCGATAATCAGGTACTATATCAAGAGACTTGGATGAGACTCTGAGACTTGCTGGTTTCAGGTGAGACTCATGACATTCCCAATTGAGGTGGTTATGGGGTAAAAGTCCTGCTTCAGGATAGCAGAGGGAAAAGTAAAGTGGACTTTGTCTTGCACCACAGGTACCAGCATGGCCACAGAGAGGTAGAGCACCAAGTGGGCTTTTGGGGTCCTCGATTCCAAGACTTGACTCTTGAATGGCATCTCTGGACATGCCCTGTGCCAGAGGGAAGCCTACTTGCCCTGAAGGGTGAGTCCCAGGTCAGGTAACATTCACCACAAACAGGCTTAAGAGCCCTTGGGACTTAAGTGTACATCAGCAGTAGTCTGGCAGTACTCCCCATGGCCTGTGGAGGCAGAGGCTATGGGGTTAGGCTCTTCAGTCTTTGGAAAGGAGAGGCCAGAGTGAGAAAGACTGAATCTTGTGGTTTGAGTGTGAGCTTGGCAACAGTATAATAGAACACCAGGTAGAATTCTAGGGTTTTTGACTCTTCTAGTCCCTGAATCCTGGATGGCACCTCCGGTCTCCTCCGAGACATGAAGCAACTTGTCACCATGAAGGGAAAGATACAGGCCTGACTAGCTTTGCCACCTGCTAATTGTAGAACTGCAAGGTTTTGAGTGAATATAGGGAGTAGTTACGGCAGGCCTTGGGCAAGGCCTAGAGGTGTGTTTCCTTCCAATCTGACTAAGCATAGTCATAGCGGTGGTGCCACAGGGGTATTTATGTAACTCCCCCCCAAATTTAGGTGATTCAGACCAGAGAGAGAGACTCAATTTGTTTGGGAGAAAGTAAGGAAAAAGAACAAGATTCGCTGCCTGGTAATCGAGAGAATTCTCCCAGATCTGGTCCAAGACCATCAAGGTGGTACCTCTATGAGTCTGCAAGAAACACAGCATTACTGAGCTTGGGGTGCCCCCTGAAGAAGACACAACTTAGATCACAACATCCAAGTCCTTTCAAATATCTGAAAAACCTTCCCATGAAAGCCCAGACAATGAAGACTACAATAAATACCTTACTCTTCTTCAATGCCCAGACACCAATGAACATCCACAAGCATCACCACCATTAAGGAAGACAAGACCTCATCAAATGAACTGAATAAGCCACCAGGGACAAATCCTATAGAAACAGAGATTTGTGACATTTCAGACAGAGAATTTGAAATAGTTACTTTGAGGAAAGTCAAAGAAATTCAAGGGAACACAGAGAAGGAATTCAGAATTCTATCAAATAAATTTAACAAAGAAATTGAAACCATTAAAAAGAATCAAGCAGAAATTCTGGAACTAAATAGTACAACTGGCACACTTAAGAATGAATCAGAGTCTTTTCATAGCAGAATGGATCAAGGAGAAAAAATAAGCGTGAAGGCAGGCTACTTGAAATTACACAGTCAGATACAAAAACAGACATGTAGACCAGTGGAACAGAATAGAGAACTCAGAAATAAGACCTCACACCTACAACCATCTGATCTTTGACAAACCTGACAAAAACAAGCAATGGGGAAAGGATTCCCTATTTAATAAATGGTACTGGAAGAACTGGCTAGCCGTATTCAGAAAATCGAAACTGAACCCCTTCCTTACAACTTATACAAAAATTAACTCAAGATAGATTAAAGACTTAAATATAAAACCCAAAACCATAAAAACCCTAGAAGGAAATCTAGGCAATACCATTCAGGACACAGACACAGGCAAAGATTTCATGAAGAAAACACCAAAAGCAATTGCAATGAAAGCAAAAATTGATAAATAGGACTTAATTAAACTAAGGAGTTTCTGCACAGCAAAAGAAATTATTATCAGAGTGAATAGATAGCCTGCAGAATGGGAGAAAAGTTTATCAATCTATCCATCTGACAAAGGTATAACATCCAGAGTCTACAAGGAACTTAAACAAATTTATAAGAAAAAACAAAGAACCTCATTAAAAATGGGCAAAAGACATGAACAGATACTTCTCGAAAGAAGATATTCATGCAGCCAACAAACCTATTAAAAAAAAAAAAAGCTTAAGCCAGGCACAGTGGCTCAAGCCTGTAATCTCAGCACTTTGGGAGGCCAAAGCGGGTGGATCACCTGAGGTCAGAAGTTCGAGTCCAGCCTGGCCAACATGGTGAAACCCCGTCTTTACTAAACATATAAAAATTAACCGGGTATGGTGGCCCATGCCTGTAATCCCAGCTACTTGAGAGGCTGAGGCAGGAGAATCACTTGAACTCAGGAGGCAGAGGTTGCAGTGAGCTGAAATCAAACCATTGCCCTCCAGCCTGGGAGGCAGAGCGAGACTCTGAGAAAAAAAAAAATGCCTATCATCACTGATTATCAGAAAAATGCAAATCAAATCAAAACTACAATGAGCTACCATCACACGCCAGTCAGAATGGCAATTATTAAAAAGGCAAGAAGCAACAGATGCTGGTGAGGTTGCGGAGAAAATGAAATGCTTTTATACTGTTGGCGGGAGTGTAAATTAGTTCAACCATTGTGGAAGACAGTGTGACAATTCCTCAAAGATGTAGAAGCAGAAATACCATTTGACCCAGCAATCTCATTACTGGATATATACCCAGAGAAATATAAATCATTTTATTATAAAGATACATGCATGCATATGTTCATTGCAGTACTATTCACAATAGCAAAAATATGGAATCAACCCAAATGTCCATCAATGATAGACTGGATAAAGAAAATGTGATACATATACACCATAGAATACTATGCAGCCACAAAAATGAACAAAATCATGTCCTTTGCAGGGACACATAGATAAAACTGGAAACCATTATTCTCAGGAAACTAACACAGGGACAGAAAACGAAATGCCAAATGTTCTCACTTATAAGTGGGAACTGAACAATGAGAAAACATGGGTATATGGGAGAAGAAACACAAACTGGAGCTGATGGGGTGGGCAGGGGGTGGGAGAGCCTCAGAAAGAATAGCTAATGGATGTTGGGCTTAATACTTAGGTGAGGGTTTGATCTGTGCAGCAAACCACCATGGCACACGTTTTCCTATGTAACAAACTTGCTCATCCTGCACATGTATGCCAAAACTTAAAATAAAAGTTGAAGGAAAAAAATAAAATAAACGTTCAGAGTAGACAAAAGAAAAGAGAATACAAAACAATGAAGGACACCTACAGGATCTAGAAAAGAGCCCCCAAAAGACAAATGTAACAAATATTGGACTTAAACAGGAGGTAAAGAAAGAGACAGGGGTAGAAAATTTATGCAATAGGTTAATAACAGAGAACTTCCCAAACCTAGAGAAAAATATTAACATCCAAGTACATGAAGGTTATAGAACACTAGGCAGATTTCACCCAAAGAAGAATACCTCAATACACTTAATATTCAAACTCACAAAGATCAAGGATAAAGGATTTTAAAAGCAGGAACAGAAAAGAAACACACAATGGATCTCCAATAAGTCTGGCAACAGACTTTTCAAAGGAAACTTTACAGGTCATGAGAGAGTGGCATGACATATTTAAAGTGTGGAAGGAAAATAACATTTTTACCCTAGAATAGTATATCCTGCAAAAACATCCTTCAAACATGAAGGAGAAATACTTTCCCAAACAAAAGTTGAGGGATTTCATCAGCACCAGGCCTTTCCTACAAGAAATGCTAAAGGGAGTACTTCAATAACAAAGAAAAGGATATTAATGAGCAATAAGTAATCACCTGAAGGTACAAAACTTACTGGTAATAGTAAGTACACGAAAAAACAGAACACTATAACACTATAGCTGTGGTGTGTAAAATACTGTTATTCTAAGTAGAAAAATCAAACAATGAACCCATAAAAAATAGTAACTACAACAACTTCTCAAGACATAGACAATACAATAAGATATAAGTAGGAATGAAAAAAGGTAAAAAGGAAGGAGAAAAGCTAAGGTATCAAGTTTTCATTAGTTTTTTCTTTATTTGTATGTTTAGGCAAACAATGTTAAGTTGTTATCCACTTAAAATAATGGGTTATAAGATAGTATTTGCAAGACTCATGGTAATCTCAAACCAAAACACATAGAATGGATACACAAAAAATAAAAAGCAAGAAACTAAACCATACCACTGAGGAAAATGATCTTCACTAAAAGGAAGATGGGAGGGAAAGAAAGAAGGAAGAGAAGACCACAAAAAAACTGGAAAACAATAAAATGGCAGAAGTAACTTCATACTTATCAATAATAATATCAAATATAAATTGACTAAACTCCCAATGAAAAGACATAGATTGGCTGGCTGAATTTAAAAAATGAGACCCATTGATCTGTTGTCTACAAGAAACACACTTCACCTATAAAGATATCATAGACTGAAAATAAAGAGATTAAAAAAAATTTCATGCCAATAGAAACCAAAAAAGAGTAGGAGTAGCTATACTTCTATTAGACAAAATAAATTTTGAGAGCAAAATGATGAGAAGAGTCAAAGAGGGTCACTATATTATGATAAAGGGGTCAATTCAGCAAAAGGATATAACAATTTTAAATATATATGTACCCAACACTGGAGCACCTAGATATATAAAGCAAATATTATTAGAGCTAAAGACAGAGATATACTCCAATCCAATAATACCTGGAGACTTTTAGCACCCCACTGTCAGCATTGGACAGATCTTTTAGACAGAAAATCAGCAAAGAAACATCAGACTTAATCAGCACTATAGACCAAATGGATCTAATAGATATTTACAGACTATTCCATCCAATAGCTACTGAATACCCATTCTTTTCCTCAGCACAGGATCATTCTCAAGGGTAGACCATATATTGCATCACAAAGCAAGTCTTGAAACTTTCAAAAAATTAAAATTATATTAAGCATCTTCTGTGATGACAATGGAATAAACTAGAAATCAAAAATAAGAAAATTTGGGGACTACACAAATACATGAAAATTAAACAATATGCTCTTGGATGATGAGTGGGTCAATGGAGAAATTAAAAAGGAAATTGAAAATTGTCTTGAAACAAATAATAATTAAAACAAAACAAACCAAATCCTATGAGATACAGCAAAAGCAGTACTAAAACCAAAACAAACCAAATCCTGTGATATACAGCAAAAACCATACTAAAAGGCATTTATTGTTATAAATGTGTACAATCAAAAACAAGCAAAAATTCAAATAAACAGCCTAATAATCCATCTTAAAGAACTGAGAAAGCAAAAGCAAATCAAACTCAAAATTAGTAGAATACAATAAATCATAAAGATCAGAGCAGAAATAAATAAAATTAAAATGAAGCAAACAATACAAAAGATCAATGGGAAAAAAAAAAGATTTTCTGAAAAGTTTTAAAACATGCCAAACTTTTAGCCAGACTCTATTAGTCCATTTTCATACTATGAAGAAATACCCAAGACTTGGTAATTTATAAAGTAAAAGAGGTTTAATGGACTCACAGTTGCACGTGGCTTCAGAGGCCTCACAATCATGACAGAAGGCAAAGGAGGAGCAAAGGCATGTCTTACATGGCAGCAAGCAAGAGAGCCTGTGCAGGAGAACTGCTCTTTATAAAACCATCAGATCTCATGAGACTTATTCACTATCACGAGAACAGCACAGGAAATACCCACCACTATGATTCCATTACCTCCCACTTGGTCCCTCCCATGACATGTGGAAATTATGGGAGCTGCAATTCAAGGTGAGATTTGGGTGGGGACAGAGCCAAACCATATCACAGACTAAGAAAAAAAAAAGAGATCCAAATAAATAAAATCAGAGATGAAAAGGGAGACATTATGACTGATACTGCAGAAATTCAAAGGATCATTCATGGCTACTATGAGCAACAAATGCCAATAAACTTGAAAATCTAAAAGAAACAGACAAATTCCTAGACATGTACAACCT
This sequence comes from Homo sapiens, assembly GCF_000001405.40. Classification (NCBI taxonomy): domain Eukaryota; kingdom Metazoa; phylum Chordata; class Mammalia; order Primates; family Hominidae; genus Homo; species Homo sapiens. The sequence goes on along the minus strand of NC_000023.11, from coordinate 108,789,881 downwards.
ACCAAGATTGAATTATGAAGAAATCCAAAACCTGAACAGACAAATTACAAATAATGAGATGAAAGTCATAATAAAAAGTTTCTCAGTAAAGAAAAGCCTGGGACTCAAAGGCTTTGCTGCTGAATTCTACCAAGTGTTTAAAGAGCTACTACCAATCCTGCTCAAACTATACTGAAAAATATAGGATGAGGGAATTCTCCCAAACTCATTCGATGAAGCCAGCATTCCCTTGATACCAAAACCAGACAACACATCAAAAAAAGATATCTACATGCCAATATCTCTGATAAATATTGATGCAAAAATCATCAACAAAATACCAACAAACCAAATTCTACAATACATTAAAAAGATCATTTATCATAACCAAGTGGGATTTAGCCCAGGGATTCAAGGATGGTTCAACACATACAAATCAATCAATGTGATACATCATAACAAGAGAATGAAGGACAAAATCTATAGGATCATTTAAATTGATGTTGAAAATGCATTTGATAAAATTCAACAACCCTTTATAATAAAAACCATCAATAAACTGTGTATAGAAGAAACATACCTCAACATGATAAAAGCCATATATGACAGACTTTCAGCTAGAATCATACTGAAAGGGGAAAACTGAAAGCCTTTCCTCTAAGAACCAGAAAAAGACGACACCCACTGTCACTACTGTTATTCAATATAGTACTGGAAGTCCTAGCTAGAGCAATAAAAAACACAAAGAAGTAAAGGGTGTCTAAATTGGAAAGGAATCAGTCAAATTATTCTTGTTTGCAGATGATATGATGTTATATTTGGAAAAACCTAAAGGCGCCACCAGAAAACTATTAGAACTGATGAATAAATTTCGGAAATTTGCAGGGTACAATATCAACATACAAAAGTTAGTAGCATTTCTATATGCCAATAGTGGACAATCTGAAAAACGAATTTTAAAAAATAACTCCAATTTACAGTAGCTACAAATACAGTAGAATACATAGGAATTAACCAAAGAAGAAATCATAATCTATAATCTTTTCATTATAGAAGATATCTATAATGAAAACTATAATACATTGATGAAAGAAATTGAAGAGAACACCAAGAAATTGAAATATATTCCATGAATTAAAAGAACCAATATTGTTAAAATGCCAATATTACCCAAAGCAATCTACAGATTCAACACAATCTCTATTAAAATACTAATGACATTCTTCACAGAAATAGAAAAAAAATCCTAAAATTTATATGGCATCACAAAAGACAGAACAGCCAAAGCTAACCTTAGCAAAAAGAACAATACTAGAAGAATCACGTTACCTGACTTCAAATTATACTGCACAGATATATAACCAAAACAGCATCTAACTGGCATAAAAACAGACACATAGACCAATGGAACAGAGTAGAGAACCTAGAAACAAATTCATACGCCTACAGCGAACTCATTTTTGACAAAGGTGCCAAGAACACACACTGGGGAAAGGACAGTCCCCTAAATAAATGGTGCTGGGAAAACTTGAAATTCATATGCAGAAGAATGAAACTAGACATCCATCTCTTGTCATATACAAAAATGCAACTAAAATTGATTAAAGAGTTAAATCTAAGACCTCAAACTATGAAAATACTACAAGAAAACATTGAGAAAACTCTCCAGGACATTGGTCTGGGCAAACATTTCTTGAACAATACCCTACAAGTACAGGCCACCAAAGCAAAAATGCACAAATGGGATTACATCTAGTTAAAAAGCTTCTGCAAAGCAAAAGAAACAATCAACAAAGTGAAGAGACAACCCATAGAATGGAAGAAAATATTTGCAAACTACCCATCTGACAAGAGATTAATACCCAGAGTAGATAAGAAGGTCAAACAACTCTATAGGAAAAAATATTGTAATCCAGTCAAAAATGGGTAAAATATTTAAATAGATATTTCTCAAAGAAGACATAGGAATGGCAAGCAGGCATATGAAAAGGTGCTCAGTGTCATTGATCATCACAAAAATGCAAATCAAAATTACAATGAGATATCATCTTAACCCAGTTAAAATGGCTTATATCCAAAAGACAGGCAATAACAAATGCTGGGTGAGGATGTGGAGAACAGGGAACTCTCTTCCACTGTTGGTGGGGATTTAAATTAGTACATCCATTATGGAAAACATTTTGGAGCTTCCTCAAAATATTTAAAATAGATCTACCATGTGATCCAGCATTCTCATTGCTGGATATATGCCCAAAAGAAAGGAAGTCATTATATCAAAGAGATATCTGCACTCCCATGCTTGTTACAGCACTGTTCATAATAGCCAAGATTTGGAAGCAAACTAAACGTCCATCAACAGATGAATGGGTACAGAAAATATGGTACATATATAAATGAAGTGGTAACTAGCCATAAAAAGAATGAGAGCCTGCCATTTCCAACAACATGGATGGAACTGGAGGTCATTATGTTAAGTGAAATAAGCCAGGCACAGAAAGACAATTATTGCATGTTCTCACTTATTCTTAGGATCTAAAAATCAAAACAATTGAACTCATGGAAATAGAAAGTAGAAGGATGGTTACCAGAGGCTCGGAATGGTAGTGTTAGGGTGGGAAGGGGTGTTCAGAATGGTTTATGGGTACACAAAAATATAAAGAATGAAACAGATCTAGTATTTGATAGCACAAGAGGGTGACTATAGTCTATAATAATTAAATTGTACATTTTAAAATAAGTAAAACAGTATAATTAGATTGTTTGTAACACAAAAGATAAATTCTTGAGAGGATTGGATACCTGCCCCCCGCAAAAAGAGACATCCACACTCTGGCAGAAAAATCTTTGCAAAACAAATATAAAAAGGACTGGTATACGAAATATACAAGGAAATCTCCACATTAAAAAAAAAAGAAAACGAATTCTGTTTTAAAAATGAGACAGAGATCTGTACAGACACTTCACTGAAGAAGATATACAGATGGCAATAAGCATATGAAAGTATGCACTACATCATATGTCATTAGAGTATTGCAACATAAACAACCGTGATATACTACTACACACCCATTAGAATGGCCCAAATCCGAAAACACTAACAACCCCAAATGCTGGCAAGGATATGGAGCAACGGGAACTCAATATTGCTAGTGTGAATGCAAAATGGTAGTGCTATTTTGGAAGACAGTTTGTCTGTTTCCTGTAAAATTAAACATACTCATACTATATGATCCAGAAGTCTTGCTCCCTGGGCATTTATCTAAACGGATTGAAAAGTTATATCCACCCCAAAACCTGCAAATGAATGCTTATAGCAGCTTGATTTATAAGTGCCAACTCTTGGAAAGGACCAAGACGTCATTCTAGAGGTGAATGAATATACAAACCATGGTACATTCATACATTATTCCATCATAAAAAGAAATGATCTATGAAGCCACCAAAAGACATAGAGAAGCCTTAAATGCCAATTGCTAAGTGAAAGAAGCCAATCTGAAAACTCTACATGCTGTATGATTCCAACTACATAACATTCTAGAAAAGACACAACTGTAAAAGATAGTAAAAAGATTAGTGGTTGCCAGGCATTCAGACAGAGAGAGGGATGGATGGGCAGAACACAGGGGATTTTTAGGGTAGTGAAATTTTTATTCTGTATGACACTGTAATGGCGAATATACATGATTATACATTTGTCAAAACCCATGGAATGTATAACACAAAGACTGAACCCCGATGTAAACTATGGACTTCAGTTAATTTATCAATATTGACTTATCATTTGTAACAAATGTGCCACACTAACACATAATGTTAAAAATAGAGAAAATTGTTGTGCGGGGTAGTGAAGGGCATATGAGAACTCTGTATAATTTGCTGAATTTTTTTCCACAAACCCAAAACTACTCCATACATTAAAATCCATTAAGCATTAAAAAATAAGTAAAATCTCTGTGAACATCAGTTCGAGTACATCATAAAGTGGATAAAGCAAAGTGTAAAAGAATATCTATTGTAAGCTATATTTTGTGTAAGAAAAAAAGGGAAAAAAGAAAAAATATTACACACACACACACACCCTAGTCTGTTGGTTTATGCAAAAGGAAATGCAGGAAGAAAAATGTAGAAATAATTAGATTGGTACCTACGGTTGGTGGGAAGGCAGGGTGGGAAAGGATGGGGGTTATTATACTTCTCAGAGTACATCTTTCCTACACCTCTGAACTTTGGAACCATGTTAATGTTTCACATACTCAAAAATGATATGACTAAAATCAACAAGTATGGAGGAAAACAAAATAAAATGGAAACAGAAACAAATGAACTTGTCACCAAACTGAAAGAGAAGGCAAAATGAACCTAAATATTGTTTGAACACAATATTTTGAATATATATCCTCAGACTAAAGACAAAAAAAACTGTAAACAAATATTTAAATTGAATTACAGGTTTGTTTTTCGTAGTAGTATAGGATATCAATTATGAAACTGCTGCGCATTTTAGGATAAGCAAATGAGTAAATATATTGTGGATAATCGGAACCAGATTTCTCAACATTGAAAGAAGAGAAAATGCTAGAATTAACCTGCATTATTGGATTGGAATTTGAGTTATCAGTGTAAACTTTTGGTTTTTATAAATACATTTCACAATATATGAGATTATATTATAATTAGTATAACAAATTTGCATTTTATGTATATAAATAAATATAGAAATAAAGGTAGTTTGGCCTATATAGACATAGAGGACCTAGAAGCAATGACATTCCAATCGCAATAAACACTTGTAGCACCCAGGATTCCTTGAAGAAAGGGCCCATTTCAGGGCTGGAACTGAGAAATTAAAAGATGAGTCTGGAGTATCTTGTAAAGTCAAAATATAAGAAAGTGCTCACTCTTGGACATAAACGTGGGAACAATAGACACTGTTGACTACTAGACGGAGGAGGGATGAAGGGGGTCATAGACTGAAAAACTACCTATTGGGTACTAAGGTCTCCACCTGGGTGCAATATTCCCATGTAACAAACCTGCACATGTACTCCCTATATCCAAAATAAAAGTTGAAAATTAAAAAAAATAAGGAAGTGCTGAAAGAATGATAATCACATGGCAAAGAAAAACAGGTGTCAGTTTGAAAGGGCTTTCACCAGCCAAATCTAGGACTATTTGAGTACCAAAATAAATAATGATGGTAATGGATTAAACCTATCAAATAAATTGAGTCCATAAATCCATACTACTATAAGTAAATAAGTACACACATAAACAAAATCATGTTATAGTAGAATGCCAACTAATAAATGTAGAATGAATGATCAAATTGGAAAATTTTAATTTTGTAATAATCAGAATAACAATAGACTCAGGCTAAAATCTCCAATGTATACTAAAACAAGTTGGCAAAAGATGTAGAAATGACAGAATATTTACATAGTTCCAGAACATCTTCCCATAAGATATTCCTTAGTTACAAGTTTTACCTTATAACTTTACGGTAGAGAAACTTAGTAGATTCTACCTTAGGCAAGAAATCAAAATTTAACAACAGAAAAGGACAAATCAACATTGTTGATTCCTCACATGACATTCTGAGAAGAACACAATATCGTTTTTGTGGTACTCTTATCAAAATGTGTAGCCTAAATGTAGTCATGGAAAATCATCAAATAAAAAAAAAAGAGGGTATTCTAGTATGCTACTAAAGCAGCCTTAACTCTAATAGTATTGAGATCATTAAAAACTAAGAAAGAATGAGGACATTTTCTAGATTAGAGGAGGCTAAAGAGACATGACAAATCAATGTGATATGAGATCATGGATTAGATCCTGAAGCAGAGAACAAAAATATTTTCTGTAAATGTTATTATTAAGATACTTGGCAAAATTTGAATGAAGTTTGTAGATTAAATAATAGTAATGCAGCAATGTTAATTTTCTGATTTTAACCATTATAGTCCAGTTATGTAAGAAAAAATTTTAAGAAACACACTGAAATAGAGATAAAAATCCATCATGTCACCAATATACTTATATATTTGAACTCCATGTCTATTGATAGCTATACAAATAATGTAGTAAAGACATAATAATAGCCAATTTGTTTAAGGGTATTAAAAATCCTTAAGATGGCCGGGCGTGGTGGCTCACGCCTGTTATCCCAGCACTTCGGGAGGCCGAGGTGGGCAGATAACCTGAGGTAGGGAGTTGGAGAACAGCCTGACTAATATGGAGAAACCCCATCTCTACTAAAAATACAAAAAATTATCTGGGCGTTGTGGCGCATGCCTGTAATCCCAGCTACTCAGGAGGCTGAGGTAGGAGAATCACTTGAACCCGTGAAGCCGAGGTTGCGGTGAGCTAAGATCGTGCCATTACACTCCAGACTGGGCAACAAGAGCAAAACTCCATCTCAAAAAAAAAATCCTTAATATTCTTGCAACTTATATGTAATCTGAAATTACTTCAGAGTAAAAAGTTAAATAGTTTTTTAAAGTTAAAAAATAAAGTTTGTGAGACTGAAGAAAATGTTCAGCTATAGGCTAAAAGAGACAGCCAAAATATAAGGCTACAGTCAATTTGAAATTAAAATAGCAGAAATAAAGACTGAAATTTGGTGTAATTATACTAATAACAGGCAAAATATATGAAAAAAGAACTAATAGAGATAAAGGCAAAAAGAACTACTAGAGAAAAAATGTTCACTGTATAATGCTAAACATTTCATTTCACAAATAAAATATAACAGTTATAAACTTGGGTATACCTGACAGCATGACTTTCAAATATATAAAGCAAAAATTGTAGAATTCCTTGGAACAACAGACAAATATACCATCAGAGTGAAAATTTTTAATACACTTTCACCAATAATTAGTAGATCAAGGAAACAAAATATCAGTAAGGAAATGAAAGAGCTTAATGTCACACATCAAAGTCTGATCAAATATATATAGAGAGAACACTGAATCCAACTGTTACCAATTACATACTGTTTTCAATTATATATTATTTTATGTAATACAACCAAGAAAATGATCATTTTTGAGCCATAACATTAGTCTCAACAGAATACCAAATGACTTCTATCACACAATGTTCTTAGACCAGATTGCAATTAAAAATTAATAGCAAACAATGATAGGTAGAAAACCCCCATATGTGGGAAATTAATAAATACACTGACAAATAACTGATCAAAGAAAAAATTATAACTAAACTAGAAAATAGAAATAAACTATAAAAATATTACACTTGAAACCTAGAGTATACACATAGGTCAACATTTAGAGGGAACTTTACAGGTTTAAGTACTTCTATTGAAAAGGAGAAAACTGAAAATGAAAGCTAAGTATCCATCTTAAGAAATTTGTAAAAAAAAAAAAAAAACAGTAAAATAAACCCATATACTATAGGAAAAAGGAATAATAATAAAAAAGCACAAAATCCTTAAAAAATGAAAAAGTAAACAATAGAGATCATAATGAATTAAAACAAAAGAAGATTCCTTGAAATGACTAATAAAATTAACAAAATCATTACCAAGACTGATCTAGGAAAAAGAAGATAGAAGTCAAAAATAATCAACATTAAGAAAGAAATGGTTTACCTAACTATGGATAGACAATAAAATAAATTTAAAATATATAATTAAATTATATTGACAAATTTTATCAACCTGTATAAATCACAATTTTTTAAATAAATAATTATAACTTACCAAAATTGAAACAAAAAGAAGTGAAAACCTGAATAGTTTTATAATCCTTGGGTAAATGAATCATTCAAAAATGTGTCTATAGTGTGAACTCCAGATCCACAAGGTTTTACCCATGAATAATACCTAACATTCAAAGAAAAAGTAATTCCAATCTCACATTAATGATCCCAAGCCAATCTCATTCATAAACTGAGATACAGAAATCATAAAGGAAACATTAGTAAACCAAATTCAGAAATGTAAAAAAAAAAAAAAGTATGCCATGGCAAAAATGTATTGATTCAAGGAATACAAACTTTTTAGTTTTAATAGCAAATAATGTAATTTGCCACATTAAAGATTAAAAACAATTGAACATCTCAACTGATATAGAAAATACTTTTGATAAAATTTGGCATCTATTTATTTAAAAAATTCTTAGAAAACTAAAAGTAAAAAAATTTTCATCTGATAAGTTATATCTGCAAAAATCCTTTATAAAAAGAGTATACTTATTCATAAAACAATTGAAGGCATTCTCTTTAAATTCATGAAAAAGACAAAATCATCCATTATTATCACTTCTATTTACCATTGTGCTGAACAACCTAGCCAGAACAGTAGGAAATAAATTGAAAATAAAATACAAATAAAAGTCATACAGATTGGAAAGGAAGAGGCAAAGCTTTCATTATTCACAATGTAGCACACCAAGAGTATGGACAAGCAACTATAGATAAATCATTAGAATAAATAAGATAGCAAGGTGGTTGGACACAAAATCGGTATACAAAAGTCACTTGTATTTATATACACTGGAAACAAAAATATTGAAAAATTTTTAATTTTGCCATTTCTAATACATATAAGAAAAAATTAAAATAGGACTAAATCTAATGAAAGATATACAAGCATTCTATAATGAAATACATTGCTGAGAATAGACATGAATAAACTGAGCCTTATATCACGTTTTTGAATTGGAAGACTTAACATTGTTAAGATATCAGTTGTAACCAAATTGAACTACAAATTTGGTACAATCTAAATGAAATTCCCAGGAAGAATATTTGTCAAAATTGATAAACTAACTTTAAAATTTATATTAAAATATAAAGGGTCTAGTATAACCAAGAAAATCTTGAAGAAGAACAAAGTTGGAGGATTTACACTGTTTATTGGATTATAAAATTTACAATAAAACTATAGTAATTCAGAATGGTGTGGCATTGGCAGAAAGGTAGACAAGTAGATTAATGAAAGAGAATGGAATCCAGAAATAGGCTACCCTGACAACAACCTCATACCATACAGAAAAACTAATTCAAAATATATCATATTTCTAAATGTAAAATAAAGTGAAAAAGCTCTAAAAGAAAACATAAGGAAACAACTTAATAACCTTGCATAGACAAAGATTTCTTAAGACCCAAAAAGCAATAATAATTTTAAAATAAAAAACTGGTCTTTATTGACATTAAAAACTGTTCAAATATAATCATTAAAGTCGGTGGCTCACGCCTGTAATCCCAACACTTTGGGAGACCCGAGGTGGGTGGATTACCTGAGGTCTGGAGTTTGAGACCAGCTGACCAACATGGTGAAACCCCATCTCTACTAAAAATAGAAAAAAGTAGCCGGACATGGTGGCACATGCTTGTAATCCCAGCTACTTGGGAGGCTGAGGTAGGAGAATCTCTTGAACCCTGGAGGCAGAGGTTGCAGTGAGCCAAATTCACGCCATTGCGCCATTGCACTCCAGCCTGGGCAAAAAGAACAAAACTCCGTCTCAAACAAACAAACAAAACCCTTTGTTTGTGAAAGTACACCACGAAAAGAGAGAAAGGGCAAGTCATATATCTGACAAGGGCCTTATATACAAAATATACAAACAATTTTTACAACTCAACAATAAAAAGAGAAATAACCCAATTAAGTATGGGCAAATAATTTGAATACACATTTCTGCAAAGAAGATACACAAACGGCCAATAAATACATGAAAAGATGCTCAACATCATTAGCCCTCAGAGATATGCAAATCAAAACCACAATAATATGCCACTTCACATCCACTAAGATGGCTATAACTTTTTTAAAATACAATAACAAGTCTTAGTGAGGATATGGAGACATTGAAACCTTCATATATTGCTAGTGAAGGTGTAAAATGGTACAGCCACTTTGGAAAATAGTCTGACTGTTCCTCAGTTAAACATAGACTCAAAATATTACCTAGGTATATTCCCAAAAGAAATTAAAGCACATGTCCACAAAATCATGTATAAGAGTGTTCCAAACAAGCATTATTCATAATAGCCAAAAAGTGGAAGAATCTCAAATGTCCTTCAATGGATTAATGAATAACCAAATGTGGTATATCCAAACAAGGGGATATTACACAGCTATAAGGAATGAAGTACTAATGTATGCTATAATATAGATGAACCATGTTTACTCTAAGAAGCCCGTAACAAAAGACCACATGTTATATGATTCTATTTACATGAATTTTCCAGAAAAGGCAAATCTACAGAAACAGAAGGAAGATTATGTGGGAATTGGGAGATAATGGAGAGTGACTGCTGATAGGTACAGGGTTTCTTTTTGGAGTGATGCGAATGTCCCAAAATTAATTGTGTTTATGGTTGCACAACTCTAAAAGCCATTGAATTGCACACTCGAAAGGAGTAAATTGAATAGGGTATGAATTGTGTCTCAGTAAGACTGTTTAAAAATAAGTTTTTATAAAATGGAGAAGTAAGCTAGAGGATTGCAAAAGGTATCTGCGATGCATGTATCTGACAAATGACTCTTATCAAGTATACATAAAGAAAACACACAAATTAATAAGAAAAGAAAATACAACAAAAACATGGCAACAAACTTAAAGAGACACTTTACAAAAGAGGCTATTATCAATTGGATAATAGCCAATTAGCACTTAAAAAGGTGCTCATCATTTAACAATTATATTAGTGAAATGCAAATTAATACTGCAACCAGATACTACCCACTAGACTGACTCTAATTTAAAATATTGACAATACTAACTATTGGAAAAAATGTGGAAGAACTGGAACTCTCCTACACTCCTCCTGGAAATGTAAAATTGTATAGCCACTTTTGAAAATTGTTTGAAAGTATTTACCAAAGCTAATCATATGCCTACTTTATGGATTAAGACCTAGTAATTTCATTCCTGGGCATATATAGCCCAAATAAATGAATGCATATACTCACCAAAATACACACACAAGACTGCTTCCAACAGCTTTATTTATAATAGCCAAATTAAAACCAACAAGTACTCATCATCAAAAAATCTGACAAATAGTAGTATATTCATACAAGGCAATACTACTTAATAAAGGGCACATCAATGACACCACAACAACGTGGATGAATCTCACAGACATAGTGATAAGCAAAAGAAGCCAGACTCCAAAGACCACATACTGTAAGACTGTTTTCATATGGACTTCAAAAAAGTTAAAACTAATCATTAATTTGTAAAAACCAAAATAGCAGTCTCCTTTGGAGGGATAACGGACAGCAAAGCTCACATATTCTCAGGTGCTGCAAATCTTCTTCATCTTTATCAGAATGATAGTTAGATGGGTGTATGTACGAATTTTCAAAAATCATTGAGATGTGCAATTAAAAGTAGTGTATTTTATGTGCTTTATTGTATCTATGTTATCCCTTGATATAAAACAATATCATCAGTAATGTAACTTAATTTGAGTGGAAGAAGACAGACATAAAATAATACATACTTATTGTTCCATGTCTATAAATTTCAAAAACAGACAAAACAATACGTTGTTTCTTTTTAAGGATACATATTTAAGTGCTAAAAACTTTGAAGAATCAAGGAATGATTACCACAAAATTCAAATGTTTATCTCTTGGGAAATGTGAGGGAAATATGATGACAGAAGGTCATGCACTAGGCTTCTGGAGTAGAGTAATATTCTGTTCCTTGGACAGGGTGGTAGGTACAAGGATGTTCCTTCAACTGTACATACATTTTCTTCTACTCTTGTATGTATGCTAATCTTCAAAATTAAGAAAAATGTAAAACAAAATAAAACAACTACACTATAAAGGAAAAAATATATTAAAGTATCCATATAAATTTGGATCCATGAGAATTTCACTAATATCTTATGGCTGGATAATTTCCTAAACGATACATTCCTTACCATCAAAAGAGTTAGTGAGTGTTTTATAATTAGTATGGAATAAAAACATTGCATTCATTCATGCTAGGGAACTAGTGTTGGAAAATGTTTCTGAACACTAGGAAAATTTTTCCAAAAGAAAATACTCAGAATATTAAAGTTATGAAAATATATATCCAAGTTCAGCAAAATATTCCCATAACTGAATCATAAGAGCAATCAAAATAAATATGTAGAGATCTGGCAAAAGAGTACGAACTGATAATATACCAGAAAATGGAACTAGCTCAGTATTTTCAAATATATTCATTTTCTGGGATATTCATTGAAAGGTTCTTTATAATAGCAAAAATTGCAAGCAACGTATGTCTACCAGTTCGGTATTAGTTCAACAAGTTACAATGTATTAATAAAATGAAGTACTCTGCAAATTATTAAATGAATATGTATATTTTATGTTCCTGGGGTGTCCAGTACGGTAGCCACTAGCAATATCCAAATTTAAACTAATTAAAGTTAAATAAAAGTTGAAATCCAGTTCCTCACTCAAATTAGCCACATGTGAATAGTAGCTGCTGCATTGGACAGTACAGAATAGAACATTTCTGTCATTCCAAAAATTCTACTGGACAAGTATTTAAATGTCTTTAGCAAACTATTAAGCAAAACATGTAAATTATAAAAATAGATTTCTTTTAATCTATATTTGCATTTGTGCATATTTGTGGGAAGATATACCAAAATGTTGACAGTGGTTATCTTTAGGACTAGCTTGTGAGTGAGGATGATTTTTGCTTTCTTTCTCCTACTTTGTTTTCTGAAAATTTTTACAATAGCACATATAACTTCTATAATCAGAAAAAAAGTCAATAAAAGATTCAATTTACTGGAAAAAATGACAAAATATTTGTGCTCTTTGATATATTTGTTGAAATGTATCTTCAGGGAATAATCAAAATTGCAGACAAACGTTTAATCACAAAGCTGTCCATTGCAGCATTGCTCATAATCAGGGAAAACGGGGAGGGGCTGTATATCCAGTAATAGTAACATGGTTAAGTTAATTTGTGATATGATTTACGATGTTTTTCCCAATGGAAATGTATTGTCATATAAAATGTAGTATGTTATGTTATGAAGACAGAAAACAAGTCTTCTTAGGAAATTTTCCACCATACAAAATGAAGCCAAAACTATAGAGGGCTTCCAAGAAGGATGGCAAATTGAATGCCTGCAGTTACTTTTGCTCCCTTCTGAAATTCCACTAAAGCAACAGTAAGGGGAATTGTGTAAAGGCATGAACCAACAGAGACAAATATATAATAAAAGAGGAGATAAAAGTAGCAACATATTAGGTAAGCAAATATCGCATGTAAGGAAAACCCTATTTCCCCACTCAGTTTTTTGAACATGGGAAGCCACACCTAGCCCTCAGGCAAGAGATTAAAGTATTCTTCTCAGGAATCTAAACAGCTTCTAAAAGGACATTTCTAGAGTAAAAATTTGGGGTTTCCCACAAAAAATGACTTAGGCCTTCCAAACAACTTTAAAATTGTTTATTGTGAAATATTACATATAAGTATAGATTATATATTTCATATATAATCTATTAAATATTATATTATATATATTATATATTCTATTCTATACATTACACATTATATAAAATATTAACTTCTATAAATTACATATTATATAATATATTTATATATTAAATTATATCTAGTCTAAATATAATATATAGAATACAATATATCATATATTATACAAGAAACATATAAAATGTTATATAATATATGAAATATATAAAATATTATATAATATACATTATATATGAAATATATAACATATAATATGTAATATATAATATATATTAAATATATAATATCTGATATATAATATACATGAAATATGTAATATGAGATATATGATATATATGAAACATAATAAATGATACATAGAAATTTACATGTGGAAAAAATATATTATATGAATATATTATAAACTATATATTATATATGATATTATATTCTATATATTATGTATAATATTACATTCTATATATTATATAATGCTATATATAAAATATAAACTATTATAATATATATTATTATATAACATATAATATATAAAATTGTAATATATAATATATAACATACAATATATAATATCATATATAATATTATGTAAGATATAACATATAATATAATATATAATATTATATAACATATAACATATAATATAATATATAATATTATATAACATATAATATAATATTTAATATTATATAACATATAATATTATAATGTATAATATATAACATATAATATTATAATATATAATATTATATATCATATAATATATAATATTATGAAATATAATATTATATAACATATAATATATAATATTATAATATATAATGATATATAACATATAATATATAATATATAATATTAAATATGTAATACATATTACATATGATATTTTATATATAGTATATAATACATTATATATAATATGTAATATTATATTATATATAATATATTACATAATCTTATATAAAATATATATTGCTTATAATATGTATAACATATATGATATTCTATTCTATATTGTATTGTATCTATTAATACGTAATATATATTATATGTACTATATATAATATAGAATGTATAATATATACAATATATAATATATAATACATATTATATATACAGTACATGTAACATATATATTTGAAATATATACTATATATTATATATTATATGTAATATATAATATATATTACATATAATATATATGAATATATTCTATATATATCATACAATATATATTATATATTGTATAAAATATATTCTATATGATGTATATTACATAGTATATAAAATATATTATATGATGTATATTATATAACATATAATATATATTAAGTAATATATATTATATAACATATATGTACTACATATTAATATATATTGTATATATGTACTATATATTTATATATACTATACAATATATATACTATATATTATATATACTATATATTGTGATGTATAGTATAATACAGCATATTATATATAATATAATATAAAATATTTTAATTATTACATAATATATATTGTATATATTATACATTTCATATATTATATATTGTATCATATATTATATATACTATATATAATATTTTATATATTATATATACTATATATAATATTTTATATATTATATATACTATATATAATATATTACATATTATATGTTATATATAATACATGTTATATATATTACATATAATATAGTATATATCACATATTATATATTTGATATCATATAGTATATACAATATGTATTATATATTATATATTGCATATGTTATATGTATTTTATATAATACATAATATATATCATGTATTACATATATTATATATTGTATAATATTATTTATATCATATACATAAATATATTATATTATATATTATGTTTAGTATATATTATAGTTTATAGTATATATACTATATATAATATATATTATATATTATATTCTGTGTAATATACAATGTATAATATATAGTATATGTATTATGTATTATACATTATACATTCTATATATAATGTGTTTTATATATTGTATATATAATATATTACATATACTATATATTTTATATATAATATATTATATATATATGCAATATATGGTATATATAATATATATTATATATACTATATATTATATATGATGTATTACATATATTATATATTGGATGTCATATATAATATATTTTATAATGCATATAATATATAATATATATTATATATTTATTATGTCATATATAATATATATTATATATTATATTATGTCATATATAATATATATTATACATTATATTTTGTAATATATAATATATAGTACATATTATATTATGCAATATATAATTTATATTCTATATTATATTATGTAATATATAATATATACTATGTTATGTAATATATAATATATATTATGTTATGTAATATATATAATATATTATGTTATGTAATATATATAATATATATTATGTTATGTAATATATATAATATATATTATGTTATGTAATATATATAATATATATGAATGTTATGTAATATATATAATATATATTAGGTTATGTCATTTATATAATATATATATTATGTAATATATACAATATATATTATATTATGTTATATATATAATATATCTTATGTAATATATATGATACGTATTGTATTATGTATTATATATAACTTACTTTATATCATGTAATATATAATGTATATTATATTATATAATATATAATATATGTTATATTATCTAATATATATAATATATATAATATATTGTATATAGTATGTATAGTATTTAATATATATATTATATATAGTATATATATTATGATGTATAATATAATATATTGTCGATAATATAATATATAATACAATATTATGTGATATTATATATAATATATAGAATTTAATATATTATATATTATATATTATATATCATATATTGCATTTAATATAATATATTAGATATTAGATATTATATAGAATATAGAAGATATATTGTATATAATATATTTTATTATATATTGTGTATAATATAGAATATATATTTTATATAATATATTTTATTTTATATTATATACATTATTATATGTAATTTGGAATATATATTATATGAGAATATGTATATTCTCATATATATTATATATATTGTATGAGAATAGTATATCATATTTTATTATATATTATGTTATATGTGTTATATTGTATATTATGTTATAATATATATTATATTTTTTATATAATACATATTATATATTTTTTCTTATATATATTTATGAGGGAGGGAGAGAGAAAATAGAAGAGCACAGAACAAAGTACAGCTAAATGAATTATCACAAACAACTCTTAAATACCCACCCATATAAAGAAATAAAAATTTGCCACCAGACCCATAATCCCCATCAAGGTAGTTTTAAATCTCTACCTGCTCCTTCCTCACCCAGAGGTAACCAGTATGTCTTTTTTTATAGTAAGCATATTCTTGATTTTCTTTATAAGTTTCCTACCTTGGCATGTGTCCTTAAACATTGTTGTTTTGTGTTGCTTAATTTTTGAAGCTTCATATAAATAAAATCATGTAGTGCATATTATATATGGCTTCTCATAGTCAGCATTGCATTTGTGAGGTTCATGTATCTTGCTGCATATTGCTGCAGTTGATTCATTTCCTTGCTGTAGAGTAGTGATTCTCAAATTTGAGAGTGTATCAGAATCACCCAGATGGTTTGTGAAAACACAGATTTCTAGGCCCCCAATTTGCAGTTTCTGATTTAGTCAGCCTAAGATGGGGCTCAAGAATTTGCACTTCTAACCACTTCCCAGGTGATGCTGGTGCTAGTGGTTGAGGAACCCCACTTTGAGGATCACTGCTATATAATATTTTATTTTCTATGAACGTACCATGATTTACTTATACATTCCACTGTTAATGGACACTTAGGTTGTTTCCAGTTTGGGGCTATTTAGAAAATGCTATTATGAATAGTCTCGTACATGTTTCTTGGTGTCCATATGCACACATATCTATAAAGATTATAACTCTGCTGGGTTATAAGGTATGGATACTTTTTTCTTTTCCTTCCCTTCCTTCCTTCCTTCTTTCTTTCTTCCTTTCTTCTTTCTTTCTATTTTTTCTGAGATGGAGTTTTGCTCTTGTTGCCCAAGCTGGAGTGCACTGGTGAGATCTTGGCTCACTGCAGCCTCTGCCTCCCAGGTTCAAGTGATTCTCCTGCCTCAGCCTTCTGAGTAGCTGGGATTACAGGCACCCACCACCACACCTGGCTAATTTTTTGTATTTTTTGTAGAGACAGGGTTTCACCATGTTGGCCAGGTTGGTCTTGAACTCCTGGCTGCAGGTGATCTGCCCACCTCTGCCTCCCAAAGTGCTGGGATTACAGGCATGAGCCACTATGCCTGGCTGATGGATATTTTTAAATAAGTGGAAGAGCCAAATGGTTATTCAAAGTTGTTTTACCAATATACATTCCCTCTTAGCATTGTCTGAGGGTTTTTGTTAAACCACATCCTTGTCAACACTTGATATTAGCCATTTTGTTGCATTGACATTTTGTGGAATTTCCTAATAACTAAGAAAGTTGATTAACTTTTTGCATGTTTTTGGTCATTTGGTTGTCTAGTTTTTGGAAGTGCATAGTCATGCTTTTTTTCCTATGGATTTGCAGGCATTCTTTGTCAGATAAATGTATTGAAAGTATGTTCTGTAGCTTATCTTTTCCCTTTCTTAATAGTTTCCTGAATAGATGCTCTTAAATTTATTATCAAATTTATAATTTTTCCTTTTAGTATTTTTTAGCATGTTTAAGAAATATTTATTTACTTCAACATCATAAAAATATTCAATTATCTCCCAGAAGCTCTGTCATCTTGCCTTTCACATGTAGATCTTCATTCCTTCTGAAACTAATTTTTTATATATGGCATAAAGTTGCAATCAAGTTTCTTTTTTCTTTCTAAATTGCTATAAAATTATTCCTACATTGTTCGTTGAAAAACAGCCCTTTCTCCACTGCTCTGCAATTCCAGCTTTGTCTTAAATCAAGTGGCCAAATATGCATAAGTCTGTTTCTGGGCATGCTGTTCTGTTCCTTTGCTCTTCTTCTCTATTTCTGTACCGATACCAAGCTTAATTAATGTTGTTTTATAAGTCTTCATGTGTTGTGGAGCAAATTCTATGATCTTGTTCATCTTTGCATTTCCATATAAATTTTAGAATCAGCTTGTCAAGTTTCACAAAGCCTCTTGGGACTTTAACTGAGATTTCATTAAATATATACAAGTTTGGGAAGAAGTGACATGTGTTTAAAGTTGAATCTTTCAATCCTAGGAAAAGGGGTGTGTCCTTTCATTTCTTTACATGTTCTTCAATATTGCTTAATAATGATCTATAGTTTTAGGTATAGAGGCTTTATATATCTAACGTTAGATTACTGTTAGATTTATTCCTAGGCATTTGACATTTCAATGTTATTGTAAATTATATGCTTTTATTTATATTTCTGTCTACTACTGGTATGAGTTTTACATATTAACTTTATATACCACAAAATTTATAAACTCACTTATTAATACTTATATTTGTAGGAGATGACTGTTTTATATCTTTCTTTCCAATCATAATACCTTTTATTTCTTTTTTTCTATTTTTCCGTTAGTGTACTGGCATTATCCAGTACAATATTAAATAGAAATGGCGATAGTGGTCACTCTTGTCTTATCTCCAACCTAATAGAGAATGCCTTCAACATTTCACCATTAAATATGAGAATTGCTGTGGGATTTTATGTATCAGTATATTTTATCTGCCTTGAACCCTGTTTTCTGTTAAGATGTTTATCAAGACAATTCGTGCACCCCTGAACATAGACCCTTATCAGTAGTTCTCCTTTTTGCCCTTTGCTTTGTGATCTTTGTTGGATCCTTATCAGTAGTTCTCTTTTTTGCCCTTTGAAGCATGTGATCTACTCCCTGTTCTTACACCCCTCCCCTTTTGAAACCCTTAATAAAAAACTTGCTGGTTTGAGGCTCAGGTGGGCATCATGGTCCTACCCATATGTGATGTCACCCCCGGAGGCCCAGCTGTAAAATTCCTCTCTTTGTACTCTTTCTCTTTATTTCTCAGCCGGCTGACACTTACGGAAAATAGAAAGAACGTATGTTGAAATATTGAGGGCGGGTTCCCCCAATATGCTTCCCCTTCTGCCATGATTGTAAGTTTCCTGAGGCTTCCCCAGCCACGCAGAACTGTGAGTCAATTAAACTTCCTTTGTTTATAATTTACCCAGTCTCAGGTAGTATCTTTATAGCAGTGTGAAAATGAACTAATAACTAATAACATTAGCTATTTTCTCCTTCTTCTCCTCCTTCTTTTAGGTTAGTCTTGCCAGGAGTCTGTCAATTCTTTTCATATTTTCAAATAATCCACTTTTGTCTATACCGACCCTCTCTATAGTACATTCATTTTCTATTTCATTGATCTCCATTCTTATCATTGGTATATCCTACCTCCTTAATAAATTTAATTTACTGTTCTTTTTAACTTCTTCTGATACATGCTTAGCTCAATGATTACAGCCTTTCTTCTTTTCTATTTTTTTCATGTTACTGTACAAATTTCCTTCTGAGCATGGCTTTAACTGAATAATGCAAGTTTTGATATGCAGTATATTTTTGTTATCATTCAGTTAAAGTAGTTTCTAAAAATTTCCATTATGATATGTTATTTTACCTATTGATTACTTAGAAGTGTATTTTAAATTATTAAACATGTAAGTGTTTTCTAGGTATCATTTCATAAATGATTTCTCACTTCACCTGTGATCAGGTAACTGACTCTATATTACTTAAGTCCAATGAAATTTGCTGAAACTTGTTTGATGGCCTAGTGTATAATGAATTTTTATGTATGTCCCATGTGTGCTTAAGACAATGTGTTTTATGCAATTATTGGATGTACTATTCTATATGTAACAATTCAATCAAGTATTTAAATTATGTGCTCAAAGATTCTTTATTCTTAGTATTTATTGTTGTTTACTTGATTGGTTACCAAGATAGATATATAAAAATCTCTAATCATGATTGTAGATTTGTCTATTTCTCTATGTAATTTTGTTGGATTTTGCTTTACATGTTTTGAAATTATAATATTAGTTACATATATATTTAGTGTTTTTATATTTTCTTGATAAATTCACCGTTTTAAATGTAGTGCCTCTTTTTATTTCTACAAATATTTTTGGCTTAAAATGAATTTAACAAGATTAATACAGTTAGACCAGCTTTCTTTTTGGCTAGAATTTATATAGCATATCTTTTCCATTTTTTTACTTTCAACATTTCTATATCCTTTCAGATTCTCGAGTAAACAGCATGTAGTTGGGATTTTAAGCTGTCTGACAAGCTTGTCTTAATTGGAATATTTAGTCCCTTTCCACATAATATAATTACTTTTTATTTTGAGTTTTTAAATACACCTTAATGAGGCATTATTGACCTTTATAAAACATAGAAATATTAAGTGTAGAACTATGAATTTTTATACATATATATACCCAGCTGACTGCCATACAGAACAAGATTCTATTTGCTTAAATCTATTTTATTATACACTTCTATTTCTCCCATTTTCTCTATTTTTCCTTTTCCCTTCCTTTCTTCCTTTCTTTTGGAGTGAATATTTTTATTATTTTATTTCCCCCTCTATTGGCTTAAAAGTTATACACTCTTGTCACGTAGCTAAAGTAGTGCTTAATATAGGCTTTTAGTTTAAAAGCCTATATTATAAAATAAGAAAGATCTCAAATCAATAACTTATTTAAGAAAATAGAAAAATAAGAGTAAACTAAACCTAAAGCAGAAGGGAGAAAATAATAAATGCTAGATTTGTAATGAATAACATAGGGAATATAAAAACAATAGAGAAAATCAACGAAATCACAATTGGTTATTTAAATACATCAACAAAATTGACTAACTTTTAGATAGATGAACCAGAAAAAATAGAAAAATAAAATTATTACAATCAGCAAAGAAAAATGTACATTGGGACTGAATTTGCAGAAATGAAAGAGATTATAAAGAAATACTATGAACAACAGTATGTCAACTGTTGTTGGTAAATTAGATAAAATGGACAACTCCTATAAAAGCACAAACTTCTGAAGCTAAGTGAAGAAGAAATAATCTAAGTGGGCCTATAACAAGTAAAGAAAACAAATTAGTAATTTAAAATATGTCACAAGGAAAAGCCAAGGCCCAGATGGCATCACAGGTAAGTTTTATCAGAAATTTAAAGAATTAACACCAATCCTCCACAAATTCTTTCAAAAGGCAGAGGAGAAGAAAACACTCCCAAACTCATTCTGTGAAACCAATATTGCTATGATACAAAACAAGACAAAAGCATTGCAAGAAAACTGCAGATGAATATCTGTTATAAAAAAAATAATCCTCCACAAAACACTAGTAGAATAATCCAGAAACACACAAAAAGTATTTTACACCATGACCAAGTTGGGTTTATCCTAAGAATGCAATATTGATTTAACAATTAATGAAATACACAATACCTATACAATAAAAGACAAAAATCACATGCTCACCTCAATATAGGCAGAAAATAATTTGACAAAATCCAACACTATTTCATAGTTGAAAAAAAAACTCAACAAACTAGGAATAAAAGGAAACTTCCTCAACCTGAAAAAGGACATCTACAGATGACCCACAGATAACATCATACTTAATGGTGAAAGATGGAATGCTTTCCCAAGACCAGGAATGAGATAAAGATGTCCACTCTTGACACTTCCATTTAACAGCATATGAGAGGTTCTAGCTAAGGCAAGTAGGCAATAAAAAGAAATAAAAGGCATCCAGGTTTGAAAAAAATAAGTAAAACTCTTGGCATTCAAGGATGATATGATCTTTTATATGGAAAAATTCTAAGAAATTAACCATTAATACTAAAATACTTGAACTAATATTTATAAATAAATTCAGCAAGGTTGCAAGACAAAATATATAAAAATTAATTATATTTCTCTATGTAAACAATGAACAAAATGAAATTGACAACAATTCTGTTTACAATGGCATCAAAAGGAATAAAATACTTAGAAATGAATTTAACAAAGGAAGTGCAATGTTAAAGAAACTTTAGAAATTGGTGAAAAATAAATAAAATCAATATAAATATAAATACATTCTTTTTCAGAAGATTTAATATTCTAAAAGTGGCACTGACCTCCCCCGAATTAATCTATAGATTCAGCAAAATTTCTATTAAAATCCCAGCTGTTTGGAAGTTTTTGCTTGCAAATATTTACTAGCTAATCCTAAAATTCATATGGAAATTCAAGAGATAATATGGAGAAAATGTTTGAGGATGCCATTTACAATTTCAAAACTTGCTACAGAGCTGCAGGGATCAAGACGTACTAGCATAAGGATAGATACGTGATAGTTGAGACAAAATTGAGAATCCATAAATACACACTTTCAGTATGGTCAATTGAGTTTCAGTAAGGTTCCAAGATAGTGCAATAGGGGAAAGAATAATTTATTCAACAAATGGCAATGAAATAACTGGATATCCACATGCAAAAAAATAAAGTTGTACCCCTTTCTTAAACCATACACGAAAATTAACTAAAACTCGATCATGGACCTAATGTAAAAGCTAAAACTAGAAAATTCTTAGAAGAAACCGTAGGAGTTAATCCACATGCTCTTGAGGTAAGCAAAGACTTTATAGATAATGACACCAAAAGCATAAGCAACAAAAGAAAAAAATAAATGTTTGACTTCATCACAACTTAAAACTTTCTGCTACAAACAATTCCATCAAACGAAAGGACAATATACAGAATGGGACAAAATATTTGCAAGCATCTGATAAGGGATTTGTATCTGTAATATATAAAAAATATAATTCAATTATAAAGACATAAATATCCCATTTTATAATGGGCAAAACATTTGAATAGATATTTCTCTAAAGAGTACATAAAATGGCCATAAGCATATGAAAAGATGCTCCAGAATATTAGCCACTAATGAAGCACAAATCAAGACAGCAATGAAACAATGAACTTCACACAACTAGGATGGCTATAACCAAAAAGATATACAATAAAATGTGTTATAAATGGCGTGGATAAATTGCAGCCGTCATGTATTGGTAGTGGAAATGTAAAATGACTCAGCTGCTGTAAAAAAAAATTGGCATTCTTCAAAAAGCTAAACATAGAGTCATCATATGGCTCAGCAACTCTACTCCTAATTATATGTCCAAGAAAATGAGGACATACATTCACCCAAAAATCTGTACACAAATGTTCATGGCAGCATTTTAATAATAGTCAAAAAGTGGGTAAGAAAACAAATGCCCCTCAATGAATGAATGGATAAACAAAATGTTACATAACCACACAATGAAATAATATACAGCCATAAAAAAGAATAAAGTAATGATGCATAAGTAGGTTTAAATTTAATTTTTAAAGTGTGCAATATTTTTATACCCATATTCATAACAGCCTTATTCATAATAGCTACAAAGACGATGCAAACCATATTCATAGATGAAAGAATGATTACATAAAATTTAACATATACATACAATGGGATGCTATTAACCCTTAAAAGGGTGGGAAATTCTTACACATGCCAAGACATGAAAGAACCCTGAAGACATTATGTTGAGGGAAATTAGTCAGTTAAAAAAATATTGTAAGATTCCACTTATGTGAGGTACCTATAGTGGTCAAATACATGGAGATAGAAAGTAAGATGGTGGTTGCCAGAGGCTGTAGGTGGAAAATGCTGTGGAATGGGGACCTAATGATTAATTTGTATAAAGTTTTGGTTGGAGAAGATGAAAAAGTTCTACAGATGCTTGCTGGTGATGGTTGTACAATAATGTGAATGTACTTAATGCCACCAAACTGTACACTTAAAATTGTGGCAATAATAAATTTTAAGTTATGTATATTTTTACCACAACAAAAAATTATTTGATTTTTAAAAGTGCACAAGTAAGTTACACTGAAAGCTACCAATTATCGATGAGAGAAATTAGAAAAATCTAAGATAAATAGAAAATTCATGTTCATAGATTGGAGGCTCAATATTGTTAAAATGGATGTTTTCCTGTAGTGCCTTATAGAGTTGATGAAATCTCTGTAAAAATTTGAGCAGCCTTATTGGAAAAATTAACAAGCTGATGCTAAGTCCCATATGGAAATGCAATGTACCAAGAATAGCCTAAATGATTTTGAAAGTGAAGAAAAATGTGAGAGACGTTAAACTACCACATTAAAAAATTTACGATAAATCTACATTAATAAAGACAGAATGATCCTGGCTTAATGATAGACACGTATATCAATAGTGCTTTGGTCTAAATGTGTCCTCCAAAATGCATGTGTTGGAAATTTAATCCAACAATGCAACAGTGTTAGGAGGTAGGATGTTTTGGAAGTGTTTAAGTTATAAAGACTCTGCCCTTATGAATGCATTAATGCTGTTATAAAAGGGTTTGATTGGGGGAGCTTGCTCTGTTGGACTTCCACCTTCTACCATGTGATGACAGAACATTTTTCCCCTCCAGAGAATGCAGCAAGAAGGCTCTCACCAGGCACCAGATGCCAATGCCTTCTTGGACTTCCTGGCCTCCAGAACTGTGAGAAATAAATTTATGTTCTTTATAAACTACCCAGTCTCAGATATTCCGTTTTAGCAGCACAAAAGTACTAAGACAAAAATTGGTACCAGAGGAATGGGATGTTGCTATAACAAATACTTTAAAATCTGGAAGCTGTTTTTGAACTGGGTAATAGGTAGAGGCTGGAACAGTTTTGAAGTGAATCCTGGAAAAAAGTCTGTATTAACATGAATACAGCATTAAGAGTGATTCTGGTGAGGGCTCAGAAGGAGAAGAGCTATAGAGAAAGCTTCACTCTTCTTAGAAATTACATAAATGATTGCGAACAGAATGTTGCTAGAAATGTGGGCAATAAAGACTGTTCTGATGAAGTCTCAGGTGGAAAGGAGGAACAATGTGCCAGAAACTGAAGAAAAGGTCATCTTTATTTTAAAGTGGCAAAGAACTGGGCTAAATTGTCTATGTCCCGGGACTTTATGGAAAGCAGAACTTAAGAGCAAGGAAGTGAGATATTTGGCAGAAAAAAGCTCTAAGGAGCAGATTGTTCAGGACACTGCATGGCTTCTCTTAACTGTTTATAGTAAAACGCCATAAGAAATTATTTGAAGACAAACCTTATAATTAAAAGGAAAGCAGAATGTAAAGATTTGGAAAATTCTCAGCCTGGCCATATCAAGAATTTAAAAGTGTGATTAGTAGAGAAAACTAAGAGCATGGCCAACAACTTTTTGATAAGGAGATTAGTATGAATAGAAAGAAGCCAGATTTTGTTCACCAAGACTATGAGAGAGTGATCCTGAAGACATTTCAGGGATCTTCTAAGCTATCCTTTTCACCACAGGCTCAGAGTACTAGGCCCTTTGGAGTAGAATGATTTTCATTAAGGGGCCCAGGGTACCTGCAAGACCTCAGGGCTCACTGCCAAGGGTCACCTCAGGTCTGTGCTCTCCACATTATAGTGCAGTACTCCTTGGCCCACCCCAGCTGTGGCTCAAGCAGGCCCCAGTGTAACTCAAACCACTGGTCCAGAGGGCACATGTGGTAAGCCTTGGCAGCATCCCTGTGGTACTAATTCTGCAGGCATACAAAGTGTAAAAGCTGTGGAGGCACGGCTTCCTCCACCTAGATTTCAAAGGATGTCTTAGACAGCCTCAGGGCCCAGGCAGACACCTGTCAAAGAGGCAGGTCTCTCACAGAGAGTTCCCACTAGGGCGATGCCTAATGGAGCCATGGAAACAGGGCTGCCCCTGAGGTCTCAGACTTGTAGAGTTACCAGTATTCCACATCAGCCTGACGTAGTTACAGGCATCTGACTCCAAACCATGAGAACCATGGGGGTAGGGTTTTGGGGAGCCTTGGACACCCAACCTCTGCCCCAGTAAGTCTGGAAGGTGGGATATAAAGTCAAAGAAGATAACTCTCCGGCCTTAAGATTTAATGATGTTCGTCCTTTTGGGTTTTGGACCTACTTGGGACCCACTACTCTTTTCTCCTTTCCTATTTCTCCCTTTTGTGATAGAATTGTATAACCTGTGCCTATCCCACCACTATATTTTAGAAATGCATAACTTGTTTGATTTCACAGCCTCACAGATGGAGGGAAGTTTGCCTCAGGATGCATCGTGTCTTGAGTCTCACCCGTATTTAATTTAGATAAGACTCTGGATTTTAGGCTTTTGAGTTGATACTGGAATGAGTTAAGACTTTGGGTGCTTTGGGGATAGAATGAATGTATTTTGCATGTAAGAAGGACGTGAATTTTGAGAGTCCAGAAGCAAAATGCTATATTCTGAATGTGTCTCCCAAAATCCACATATTAGAAACTTAATCCCCAGTGCAACTGTTGGGAGGTTGGGTCTTTGGGGAGATGTTTAGGTTATGAGGGCTCTGTCCTCATGAATAAATTAATGCCATTATAAAAGGGCTTGATGAAGACAGTCATTGACCTTCTGCCTTCTGCCATGTAAAGACACAACATTCTTCACCTCTGGAGGAGGCAACAATAAGGCCTTTGACAAACACCAGATGCCGGCTCCTTGATCTTGAACTTCCCAGGCTCTAGAACTGTGAGAAACAAATTTATTTTATTTATAAATTACCCAGTCTCAAATAGTCTGTTACAGCAGCACAAACCAACTAAGAAACATGAAAAATAATAGAAAGCACAGAGAATATCATTGTATTTATGCTAAATTGATGTTCATTAAAGTTATTGAACCAAATTGCTAAGGGAAGAATAGTCTTTTCAACAAATAGTACTGAGACAATTTGATAACCATATGCATAAAACAAAGTGAACCTAGATCATTACCAAAAACCGTATGTAAAAATTAACTCTCAATTTATTATAGCTCAAAATATAAAAGCTAAAACTATAGAATTTATAGAAGAAAACAAAGATGGAAAATTTGTTTTGACCTTGGGATAAGCAAAGGTTTCCTAATATTACACTAAAATCATGGCACAAAAGAAAATAAAATTAATGAATTGGAATTCATGAAATTTAAAATATGTTTGCTCTTCTTCAAAAGACATTATGTTGGGCTGGGTGTGGTGCCTCACGCCTGTAATCCCAGCACTTTGGGAGACTGAGGCGGGTGGATTACTTGAGGTCAGGAGTTCAAGACCAGCCTGGCCAATATGGTGAAACCCTGTCTCTACTAAAAATACAAAAATTAGCTGGGTGTGGTGGTGGGTGCCTGTAATCCCAGCTACTCTGGAGGCTGAGGGGGGAGAATAGCTTGAACCTGGGAGGCAGAGGTTGCAGTGAGCAGAGATTGGGCCATTGCACTCCAGCCTGGGTGACAGAGCAAAACTCCATCTTAAAAAAAAAAAAAAAAAGACATTATGTAGACATTATGTAAGTAGAAATTCTGTCCCAGACTGTAAAAATCATATACGCGACAAAACAATATTATTCAGAATATATAAAGAAAACTTACAGCTCACTAATAAGAAGATAAATAACTTAATCAAAATGGGAAAATATTTGGACATTGCACCACAGAAGTTACACAAAAGATGCTCAACATTATTAGTCATTCAAGAAATGCAAATCAAAACCTCAATGAGGTTGGGAGTGGTGGCTTATGCCTGTAATCCCAGCACTTTGGGAGGCTGACATGGAAGGATCACTTGAGTCCAGGAGTTCAAGACCAGCCTGGCAACATATCAAGATTTCATCTCTATAAAAAAAATAGCCAGGTGTGGTGGCACATGCCTGTAGTCCCAGCTAATTGGGAGGGCTGAGGCAGGAGGATCACTTGAGCTCAGGAGGTAGAGGCTGCAGTGAGAGGTGACTGTACCACCACCCTCCAGCTTAGGTGACAGACAGAGACCCTATCTCATAAATAAATAAAAGTGACTTACATTTTTTCCTCTGGCTGCTTTTTGATCGTATCTTCAATTTGGGTTTTCAGCAGTTTTACTATGATAGGCTTAGGTGTTTAGTTCCTTATGCTTATTCTAGGACAGTTAAAATAGAAAAGACAGACAATGACAAGTGTTATTCATTTTGTGGAAAAATTGAAACCCTCATACACTGCGGTGGAGATATAAAATGGTGCAGTTGCTTTAGGAAATAATTTGGGGCTGGGCGCAGTGGCTTACACCTGTAATCCCAGCACTTTGGGAAGCCGAGACAGGTGGATCACCTGAGGTCAGGAGTTCGAGACCAGCCTGACCTATATGGTGAAACTCCATCTCTACTAAAAATACAAAATTAGCCAGGAGTGGTTGCGCATGCCTGTAATCCCAGCTACTTGGGAGGCTGAGGCAGGAGAATCACTTTAACCAGGGAGGTGGAGGTTGCAATGAGCCGAGATCATGTCATTGCACTTCAGCCTGGGCAACAAGGGTGAAAATCCGTCTCAAAAGAAAAAAAAATTGGCAGTTCCTCTGAAAGTTAAGTTAACTATATAGTTACCACATGACCCAGCAATTCCACTTCTAGGTAGATATCCAAGAGAATTGAAAACATACATCCATGCAAAAACTTGTACACAAATGTACATAGCATCATTATTCATTATAGCCAAGTGGAAACAACCCAAATGTCCATCAACTGATGAATAGATAAATAAAATGTGGTATGTCTATACAATGGAATATTATTCAACAATAAAAATGTATAAAGTACTGATATATGATACAACACGGATGATCCTTGAAAACATTATGGTAAGTGAAAAAAGTCAATCACAAAAAATGCAGAACGTATGATACTCTTTATATGAAATGTACAGAATAGGGGAATCTATATAGACAAAAGTAAATTAATGGCCGCCCAAGGATTAGGATGATAGATTCTGGGAGAATGGATATTGACTGCTAATGAGAATAGGGTTTCTTTTTTGAGTGATGAAAATGTTCTAATGTTAGATAGAGGTGATGGTTGTACAGCTCTGGGAATATATTAAAACCATGGGATTGTACATTTTAAAAGGATTAATTGTGTGGCATGTGAATTATATCTCAACAAAGCTGTCAAAGAAAGTTGTACACTCTTGTATTATCTTCAAGCAGTTACCCCAGAGATAACAAAGATAGAATCTAATGCTCATTTGTATCTTTACCTTTTATTTGAAAAACACAAATATTTTAGAACAGTTTAAATCAATTTACTCCCTTCCTGATTACTGTCTTGTATTTTCATTCTCTGTATTTGTTAAAAAGCAACAAGATATTATTAGGAAATATTCTTTCAGTTTAAGGTACATATATTCTATTTTCATTGTTTATTTCTCTTGTGTCTCCAACCTTTTATCTGTATCCTATTTCTTCTGCTTGAAGAATATCTTAGAGTATTTTCCTTGAATTGGATCTGTTGTGGCAAATTCTCTTGGTTTTTGGATGTTTGAAAATGATTTTATTATACCTTCATTCTTTAAGAGTATTTTAACTAGACAAAGAATTCTACATAGGCAGTAACTGTTTTTTCAGTACTTTAAAGGTATCATTTCATTGTCTTCTAGCTTCCACTAATTATACTGAGAAGTGAACTGTCAGTCTTATTTTGTTCCCCACCTTTTTTTGAGACAGTATAACTCTGTCACCCAGACTGGAATGCAGTGGCACAATCATGGCTCAGTGCAGCCTTGACATCCAGGGCTCAAGCAATTCTCCCACATCAGCCTCTGGAGTAGCTGGAACCACGGGGGTGATTGCCATGCTCAGTTTTTTTTCATAGAGAAGAGGACTCACTATGTTGCCCAGGCTGGTCACAAACTTGTGGGCTCAAGTGATCCTCCCGCCTCAGCCTCAAAAGTGCTGGGATTACAGATGCGAGCCCCTGGGCCTTGTCTTACTTTGTTCCTTTTAAAGTGACCTCTAGGCCAGGCACAGTGGCTTATGCCTGTAATCCCAGCACTTTGGGAGGCCAAGGTGGGAGGATCGTTTGAGCTCAGGAGTTTAAGACCAACCTGGGAAACATAATAAGACCGCATATCTACAAAAAACTTTAAAAACTTAGCTGGGTGTGGTGACACACGCCTGTGGTCCCACCCTACTCCAGAGGCTAAGGTGGGTTGGTAGCTTGAGCCCGTGAGGTTGACACTGCAGTGAGCTGTGATCACACCTGCACTCCAGCCTGGGCGACAGTGAGATCCTGTGTCAAAAATAAATAAATAAATAAATAAATTGACCTATTTTTCCTCTACCTGCTTTTTTTTTTTTTTTTTTTTGACGGATCTCGCTCTGTCACCCAGGCTGGAGTGCAGTGACATGATCTCAGCTCACTGCAACTTCTGCCTCCCAGGTTCAAGCCATTCTCCTGCCTTGGCCTCCCAAGTAGCTGGGATTACAGGCATGCACTACCGCACCCAGCTAATTTTTATATTTTTAGTAGAGACAGGGTTTGACCATGTTGGCCAGGCTGGTCTTGAACTCCTGACCTCAGGTGACCCTCCCTCCTCGGCCTCCCGAAGTGCTGGGATTACAGGCATGAGCCACTGCGCCCAGCCCTCTGGCTGATTTTATAATGTTATCTTTAACTTGGGTTTGAGCAATTTTACTACAATAGGCTTAGGTGTTTAGCTCCTTGTACTTATTCTGTTTGGGTGTCTCAATGTCTTTTATTAGTTTGGGAAAACTCTCAGCCATCATTTCCACAAATATTACTTCTGATCTATTCTTTCTCTCCTCTTTTTCTGCATCTGAAGCTACACATATATTAGACCTTCTCTTTGCATTCTTTATGGTTCCTTCCTTGTTTTAGTGTTTTTCATCTTTTGAGCATGGTTTATTCTAGATATTTTTCTTCTGATCTTTCCAAGGAAAAATTTCACCAAATTTCAGTTCACCAAATTTTTCTTCAGCCAGATTTAAACCTCCTGTGAGAACACATCCATGGAATTCTTGATATTGTTTTTCATAGTTTTTCAATTCTAAAATATCCATTTTATTCTTCAAGTCTCATATCTTCTTAGTTTTTATTACTCTGCCAAAATTCTCAATCTTGTATTATAACCCCTTGAATATGATAAACATAGTTACCTTAAAATTTGTGTGAGATATCTCATATTTCTGGATCACCTGTGGAGATGCTACTATGGTCTATTTTTTCTGTTGATTTTTGTTCACATTCTTTTTTTCCGGTGTGATTTTTACCGTATGTTAAACGTTGCAATTAAAATTGGTTATAAAAATAATTCAAAGTTTAGATAATGTTATCTTCCTCCAGAGAAAATTTACATTAGCTTTTCCCAAGCTGATTTTTTCAAATTTCGGTCATCTCCTTGGATCCAAGTTCAGTGTTTTTTCACTACCTTATTAACTCTCAGATGCACTGAAGATATTAAGAGATATTACTTCTTTTTTTGTGGTTTAGTCCAACTTACTTATTCTGCAATTACCAGAAGCAGAAATCTCCAGTCAACATTTTAGTTCTACAGTCTTTAACATGAGCGGGCAACCAAGAATAACCTGATAACTTTCTCTTGTGAGAGACAGCAACCAAAACAAATAGAAGAGATCAACTTTAAGTAAACAGACTATGCAATGTATTAGATAAGTTGCAGATTCAACTTCATGTAAATGGCAGGTTACCTTCTTCTCATTACCTCACCCTCAAAACAGCAAATATAGGATAGTAGAGTAAGAATAAGATAGAATGCAATTAAAACTGAAATTGGCTGGGCACAGCAGCTCACGCCTGTAACCCCAGCACTTTGGAAGTCCAAGCTGGGCAGATCACTTAAGCCCAGGAGTTCGAGACGAGCCTGGGCAACATGGCAAAGCCCCATCTCTACCCACCTCCACAAAAATACAAAAATTAGCCGGGCATGGTGATGTGCACCTGTAGTCCTAGCTACTGAGGAGGCTGAGGTGGGAGGATTACTAGAGCCTAGGAGGCGGAGGTTGCAATGAGCCGAGTCACGCCACTGCACTGCAGCCTGGGCAACAGAGAGAGACCCTGTCTCAAAACAAAACAAAAACAAAAACTGATATTGAAGCAAGGTAAAAATGAGAACATGTGGTAATCACTGCCCTGTAGCAATCATCAAATTCTTTTCAGCATGATTGAGATAATTTCTATTGTTTAAATTTTATTTTAGATTCAGGGTGTACATGTGCAGGTTTGTTACAATGGGCATATTGCATAATGCTGGAGTTTGGGTTTCTATTGAACCCATCGCCCAAATTGTGAACATACTACCCAATAAATAGATTTTTAGCCCTTTCCCCCCTTCATCCTTCCCACTTTTATAAGTCCCTGGTGTCTATTATTTCCATCTTTATGCCCATGTGTACCCATTGTTTAGCTCCTACTTATAAGTGAGAACATGTAGTATTTGGTTTTCTGTTTCTGTGTTAATTCACTTAGAATAATGGCCTCCAGCTGCACCTATGTTGCTGAAAACGATATGATTTCATTCTTTTTTCTGGCTACATAATAGTTCATGGTATTACTTACAAAAACAAAGTTAAGTGTAAAATAGCCTCAGGCAAGTCCTTCAGGAAGTATTCCAGGAGAAAGCATTGTTATCATAGGATATAAGAGCTCTATGCATATTACTGTCCCGAAGACCTTCCAATGAACAAGATGTGGAGGTTGAAGACAATGATACTGATGGTCCTGACCCTGTGTAGGCCTAGGCTATTGTGTGTGTTTGTGTCTCTGTTTTTAGAAAAAAGTTTTAAAAAAATCAAACTTTTTAACAATAGAAAAAAAGATTATAGAATAGGGATATAAACAAAAAATTGTACAGTTGTACAATGTGTTTAAGCTGTGTTATAACAAAAGAGAAAGTTAAAAATAGTAAAAGTTTATAAAGTAAAAAAGTCACAGTAAGTTGCATTTATTATTGAAGAAAGAAAAATAATTTTAAGAAAACTAAGAAAAATAATTTAGTGTAGCCTATATGAACAGTGTTTATAAAGCCCACAGTAGTGTACAGTAATGTCCTAGGCCTTCATATTCACTCACCACTCATTCACAGACTCACCCAGAACAACTTCCAGTGGTAGAAGCTCCATTCATGGTAAGTACCTTATAGAGGTATAGCATTTTTAAAATCGTTTATATCATATTTTCACTATACCTTTTCTATGTTTAGATGTGTTTAGATACACTAATACCATTGTGTTAGAATTGCATACAGTATTCAGTACAGTAACATGCTATAAAGGTTTGCCACCTAGGAGCAATAGGCTATACTCTATATCCTAGGTGTGTAGTAGGTTATAACATCTGCGTTTGTGTAAATGAACTCTATCATGTTTGCATAGTGACAAAATCGCCTAACAATGCATTTTCTCACAACATATTCCCATCATTAAGTGATGCATTCCATTGTATAGATGAAATCTATACACTGTATAGATAAAACAAACTTTGTCCCTTTATTTACCAATTAAAGGATATTTGGGTTGTTTTCAGTTTGGGGTAATCATAAAAAATAAACTGCTATAAATACATGCAAGCTTTGTGTGAACGTAAGTTTTCACTATTTTGTCTAAATAGCTAGCAGTGGGATAGTTGGAATGTATTGTAAAGTGTCTGCTTAACTTTATAAAAAACTACCAAGATGTTTCCAAAATAGCTGTGACATTTTGCATTTCACTAGCAACGTATGAACGTTCCAGTTGCTCCTCATCTTCACCAACATTCCATGTGCTAGTTTTTTTTTTATATTTTAGAAATTCTCATAAGAGTGTAGTAGTATCACATTGTAGTTTAAAATTGCACTTCACTAATGACTAAGATGCTGAGAATTTATTCATGTGCTTTTTTGTCATCTGTGTATCTTCTTAGGTATATAGTGTCCATTCAAACTTTTAACATCTTTTATATTGGAATTGTTCATTTTCTTTTTATTGAATTTTGAGAATGCTTTACATATTCTGAATACAAGTGTTTGATCAGATGTATGTTTTGCAAATATTTTTCCCAGTTCATTTCTTGCCTTTTCATTTCTCTTAAAAGTGTCTTTCACAGAGCAGAAAATTAAATTTTGAAGAAGGCAAATCTACAAGTTTTTCTTTTATGGATCATGTGCTTAGTGTCATATGCAAAAAATTTTTGCCTAACTGAAGGTTAACAGACATTTTCTTATATGTTTTCTTCTGGAATTTTTGTAGGTTTAGGTTTTACATTTAGGTGTAACACACATTTTGAGTTAATTTTTTTACAGGATGCAAGGTAAAGATCAAGAATAAAAAGTTCCCAGGACCCAATGGCTTCACTGCTGAATTTCAGAAGAAATTTAAAGAAGTAATACCAATCTTACTTAAACTTCACCAAAAAATAGAGGAGGTGGGAATACTTCCAAACACCTTGTATGAGGCCAGCATTATTACCCTGATACCAAACCCAGACAAAGACATGTCAAAAAAATTAAACTACAGGCCAATATCCCTGATAAACATTGATTCAAAAATCCTCAAGAGAATACTAGCAAACCAAAAAACCAAATTCAACAACAAATTAAAATGATCATTTGTCATGATCAAATGGGACTGATCCCAAGGATGCAAAGGTAGTTCAACATATGCAAATCAATCAATGTGATACGTTATATCAACAGAATGAATGACAAAAACCATACAATCATTTCAATTGATACTGAAAAAGCATTTGATAAAATTCAACATACCTTCATGATACAAATCCTCAAAAAACCAGGTATGGAAGGAACATACTCCAACACAATAAAAGCTGCATACAACAGACCCACAGTTAGTATCATCTTGAATGCAGAAAAATTGAAAGCCTTTCCTCTAAGATCTGGAACAATACTCGAATGCCCACTTTCACTACTCCTATGCAACATAGCACTGGAAGTCCCAGCTATAGCAATCAGACAAGACAAAGAAATAAAGGGCATTCAAAATGGAAAGAAAGAAGCCAAATTACTCTTGTTTGCAGATGATATGATCTCATATCTAGAAAAACCTAAAGAGTCCACCAAAAACTATTAAAACTGATAAATAAATTGAGTAAAATTGCAGGATACAAAATCAACATACAAAAATAAGTGTCATTTCTATATTCCAACAACAAAGAATCTGAACAAGAAATAAGAAATGTAATCCCATTTACAATAGCTACAAATAAAATAAAATACCTAGTAATGAACTTAACCAAAGAAGAGAAACATCTCAACAATGTAAACTGTAAAAAACTGATGCAAGAAGTTGAAGAGGACACAAAACAAATAAAAAGATATTCCATGTTCATGGATTGAAAGAATCAATATTGTTAAAATGTTTATATTAGTTGAAGCAATCTACAGATTAGATGCAATCTCCATCGAAATACTAATGACATTGTTCACAAAAATAGAAAAAAATTGTAAAATGTATATGAAACCACAAAAGACCCAGAATAGCCAAAGCTATCCTGAGCAAAAAGAATGAAATGGGAGGAATCACATTACCTGACTTCAAACTATACTACAGAGTTATAGTACGCAAGGTATGGTACTGTCATAAAAACAGACATAAACCAATGGAACAGAATGGAGAACCCAGAAATAAATCCATACACCTACAGTGAACTCATTTTTGACAAAGTTGCCAAGAACACACGTTGGGGAAAGGACAATATCTTTAATAAATGGAGCTGGGAAAACTAGATATCTATATGCAGAAGAATGATACTAGACCCCTATCTCTAGCCATATGCAAAAATGAAATTAAAATGGATTAAAGAGTTAAATCTAAGACCCCAAACTATGAAAGTACTACAAGAAAACATTGGGGAATATATCCAGGACACTCGTCTCGGCCAAAATTTCTTGAGCAATACCCCACAAGCACAGGCAACCAAAGCAAAAATGGACAAACAGGATCACATCAAGTTGGAAAGCTGCTGCACAGCAAAGAAAACAATCAACAAAGTGAAAAGACACCCACAGAAGGGGAGAAAATATGTGCAAAATACCCATCTGACAAGGGATTAATAACCAGAATATATAAAAAGGGCTCAAACAACTCCATAGGAAAAAATCAAATAATACAATTTAAAAATGGGCAAAAGATCTGAATAGACATTTCACAAAAGAAGACATACAAGTAGTAAATAGCTATGTGAGAAGATGCTCAACATCAGTGATCATCAGAGAAATGCAAATCAGAACTACAATGAAATATTATCTCAGCCCAGTTAAAATGACTTATATCCAAAAGATAGGCAATAAGAAATGCTGGTGAGGATGTGGAGAACAGGGAACCCTTGTACACTGTTGGTGGGAATGTAAATTAGTACAACCACTATGGGGATCAGTTTGGAGTTTCCTCAAAACCTAAAAATAGATCTACCATATGTTCCAGCAATCCCATGGCTAGGTATATACCCAAAAGAAAGGAAATCAGTGTATTGAAGAGATATCTGCACTTCCGTGTTTGTGGCAGCACTATTCACAACAGCCAAGATTTGAAAGCAACCTAAGTGTCCTTCAACAGATGAATGGATACAGAAAATATTGTACATATATACAATGGAGTACTATCTAGCCATAAAAAGAAGAAATGAGAGGCCGGGCGTGGTGGCTCACGCCTGTAATCCCAGCACTTTGGGAGGCCAAGGCGGGCAGATCACGAGGTCAGGAGATCGAGACCATCCTGGCTAACAAGGTGAAACTCCGTCTCTATTAAAAATACAAAAAATTAGCCGGGCGTGGTGGCGGGCGCCTGTAGTCCCAGCTACTCAGGAGGCTGAGGCAGGAGAATGGCGTGAACCTGGGAGGCGGAGCTTGCAGTGAGCCGAGATTGCGCCACTGCAGTCCAGCCTGGGAGACAGCCAGACTCCGTCTCAAAAAAAAAAAAAAAAAAGAGAGAGCCTGTCATTTGCACCAACATGGATGGAACTAGAGTTCATTATGTTATGTGAAATAAACCTGGTAGAGAAAGACAAACTTTACATGTTCTGACATGGGAGCTAATTTGTGGGAGCTAATAAAATTAGTTCTGTCTATCTCCATGAGCTGAAACTACTGAACTCATGGAGATAAGAGGAAATCATGGTTACCAGATGCTACGAAGTGTAGTTGGGAGGCAGGTGAGTGGGGATGGTTAATGGGTACAATAATATAGTTAGATAGAATGAATAACATATAGTATTTGATAGCACAAGGGGATGACTACAATAATAATGTATTGTACATTTAAAAATAACTAAAAGAGTATAATTGGATTGTAACACAAATGATAAATGCTTGAGGTACTGGATACTTCATTTATCCTAATATGATCATTACACATTGTATGCCTGTATCAAAATATCTCATATACCCCATAAATATACACACCTACTTTGTACCCACAACAAAATTTTAATAAAATAAAGAATCAAGGTTTTTTATTTTGTTGTTGTTGTTGTTTGCACATGGATGTCCAATTTTTTCAGCACCGTTTGTTGAAAAGATTACTCTTTCTCCATTCAATTGCCTTTGCACCTTGCTTCTGGTCTCTATCTTTTGTCCATTGATCCATACGTACGCTCTTTCACAAATATCACACTGTCTTGATTACTATAAATTTATAGTGAATTTTGAATTCAGGATGTGAGCCCTCCTACTTAAATATTTTTCAAAGTTGTTTTGGCTATTCTAATTTAGTTGCTTCCCGTATAAATTCTAGAAATTGACTTGCTGATATCTACAAAAGATCTTGCTAAGATTTTTATTGAAAATGCATTGAATCTATGGATAAGATTAGGGAGTTTCAACATATTAAGACTATTGAGTCTTTCAATCCGTGAACATAAAACATTTTTCTATTTCTTTAGGTCTTCATTTCATCAGTCTTTTATAGTTTCCAATGTACAGCTCATGCACATATTTTATTAGGTTTATATGTAATATTTCACAGGATTTGGTGCCATTGTATCACAGGTTTTCGGAACCTTCGTAGCTTCTTTGGCAATTCAATATCTTTAAAAACTTATAGGCTTCTAGACTCATTACTTCTTCTCAGTCTCATGAGGGAGTAAGAACATACAATGATCTTTTCTAGAGTTAGTTTTTAATCCGATCTCTGATATTTTATTCATTAGTCTCTGTGTTTCTCCTTACTCTTTCTATCTCAACCTAATGGTGGATACCTGGAAGTCATCTAAAATAAGTTTCAGTGGTAAGAAAATTCCCTTACTTTAATTTTTGCTAGATCCCATCATCAGGAAGAGAACTCTTAAATAGACCCTCCTAAAAAAATACTTGGGGCCAAAATTTTCTCAACTTCTAATACTGTCTTATTGATTATCACTGTTTCATTTTGTCATATTGAAAGTAATTGTTTTTTTTCATCTCTGCATGTTCCGCAAGTAAAATTAGATTGTAAACTACAAGCATAGCATGCCTCCTTTTGGCTATCTCTGGATTGCACTCTCTTTCTTGTAAGAAAACTTAGTAGTTAAAAGCAGCACAAAGTAAGAGATGCACCAACATTATGAATTTTTAAAAACCATTTCCTCTAATACTGAAGGCTCAGTTAGCAGCATGTGGTCGGACTTGCAAGATATCCTAGGTGACTGTTACCTTTAACAAAAGTGTACCAGCTTTCTGGTATGAAAAATCTGTCCTTGCCACTTGCTGTCTAACCACTTCCAGTTTTCCAGGATGTTCAGAGGCAATGAATTTTCTCTTCCACATGCAGAGAGAATAATTGTAACTAAAATCAATATCCCTGATATTAGAGAAGATATTGAACTATGAAATAATAGGATGCTATATAAAAATAGAGAATAGAAAAAAAACTTTTCAAAGATGAAAAAATATGAAAGCAGAAATGGAGTACTCAATAAGAATAGAGCAAAAGACCTGGAAAATAGGACAGCAAATAAAACTCAAGGACTTCCTGTGTCTGAATAAATTGAAAGCATATTTAGAAAATAGGTGGAAAATATATGGTTGAATTAGTGCTACTAACAAAAAATTCAACAGCCAAAAAATATTAATTCCAAGAAGAATACAAAGTAATAGAGGAAATGCAAAGTATCCTAGTATATTACCTGGCTCACCTGTTAATTGCATTTGCATAGTCAAAACAATGGAAACACAGTATATCTGCAGTGGAAAAATGAAGGGATGTGAAGGGTGCATGTGTGTGGAGTGTATATGATTGTCTATGTATCTATGTGAAATAGATCAAAATACTGATCTTTCATAGAGAGAAGTTAACAGATACCTAAACCTGAACAATCAAGACATAACAATATAAACACTTAGCTTAGAAATAATGAGCTAAGAATCAAAGATAAAGGCATAAGAGATGAATATTGTTGCCTCTGGAGAGGAGAAAATGGGGGAAGAGGACTGTTGTTTTTATAATAATCTTTGTAGAGCTACATAATTTTTAAAACCATGACCCCAAATGCAGTGATAACAAAACCCTGCCAGGATGCTACACATAAGTGTAATTCCAAATTAAATGAGCACTAGAGCTTCTCACTCCATGTTTTCCATGGGTGTTGATCATCGGCTACTATGGAGATCCTGAGGGCCTTTTGGAATATTTTTATTAATGTCTTCTTTTAGTCCCCTCACCTAACTTTAAGTGGCAAGACAGTATCTTGGCAAATGAAATGAAAAGGATAGATGAAAGGAGGTATGATCATCTTCAGAGAGGAAATAATAACCAAGGAGAACAGAGGAAACATTTCAAGGGCAGTCTGAATATGAAAACTTCAAACAATGCAGCATTGGATATCCAGCTGAGAAATAACAGTAGCAGAAGACACATCAGTTTGGTTTGTTTAGCTATCAGAGACTGAATGTCTGTTTCCAAACAGTTTCTAGGGTAGCACAATAATAATCTGAAAAAAACATTCTCATAAAGCTATGAATCACCTTCATGCGTGTTCTGCTTTTGTGCAACAGACTCTTATAGTCCCGGTCAAACATGAAGACAGCTAAACCCATCATTTAATTCATATTATGTATGATAGCATTCATCATAAAAAAGTTTAATACTATATTTGGAACTAAGTAGGACAAAACTTCCTCCATTGCTTTCAGGTGCTCCTTTTACCTACCCTTCTGCAAGCTAATCTCCAGAGTTACACAGTAATTTTATAATTTTTTAAATTTTTTAAAATAAAATGACAGTAATTAATTACCTAGTACATGAAGGTACTTAATACATATTTGATAAAAAATAGAAAACAGACCAGGGAAAGTAGTGTGGAATTTGACAAAAAATTAAATTGGTAGTATTTTTTAAAATACCAAATACATTTCAAGATTAGGGTGATAATAGGAATAATAATAGAGGAATATATGAGAATGCTATAGCCATGCCGAAAATGACAAGGGCTAGGATTTATGTTCATAGAGTTGTCTGTGTAAATAATATTAAAAATAACATCAAACTGTTCAAACATTCTGCTTCACTGATTACAGCTATATCAGTTCTGCCTTATCCTCAGGGGACACTTTCTGAAACCCCAGTGGATGCCTGAAACCGTAGACAGTGCTGAACCCTCTATCTGCTGTTTTTTTTTTCCTGTACATTCATACCTATGACAAAACTTAAGTTATAAATTAGGCAGAGTAAGAGATTAACAATAAGAACTCATAATAGGCCGGGCACGGTGGCTCACGCCTGTAATCCCAGCACTCTGGGAGGCCAAGGAGGGTGGACTGCCTGAGGTCAGGAGTTCGAGACCAGCCTGACCAACATGGTGAAACCTCATCTCTACTAAAAATACAAAAATTAACCAGGCATGGTGGCAGACGCCTGTAATCCCAGCTACTTGGGAGGCTGAGACAGGAGAATTGCTTGAACCCAGGAGGCGGAGGTTGCAGTGAGCCGAGACCGGGCCATTGCACTCCAGCCTGGACAACAAGAGCGAAACTCCATCTCAAAAAAAAAAAAAAACTCATAATAATATAGAACAATTATAACAAAATGCCAGCATCACTTATCTTGCATGTTGGGGTTATTATTAAGTCAAATAAGGGTTACCTGAACACAAGCACTGCAATACCATGACAGTCAATCTTATCACCCAGATGGTTACTACGTGACTAACAGGTGGGTAGAGAAGACACTGCTGATACACTGGACAAAGGGAGGATTCATGTACTGGAATGGATGGAGCGGGATGGCACAAGATTTTAACATGCTATTCAGAATGGTGTGAAATTGAAAACTTACAAATTATTTCTGGAATTTTCCATTTGATAATTTCTGATTGTGGTTGACCACAGGTAACTGAAACTACAGAAAGCAAAACTACATATAAAGGGGACTACTATACAAAATCACATGTGTGTACACAAAAAGATGGGGAAGATGAAGTTATATAGAGTTTAATGTTCAGTGGGTTCTATTTTCCGTAAAAATGTTTAAGTGCATAAGAACTCCACTAAATCTCTTCATGCCAAACACCTAGGAGTTAGCTTTGATTCACTCCTGTCCCTCACAATCTAAATCTAATCCTGTTGCAAGTTCTGTAGACCTTACCTTCCAGATACATCCCAAGTTTGTGCAATTATCTCTACATCCACTACTATCACCATTGTCTAAGCCATCTTTATCTAGAGCACTAAAATATTCTTCTAGTTGGTCTCTCAGCTTCCACTTTTGGCCACCTACAATTCAAGTGGCACCCAGAGTGCCCTTTTAAAACATAATCCAGGTAATCTCGTTCTCCTGCTACAATCTCTCCAGTGGCTACCTATTGCACTTTGAATAAACTCCAGACTCTTTACCTGTCCTATAAACCCCTCCCTGATGTGGCCCCTGTATCTCTGATCGCACTATGTTAAAGTAAACTGGCCTTCTTTCTGTTCCTCCAACATTCCAAGCTCACGAAGGCTTTTATACCTTTGTACCTTTCTGATAGCTTCTGTTCCTCTGCCTGGAATTCTTCTTCTGATCTTTGCATGGCTAGTTTCTTCTTGGCATTTGGGTCTCAGAACAAAGTCTTCTCCTTTGGAAGAGACCTTCCCTGATGATCCAATATAGTTAAATTATCCATCATATCACCCAGTTCCATTTTAATCATAGCGTTTGTCCCTACTTAATATTTTCTTATGTGTTTATTTATTTGGCTACCCCCTTACTGGAATATAAACTCCACAAGAGTATAAAGACCTCGTCTGTCTTATTCATTGCCATATCTGCAGTACCTTAAACACTAGCTAGAACATATCTGAACTGCAATAAA
Source organism: Homo sapiens (assembly GCF_000001405.40). NCBI lineage: Eukaryota > Metazoa > Chordata > Mammalia > Primates > Hominidae > Homo > Homo sapiens. Next base: position 108,747,132 of record NC_000023.11, on the reverse strand, counting down.
TGTTTTTGAATAAATGAATGGAAGAAAAAAGGGATGAAAACAAAGTTGTAGTTTATTTTAAGATGTTCCATTGTTACATTTTTTGTTCTGAGAGTACAGTGAAACATTCTCTGTGGAAATGATTCAACATAAGAAACAAACTAAACATACAGAAACCAGAGAGTACATATCTGTCCTCTTTCTCCCTGTCTCAGAAACATTAGAAACCACTGGGTTCTAATCTCTCATTTTTTAAAGAGTAAACTGGGATTAAATGGCCTACTTAAGATCACACAGCTAATACGTGGCAGAAATGGGACTAGAACCCACCTTCCCTGAGTTCCAGTAGAGTGCTCTTTCCATACCTTTCTTGTTACTAAAGATCAATATTGTGGTCATTATCAAATACTGGTTCCATTATGGCATAACAAAGGTCAAATGGCAGTCCAACTAGTTAGCGAGGAGACATGAAGGGTTAAAGAAAGTTTTATTAATACTTATGAGTAGGTGGTATGCTATGGGTATGTACTTGAAATTGTAAAACAAAGATATATCATACATGTACAATTCTTATGAAAGAGGAACACTTAGCCAAAGCTGAATAAAGATCTCTAAAAATTAGAGACTGTATTTAGCAATACAGTTGCTAAACGTAATTTGTAACACTGTAAACTATGACAATGATTAAATTTTAAGATATGAGACTTTCAATTCAAAGAAAGATTATGGAGAGGAAATCAGTTTGTACTTCAAGTAATAGAAATTTAAAGATACATTTCTCAAATATTATGTCATGCTATTATTTTAGGCATAAGCCTATGGTTCTAGTAAATTCAGGGAGTTTTTGTTTGTTTTGTTTTAATTTAGGGTAGGTAAGAATACCAAATAATCAACTTAAATTGAATGTCTGTAGAATGAATAATATTTCAAGATTCCAAATCACACCTGCTTTCAAATTTATAGTTTAATCATTTTAATTATACCAACACCCTAAAAATTTACAATTAATGGCTATTACTGCCTCCAGATGGTATACATTACAAAACAAGAGGCTGTTATATCTATCTTCTAGCATATTCTTTCGGGTATAAAATGGATGAGACAAAGGAGTCACAAGCTATCAGAATGTGACATGTATGCATTTGAAAATCAAGCAAAAGTATTAGGTGACTAACCAGAGTTATGCCACGCAGGGAGCATGAAAGCCAGACAATAGATTATCCCTATCCTCAAGAAATATATAATCTTGTTCATGAGAAAAAATTATACTAAAACCGCAATTATATTGTACACACATATACACAGACAAAATCATAGAAAATGAATAAGCTTCAAGAAAAAAGTAAGTTTTCTCTGATAAATATCAACTTGTACAATTAGGTACTTTGAATAAGATTTCTCCGTTTACCTGTCTCACTCTTTGCAGAACTCTCAGCTTTGATTCTATTACACCTGGAAGATCCCAGGGGAGTGCTGAACCATGTGACAAAAGTCTTCAGGTGGACCTTAATCTTTCAAGAAATCTTTTTAGGTAGACAAAACACTTTGCTTCGTTTGGTTTTTTATTTTTTAATACTGAAAGCACCAATTTTATTTTCCAAGGGACACTTCCTTTCAGATGCAAATGTCAACCATTTCTTAAATGCTGTATTCAAATGTTAACATTATTCCTTTCTGAATGCTAATTAGGAAAAAGAAAAAATGATTTACTTGTTTCTTAATTTTGAATCAGTGTGAAGTATTAATATGCTTCCCTCTTTGGACCAGATTTTGCCTTAAGGTATCTATTTTGTTTTATGTTGCAAAATATATCATATATACAGAAAAGTACATAAGTACATATATGCAGTTTAAATAATAACTATAAACTGAATGTCCAAGTAACTATGACTCAGGGTAAGAAATACAATTCTAGGTATTTTTAACGCAGTCATAGAAGGAAGAGAGCAGTTCACTATGAGAGTCTAAATTTCTTTGTTCCGTGACCACAAATGAAAGTTTTCCCTCCTTATTTCTCTTTTGACTTCTAGTCTCAAATTTAGAAAAGGTCCTGAAAGGCCGGGTGCGGTGGCTCACGCCTGTAATCCCAGCACTTTGGGAGGCCGAGGCGGGCGGATCACGAGGTCAGGAGATCGAGACCATCCTGGCTAACACGGTGAAACCCCGTCTCTACTAAAAATACAAAAAATTAGCCGGGCGTGGTGGCGGGTGCCTGTAGTCCCAGCTACTCGGGAGGCTGAGGCAGGAGAATGGCGTGAACCTGGGAGGCGGAGCTTGCAGTGAGCCGAGATCGCGCCACTGCACTCCAGCCTGGGCGACAGAGCGAGACTCCGTCTCAAAAAAAAAAAAAAAGAAAAAAGAAAAGGTCCTGAAAAAAATAAGCTCAAACATTTTGCCTTCTAACTCCTGAACTCAAATCACATTCTTTACATAATAATTCATGATCCTCTGTGATAATGAATTTAAGAGGAAGAAACAACACATAATTAATGAAAGAAATATTTTAAACTTACGCTGCTATTTTCATAATTATAATTTATTGTCCTGTATTGCTGTCTTTTTAAATAAACCTTATGTGAAAAATTTTGTCAAAGAGGGATGATTAACAAGCCTAAAGAAAATGTATTCTCTAACATGACTCACAGCTGCAGTGGCCCTAAATACTGAAAAGTGTATTGAATGACTGATATTTCACCTTCTGCAAAAAATAATACATTGTTCTCTGAGTTCATCACCTTATGTAGTATTTTGCATTTAGGTAAAATCTTTCATTCAACAAGTAGTTACTGGGTTCCACGCAGTAGTAGACACCATGAAAGGGCAAACAAAAGTAGAAGAATGCAATCCCTGCCCTCAGGAGGGCTTACAAAACATTTGGGATGATAAAGCATCCACTCAGGAGGCAAATGAAAAGTACTTACATTTCATAAACAATCATCTGACAGTAAAATAAAGACTGAATACAGAAACTCAGGAAACTTAAAATGGTTGTATTTCAAAAGCAGTTTGTAAAATGATTGCTTCAAACTTAGAACACATTTTACCAATAGAAACATTTTGAATAAACGCCGATTGGATTTATATATTTGCCAAAAGAAACCCACTTAATTCACAATATGTGAAAATTCTGTCTGCATATTCGCTATGAAAATACAGTAGAAAGAAAAAGGGTTGCAATACTAACAATTAGAGAAACATTGGAAAATAAAAGTGATTACAAACTAGGCTTATAAAATATATCTGGACATATTTTGAATGCTGATGATTGAGAAAGAGCATGTTTAATTAAAGCAGATAGATGAAGATTTCTGTAGAGATTCTTAAGGGGATCCTTTACAAAAGCACTTGTGATCCTTGAGGTATCTCTATTTCAAAACTTTTTTTTAATTTTCATTCACTCCTTCAGCATATATTTATTGAGAGTAGTATCTACCATGTGTCAGGCACTGTTCTTGGCATTGGGAATACAAGGTAAGTATACATGCAGAATATATGGGAATATAGGGAGCTTATATTCTAGTGGAAGGAATGAGAAAGGAAAAAAAATGATATCAGGAACTGCTAAGTGCTTTTCCTTAATGGAGGTTTATCATCACCATTACCCTAAGACTAATATTAAGTAAGTTTATACTTATAACCTTACATGATCAAGGTTAAAATTTCTCTTTGTTCCTAAATGGAACTAAAGACAGGAGGGGGAAATCAATGGGCACAGACATTTCCTGAGGTTTCTAACAACAACTGCAAGATGGGAAAGAAATATGTGTGAGAAAAAGATTTGCTGACCTGTGATAGATGAGGAAAACAATGGGCGTGATATTTTTGAGAGGGAAGAGATGTTAAGTTGGGCATAAGTCACCAAGCCTTGCCATCAGTCATGGAGAGTTTTGGCATGGTTGCAAGTGATTTGGAGGGGGAGGTAGTCTGCATTGACGTCTTGAACATTGTTGTTCTTCTCTTTCCCTTCTCCCTTGTCCCTCCCTCCCTTCCTTCTTCCTTCTGCCCTTTCCTTCCTTTAATCCTCTTCCCTTCCCTCCCCACTTCCCTCCCTCCCACTCTTCTTTTCTCCTTCCTTCCTTCCTTGAAGCAAACATGTACTGATAATTGCCAGACTGTTATACCAAGCATTAATTCCTGGCCCTCGAGGAGCATATAGCCTAGAACCGTGTTCTCAACTCTGGGATTAGTTATATCCAGGCATGGTAATTTTAACTGTTCAACAACCTGCGTAGCACAAGCCAACCAATAAGAATGTATGTCAGTCAAAATTTGAGTATGGAATCCTGGAAGCCCCTCAATGTGCCAGTAGTTAACCTTGTAGTTGCGGGATAGTGGAGAGGTAGAAGGTCCTAACGGAGGTGTTGTAGTAGCCAGGACAATGGGTGGGCAAGAAGACTACTCAGTGGGGAACAGTTTCAGGGCAGTAGCTATTTACTAAGTGGTAGAAAAGTATTCGTTATTTTACCAATGACTATCATTTAACAATGATATGCCTGTATGGATGAATACCAACTAAATCCTTAGCTCCACCTACATCCAATGCTTAAAGAGATTAGGCGGTGGGATTATGTGATGGAGGAAACCTTTTTCTGGGTCTTGATCTTATTCTTGAGAAAGATGATTGGCATCAGTTGGTGATGAGGAAAAAGAGGGAAACAGCTTAAGTAAAGATGGAAATTGAGAAATCGTATACAGAATGCCATTAAGAAACCAACCTGTGTGGAGGTGTGGGCAGCAAGAATGTACTGTAATAGAATGGGAGGCAAATTTGGAAGAAAAGGTTGTATACAGCAAGAGAGAAAAAGAGGTTGGTTGTTGTGTCAGTGGAGAACAGGGAAACATATTAGGGTTAGTTATTTAATTCTGATATAGCAGAGAAAGGGGGAGGGGGGCTTCTGTATGTCCTTGAGCAGGGAATTGTATGATGAAAGGAACATATGAAAGGAAATATTCTGCTGGCTATATGAAGAAGAGACTGAAGAATGCAGAAGCCAGTTTAAGAAGTTACTTAGGCAATTCTGGTAGGGTTAATTATGGCAGGGACAAGGATGGTGACTATGAAAGTGAAACAAAGTGTTCAATCTGACAGATATTGCAGGACCATGTGAGGAGTGGAGAGAGGGGAAACAACAAGAAACATAATACATATTATCCTAAATATGACAGCTGGCTTTCTAAATATCCAAAGAAAAATATAAGTCTATGATACTAACTCCTTTAAAATAATATATTTAACTATGTAATTATCCTACTTAATTTAAAAAATAAAGATTCTAACTTTTGAAGACAAGGCAGTATGAATTGATAGCCTTTTGACACTAAGAAAAATACTGCTATATGATATTAATACGGAAGAGCATAGCATTAAGCTAAATTTTCTATTATTGATTTATATTAGCATGGAGAACATGTATGATGTTAAATCATTAAAATTTATGTGAAACCTAGCAGACTTCATTGTTCTGATGTTTATCTTACTTAGTAAAAGTTATTTCCAAATGAAACTTTTATCTTTTGAAGGTGGGAAGAAATGCTTGATTTTTAACTAAGTTAACTTTAAGTTGACTCTTAAGATAACAGGAAAGCTTTAGGAGCCTAATTAAACCATGTATTTGCTCTAATTACTTTCGCTGGAGACTGCTAGGAAACAAAAGCAGCAAACAGACCTGTTCTGTGTGCAGCAGTCAGGCCTTTGATGGTTGTTTTCTCTAGCAGAGGTTTTGAGTAGCACAGAAGTAAAGAAGCTGAGAAGCAAAGCCATCATCTACAAACAGTGGCTGCAGCCACAAATCACAGGGCAGCCCTCATTCCTGCATAGTGTAGAAAGCATCTTTCATTGTACATGATTTATGTCCCAACACAGAGAAGCAATCGTCATCACTAACATCATTTTTTAATATCAAGGGTGGCATCACATTTTTATCAGCATAATTGGACGTTAGCTCATGAAGCTTTTAGAATTAATACTTAGAAGATAATTTATACGTGGGACAAGAATAATAGTTTTTTGATACTGGTTACTTTTCCTCTTAGGTTTTATTCTCTTGAATAATGTCGTCCATATTTAATACAACAGTTTAATTTTTAAACTAAATAAATCCACACTTGAATTACCCATTTCGATTTTAGTACAAGTTGAGTTTAGAATATTCATGATCATGTATGTAAGAAAAGAAGCAGATGAATTTTTGTTATCACTGACAAGTCAATTCAAACAATTGCTTTCTTAAAACAGGACTCACAGGAAATTCCTTTTAAAAGCACACATCATTAAAGGCATATTTCTTCATTAGTTGGAATTGGTTTTAAAGGTATTGTGGCTATTTATCCATTTACATTAGTTTATAGCCATAAAATGCCAGTTACAATGCTTGTGTTTTTTATCCCTTGAGTTGAATTGGCAAACTAAAACAAGAACTATCTTTTAAGTCTTATTATTTATTATCTGTTGTTTTAAAAATCTGTATTTCAGACCCTTTGTGCAGATTCCAAACTTTACAGTTGTAATAACTGAATATGCAAGGCAACTTTAGCCTTCTGGGATAAACTGTCCTAAAATAAAAACAAAAACGAAAAAAAATAAGAGACAGGAATCTATAACCAAGAGAGGGTAGAGCATTAAAGCCACCACTGAGTGAGTTCAAGCCAAATAAAAATTCTCTACATTTTGCCTAAACCATCTAGATATCTGTTTTACTTTGCCTATGAGAATCTGACCTAAACTAAATGACTATTCTATATCATTAAGTTGTCCAGGAAAATGAAAATTTAAATGTATGTCAGACAAGCTCTAGCATCTGGTACAATTCAGTAATGATGGTCTGCTCTACAGAGCTTCAGTGTTGAGACAACTTTAGGACTGAGAAGGTTTGGTTGACCTGTAGGAAGAAAATAATGTTCTAGTCAGACATTCTCCCAGTTTACAAGTACTCATGCTTGCCAGATTAGGAAAGATACAAAGTAAAATTCTTCTGTGAAGCATCTCACTATAGCTCTAATTCCACTTCGCTGCAGCCAAATAATATACCCTGGGTACAAAGTGATCAGCACTGTTCATCTTTCACTGTAATAGTTTAGAAATTATTTTCACACTTCTTTTTTTAACACATTGATTAATGCTAGATATTTCCCCTTAAAATAGAAAATGTCTCATAAAGTATTATTTCAGAGTGATAAATAAAATTTAACTAATTTAGATGCTCTCATAATTTGTTGACAAAAGAAGAAACCTATTTCTCCTTTTAAAAGAGCATATAAGCTGAAATATATGAGATCTTTTAAAAGAAGTTTAAAAGTGACCATGGTGACACTTGTATCAACAGCTCCCTTTCAAACTGTGCTACAAATCACATCATGCCCAATTTACATATCTTTCAAAATAGAAGAAAATCAAGTTAAATGTGATTTTTAAAGTCAACAGACTGGGGAAAAAAAACTTGCAACAAATACCACAAAGTTTTAATGTATTTATTACATAAACAAGTTACACATAAGAAGAAAATACTAAGAATACAATAGACAACACAAAGGACATAGGAAATAATATAATGTCAGTGAATATATATAAATGTTTAATCTCACTAGTTAAAAAAAAAAAGCACATTGAAAGAATAGTGGAGGCCAGGTGCAGTAGCTCAGGCCTGTAATCCCAGCACTTTGGGAGGCTGAGGCAGGTGGATCACAAGGTCAGGAGTTCGAGACTAGCCTGGCCAACATGGTGAAAACCCTTCTCTACTAAAAATACAAAAAATAGCTGGGCATGGTGGCGGGCACTTGTAATCCCAGCTACTTGGGAGGCTGAGGCAGGAGAATTGCTTGAACCCGGGAGACCGAGGTTGCAGGGAGCTGAGATCACGTCACTGCACTCCAGCCTCGGTGACAGGATGAGACTCCATCTCAAAAAAAAAAAAAAAAAGAATAGTGGAATACCGTTTCACCCATCTTATCTCTAATTTTTTAAAAATAAGAATGTCCAATGCTGACAATCAGTCTGGTGACAGGGTAAACTAATATAATATTTTTGAAAAATAATGTATTAAATATTCATATCTTTTAGCCTACTAATTCCAGTGCTCAGTTTTTACCCAATGGGAATTTTAAAAGGCTGTAGGTAGAAGATATTCATTGACATGTTATTTATAATACTGAAAAAAATGAAAACAACCTAAATGCCCCAAAGCAGATGATTAATTACATTAATATTCATCGATTGTGTTGGATAATATGTTGTATTTTAAATGATATTTATGCTGATGCATAATAATATGGGGAAATATTGTATAATGTTCAGTGAAAAGAACAGGATGCAAAATTATATAAATTGTAAGCCTACTGCTCTATGTAAAAACTATATGTACAGGAAAAAGGACATGAGGATTTAAAAATCTCCAGTATTTTCCCATTTCATTTAATATTCATTTTGATATTTTCAATGTCATGTTATTACTCAAAGCACTTTCAAATATGTTGCCTTATTTGTCACATTTCTCTTTAAAAAAAAAAAGAAAAAAACCTTGTGCTTGGAAAGACTTATAAAATATCCTAATGACTATCAAACAAAATCCCAAATGAGAGCATTTGTTATCATTTTGGTTGTAAGTGCAGGGAATCTTGTATATATGTGACTACGCAGCTGAAATATGTAGCAGTCACAGTCAGGGATCTCTCAGCATCCACACTCGTTCTGCCTCTAGCTCCCTTCCGAAACCACGGCTGCTTCCAGCACCTGTGAATATATTGCACTTATAAACCATTGGCAGCAGAGGGAATGTTATTGAATATTTGTAATATCTGGGGGACAACCCAAACCAATTTCTTTTTCTCTTAAATTATAGCATCAAAAAGGAGCCATTTATTCAAATACGTGTGTTCTGTTTCTAACAGAGCAAATTCTTAAGAGGGCAGAAATATGGTTTATTTTTATGATATACATATTGCCTAGTTTACTGTTGGATTTTATAAATAGTACCCTTTGCCATATCAACCCTAGAGCAAGGGTGAACTGACATTCCATTCTTTCAGAGAGAAATGCTGTATTTCTCTCCTCCTCTCCCTCCATTCCTCTTTGCAAACCTGGTCACTCCTTTGATAATTCACGACCCATCTCCACCATTAAGAGTCTAAAATCCTAGTCAAGTAATAACTGGGGTGGTGGGGGAGAGAGGGAGAGGGAGAGGGAAAGGGAGAAGGAGAGGGAGAGAGAGAGAGAGACTTGAGGAGGTTGCACTTACACTCCGGCAGTTTTTCCAGAAATGAGGGAGGCAGTAGTTCTTACTTTTGTGATGTCAACTTGTAGACTGAAATGCATCAAAGCTCCTCTTCTTCTTCTTGTTGACGCGAGGGATGTGAAATGTGCTCTAGAATATGCATTCAGCGTGGTCCTTTGTTCTAGGTATGAGCTTTTCTTTTTCTAAAGTTTTTCGGTCTCGCTCAAGGAAAGGAAAGCAATATTTTGAGATTCTTTTAAAGGCACCTTCCAAAGCATTTCCCACAGAAAAATACCTTCACAGCCCAACACTGGTTATTTCAGTAAGAATCGAGTCCAATTTTTTCCAATATGGCTGTATACATTGCAGGCCCCCAAATTTGTGCTTTCATAGTCATCGTTAATCAAATAGGCAGAAACACTGTATTTAGGGAACCTGTGTTTCGTGGGCTAGAAGTGCATTCTGATTAATAAAGATCATGTTCATTTTGAATGCATCGCTGTTATTCGTGTGCCTCAGAGTCGCGGGCTTCTGTCAGGGGTGCAGCGGGCTCGGGAGTGCCTGCAGAGCGGTGGGAAGCAGTTCTGAGCGCCCTGGTCGTCAACCCGTTTTCAGGGGGTGCCGACACTTTCTCCCAAGAAGCTCGATCCGCCGCCTTGTGCGGCTGGAAAGAATGAACCAGACTGTGACAGGAACAGAGAATTTATGTGATTGACAGGGAGTACCAGGGCACCCGACTCCATCCCGGGTCACCACGGCTCTGGGATTTGCACGAGTTTACCACCACCATTAACAGCTATTTGCGTAAGGTTGTTTACCGCCTGAGAGCGCCACAAGCCGACAGCGAAGCCACTTTGGGACCCCAGCCACGCCCCCTCTCCCCTCTCCCCTCTCACCCCTCCCTCCCGCCAAACTAATGATTTCGGGGCTGCCTTCTTGCCGGACCCTCCCATTGGCTCCTATCCCAACCAATCAGAGCCTTGCAACAGTTTCACCTGGCTCCCGCTTCCCAAATAAACAAACAAACTGTCCCGCGACTGTGCCCGCTCTGCACCCTGGCGCCGCAGGCAGGCACTGCTTGCGCTACGCCCCCTCCCACCACCTCCCACCAATGGGGCCCCGACTGTGGCGCCCTCTCCCGACCCTGATAGCCGGCCGCTTTCTCCTCCGCCCCTCCAGGCCTTCTCCCGCCCCCTCATGCCTTCCTGGACTCCCTGTTAGAATCAGCTTGGCCAGAGAGCCCGCCTCCTCCTCTCGGTCCTCCCTTGGCCCACAGGCCTGGAGATTGACCGGGAGGATTTGGCACAGCCGGAGGTGGCTCCGCCTCCCGAGCCCGCCGTCTCCTCCCTTGCTCACCTCTACTGGTGGCCGCTCGCGCCCCTCCATTGCGCCGGTAGCAGGATCCGCAGCGGCCGCCGCGTGAGGCTGTGGTCACGTGTTGTTTTGCCCGCTGTCGTGCGCTCAGAGTGGAGTGGGCGGGGGCGCGGGCCAAGGCAGGAGGGGGCTGGGGCGGGCAGACGAGGGTAGACAGCCTCTTCCCCCAACCCTCCCTTTCCTGAATTCCCCCTCCTCCTCGCTCACCTTAAAACCATCGTGCATCACCATGGCGAGTTGCTCCTTCACTCGCGACCAAGCGACAAGAAGACTAAGAGGTGCAGCAGCGGCGGCAGCGGCAGCTCTAGCAGCAGTGGTGACCACCCCGCTTCTTTCCTCGGGAACCCCGACCGCACTCATTGGGACCGGGTCGTCTTGTCCGGGAGCCATGTGGCTCTCCACGGCCACTGGCTCCCGGTCAGACTCCGAGTCCGAAGAGGAGGACCTGCCCGTCGGGGAGGAAGTCTGCAAACGCGGCTACCTGCGGAAACAGAAGCATGGGCACAGGCGCTACTTCGTGCTCAAACTCGAGACTGCTGACGCCCCAGCTCGGCTGGAATACTACGAAAATGCCAGGAAGTTCCGGCACAGTGTCCGCGCCGCGGCGGCTGCAGCAGCGGCGGCCGCCTCTGGCGCCGCGATCCCCCCGCTCATTCCACCGCGGCGCGTGATCACCCTATACCAGTGCTTTTCCGTGAGCCAGCGAGCAGATGCAAGGTACCGACACCTCATTGCTCTTTTCACCCAAGACGAATACTTCGCGATGGTGGCCGAGAACGAGTCGGAGCAGGAAAGCTGGTACTTGCTGCTCAGCCGCCTCATCCTCGAGAGCAAGCGCCGCCGCTGCGGCACGCTCGGCGCGCAGCCGGACGGAGAGCCGGCCGCGCTGGCGGCGGCAGCGGCGGCGGAGCCACCCTTCTATAAAGATGTGTGGCAGGTAATAGTCAAACCCAGGGGGCTGGGGCACAGAAAAGAGCTGAGCGGCGTGTTCCGGCTGTGTCTAACCGACGAGGAGGTCGTGTTTGTGAGGCTGAACACCGAAGTGGCCAGCGTGGTCGTCCAGCTCCTGAGCATCCGTCGCTGTGGACACTCGGAGCAGTATTTCTTCTTGGAAGTAGGCAGGTCCACTGTCATCGGTCCGGGAGAGCTCTGGATGCAGGTCGATGACTGTGTGGTTGCCCAAAACATGCATGAGCTGTTTTTGGAGAAGATGAGAGCCTTGTGTGCAGACGAATACAGAGCCCGCTGCCGCAGCTACAGCATCAGCATCGGCGCCCACCTGTTAACCCTGCTGTCCGCTAGGAGGCACCTGGGCTTGGTGCCGCTCGAGCCGGGAGGCTGGCTCAGAAGGTCCCGCTTTGAGCAGTTTTGCCACCTCAGGGCCATCGGCGACGGGGAAGACGAGATGCTTTTCACCAGGCGCTTCGTAACACCCAGCGAGCCTGTGGCCCACTCCAGGCGAGGAAGACTGCACCTGCCCAGAGGGCGCAGGTCAAGGAGAGCGGTTTCAGTGCCGGCCAGCTTTTTTCGCCGCTTAGCACCCAGCCCAGCACGTCCCCGGCACCCTGCAGAAGCCCCGAACAATGGAGCTCGCCTGTCTTCTGAAGTGTCTGGTTCTGGCTCTGGCAACTTTGGGGAGGAAGGCAATCCCCAGGGCAAAGAAGATCAGGAAGGAAGCGGAGGTGACTACATGCCTATGAACAATTGGGGCTCAGGAAATGGCCGGGGCTCAGGAGGTGGCCAGGGCTCAAATGGCCAAGGCTCCAGTAGCCATAGCTCGGGAGGAAACCAGTGTTCAGGCGAGGGACAGGGATCCCGAGGTGGTCAGGGCTCAAATGGCCAGGGCTCAGGAGGAAACCAGTGCTCTAGAGATGGCCAGGGCACCGCAGGTGGGCACGGTTCAGGTGGTGGCCAGAGACCTGGAGGTGGGCATGGCTCAGGTGGTGGCCAGGGACCTGGAGATGGCCATGGCTCAGGTGGTGGCAAGAACTCTGGGGGGGGCAAAGGCTCAGGAAGTGGGAAAGGATCCGATGGTGATGGTGAACGTGGAAAATCTCTGAAGAAAAGATCCTATTTTGGCAAATTAACTCAAAGCAAGCAACAGCAAATGCCACCACCTCCACCACCTCCTCCTCCACCCCCACCAGCTGGAGGAACTGGTGGAAAAGGGAAGTCTGGGGGAAGATTCAGACTTTATTTTTGTGTTGACAGAGGAGCCACGAAAGAATGCAAAGAAGCCAAAGAAGTGAAAGATGCAGAGATCCCAGAAGGTGCAGCTCGAGGTCCCCACAGAGCCAGAGCTTTTGATGAAGATGAGGATGACCCATACGTGCCAATGAGGCCAGGGGTGGCCACCCCTCTTGTAAGCTCCAGTGATTATATGCCAATGGCTCCTCAAAATGTCTCTGCTTCAAAAAAGCGCCACTCTCGATCCCCTTTTGAAGATTCAAGAGGGTACATGATGATGTTTCCCAGAGTGAGCCCACCACCTGCTCCGAGTCCTCCAAAAGCACCTGATACTAATAAAGAGGATGACTCAAAGGACAATGACAGTGAGAGTGACTACATGTTTATGGCTCCTGGAGCCGGTGCAATTCCAAAAAACCCCAGAAATCCTCAGGGTGGCTCTTCCTCCAAAAGTTGGAGCTCCTACTTCTCTCTACCAAACCCTTTTCGGAGCTCACCTTTGGGACAGAATGACAACAGTGAGTATGTGCCAATGTTACCTGGAAAGTTCCTGGGGAGGGGCCTAGACAAAGAAGTCTCCTATAACTGGGACCCCAAAGATGCAGCTTCAAAGCCTTCAGGTGAGGGATCATTCTCAAAGCCTGGAGATGGGGGATCACCTTCAAAGCCTTCAGATCATGAGCCCCCAAAGAATAAAGCTAAGAGACCTAACCGACTTTCTTTTATTACAAAAGGATATAAAATCAAGCCAAAACCACAAAAGCCCACACATGAGCAGAGAGAAGCTGACAGCTCTAGTGACTACGTCAACATGGACTTCACTAAAAGAGAGAGCAATACACCAGCTCCCTCTACTCAAGGACTACCAGATTCGTGGGGCATAATTGCTGAACCCAGACAGTCAGCCTTTTCTAATTATGTGAATGTTGAGTTTGGAGTGCCATTTCCAAATCCAGCAAACGACCTCTCAGATCTTTTAAGAGCTATACCACGTGCCAACCCCTTATCTCTGGACAGTGCTAGGTGGCCACTTCCTCCCCTTCCCCTCAGTGCTACAGGTAGCAATGCTATTGAGGAAGAGGGTGACTACATTGAAGTAATTTTCAACTCAGCAATGACACCAGCCATGGCTCTTGCTGACAGTGCCATTCGCTATGATGCTGAAACAGGTCGAATCTATGTGGTCGACCCATTTTCTGAGTGCTGTATGGATATTTCTCTCTCCCCCAGCCGATGTTCTGAACCACCACCTGTAGCTAGGCTGCTGCAGGAAGAAGAGCAGGAGAGAAGACGCCCACAAAGCCGTTCTCAAAGTTTCTTTGCAGCAGCCAGAGCCGCTGTCTCTGCTTTTCCAACAGACAGCCTCGAGAGAGACCTTTCCCCATCCTCAGCCCCGGCTGTCGCTTCGGCTGCAGAGCCGACTTTAGCCCTCAGCCAAGTTGTAGCTGCGGCCTCCGCGCTCGCCGCAGCCCCGGGCATCGGCGCAGCAGCCGCAGCTGCTGGATTTGACTCCGCCTCTGCCCGCTGGTTTCAACCTGTTGCTAATGCTGCTGATGCCGAAGCAGTAAGGGGAGCCCAAGACGTTGCCGGTGGCTCGAACCCTGGAGCCCACAACCCATCTGCAAACCTTGCCAGAGGTGATAACCAGGCTGGCGGGGCTGCCGCTGCAGCTGCCGCTCCGGAACCACCACCTCGCAGTCGCCGGGTGCCAAGACCCCCGGAGAGAGAAGATTCTGACAACGACGACGACACTCACGTGAGAATGGATTTTGCCAGACGTGATAATCAGTTCGACTCTCCCAAAAGAGGTCGGTAATTTTAGAATTAATTTCCCTAAAGTGAATGGTCATTGTCTAATGATTCGATGCGCTACAGTCTACAGTGTTAGGGATACTATTTCATTAACTGGTGCTATTCGACATGGAGTATAGAATTCAGTTTTAATTATTCACAAATGCCTTTTTGATCTTTGCAAAAATTTGTTTTTATCTAATCAATTTCTTTATCTGGACAGAACTGATTATCATTTAAACACTGGTTCTACTTTTTTAGGAGTAGTTAAAACGCAGACATAAAAAGCATAAGGATACTTTTAAACATCCTTCCCCATCATTTAATGATAATGTAAAGCAGGATATCGTAAATTGGGTTCCACCAACTAATTTTCAAATCAACAATTAAAAGCTGCTTTTCTGCAAATGCCCATATTTAAGTGTAGGAATTTAATAAGAGCACAGACTATTAAGCAGTAATAATCAACTATTTATGTTTAGGGAGGATAATTTTCTCCTCTGAAAGTTACTTTTTAAAGAGCAGTCGTTGTTGTGCTAGTTTGCTGTGATTTACCAAGAAAGTTAAATCTCAATTGTTAACGTGAATGTCTGGGGGGAACAAAACATAAATAATCCAAAACAGGAGGTGATTAAAAGAAGACAGTATTTGGCTCTGGAATGTGTTTGTGTGTTGATTTTCTTTTTGTTTTTACACAGGATAAATTCCAGAAACCTTGAGTGTTCCTTTTCTCTGTCACTAGTAATGACAGGCAAGTCACATTTGCTGTGCCTCATTTTCTTCTTTTAACCCCCCACCCTTCTAAAAGAGGGTGTGGTGACAACTTGAGAATGGATATGAATATTATTTCAAAGGTTTAAAAAGCAGTTAAAACATTTAATTCATATATCTTATGGGAAATCAAGGAAAGCAAGATAAGGCTGGAGGAAGACCTGACTCCAGGGGCAGCTTACCCTGGAATGGTGGAAGTTTTTAAAGGGCTACTTTTCCAAAGGAAGAAGTAAGGAAGAGTAGGAGCTGTCAGACTTGGAAACAAGACTTAGAGTAATTCTACTGTGTACAACATTGTGGAATGTTGTCATCAGTGTGTCTTGAAACATTTTCAAGAGATGATTGCAGAGGATGATGTCTCCATAGTCTCAACTACCTTGCCTCTTAAGTAGAATATGCTTCTTTCCCAGTGAAGGGAAGGGATGGACCCCAGCAGTTTTCATTCCAGTAGTCAGTTTAGTGAAGATTTTTGCTTTGCTTGCTTTGTGGAATGCTTTTGTGATTGGATCTCTGCCCACTGTGCTTGATCAGGCAGAACAAGTCGGGCACTGATCACAACAGTCACCTAACAAGCTCCCTATTTAATGCAGGTGTAGCCCCCCCACATCCCCTTTTTCTCCCTGCTATAGAAAACTTGCCATACACAAACTCACATTTGCAGCGTGGACACATTAAAGAGTGATCATTAAAACAACAAAAGGATGCTTTGGCTTGCCAAAGGATTCAATTCAGACCTCTTTTAAACTGTGAGTTCCCTCCCCAACACACACACATACACACACACACAAACACACATGATCACCACTGCTACCATAATCATACGTTTAAAATATATAATTTCATTTCCAAGTCTTTAATCCATAATAAGATTTTCAAGAGTAGATCTACTTTATTCTGTAGAATATACCTGAAAATTGATCTCAATCTATTGTTTGAGTCTAACTATTGAAGACACCATTTATAATTTTGATGTAGATGATACACAGTTGCCTGTGTCCCTGTAGTACTTTCAAAAGGACCAGTTTTCATAGAGGTTTATTTTAAGAAGTTTAAGATTTAAATAGTGAAATCTTACTGTTCCTTGAATAAATTCTGACTTCCCAAGGAATACCTAGACACAATGATCATTATTTTAGCATAAATTCCTGATTTATGACTTTGTAGCTATTTTGGAGATTTAACATTCTGTAAATGCATTGTTTATTGAGGAAATTCCTAGCTTTATTGAGTGACTTTAGCAAGGAAGCTCTATCTCACAGGGAGGCAGGCGCTTAGGTTGAAATAAGAGAATCAACGTGGAAGCACTTTGGAATGTTAAAGCACTTTACAAATGTAAGATATTTTTAGTGTCATTGGATTAATACTGAAGTGAAATTTCGGCAGTTTAAACTGATTCAGTTTCTTGCAAAATAATTGATCTTGAGGGTGATTCCTGCACATAATTTGCTGAAATACATGAAAGGAATGGTGGGGATTGCCGGCGGGGGGGTGCGGGGGTGGGGGTGGTGGTGGTGGTGGTGGTGGTGTTGATGGTGGTGAAACAACCCATTGTAGGAAATGACTTTGGTTAGCATTTTAATGTAAATTGTATGGTAGAATGTTGTCTGTGAAGTGTTAAGAACAAGCTGAATGATTCTGATCCTTTTTTATTGTAAAGCTGTAGAATAATTTTCACTCATTTCTGATCTCTATTTTCCTATCTAACATTAAAACAAAAACAATCACGTTAGGAAACAAAAACATAATGCTTTGACAGAGGAACAAATACCATCTTTATTAGAAGTTATGTATTTCAAAAAGTCATTTTAATTGATGGCAGGTGCTTAGAACAGTGCCTGGCATATAGTAAGTACTATACATGAATTATTTTACAGTTATTGCCATTGTTATTGTTGCTACTGTTATTATTACATTTAGAAAAACAAACCTAAATTAAGATTCTCCATCTGAAAATCTCACTTTTCAGTTAGTCTTTACTTGCATTTAAAATACTTTACATTATTGTTCAGTTGGCATGTTTATAGATTACCATTTAAGTGAAGTGAGATTATAAATCTGTGAGACAGCTGTTCTCATGTAACACAAAATTAATATGTAATTCCATTTACCTACAGTCACATTGCGTATAAGTAAGTACAGTAAAGGAATTTACTCAAGTCGATTAGAAAGAAACACCCAGAAGTATAACCTTAGACATGACTGTATTAATAAATGAAATAATTTTTAATCATTTATTAAAGATGAAGTCTTCACATTTTAAACACATAGGTTATAGGCATTAGCATTTAGGAGAAGAATGTTGTTTCTTATGCAGTTTAGTTTGACTGTTAACCTATGTATGACTATTTGCTTCTTTTTCTACCTTACCTGATGTACAATTCATAGTTCAAAATGACTTGAGGTGAACATTTTCCTGGTTTTTTTATTCAAGAGATGGGAGGATATAAAAGGGCAGCTCTAGGAGGGGTGAGAGAATCGGTCAGCCAAATTAGTAATGTTATGATGGCACTTGGTATTAAAAAGCAAAAAAAAAAAACTTTAGTAATTAATTTTTCAGTGTTAGACACTGTTATCACCATGAAGGAATCATGCTTCTTTTGAGTGTACTACTGCCAAACTTGTTGCTATCAGTTATAGGCACTAAGAGCACATTGTTTTTATTCCATTGAAGTTAATTATTATAAAAATTTCCATATAGCAGAAATTTCCCAGCTACCATTGACGGATCATTTATTTTAGGTAATATTCAACACCTCAAAATTGGACAGTGTTTGGACTAATGAGGTATTTGTCCTCTAACAATTAAAGAGGACTTCACTTAATTAAAGTTAACTAAAGTTGTTCACAATCATTATTCATTTGCATTCATTCTATTTTAAGAGTGATGTTTTCAGGGTAAAAATTTCAACTACTAGCAAAATACTTACCTTAAACAAGGACCAGAACTTTAATTAAGCACACCAGAATGTCACACATGTATAAAAATTCGAACGAGATCTCTTACTTTCTTTTTCTCTCCCTAATCCCCTGTTTTGGGAACAAACTTAGGCTTCTCAGAGTGACAAAAAAATAATTCCTGTGGGAATAGATGTGGCTGACGAGTGTAGGGAGAACTAAGGAATAGTTTATGTGATTTAAAAGGGTCTATTGTTAAATTGTCAAATTGTTGATTGAGGAAATGCTTTCCAGTTGCAGATTGCCTTATAGTTTGCAAAGCACATTCACATTCATTATTTTACTGATGGATGGTAAGTACTGGAAATGAAGCCCATGTTGAGAATTTTCCCAAGATCAAAAAGGTAAGTGGCAGAGCTGAAAATCTAACTCATACATCTGATTTCAAGTCCAGCACTCCACCCAACACATGACACCTCCCTTTAATCAGGTGTTTAGTCTGTTATTTTCCCACTGGTGACAGATTATTACATGGTTAATGATTAGGAAAAAATTACAAGTTTGCTTTCACTTGATAGTAGCAAATTTTGTTGTAAGTAATTCATTCAGAGCATTATAACTGTGGACTATCTTCCAGGACCTGGGTAATTTTATTACATTGAACTGTTTGCCCTGGCTCTTAGAATAAAAGAATTTGACTTGTGCTGGAATTGAATGTTTTAAATCTGATATAGGGAGGAGTTGGTTAATCTTCACTGCCCAAACACAAATAGTGTATGTATCTATTTAGATCCCACAGAAACATTGAAAGGAAAGAAAGTGAATTGAGGGTGCATTCAGTAAATTTCCATTAATGGTCATTTCTTTAACTGAAGTTAGATTTCTTTGATTTTCCTAATAATTCATTGACATTTGGGAGTTATAGCAAAAAGTCTTTTCATTTAATTTCTTCCTTCATTATAAAATTTGGTATTCTGATCTAAATCAGCACAGTAGGCAAAACAGGATAAAGTAAGACAGGTGGAAGAATAAGCAGTGTAGCAATAGACGTTCTTCATTTGTTTAAAAAGTGAACTTGCTTTTGGCAGTCAGGCAAGTAGATTTTAGAAGCCTTGAAAATCAAACTCTCTCCTTGGGACATAGAAATCCCTGTTTACAATTAAGTTCATTTTGATTTAGCACCTTTTTTAAGGCTTTAAGAGTATATAAAAATAGCCCAGACGTTTTATTGGCAGTATTGGAAAATAGCTTTTGTAAAATGCTTAATTAAAACTTTCAGTATATTTTCTCTAAGAGGTGCTGCCAGACTCTTAGATAGTGAGGATCATTTACTAGAAAACGTTGCTTGGTCTTGAATGAGAAATGAGAAATTTAAGACACTGCTTTTTATAATAATGAAATAAATACATCACAAAGCACTGAGTTTTTGCCACAATCATTGGATTGCTGATTTTAAAGCTATTGATAAAATTGCCAAGAAAAATGTGCTTGCCATATGAACTTAAAATATATTCTCCAGCAATTCTGCATTGATTATTGGTAATGTAGCTACAGGTCTCACATTTCCACCTTATTTTGGAAAAATAGACTCAACACTTGAGAAATAGGAATGTTTAAAGATGTTTCTAGTGTAAATTATATACTGTTTTAGATATGCATTTTTAGAGGGTACCTTTCAACTTCTGGCTGAATAATTAATTTCTTTTAGAATGGAAAACATGTACTTAAATACTTATTAAGTGAAATGAGAAAGTTACTGCTATTTTCTCTTAGCTTCCTGATACCTCTTTCTTATTGGTTAGGGTTGCATTGGTTGTGTTCTGTGAGTCTTACCCTCATGTGCCCTTTGCCAAACTTGTGCCCTTGAATTCAGGCAAACATGCCCTTTCCTGGTCTCTCTCTGGCTGAAAAGGTGAGGGCCACTGTGGGAGTCCTGCAGGGCCCATAGAGGGCTTCGCCAGATGTTGATCACTCCCAGTACACAGCCTTCTTGCACTTAGCTTGCAGAGGCAACCTTCCTTGTAGGGATCCTTGTTGTACAGATCCAAGGCTGTGCTGCCTGCCCTACTGTCACTTGGCACAGAAGCAGCTGGGCCGGTGTTTAAAGCTATTTTCATGGTTGGATTGATCACAATATGTTTGATGCCAGCCACACCTTCTGGATTTACCGAATATCTAATTCCCTATATATTGTAGTCACTTTAGCTAGTTTTGACAATTTATATAATTTTTCTCCTATGATTAATAATTTCCTACTTATAGACTTGAAACTTAGAATAACAGTGAAGTTTCCATCTCACAATTAATCTTGAAAATTGCTCACATGTGTATCCATGGGGCCCTTGAAAGTCTGACCAGCAAATGTGATTTTTTACTCTTGCTTTTTAAAGTTTTATGCCTCCAGTCTTGAAAGCTTACCAACCTTGTCCTCGCACTCAGAGTCCTGTGCCCCCACCCACCTCCATGATGAAGTCCTTATTGTTGCTGCAGCTTTTACCATAGTTTCCCTTCGGCTGTCACCCTGCCTCCGACTCTTCCAACTGGTTGAGTATGGGGGACACAATTCCTATTGCCATGGCTGGAAGACATATATTCCTGGAGTCTCAAACTGAAACTTCACATACATCTTCCCTCAGAAATGATGACTGGGTATAGTCAAAATAGTTCTCTGTTAGTTCAGGAGTTGCATAGGTTAAATATAGGCATATCTAGACAAAGCTATAAACCTATCCACCATTAATTTATGACATTGTTTCTACAAGATAATTTATTCTGAGTTTCAACTAAACAATGACCTTGGAATATGTCTGTTTTGTAAATTTGAAACTGCCTATATTAGAATTCTAGTAACTTGCATTCTTTAAGTTGGCAGTAACTAGGCAGCAGAGTGAAGTGGCCCATGTGTGTGTTGGGAAGTAGTGGAGAAGCTGACCTACCATGAAAATCCTGTAGCTGATCTCCATAGAGTTTGTATCCAGATACTCAAGACTGGAATGCACATGCATAAGTGGCCCAGGGCCTGCTAACAAAGGGCAGGTGTAAAACGATTGAGCTGACCTTTGAGGAGATGGGGGTTTACAAGTGTCATACATTTCCCTTACAGATTCTTTTGAGCATTCTGTCCCAAAACTATTGCCATTGTGGGAACAAAGGTATTTTATCATCCGATCTATGAAGGAGATAATAGTCTGGTATAATTGGTGTTGTAAAGACTAGCAGCGATTATTACTAGTTTTTAGCCTTGAGCAATAGCACTTAATTTTATCAAGTCCTAGAGAGTCATCCTCCTCTACAATCACAGGGCACAGAAAAGTATGATGATCCTTTCTTATTGAGAAAAAACAAAAAAACCTACATATACTCCAGAGACAATGCTAAGCTAACTAATATAATTGCATTATTATACATTCATCTTTGGCATGTATGCTTCAACATATCTTTCTTTGCTTCCCTTTTTTTTTTTTTTTTTGGTGCTTTACTTGGTTGCCCCTGCTTATGTGAGCTCCAGTTGATCACAGGGGTGCAGGGATAGCATGTTGTCAAATGAACAGAGTGAGGAATTTGCAAAAACCCTTGAAAAACATTTTTGAGCTCCAGGAAAATTGGAGCTGAAAAGATAACTAAGACAATAAGTTTGCAGAAAGGGAAAAGAGAATGAGAGAATAACAATATATTGTTATAGGTTCACCTTTCTCTGAGCAGAGGAAATACTGCTGTTTCGGACTTCAAAATGTAATAGAGGCATATTTATGATTCATATAAAGAGGTCTGAAATACCCTGGAGGAACTGCCTACTTGGCTCACCCTACAAATTTCCAGGGATATTGAAGTCATCTGTGCATTATTAGCGTATTAAAGATTAATGTTCAGGTTTATATCATTATATAACTCGAAACAGAAAAGTTTACTTCATTTGTTTTTGAGAAAAAAAAGTTCCCTGCCAGATTTTGGTAGGAGGAGTAGGGAAATATTTTGACTCATCAGAGTCCACTGAGGTTTTCTATATTACAGAGAAAAATTACCTGAAGAGTATACCACCCATTAAAAAGGGTGAAATTAACTTGTTGTTTAAAAGACCTTTGATTAATTGGGAAAATAAGAATATACAATAAGGTAAGTATTTATAACCTGTCAGTATCAAATGGGAATAATACATCCAAAACAGACCACATTATTACAAGCATCACCATTTACCTTGCTGATGGTGAAATCACATAAAAATGAACGGGAGACAAATCTAAGGTATGACTTTTAGCCCTTTAATATTCATTTTGCAGACTGTTCACAACCAAGTTTTAATCTCGAATTGCTTTCCTTTGCCACCCAGCAAGCTTCTGAGTTGCTTCCTTACGCTGTTCTTTGGAATGTGCCCCGGGAATGTAAACTCATTTTAATATTGGCCTAAGTAAAATAGGATTATAAAGGCAAATCTGTGGCTCAAGTTCCCATAATGCATTTCAAAAGCAAGTTAAATTATTTTGGGATTATCCTGTTTGGGATAACATTATTCCTTTCTACTAGCATAGTTAATCAAGAATTGACAAATGTATTTTGTGAAGTAAACATGAAATTACACAATTATTTGTCACTTTTTATTAAGTTACCAAACATTCACTTAATGCTGGTGTAGGTGTTATAGGAAAGCAATGGCAATATGAATCAAATTTTAGTAGAGGCTCTGTCATTTAAAAAAAGGAAAGAGAAAGAAAAACAACTCCAATAAAAGCAAATGTTCCTAATCTTAGTATAATGCCAATAGGGTAGTTATATGGAGCTTAATTTGCAGGTTTCTGGGAAAATATATATGAAATCCAGTGTATCATATAAGACAGCAAGAAGTCCCTTTTAAAGCACATGCAATGTGCTATATATGGACATATGAAAATATTTTTGGTATTAAAACAAAATAGTAAACTAAACTAGGTGAAATACCTTCCTAACCTTAAATATCTATTTTAAAATGTAGCTGATATCTGATAACACTGTAATACTGGTACTGGTCTAGCCTAATTTTGCAGCGAATTAACAGTTACTAATATGCAGTCTCACAGTTAACTGTGGTTATCACAGACTCCTTTCTTCCTGTGTAGAACTAGATACATAAAATGTAAAATTTCCTAAACCCACTGCTGACAGGAAAGCTTAATACCTTTACTAATCTATGGCATTTTTTTGAGACAGGGTCTCACTCTGTCACCCAGGCTAGAGTGTAGTTGCGCGACAGGGTTTCACCATGTTGCCCAGGCTGTTCTTGAAATCCTGGCCTCAAGGGATCCACCTGCCTTGGCCTCCCAAAGTGCTGGGATTATAGGCATGAGCCACCATGGCTAGCATTTTTTTAAACTTCTAATCTACAAGAACAAACCTATACATTGAATCTTAATGAAGAGACACAACTAGTAAGAGGGAAATGTACTGTTCCCACTCAGTGCTTCATCCAGCTGCAAATTTGTTACATTTTAAAAATCCTTGAGCCCAGGAGTCTGGGTGGGGCTGCAGTGAGCCATAATGATGCCACTGCTCTTCACCCTGGGCAGCATAGTGAGACCTCATCTCTTTAAAAAAATTGTAAAACCTTTGATGAGAAAATGAATACTTAAAATGTATATTTCCAGTTTAATAGACAATCTTGTACTTGAAGCCCACTCTGGGGGATGTTTTCCATGGATTCTTTTAAGATGTCTCAAATAAAATAGAATACTTGGTACTTTGTGGTGACCTGATCTTAAGGTAACACTGGCATCCCATAATCAATTTGCTGATCATTTATTCCTATCCCTTCTCTGGTCCAGCACCTTCTTCTATGTATCTGATCACCCCCTGCCACACTCCCCATTATGCACCCACTCAAAAGCAGAAAGCCAAGAGAATAATGCTGGAACTTTTTTCTTTTATTAAACAGATGGGAATTTCAAGTCTCCTTTGCAGGTATGACTTTGTTCTATTAGAAGAAATTCAATGATTGAGTCTAGAGACCATCACCAATGCTGTACTTAAATCCTATGACTTGTGCCACATAACCTGGTGAAGGCAGAGTCAAACATGTAGAAGAAGAAGAAAAAAATCTGTTTCTCTGCACAATGCCTGGCTCACTCTTGGGCTCCACTGGAAGAAAGTAGAACAGTGCACGCACGTGCAAAGATGCTGTCCACCAGAAATGTCAGTGACAGCCTGGGGGCAAGAAGAATAACTGCCCTTGTGTCTTTGCCCAGCTGATATTCCTCACAGGCAGCCAGCAGAGTTGATTAACCATGTCCATGCCCAGGCAGTCTCCTCTGTATATCTCTCAAAAACTTCTAGTTAGATTTTGTTTTGTTTTGTGTTGTTTTGTTTTAAAACAGGGTGGGGGTGACAGCTCTCCACATTAATTCTGCAAGTAACTTTTGTTTTATTATCTTTTTCCTAGAGTGATTATATTGCCACAAAAACACATTTTAGAAGAAAAGTGATGCTTATGGAATTTTATCTTCGTCTACTCCAGATCTGCCTAAAGGAAAGAAAACTCAGAGGCTTCTGAGTAGAAAGCAACCCAAATTTCTACAAGCCTACAAGTGGACTCTGGCAATTGAATGATCCTATTCATGCAGATCATTCATACTGCTGCTTATGGATCCAGTGATTTCTAATTAACAATATTTACACTGTGCTTTGTTTTTTGTTTTCTGGTTTTCCTCCCCAGTCTGTCCCTTTGAAAGGAAACAGATACTATACAAGTGAGCATCTCATAACTCTTTCCCTCTTTAAAAAAAAGTAACTTAGAATACATATAAATTTGGTCAATGCCAATTTTAATAATGTAAAATATTTAGATTCAATTTTGAAGTTGAAAAACTTTAAACCAGGGCACATAAAGAAAAAACAGCTGTCATAATTGGAAGGAAGGTATGATCTGGAATCTTTTTTCCGAGTATTACACACACAAAACATTTCTTGATCAATGAATTAAATGTCAACTGAACTGATATCTTGATGGGGCATTACCAGTATTTTAAAGGCAGGACTAAAGGGCAGATTATTTCAAGTTTTGCTCATTAGCAAAACTGCAACATTCTGCTCATGTTATATGTCAATGAAACTAATATCTTGATTGAGCATTTCCAACATTTTAAAGGCAGAACTGAGAAACAGCTATTTGTTCACATACAACACTGTGATGTTCTGCCTGAAAATCGATTGAGTATTTCCAAACCTATTATTTTTCATTTATTGTGAAACCTACATTTACCTCCTAAAAGAAACAAAGCTCTTCAAAAGTCTCTTCCCAAGGCCCCTCCCTGCTTCTCTGGGCCTCTCCCCACTTTCAACCTCTATTCTACTTTTTCTTATTCTTTCTCCATTTTCCCCAATGCACACTCTTCCTCTTATGCCCATGGCTACTATAAAGAGATCAATTTCCCATATTCAAGAAATTAGTGTTTACTTATCAATCAATATTCTGACAAAAACTTAAGCCAAAAAGAACCTCTTATAAGGCCTTGTTTCCTTCTGGATATTGAGCCAATATAAGATGTACCAAATTAAAAAAAAAAATCAGAGCAAGCTCCCCCCCGTTCTATTTTTGCTTGCCTCTGATGTAAACTGAATTAAGATTTTAGGTACCTGGACCTTTGAGAACGTGACACTAGCAAGGTGGTGACCACAGAGAATAGGTACAAAGGTCTTGAAGCTTGCTTAGAGCTTTGTTCCGTGGTGGCACACAAATCTTGGCTTGCTGTACCATCATTGGCAAACCTCATCATATCACAGTTGGGTGTGTTTGTATGTGTGTGAGCACTAGTGTGTGTGTGTACATATTCGTGTGTATGCACACTTTGTGTACCTGTGTACATGTGATTGTAGATGTACCTGTTGTGTGTAAACTCTGTTAAAATGAAATTTGCTTCGCATTTAATGTGCAACTTTGAAGTAGTGTAATATTTATCTAAAGGTTTTCACTACTTGGTTTTAATGTCTTTGAACGTGTACTTCTATCTTCAAGCAAGCTTATAGTACGTGTTGCTAAACTAACTTTTCCAAAGAACCGAGTTGACTTCTATTTTTCCTTGCCTACCAACCAAAGGGATGGTGGGCTCTTTTTTCCCTCTTGTAAATTGTGCTGAGGAGAGGACGTGGCTATGAGATCAGTCATTGTTCCAGTTACTGGTCACTGCTAGGGCATCAACTTTATCAGTTCCTTCAGACTCTTCTCTTTTTCCAACCTAATCAAATAACGCAGTGTGGCTTTTGTTCATTATAACAACGCGCTCTTTAGGCAACTTTTTTTCAAGCCTTCTGTCACCATTTTATTTTTTCAAGTAAGTTAAGTAATAATTGTTCAGAATTGTGGGAAAAAAGATTACTTGGGGGAAAATACTGTATCACTTTATTTGCATATTAGGTTCAGAAGCTGCCAGCAGACAGGGTACAGAGGGTACAGCACAGATGTAACAGTTGCTGAATAAATGAATGAGAAACCTCATACACAGTAGTACGTATTATACAAATAGTAACAGGTACACATAGTCACAGGTACTGCATAACAAATGCAATCTTGTTCTCATTATTTATTAGTTTACAGACAATTAATTTATTCAGTATTGTGCTGGAAGAATCTTTGTGGAATATGTTTACCAACTTATCACTTACCTTCCAGCTATCAGTTCATGCTGCTAAGAAAAAACAATGATGGAATATTTTTGTGTGTGTGACCTCTACATTTAATTTGATATCAGGCATAGTCACTTGGTCGTTAAAAACTGAAACTTTACAGTTCCACCAGCTAATTACATCTGCTATTTCTGCTTCACAGATATGCTTTGAGTTGCTTTGGCTTTGTCTTCCTTTGTAAATACTCTTGTACTTTCTTTTCCTTGTAAACATCTCGTTTGCAGTTTTGGGAGACGACTTTGCAACTCTGTATAGTGTTTATATATATATGTATATCTATATATATCTGACTTGCCTTTCCATACAGCTACTCACAATAAATGTGTTCATGTAAATTATTCCTGTAGAGATTCATTTTTTAATACTATTGTCTCTACTTTATTATAAATATATTTTCCTGCTTTGTAGTAGGATTGACTGCATTTTTCAGAATGAAACAAATGGGGTATTTTAGGGTTTGGGCTAAAGGTACTTTGCCTAGAAACATGAGGCTTTTCAATAGAGTCAATAAAGTCAACTCTTGATTTTTCAAATGTAGAGGTGATACTAGTGTAGAACAATTTATAAAATGACTTACCTAAAATTTCATGCAGACCTTGGATAATGAGTGAATCCTATATTGAAGCAACTACTCAAGGAGGTTGAGGTGATCATTTACTTTTTTTTTTTCTGTCTCCTTCCCTTGACACTTAATCTTGCTCTTTAAATTACTCTTTTTTTTTTTTTTTGTTTTTTTTGAGACGGAGTTTCACTCTTGTTGCCTAGGCTGGAGTGCAATGGTGCGATCTCGGCTCACCGCAACCTCCGCCTCCCAGGTTCAAGCGATTCTCCTGCCTCAGCCTCTCAAGTAGCTGGGATTACAGGCATGAGCCACCACGTCCAGCTAATTTTGTGTTTTTAGTAAAGACGGGGTTTCTCCATGTTGGCCAGGCCGGTCTCAAACTCCTGACCTCAGGTGATCCACCCGCCTCAGCCTCCCAAAGTGCTGGGATTACAGGCATGAGCCACCGTGCCCGGCCTAAATGACTCCCTTTTCATTTTCTTATTTTTAACCACTAGGAAGGCAACTGTGAGTACATGGAAAATATACTCATCACAGACAAGAAAGTATGCTTGCACTGATGGAATATAGGATAGATGGGTTGAATATCAATAATTTGTTAGCAAATTATAATGCCTGCCTTATTGGAAACCAAAAGTTTAAAAGAACTCTAGAAAAATAATTGGCCCCTACTCCTGATTCTTTCTTTACCAAATCACCCTTGCCACGCAGAAGGGCGGTAAGAGTAAGACTTAGAGACCAGTGCCTGTCCAAAGAAGGCATCTGTGGGATCACATGGGCCACAGGATAGGAAAGCAAGTCACGAATGGTGTGCAAAAATCTACAAGGTACATGGATTGTCTATATACAGACAATTAAGTTGATTGTACAGCTTCACTTCACTTGATGCACCTAGGGGGGATTTTGTAAAACAATATCTACATCACAATAGGAAGGTGTAATTAGACTGCCTTTATATTAGAAACTGTTAGAAACTGTCTACAGCAGAGACCATTTTAGGATCAGTATATATTTACATACCTATATATACATATGTATATATACATAAACTTTAATCCTCACTTCAAGGGGGCAATCTATATTTGCCAGGGCATAGTCCAAATATACTTTATTCATCCAAACAGCCCCTCAAAGACAAATAGGTACACCTGTGCTTCTCAGTCCATCTGATTTTGTATACCCCTTTGGGGGTTTACATCTTAATGGGACTTGAATTCCTGAAACAGTAACCATAGTCTGTTGCTGCTTAGACAAATCATCAGAACTCACTGGCAGGAAGGATCACATTCAAGAGTGCATAAGCAGAACTTCAGCTTCCCCACTCTCCTAGACTCATACATGCTAACCAAATGTTTGCTGTAGAATGTGAAGTAGTACTGTTTCTTTATAACATAAAACCTGTTCATAAGACTTGTCAGGTAAAAGATGCGTAAGTGCACAGTAGTTAAACACCTCCCATGACTACTTGGAAGAATATTACCAGGTACTAATTGAGCCCAAAGAGCATCTTGGAAATGCACCAAGATGCTTTTTCATAATGTTTTGAAAACTTACATCAGCATAGTGTGGGACGAAAAGGAAAAATAAAATAAATGTTTTGAAAACAAAGCAGACAAGAGGCACAACCTGGAAAATGTGAGCATGAGAATTTGTATGGGTAAGTCAGATCATGGTCCTTAATTTATAAAATGTGTAAAAGAGAAATTATGTAAAATTAATGCACAGAATGAGATGGAACTGTATTCTGCTTTAGAAAACCCAATTCATCCCCCGCCAACCCCGCAAGATATGCATGTTAATGGACGCTGGTTTTCAGGCAGCTACCTTAAGTCCCAGTTTGCTGCTTAAATGTACTTCAGAGATAAGAAATGCAACTGAGCTATACAAAATGAGACAACTTCCCTCCTGTCTCTTGTGCATGATAAATGCTAAAGCAATTAGGAACCACTGTTGCATGCTACATTGGAATTTCTCAGCAACATCAGTGCCATTCTATGTAAATGGGGAAAGCTTATTTAGAATAAAGTCCTGAGAATTTAGGAAGAGACCATTGATTTTACTTAATATTAAATATTTGGGTCCATAGAACTGAACTAGAAGCAATACCCTCCTTCACTTTTCAATCTCAGAATATCCATTATAGGATCTTCTATTTCACTGGCAAAAATCTGAATTAGCATTTCAATAACAAAAGGAGCAAGGAAATATTGAATTGGAAAACAGATTCTTAAATATCTACAGAAAAAAAAATGTGAAGTTTGCAATTCATTCTGTATTTCCATACTTGTAATCCCCAAGAACGTTTTCAACATTTTTGGATTTTCTGCATTATTTTCAAGGAATTAAAAGTATGTAGGCCATTTAAAATATATCCATGCTCAGACTTTTGTTATAGTTGTTTTAACTTTCTCACAAGAAGCTAGGGACTATCTTTCTAACCTTGTTTTTCATTCTGTTTTCCCCCTCTTTATATTAAGGTTATGCTCATTCCAGGAACACAGGAGATATTGGTGGTGGTGCTTAGTGCTTAGAATTATAGCTAAATATATTACTTTAATTACAGTAGATAAAACTCATGTGTGATATAGATACTTGAAAAAAACTTTTTTGAAAGACTACCATGTCTTTTTGTGGATGTGTGACAATGACACTTGGTCAACATTTAGTCTTGAAACAGTCTAGTTTGACTCCATAACACTTTAGAAAATGATAGTTGACTGTGTATAGAGTGGATATTCTGGAATTGGGTTTAGAATTGCAAGGAATCTTAGATATAGTATAGACCAATCCCTATTAGTCTTCAACTATGTCTCTGTTCATTTACTTCTCTCCCTTGGAGAAGTTATTTTAATCATCTTTCCTAGCTATTAAAGTCCTAATAAAAGGGCTTGCAGGGGAATGGGATGGAAAGATTTCTTCTTAAACTACAGTTTTCTGACTCATAGTAGTCATGGAAAATGAAAGTTTGCCATATAGGATTTAAAAGGAATATTGTCTCCTCTCCCTCCCTGTTATGATTCTCCCTACCTTCAACAAGAAATGGCTTAATTTCACATGTGTTCACAGGACTTCTTTCTGTGAATTCCAAGACTTTAAAACCATTTTCCACTTTCCTCACTTATGATAGGAAAAGTAAAACCCTATCCTGCTAGAATTAAATAAAAACACATGTTAACTGAAGTTCCAGTTGAGAGAAAACTGAGACACAACTGAGACAAAAGATTAGGCCATCTTAATACAAGTATTCATATTGCAAGAGACACAACAGATGACCCTACACTGAAAGCCTATGTGCCACATAGTAAACAAAATCTTCTCGAAGAATTTTGACCTGTTGTTGTAGTGAATATATACCCTGCCCTGGCACCAAGGCATTGGAAGTAATGAGGACTAAAAAACTTTAGGAACACTTCAGCTTCTGGCCAAGATAGATCAGTTTTACCATCCCACCTGAAAAATCCCCAAAACACCCAAAATATGAAACAAGGGTTTTTTTTGTTTTTGTTTTTGTTTTAATGACACTTGAATCAGGCAATAAAAGACAGGGATCCCTAAGAGATGACAAACTTGGTGAACCCTACAATTGCCTGGGCTTACTGATTTGAGAGCGATTTTAGGCCATGGGGTAGAGTGGGGGAACCCAAGTAGACTTCCTAAATTGAAGAGATGGAGCTCAGGGTCCAAGGAGAAGAAGGTGGCTATAATTCATGGGATAAGGAATAAGAGAGGAGAGAGATTCACACACACACACACACACACACACACACAAAGAACTCCAGAGATCTGCAGAGGGAGGGTCCTCCTTGAGTATTCATCAGACTACTGATCATCTCACTCATACAATGAAATTATCTGAGGCCAAAGAAAGAACAACCTGAAAGAAGTAGAGGTAACAGTGGTTGACATTCACACATGCTCAGCAATAAGACGTATTCCCATTAGCCAGAATAGCAAAATTCAGGATTCATGGAATGTTACACAAAAGTACACAGAAGGGTCTTGCCCCAGTAATGGGGAAAAGTTGATCCTAGACTGAGCATTGCTCCAGACTTAGCTAAAAAAAATATTACTAGCAAGAACTGAAAGGAACAAACAGTTTCCAAGTAATTTAACTGTTTCAGAACAAAGCTAAAAGTATTTTTAAGATTAAAAAAAACACAGGCAGGGCGTGGTGGCTCATGCCTGTAATCCCAGCACTTTGGAAGGCCTAGGCAGATGGATCACCTGAGGTCAGGAGTTCAAGACCAGCCTGGCCAAAAGGGTGAAACCCTGCCTCTACTAAAAATACAAAAATTGGCAGGGCATGGTGGCACATGGCTGTAATCCCAGCTAATCAGGAGGCTGAGGCAGGAGAATCACTTGAACCCGGGAGGCGGAGGTTGAAGTGAGCCGAGATCACGCAACTGCATCCCAGCCTGGGCAACAAGAGCAAAACCCTGTCTCAAAAAAAAAAAAAAAAAAAAAAAAAAAAAAGAAGATTAAAAAAATACGCAGCATTCAACAAGATCACAATGTCCAGTATTAAATCAAAAAATTACTAGACATGCAAAGAAACAGAAAATTATGACCCATATTAGAGAGAAAAATATGTGTAAATCTATCCAGAAATGACAAAGAGGATGGAGTTAATAGACAAGGTCGCTAGAACAGTTATTATAACCATATTCCATATATTAAAAGTTAAGTTGAGACTGAGAAGATATATTTATGTAAATGAAACAAGTAGAACTACTAGAGACAAAGACTACAATTACTGAGATTAAAATATACACTGAATAGGATTAATGGCAAATTATACACTGCAGAAGAAAAAAGTTTGTCTACCTGAGGTCATAGCAATATAGAAAATTCAACATGAAACACAAAGAGAAAAATAGAAGTAAAAAATAATAATCAACAGAGCATCAGTGAGATATGGAACAACTTCAAGTGTCTTGATATACATGAATACTGTCTGTACAGCAAAGGGGAAAAGGGCAGAAAACTGTTTTGAGAAATAGTAGGTGAAAATTTTCCAAATTAAATGAAAGCATAAATCCACATATCCAAGAGTCTCAATGCATACCAAGTACAAGAAATATGAAGAGAAGTACACCAAGACACAGCATGATTATGTAATGTAGAAAGAACAAAGATAAATATGACAACTTTCTCACCAGAAAGTATGCACATAAGAAGATGTTGGAAGAGCATATTTAAAGTACTGATAGGATTAAAAAACTATTTACTAGAAATCTATATCTAGTGAAATTGAAGGCAAAAATAAAGATTTTTTCAGACTTATAATAGCTGAAGGAATTCATTACCAGCAGACTGCTCCATAAGAAGTGTCAAATGCTGGTGAAGATGTGAACAGAGAAACCGCATACACTCTTGTTGGAAATGTAAATTAGTGCAACCACTATAACAATTTGGAGTTTTCTCAAAAAACTGTACATTGAACTACCAAATGATTCAGCAAATATGCACTGCTGGGTATGTACCCAAAAGAAAGGAAATCAGTATATGAAAGAGATTTCTGTACTCCTGTTTGTTGTAGCACTGTTTACAATAGCTAAGATTTGGAAGCAACCTAAGTGTCTATCAACAAATGCACGGATAAAGAAAATATGGTACATATACACAATGGAGTACTATTCAGCCATAAAAAGAATGAGATCCAGTCATTTGCAACAACATGGATGGAACTAGCAATCATTAAGTGAAATAAGCCAGGGACAGAAAGACTAACATAGCATGTTTCCACTTATTTGTGGAATCTAAAAATCAAAACAATTCAACTCATGGACATAGAGAGTAGAATGAGGGTTATCAGAGGCTGGGAAGGATAGTGAAAGGTTGGGGGAGGAGGGAGTGGGGATGGTTAATGAGTATAAAAAAGTTAAAAAAAAATGAAAAGACCTAATATTTGACAGCACTACTATAGTCAATTGATTTATTATTGACTGTAGTCAATTGATTTACTGACTACAGTCAATAATAACTTAACTGTACATTTTAGAGAACTTAAAGAGTGTACTTGGATTGTTTGCAATTCAGTGGATAAATGCTTGTGGGAATGGATACCCTATTCTTTATTATGTACTTAATTCGTATTGCACGCATGTGTCAAAACAACTTATATACTCCATAAATATATACATCTACTATGTACTCACAAAATTTTTTTAGAAAAAGAAAAAGTAAAGAAATGTCAAAGGAATTCTCTCATACATGGAAAATAATACAACATGGAAATATAGATTTATACAAAGAAATGAAGAGCATTGAAAATGTAAACTATATATAAACTATTTTTATTATTTATTTCTTATTATTTAAATGAGGGCATTAGTGGAAATGGTGCTCTAAGAAACTCTGAAAATTCATTTCTCCATAAAAGCAAAGAGAACACTGAAAAAATTTTCAGAATCAACTCTTTAAGAACTCTGAAAATTAACAAAAGCCTTGTAGCAATCTGGGGAGTGTTTATTTAAGAAAAATGTCTGCATCTCAATAAGAACAGTGAGATTCCTAGTATTTTAACTTGCTCTATTCCCATCTCCCTCTCCCCAAGCTCTATAGTAGCCTAGTAAACTAATAGCCCTCAATCATAATCATGATGAAAGTCACTCACCTGGTAGCCACTGGAGGGAGCAGAAAAGGGTTGGAGCATTTTGAAAGCTTCATTCCCAGAGAACGGCCATTATTGACCTGTCTGGTGATTCTGTGGACACCCTAATCACAAGGCTTGTCATTATTTGCCCTGACACAGAGCTCTGCCCATGCAAACAAATTTTCTTTGGGGGCATTTGTTGAAAACACTCAGTGGCAATTGTTTAATATTGCAGCTGCCTGAGGTGGTGAATGACAGTTGGGGAAAACATTAGGCTAACTAAAAATCTGAAAAAGAAAATGGGAGGGAGAATGAGATGCCCATAGGAGACTTTGAAAAGTTATAAAATAGTTTGAAGAACCTAGAAGAAAAAGTACAGGTGTAGTGATATGATAATGCCCAGGGCTATGTACAGGCTCAGGAGAGGCATGAGAAGGCCCAAATCTCTCATCACTGCCTAATCTTGAGGCTTCTATATAAGCAAGGAGTGAAGACTAAGGCAGAGCTAAAAACTGCCTAGCTGAATGTTGAAAATGTGTCCTAATGAGCACACAGAACCACTCAGAAATGACTGGGAGATTTAT